>NC_000023.11:11512488-12137488 GCF_000001405.40 Homo sapiens
CTACTCTCATCAAGAGTTGGGTCTATTTCTCCACCTATGAATCTGAGCAGGCCTTGTGTGTTGCTTTAGTTAACATCTGGTGGCATAAGAGATGGTACTTCAGTTTTGAGCCTAGATCTTAAGAGATCTTGAGTGTTTCCACTTTCTCTCATAGATCCTTGCCACACCATAAGAAAAACCCAGGAGAATCTGATGGAAGATTAGAAACCATATGGAAAAGAACCCAGTTTTCTCAGGCATGACCACCCTAGACCTGCTGACTTCCAAACATATGAAAGAGGTAGCCAAGATCAGCAGAGCCTTCTCCATGACCTACAGCTGACTGCACATGCATAAGAAAGCCCAGCCAAGACCAGACAGATCATCTGGCTGATTCATAAATACATGGCAAATAATCAATGTCTATTGTTTGAAGCCTCTGAGGTTTGGGATGGTTTGTTACACATCAATAGCTAACTGAAACAAAGATATATAAGCATCAGGTTTATTTTCATTTTAATGAAAGGGAAAAGTATCATTTCCCTTATTTATGTTAGTCAAATACCTGTTGATCTATGCATTTAACAAAATGTTATTAACCATATATTCCATGTCAGGCTCTGAACTGGACTCCAGGGATATAGTAGTGAAATCCACTCAACTGATGATTGCCTCCAAAACTACATCTGCAATACTGCCCTCTTATCTAATGGTTTAGGGCCCAGCTCTTAGAATATTCTACCATTACTGAAAACTCATCATGTTCGAAATCTTAAGTAATCATTCCCTCCTCCAGGACCCCCCAGCAAAAACAAACCACCACCAACAAAAAAACCCACAAGATTTTGTTCTTTCCTACTTTATTTCTATATATCCATACTTTCTTGCATGGACTGTGGGTCATAAACCTGTGCCCAAGCAAGTTGAGACTTCAAAGAGCAGCAAGACTCAAGACCACGTTTACAGAGATTATAGTTAGTTGGAAGGCGTAACATCCAAGACTTGCCATTGTTGACTTACTTTGGACACTTGCACTGTTTTACCTGTTAAATGGAGTCTCTTGCTAAGCCCTCTGTCCTTATGCCATCACTTGCCCAGGTGCTTACAACTTGGCACTGAATCCGTAATAGTTTTCTAGCTGAGTTATTTGTCCAGTCTCTCCCAGTATGGGAGAGACTGAAACGTATGAGACCCAGTTCTTTTTATCTTTGGGCACAGAGATAAACCACATTTCCTAGGCACCTTGCATCTAGGTGGAACCATGCGACAAATTCTTTCCAAAGGAATGTGAGTGTATTGATAGGTCACTTCTGGTCCAAGGCAGGTAAGAGCAAGGACGACTTCTCTATGAACACACTCTCCTTCACTTTCCATGCCTACCTTGGTAGCTACATATTAAAGACAGTGGCTTAGGCCAGGCATCATGGCTTACACCCATAATCCCAGCATTTTGGGAGGCCAAGAAGGGCGAATCACTTGAGCTCAGGAGTTCAAGACCAGCCTGGGCAACATGGCAAAACCCCATCTCTACTAAAAATACAAAAAATAGCCAGGGGTGGTGACACATGCCTGTAGTCCCAGCTACTCAGGAGGCTGAGGCAGGAGAATTGCTTGAGCCCAGGAAGTGGAGGTTGCAGTGAGCTAAGATTTTGCCATTGTACTCTAGCCTGGGTGACGAAGTGAAACCCTGTCTCAAAAAAAAAAAAAAAAAAAAAAAAAAAGTGGTTTTACATAACGGAAAGTGCCTGAATTCCTGAGTGACTTCTTGAAGGAGAACTCCCAGAATTTCTACCTCACCTAAAATACTTGCTTTTGTCTTTTCATGAGCAAGATGGATTTTGTTGTATTAAATCACTGAGATTTGGGGTTACAGATTACAGCAATTAGCCTATAGCAGAATTGCTCAATTTACCACTACTCATATTTTGGCCTGGATAATTCATTGTCGTGGGGGAATATCCTCTCGGGATATCCTATCCTGAACATAGGATGTTCAGCAGTATCCCTGGCCGTGGCATCAGCAGAACCGCACCACCCCACCGTTCCCAACACCCTGCCAGCTGTGACAACCAAAATCTCTTCAGATGTTGCCAAATGTCCCCTGAGAAGACAAATTGCCTCCATTTGAGACCCAATGGCCTCTTATGCCTACTATATCCCATTTCTCATCTATTTGGTATGCACAGGCTTCACTCGTCTAGTTATCAAACAATTCTCTATTTGAATAATTGGAAACTTAAAGTCCTCTATGTGATTTTCAGTATCTTCTTGATTTGACCCACTTTTACTTTCCAAAGTTCTTGATAATTACTGTACAACAAATCAACTGAATCTCCCTAATATTGCCCTCTTCACCTTTGTCTATGCATTGCACACACACACACACACACACACACACACACACACTCATCCACACATTTTACTTCTGTGTGCTTGATCCTACTATCCATTCCCATGAGGCTTTGAATTCCACCCTCACTGGTTTCTCCTATCTGTAAATTCTCATAGCCATATGGTCTAATACGGGATGAAAAATGGGTTCCATCTCACAGAAAAACCATAACTGACAATGGCTGCTTGGAGCACAACGTTGAAAAAGCGAGGGTGTACACAGGCTCAGCAACAGTATGTTGTGATCAATTAGTAATGTCTGTCATGGACCTGAAGTAGAATGGTGGTAGCCATGCCATCCAAGATAGATTGTCTTACATTGCTCTCTGTTGACTTTTCCCAGTTCTAGTATAATTTCCTTAAAAGCAGGATATGTGTTTCATGCAGAAGGAAGAACTTTCTTGGAAAGTAAAAGTATATAAGTCACTAAGGTACACATAAGTTTGTGAAATCATTCCTAAACATTTTCCTAATACATTTATCAAGAAGGAAAAGTTGCGTCCTGAAGCAATCATTCCCTAGGCTCTGTGTCAATCACAGTGTCATGTTAGGGAACATTATTTTGGTTTCATCAAAATTATCAGTTTGAGTAGCAGCTATACATTATATACTTACTGGAGCACATAACTATACCTCCCCCTTTTTTAACAACCAAAGCTTTCCCTCAATAATCTTGGCCAAATTTCTGCGCTTGGCTAAAAACCTATAGGCCATGGAAATTTATACCATTTAAAATATGTTTTTGGACATCTGCCTCCTTAATGTTTCATTTTTATTTATTTTTCTTCTAAAACATATTTTTTATTAAAAGAACTAGATGTGTCATTGTCGTGGGCACAAACTCATCTTGTTTATTACAAAATGATTCATACAAATTAGTAATGAAAGAAATGTCCTTTTCAGAAACAGTAAACAATTTGCACAAAACATTCCCTAAAATTTAGTTGAGCTTTATCTCAAAACCTCACATGATTTATGAAATGTTATTGGTATTTCTAAAACAAAAAGTGAAGACTAAATTACTAAAATGGAGTCAAAAGCCCCCATGAACCTCTGCATTGCCAGACCACCCCCCAGGGGTGTTTCACCCCCAAACGTGATATCCCAAATGAAAATCAACAATTTTCCTATTAAAGTTAATTGGCTATGAGTAGAGATAGGCCATCAAGGTCTCCTGTCAATCTACTGTGGCTACTCCTAACCTTGTTTCTGGGGGAACTCTCTCTGCTACCATGTTTTTATTTACAAAAACAGCGATTGAGCACTTATTATATCTCTGATCTAATACTTGTCAGTCGAAAAGTTAGTTACTAAGTATTTTTTAAAATTACATTTTGTAAGTTTCCTTTCATTCAAATGTTTTCTCTTTTATTTCTTTTATTGTGGTAACATATACATAATATAAAATTTGCCATTTTAACCATTTTTAAGTGTACAGTTCAGTAGCGTTAAGTACTTCCACATTGTTGTGCAACCATCATCATCGTCTATCTCCAGAACTTTTTCATCTTCCTAAACTGAAACTCTATTCCCATTAAACAACTCCCAATTCCTCCCTCTCCCCAGCCTTTGGTTTCATTTTGTTCTTCTCTTTTGAGATGCATCCTTTTTCTTCTAAAAATATATTTTCAATATCTCACCAAGTATGTATGCAACATTTTAGCTATCATAACTATTGAGTTTCTTAGAGAATAGCTAACATTTACTGTGCATTCTATTAGATTTAACACATACCGTGATAAGTTTACTTACTCGTTGTAGCAATACTCAACATAGGTCCTCATTCCTCCATTTTGCAGATGAAAAAACTGAGGACTTGGGAGTTTAATGTTTCAGTTTTATTGATATTTCTTTTGAAACATATTTTGTATGTTTTTAAAACATATTTTGCTCAAGGTCACATTGCTAGTAAATGGTAAAGATATGATTATGCAAATATTTTTCCAAATCTAAAGGCTGTGCTAACCCTGTCTTCTCCTTCTAGACTCCAGCCTCCTTCTCTGTCATCTCCACACTTCCTCCAAAACTGTAAATGTAGGCATTCTCAGGTTGTATTCTCCTTCAAGGCCCCTATTCACTTTCACAGCTTCCGCTACTGTTTCTTGGAAAATAATCTTCTATATCTATCCGCGAGCCTCTCTCCAGAACTCAAAATCCATGCTGCATAACAATAATAACAATCACAAAAATAATGAAATCTCAGAGGCCCATAACAATATGACAAGAGGCATTGATGTAGCTCATGAGTGTCTAGGTAGACTGAGGCTGGCTAATGTAGGCTGGGCTCTGCTTCACATGTCATTCATCCTTTACCCAAGACAAGTTGGTTAGCCCAGGCATGACCTTCTTGGCAGAGGCTCAAGACAACAAACAGACACATGCAAAATATCTTAAGCTTAGGCTAGGAACTGGCACACTGTCACTACTGCCTTATCTATTGGCCAAAGCAAGTCAAAGATCTAAACATCAGGGGGCAGCGTATTACGTACTCTCCCCTTTTTGTGCATGGAACTTCAAATTCTACAAGGGTGTGGATGCGAGGGTAGGTGAGGAATCAGAGCCAATAAAACAACTGGCATTACTAATTTCTGCTTTTAATCTTATCTTCTCGTGCACACTGTTCTCTATCATGAATCCTTTCCACTTCCATAGGTTCAACTGTCATGTCTATTAAGAGAATGTTAAAATGGTTATCTTTAGCCCTCATCTCTCTCCTGAACTTTAATCCTATGTGTTTGGTTTAAAATCATCAAGCAGTATGATATTGGCTGTAGGTTTGTGATAAATGGATCATGTCCTTTGCAGGCACATGGATGGAACTGGAGCTGGAAGTCACTATCCACAGCAAACTAACACAGCAACAGAAAACCAAACACTGTATGTTCTCACTTATAAGTAGGAGCTGAACAATGAGAACACGTGGACACAGGGAGGGGAACAACACACACTGGGGCCTGTCAGGTGGTGGGGTTGGGGGAGGGAGAGCATCAGGATAAATAACTAACGCATCCTGGGCTTAATACCTAGATGATGGGTTGATAGGTACAGCAAACCACCATGGCACACGTTTACCTATGTAACAAACCTGCACATCCGCACATGTACCCCGGAATTTAAAATAAAAATAAAAACTTTAAAAAATTAAAAATAAAATAATCATGCAACATCCCAGCCCCAAATACCTTAACCTAACATTTTAAAACCTGAAATTATCAGTATCTTCCTTACCCACGCACTCATCCACAACCAAAATCAGTTTGTCCTCCTGTCTTCAATTTTCTTTTCTTTCTTTTCTTTTCCTTGACAGGGTCTTGGTCTATCACCCAGGCTGGAGTGCAGTGGTATGATTATAGCTCACTGCAGCCTTGAACTCCTGGGATCACATGATCTTCCCGCCTCAGCCTCTCGAGTAGCTGTGACTACAGATGCATACCACCACACTTGGCTATTATTTTCAATTGTTTTTCGTAGAGATGGGGTCTTCTATGTTGCCCAGGCTGGTCTCAAACTCCTGGCTTCAAGCGATTTTCCTGCCTTGGCCTCCCAAAGTACTGGAATTACAGGCATGAGCCACTGTGCCTGGCCCAATTTTCTTTTTTTTTTCTTTTTTTTTTTTTTTTTTGACCTACTGTCTTTCTTGGTCAGAATTTAAGTATTGGAAAGGCACATGTCTACTCCATCAGAGTAACAGTGCCTTCCAACTAAGGGATGTTTCTTTGCTTTCTCCCCTCAAAAAAATCTCTTCCTCAAGGCCTCCCTTGCAACAGTGCACTTTTTTTTTTTTTTAAATTATACTTTAAGTTTTAGGGTACATGTGCACATTGTGCAGGTTAGTTACATATGTATACATGTGCCATGCTGGTGCGCTGCACCCACTAACTTTTCATCTAGCATTAGGTATATCTCCTAATGCTATCCCTCCCCCCTCCCCCGACCCCACCACAGTCCCCAGAGTGTGATATTCCCCTTCCTGTGTCCATGTGATCTCATTGTTCAATTCCCACCTATGAGTGAGAATATGCAGTGTTTGGTTTTTTGTTCTTGCGATAGTTTACTGAGAATGATGATTTCCAATTTCATCCATGTCCCTACAAAGGACATGAACTCATCATTTTTTATGGCTGCATAGTATACCATGGTGTATATGTGCCACATTTTCTTAATCCAGTCTATCATTGTTGGACATTTGGGTTGGTTCCAAGTCTTTGCTATTGTGAATAATGCCGCAATAAACATACATGTGCATGTGTCTTTATAGCAGCATGATTTATAGTCCTTTGGGTATATACCCAGTAATGGGATGGCTGGGTCAAATGGTATTTCTAGTTCTAGATCCCTGAGGAATTGCCACACTGACTTCCACAATGGTTGAACTAGTTTACAGTCCCACCAACAGTGTAAAAGTGTTCCTATTTCTCCACATCCTCCCCAGCACCTGTTGTTTCCTGACTTTTTAATGACTGCCATTCTAACTGGTGTGAGATGATATCTCATAGTGGTTTTGATTTGCATTTCTCTGATGGCCAGTGATGGTGAGCATTTTTTCATGTGTTTTTTGGCTGCATAAATGTCTTCTTTTGAGAAGTGTCTGTTCATGTCCTTCGCCCACTTTTTGATGGGGTTGTTTTTTTCTTGTAAATTTGATTGAGTTCATTGTAGATTCTGGCCAAGTCAATCCTAAGCCAAAAGAACAAAGCTGGAGGCATCACACTACCTAACTTCAAACTATACTACAAGGCTACAGTAACCAAAACAGCATGGTACTGGTACCAAAACAGAGATATAGATCAATGGAACAGAACAGAGCCCTCAGAAATAACACTGCTTACCTACAACTATCTGATCTTTGACAAACCTGAGAAAAACAAGCAATGGGGAAAGGATTCCCTATTTAATAAATGGTGCTGGGAAAACTGGCTAGCCATATGTAGAAAGCTGAAACTGGACCCCTTCCTTACACCTTACACAAAAATCAATTCAAGATGGATTAAAGATTTAAACGTTAGACCTAAAACCATAAAAACCCTAGAAGAAAACCTAGGCATTACCATTCAGGACATAGGCGTGGGCAAGGACTTCATGTCCAAAACACCAAAAGCAATGGCAACAAAAGCCAAAATTGACAAATGGGATCTAATTAAACTAAAGAGCTTCTGCACAGCAAAAGAAACTACCATCAGAGTGAACAGGCAACCTACAACATGGGAGAAAATTTTCACAACCTTCTCATCTGACAAAGGGCCAATGTTCTTTAACAGTTAGAGAATTGATTTTATATATATATATATATATATATATATATATATATATATATATATATTACTTTAAGTTCTAGGGTACATGTGCACAATGTGCAGGTTTGTTACATATGTATACATGTGCCATGTTGGTGTGCTGCACCCAGTAACTTGTCATTTAACATTAGGTATATCTCCTAATGCTATCCCTCCCCCTTCCCCCACCCCACAACAGGCCCCAGTGTGTGATGTTCCCCTTCCTGTGTCCAAGTGTTCTCATTGTTCAATTTCGACCTATGAGTGAGAACACGCAGTGTTTGGTTTTTTGTCCTTGCGATAGTTTGCTGAGAATGATGGTTTCCAGCTTCATCCATGTCCCTACAAAGGACATGAACTCATCAGTTTTTATGACTGCATAGTATTCCATGGTGTATATGTGCCACATTTTCTTAATCCAGTCTATCATTGTTGGACATTTGGGTTGGTTCCAAGTCTTTCCTATTGAGAATAGCGCCACAATAAACATACGTATGCATGTGTCTTTATAGCAGCATGATTTATAATCCTCTGGGTATATACCCAGTAATGCAATGGCTGGGTTAAATGGTATTTCTACTTCTAGATCCCTGAGGAATCGCCACACTGACTTCCACAGTGGTTGAACTAGTTTACAGTCCCAACAACGGTGTAAAAGTGTTCCTATTTCTCCACATCCTCTCCAGCACCTGTTGTTTCCTGACTTTTGAATGATCGCCATTCTAACTGGTGTGAGATGGTATCTCATTGCAGTTTTGATTTGCATTTCTCTGATGGCCAGTGATGATGAGCATTTTGTCATGTGTCTGTTGACTGCATAAATGTCTTCTTTTGAGAAGTGTCTGTTCATATCCTTCACCCACTTGTTGATGGGGTTGTTTTTTTCTTGTAAATTTGTTTGAGTTCTTTGTAGATTCTGGATATTAGCCCTTTGTCAGATGAGTAGATTGCAAAAATTTTCTCCCATTCTGTAGGTTGCCTGTTCACTCTGATAGTATTTTCTTTTGCTGGGCAGAAGTTCTTTAGTTTAATTAGATCCCATTTGTCAATTTTGGCTTCTGTTGCCATTGCTTTTGGTGTTTTAGACATGAAGTCCTTGCCCATGCCTATGTCCTGAATGGTATTACCTAGGTTTTCTTCTAGGGTTTTTATGGTTTTAGGTCTAACATTTAAGTCTTTCATCCATCTTGAATTGATTTTTTATAAGGTGTAAGGAAGGGACCCAGTTTCAGCTTTCTACAAATGGCTAGCCAGTTTTCCCAGCACCATTTGTTGAATAGTGAATCCTTTCCCCATTTCCTGTTTTTGTCAGGTTAGTCAAAGATCAGATAGTTGTAGATGTGTGGTATTATTTCTGAGGGCTCTGTTCTGTTCCATTGGTCTGTATCTCTGTTTTGGTATCAGTACCATGCTGTTTTGGTTACTGTAGCCTTATAGTGTAGTTTGAAGTCAGGTAGCGTGATGCCTCCAGCTTTGTTCTTTTGGCTTAGGATTGACTTAGCGATGTGGGCTCTTTTTTGGTTCCATATGAACTTTAAAGTAGTTTTTTCCAATTCTGTGAAGAAAGGCATTGGTAGCTTGATGGGGATGGCACTGTATCTATAAATTACCTTGGGCAGTATGGCCATTTTCATGATATTGATTCTTCCTACCCATGAGCATGGAATGTTCTTCCATTTCTTTGTATCCTCTTTTATTTCATTGAGCAGTGGTTTGTGGTTCTCCTTGAAGAGGTCCTTCACGTCCCTTGTAAGTTGGATTCCTAGGTATTTTATTCTCTTTGAAGCAATTCTGAATGGGAGTTCACTCATGATTTGGCTCTCTGTTTCTCTGTTATTGGTGTATAAGAATGCTTGTGATTTTTGCACGTCGATTTTGTATCCTGAGACTTTGCTGAAGTTGCTTATCAGCTGAAGGTGCAATCAAACTAGAACTCAGGATTAAGAAACTCACTCAAAACCGCCCAACTACATGGAAACTGAACAATCTGCTCCTTAATGACTACTGGGTACATAACGAAATGAAGGCAGAAATAAAGATGTTCTTTGAAACCAACGAGAACAAAGACACAACATAGCGGAATCTCTGGGACACATTTAAAGCAGTGTGTAGAGGGAAATTTATAGCACTAAATGCCCACAAGAGAAAGCAGGAAAGATCTAAAATTGACACCCTAACGTCACAATTAAAAGAACTAGAGAAGCAAGAGCAAACACATTCAAAAGCTAGCAGAAGGCAAGAAATAACTAAGATCAGAGCAGAACTGAAGGAGATAGAGACACAAAAAACCCTTCAAAAAATCAACGAATCCAGGAGCTGGTTTTTTGAAAAGATCAACAAAATCGATAGACCGCTAGCAAGACTAATAAAGAAGAAAAGAGAGAAGAATCAAATAGACGCAATAAAAAATGATAAAGGGGATATCACCACCGATCCCACAGAAATACAAACTACCATCAGAGAATACTATAAACACCTCTATGCAAATAAACTAGAAAATCTGGAAGAAATGGATAAATTCCTGGGCACATACACCCTCCTAAGACTAATCCATGAGAAGTTGAATCTCTGAATAGACCAATAACAGGCTCTGAAATTGAGGCAATAATTAATAGCTTACCAACCAAAAAAAGTCCAGGACAAGATGGATTCACAGCCGAATTCTACCAGAGGTACAAGGAGGAGCTGGTACCATTCCTTCTGAAACTATTCCAATCAATAGAAAAACAGGGAATCCTCCCTAACTCATTTTATGAGGCCAGCATCATCCTGAAACCAAAGCCGGGCAGAGACACAACAAAAAACAGAATTTTAGACCAATATCCCTGATGAACATCGATGCAAAAATCCTCAATAAAATACTGGCAAACAGAATCCAGCAGCACATCAAGAAGCTTCTCCACCATGATCAAGTGGGCTTCATCCCTGGGATGCAAGGCTGGTTCAACATACACAAATCAATAAATATAATCCAGCATATAAACAGAACCAAAGACAAAAACCACATCATTATTTCAATAGATGCAGAAAAGGCCTTTGACAAAATTCAACAGCCCTTCATGCTAAAAACTCTCAATAAATTAGGTATTGATGGGACATATCTCAAAATAATAAGAGCTATTTATGACAAACCCACAGCCAATATCATAGTGAATGGGCAAAAACTGGAAGCATTCCCTTTGAAAACTGGCACAAGACAGGGATGCCCTCTCTCACCACTCCTATTCAACATAGTGTTGGAAGTTCTGGCCAGGGCAATCAGGCAGGAGAAAGAAATAAAGGGTATTCAATTAGGAAAAGAGGAAGTCAAATTGTCCCTGTTTGCAGATGACATGATTGTATATCTAGAATATCCCATCGTCTCAGCCCAAAATCTCCTTAAGCTGATAAGCAACTTCAGCAAAGTCTCAGGATACAAAATCAATGTGAGAATCAATTTTCTTTAACAGTTAGAGAATTCCAGTTACCTTAGAAAAAAATTCGAGGCCATTGAATTCTCCTATGGAGTCTGCATCTCTTACATCTGCCTGTTTCTTTCCAGCCCCCATGGCCATTACCTTGATTTCCACCTATGCCTCTAGTTGTCTATATTGAAAACGCTAAGTAAGATTGTCCTGTTTCTCCCCAATAACAAAAGTAGAACCAGCAAGTGGAGGGGGAGGGTGTGGAAAGGCAGATTTGGGTTCAATAGTAGAAACAACCACGGTACTCAAGGAGAAAACAGGAATGGCGGTATAATGGGTAGAACTCAGGTTTTAGCATCATACAGTCTGGGTTTATAAGCAGGCTCTGACACTTATTGTGTATTTTAGAGAAATTATTTAACCATTCATGCCTTGGTTTCCTAAAATGTAAAATGGAGCTAATAACAGAATGTAGCTTATTAGGGTACTGGGAAAATTGAGTTAACATGCGCAAAATATATACAAATTCATAAAATACAAGTACTCAAAACCTGAAGCTATTATCTCTCTTATTATTATAATAAAAGAAGTGATGTAGTTGCACATTAGGGCAGAGATTGCTAACTAGTAGGCAGAATATTCTTTCCTCCTCTTTCTGAGTAATGGATTAGTCCACACTGTATTTCCTAGCCTGCCTTGCATTGACTGATTTCTAGTCAATGGAACATGAGAGGAAGACGTGTGTGTTATTGCCGGATTTTACCCAGATAAACCTCCTATACATGTTCCTCCATACCATTTCCCTATTTCAGCTGGCTGAAATGGAGGGAGCCTGGTATAGCTGTGGAAACAATATACTGAAAGTGACAATCATGCCATCAGTTGATATCCTCTCACAGAGCAGAGCTGGGTCTACCTGCCCACTCCCACAACCCCACCCTGGTCTAGCTTGAACTACCCTAGATTGTTATGGATGCAAAAATTAAATTTCTATTGCTTTCAGCCATTGGATGCTTTGGTCTATTTGTTGTCTTATTCTAACCTTAGCACCAATGACATTTGGGACTGGATAATTCTTGGTCTTTGGGGGACCGTTCTGTGCACTATAGCAGCAGTCCCCAACCTTCTTGGCACCAGGGAGCGGTTTCATAGAAGACAATTTTTCCAAGGACCGGAGGGGAGGAGGATGGTTTCTGGATGATTCAAGCGCATTACATTTAATGTGCACCTTATTTCTATTATTCCATTGTAATATATAATAAAATAATTATACAACTCACCGTAATGTAGAATCAGTAGGAGCCCTGAGCTTGTAGATGGTCCCATCTGGGGATGATGGGAGACAGTGACAGATCATCAGGTATTAGAGTCTCATAAGGCATGTGCCACCTAGCTCCCCTGCATGCACAGTTCACAATAGGGTTCATGCTCCTAAGAGAATCTAATGCCGCTGCTGATTTGATGGGAGGCAGAGCTCAAGCGGTAATACAAGTGATGGGGAGCTGCTGTAAATGCAGATGAAGTTTCACTCATATGTCCATCACTCATTTCCTGCTGTACAGCCTGATTCCTAACAGGCCATGTACCGGTACTGGTCCATGACCAGAGGATTGGGGACCCCTGCATTGTAAGATGTTTAGAGGCATCCCTATCTACTAATGCCACTAGCATCTTCCCTGACTCCGGTTGTTGGCAACCAAAAATGTCTCCAGACATTGTCAAGTGTCCCCTGAAGAGCCTATCTTACCATATACTCATCTTACTCATCTTCAGAGGTATTCACAATACTGCATGCATGATCTCTTTCCAGGGGTGGTTGAGCAGGAAATCTTGAGATGTTGAAGTCTGCCCATAATCTACAATCCTTTTCAACTCTGCAATTGACACTGGGACTTTTATTGGTGGAAAAGATCATAGACACTTGTTGGTGAATGGATTATTAGAGTTCATTTGATTCATAAGGAAAATAAGACTCAGAGGTGTTACACACCATGCAGAAATTAGGCTCCCAACTCCCATTTAAATTCTGCTTTTACTACCCCATACTGCCTGGCATAAGACTGAGTGAATACATTGTTCTGCTTTATCATTGCACAACTTTCTCATCCAATAAATTAATCTAATTTATATTTTATAGTTCAGTCCAAAGAAAATGCCCAAATAAAGATGCTAGGAGTGGAGCACTGAAGGACAGCAGTTATTCACCATGTACTGTGTACAAAAACCTATCAATTCTTTATTTATAATGACCAAAATTTACAGAGGAAAAAATCTACGTAAGCATAATTAATTTACGTCAGGCTCTATTTACCCATGTTGTTAGTAACCACATGGGCCCCTCCATGAAGAACTGATATTAACCAGGCTCACCAACCTGCTTATCCTCAAAAGGCTGGACTAATTCTCAAGGCACTGAGGATCAGAAAAGTAACAGAGAGCTAATCTTTTCTGGTATTGATACCTATGGCAGGGTTCAAAAATATAAAATTCCTTAGTCCATTTCTTAACATTGAGTTCTCCCAGAAGCAGAGAGTGAGATAAGAATTTGCATGCAAGCAGTTTAATTGGGAGAAGATCCCAGGAAGCACTGGGAAAGGATGAAAGTGAGACGAGGAAGGGAAGGTGACCAATTCAAATGCATTAATGAGCTGGTGACTACTGTGGGCACCTGGGACTTAGTCCTTCTGGGGGCCTCTGGGAGATTGGGTAAAGCTTCACTCTGAGTCATCCCACTCAAAGGGCAAGGAAGCTGGTTGTGTTAAGTGTTGCTTTCTAGGTGTAACCACTTCCAGACTTCCCTGCTGTCCTACTGTCAGCTGTACATGAGTAGGGAGAGGTGGCAGAGAAAGCCATCAAGTCAAAAGTTGCCAATGTTTGTAGTATAAAGCCTTCAGGCTGAAGCAGGCAGGACACCAGAAGCACCTGCTGTGGCTGAGAATTAAATCACTGACCCTCCCCTCCCCTCACCTTGCATTTCTCCCCAGCTTCAGTAGTTGTTTTCCTTTGGGTTCATTTCTACATTCAGGGAAAGAAATTTCATTCATCTTGGGTCTATCTCTAAGATTTAATTTCTCTAATTTATAGATTCCCAACTTGTGGGACATGACTGCTTTGAGGTGGTAGTGGGAGAGCCTCAAATTATATAAGGGAATCCTCCAATCTATTTGCACACTCAACATCATTTCTAGAATAAATAATTTATCTGAAGGTATGTTTTACTGTCTTTCATATGCTGTTAGATGCTACTTGTGTTGTGAAAATTATATATGAATTCATTTTGATTGACAAATTAATTTGCTAATTTCTGTCATTATATTATATCAGACAACTAAAATTACCATGCTTAGTAATTCTAACTATGAGAGGTTAAAATGGAGGAGAGGTGTCCATAATTTAAAAGTTTAGAAACCATTGATATAATGGTTGGAAAACACTAAAGGAGAATTAGTCCTAATGATGCTTTGCTAATATGAGGAGTGTGTGTGTGTGTGTGTGTGTGTGTGTGTGTGTGTGTGTGTGTGTGTCTTTTAGTCCATCTGCTTCCAAAGTATTATTAAATGTCACTTAAGATTACACTGATATGTTTAAGTGTCTAGGCTCCAGAGTTAAATTTGATCTTGAATCTTACCTCTCTGACTCAAGTAGCTGTTTGAACCTAGACAAATGACTTAACTTCTTCAAGCCTGAGTTTCCATATCTGTAAAACAAGCTTTTTAATATATCCTTCTTCTATGAGTGTTGTAAAGTTCAAGTGAGATATATGTATAAAGATTTCAAATACGAATTAACCAATTGTTGCCAGGCACAGTGGCTCACACTTGTAATCCCAGCACTTTGGGAGGCTGAGATGGGTGGATCACAAGGTCAGGAGTTGGAGACCAGCCTGGGCAACATGGCGAAACCTTGTCTCTATTAAAAATACAAAAATTAGCCGGGTGTGGTGGCACACGCCTATAGTACCAGCTACTTGGAAGGCTGAGGCAGGAGAATTGCTTGAACCCGGGAGGTGGAGGTTGCAGTGAGCCAAGATTGTGCCACTGCACTCCAGCCTGGGCGACAGAGCGAGATTCCATCTCAAAAAATAAAAAGAAAAGAAAAGAAAAAAGAATTAACCAATTGTCTGCTGCATCTTTTTTATCTGTTCCCACATCTTTTTATCAATGACACTAGATTAGGGTTGCCAGACAGAATACAGGTCACTCAGTTAAATTTGACTTTCAGATAATAAATGAATATTTTTAGCATAAATATGTCCCAAATATTGCATGGTTCTAGATGGGTTGGGGAAAACATGATTTTAGAAACCCTGGAATTTTCAACCTTATTTTGCATTATGGTCTTTTCAAAGCATTGCATGGGATCTACTTATAAATACCACATGGAATATACTGTAAAAATATTTGTTTTTCTGAAATTCAAATGTAACTGAGTGATTTGCTAAATCTGGCAATTAGTTACATTAGCTGAATATGCCTAATCACAGAGGTGGTCAAAAGGCTTAAGGACTTGTGGATACAAGTTTCAGTTCAGTTTTTATAAATTCCATTAAAATTTTCGATAAGTATGGCTGGATTCCTTTTAGGAAACGTAGTCTAAAGATTCACATTCTTTTATGAGCAATCGCTACAGAACAAGGGCCCCAAATTCTGTGTGTGTCTGTGTTTCTTTTAGTCCATCTGCTTCCAAAGTCTTATTAAATTCAACTTAAACTACACTGAGCTATTGATTGAACTATTTATTCTACCAATAGACAATACCTATGGTGCTTTTCTGTGGCACGTTTAGATAAAATATTTGCTAACCTTTCAGCACAGAGGGAGATGAAGCCCTGCTAGTGAAGTCCAGCTTACCAAGGGCATATGTTATATATTCCCCTTTTATTCTGGCATACTTCTGATTTAGCCCAGATGCTGTGTAGATTCTACCGATTCTTGCATTTCGCTGCCTACCTTTTACCAAAAGGGTTGCCTAGCAGGGTCCACAGGGTTTCCAAATGCAGGAAACTATAGCAAAGGTTGCTTGTCCTTTTAATCCACAGACTGTTATCAATGCAGATTCTTTGAATGCTTTGAAAAGACCACAATGGACAATGAGGTTGTAAATTTCAAGGCTTCTAAAAAACATATTTCCCCAGCCCTCCTAGAATTGAACCAGTTACAACAAGATCTTTATGCAACAGGGCCCAGATTCTGGACACTAATAGCTTTGCCCCTGGGTGAAGTAGGCCAGGTTTCCTTAAGCAAAGGCCGCTATTAAGCTTTTGGGTTCTCCACCAGGTCTCCAAGGCATCCATGCATGCATAAACAAACAACCCGAAACTCAGCCTTTCCTGTACCCATGTGTAAGCTTAATGGCTTATATTACCAAAACATTACTAAAACCAACCCAGAAATAAAAGAAAATGGATGTCAAATCAGTGTAACTGTCAGTGGAGTGGTTGTCATTCTAGACTTTCTATCCCTGAAAGAAGTTGGATAGAGCAAGAAACATCTGTGTGTGCTTCTGATGTCACACACACAATCTCCCTCTCCCCCATCTACTTTTACTTTTCTCAGGCCCTTGCTGCAAGGGAAATCTCTCGAGTCTTTAGTGTAATGTCTGGAACATAGTAAGTGCTTGATAAATGCCAGCTATCAGCACTATTAACAGGCACTGTCACCTGGTTTAAGGTCAGTTCGACTCCAAGCTAAATTCTCAGTGTTCCCTATAGTTTAGGCTTTGTGGGACTAAAGGCAGTGCACGAATCATGCTCTAGAGCAGTGTTTCTCAAATGACCTGTATTGAAAGACAAGGTTTGCTTGTTTGTTTCCAATCCATTGCAGAATCATACTTTTGTAAAATGTAATAAAAATAAAATAAATTACTAAAAAGGGGTGGAGGGAAGCACATGAAACACAAGCCCAGTTTTAAAAATTAGGTTCAATAGATATAAAATTATGGTGCCAAATTTCTATAAAAGTTTCTAAATGTTTACTCTTGCTTGATTTGCATATATCCTTACAGACCTGCAAGGACTATCTAAGAATTGGCACTGGTCCGGGGACCATACTTTGAGTAGCATGGATCTAAAGATCATTAAACATGCATTTCACTATTGAAAACATAGGCTCTTGAAATGGAATAATATGATTATTTTAATCAGTGAGTAAACTGACACCTTGTTCTTTTATTAATAAGAGAAGAATAACTCTGATAAGTCAAAGTAATATATGCAGTATGAAAATTTAATGATATTTTCCCCAGTAGATTAAATTTCTAATTATGTGGTATTTAGGCTAATGTTAAAATCTGTATTTTCCTTAGTACACAGGCCATCAACAAGTGGAGGTGTCTGCTCAGGAAATACAACTTATTTCTGTCAAAAATATATTGTGAATAATACAATGTATATGCAGTGTATAATACTCTCCAAAGAAGGACAAAAATCAGGAAAACTACAATAGGTATGGATTTGCCACTTCAGAAAGCCACTGCCTTACCTGGATATGGCTCTCTCAAGTTTACAAGACTGTGGCATTAAACCATACTGTGTCTGAATACCTTTCCCATCCCCATCTACCAAGGAAAATTCTGCTGATCTTACAAGACCCAGATCAAGAGTTACCTCTTGAGTGCATTCTCAACATTCATTCATCCATTCATTCGTCATTCACACTCATCCATCCAACAAAAGTGTATTGCCTACCCTACAATATGCCAAGCTGGAGATGGCACATGGTGGTGTAGGTGCTACAGATACAACATTGAACAAACCATGGTTCCTACCTTTTTAGAGTTTGTGTTCTAATGGTGAGAAAGGAGAGAAAAACAAATTAAATATATTCATAATATTGTGTTTGGTAAGTGAAAACTGTTATAAAGCAAAGTAAAACACGGACTCAACTTGCTATCTTCATCTAAACCACAGAACACAGAAAGTACTTTGACAGACTATATTCTCAATTTTCCCAAGGATGATGCACAGCTATTACCATTCTCGATACATACGAGAGAAGTTAATTCATTGCATACAATGGATGCCTTAGGGAATGACATCTTAATTTGCAGACTGAGAGAGGGTGAAATAGAGAGTAACTGAGGTGCTATTTTAGATAATGTACTCTGAGTGGCCTCTGTAAGAATTGTACAAGGGAGCAGAGATCTTTTTTTAAAAATCCTTGAGCATGAGCCATGTGGATAACTAAGGGAAAAACACTTCAGGCAAGAAAACGAAATTCAAATTCCCCAAAACATAGAGAACTTGTTGAGTCTGAGGAACAGCTGGGGGAGGCCTATGTAACTGGAATGGAATGAGTGAAGTGCCAAGTACTGGGAGAAAAGGACAGCAGGTCAGGGTTGTCAGTAGAGGGTGCTCCTACCAAGCCTTATTAGACTGTCACTTTGCAGTTCAATTATAGCATAATCATACTATTTTTCTTCAGTTAGCAATAGGTTGTTTGAAGGCAGAATCTGTGTGACGGTCATTTTGTATTTCGACATCCAGCACTGCAACACGTTAAGGCTTAAATGTGTGACTGAACAAGTGAATGGATAGATGAATGAATTAATATATTCATACAGGGCTTTCACAAACAATATTCATTAATTATCTGCCATCCTTCCAGGAGGCGGATCTAGTCTTACTGCATCTAATTTACATATAAAAAATCTAGGATGTTCATCAACTTGCCTGCAGGTACAGAATTGCTAAGATCTAGGAAAAAGGACCTTCCAAATTCAGATGTTTGACTCTTAGTTTAATGCCCTTCGTATATATTGAGCTTCCAATTATGGTTAATAGAATGGACAGAAGTAAGTTTTTTAAAAAATCACTGTATATCACAATACTTTCTGAAAATGGTAGATGCAAATGTAAAAGTTTACATTGTTTTTAGAGTGGGGACTGGCTGCCCTCTCCTGGAAATATGAAAAAATCCCATGAAGCAAAACCCATTTCTCTAGTCAATCTAAGACATTCCTCCACCCACCCACTCACCTTACCCCTCTTCCCCATCTCTCTGTTTCCTTTCTTTCCTAAACTTTTCTTTCATGTTTGTCAACCTAGATTAATGACAGGGGGTTCTTTTTTTTTTTGGCTGTAAGATTTATTTTTAAAACCTGAACTGCATCAGATACATAATACCCATTTGTTTGCAAGTTGTTGCTTTAAAATTTATTATAATCCATAGCTATCCCAAGCTTTGAGCTTCAGTTCACATTCCCTTTATATCCTCATTTTCTCCAAAATCCAGACAGCTGCCTGGGGTCCCAGCTATTACAGTCAAAACTATCGGTGATTACAGAGATGAAGAAACGTGGTTTCTCTTATTAGCTCAGTACACTTATTCTTACAACTCAAAGTGTGTTCCACAGTCCAGCAACATCAGCATAACCAGTATTAAAAATTCTGAAGCTCAGGCCCCATTGTGCTGGTAATATTTACCAGACAATTACATGCACATTCTCATTTGAGGAGCTCTGCTCCAAGGATGCTATTGAGGCATTGGTGCTACACTGAGCTGGGGTTCGAAGTCTCCTTTGTTTTCAACCATGTGGGTGGAGGTTAGAGAAAGATTTGTTGAACACACAACACTGTAGCCACAATCTCTAATACAGTTCATGGTATTTCTTTAAAAATACAATTCCATTCATTCATTATTAACTGATGCCATTTCTTATGTTCATCATAATCACTTTATACATACGTACCGAGTTTAAAGACAAGGTCTTAAAGTGGATATGTTCACGAACATGTGCGTGTAATGATAAATACCAAGGGAACATGGCTAAGAAATGGCATCAACTGATAAAGAATAAATGAATGAATAACAAAATTTTATTTTTAAAGTAACAGGGTGGACTGTGTTAGAGACTGTGGGTACACTGCTATGTGTTCACCAAAACCTATTCCCTCTCCACCCTGTCTGTGATCATGTGACTGTGTTCTGGCCAATGGGATGGTGCTTGACTGATTACAGGCTGGCCTAGAAAAAAACTTCCCATGCAAGATCCTTTCTCCAGCCTCTGGCTGGAAGTAAGGATTCCAAAGCCCTAGGGCAAGTGTTAACAAACTGGTTTTGCACTGCCTGTGAGCTAATCATGTTTTTTACATTTTTATGGTTGAAGAAAAATTAAAAAGAAGACTATTTCATGAAAAACCTATCAAATTCCAATCTCAGCATTAAAGATAAACTTTTATTGGAATACAGCCACACTCATTCATTTACATATTGTATACAGCTGCTTTCACACTACAAAGGCAAAGCTGAGTAGTTTTGACACAGACCAGAAAGTCCACAAAGCCTAAAATATTTCCCATCTGGCCATTAACAGAAACAGTTTGCTGATCTCTGCCCTAAAGTCTGGCTGAACTACAAGATGGGAGGAGCATGGATCCCCAAGTCACTACAAGGAAGGCTGTCCACCAAATATCCTCATTGGACTCTTACATAAGAGAGAAACAAACTTGCAGTTTCAAAATTTCACTCAGATTTCAGGATTCATCTGTTTCAACTCATACAAAAAATTTCTTTTTTAAAAAATTAGATGTCCAGAGGGCAGTGTGACAGACAGGTAAACTGAATAAAGAAGATGAGAATGCATAATTTTAAGGAGATACCATTTTTGTATTCACAGCGTTTAAGTCATACTGGGGCTACCACCGAGAAGGGGACAACTTTTCAGTAACATATTTTAAAATAAGTGTAATATATCCCCTCATTTCCACTAGGTGGCACTTAAGACCATTTACATTTTCAAAACGGCTCTATTTTGTAGTATGTTGTGTAATATAATCCTTTACTCCCACTAGGTGGCACTTAAGATCCTTTATAATTTCAAAACTAATACATTTTGTAATGTAATGTGTAATATATCCCCTCATTGCCACTAGGTGGCACTTAAGATCCCTTATTCAAAATACACATTTCAGGATCATCACAAAGTTTGTAATTTAATTAAGGTGGAACTATCAAAACCTACTTTATACTCGTTATTGCTGGAGACAGAAAAAGATACAAATCAGAACCTCTCCCTCCAAAGAATTGATCATTTGTAGATTTATAGTATAACAAACAACATGTATCTTCCTATCAAATTCCCAAATTAAAATCTTCTCATTTCAATAAACTTATTGTTGGTTTGATAATCATTTAAATTGCATAAACATGTTTTACCCAAATGTTCACAGGTCCCACATAAGCAAAATACTGCCCTAAAAGTCTTTGTTTACAGAGAGAAAGGTCACCAATCCTGTCTTCAAGATGCATCTCTAGTAGTGACAGCCATTAACATGCATCATCTTGCAGTCATTTTGTGATTCTTACCATATTTTGTCCAAAATACATTGTGTATCCTTGACAAAAATGTGTTGAAACCAAGTAATAGTTTCTAGACTATGATAAAGAATGTGGGCTGCATCCTGAGAGTAATTATAGAAATATTGAAAGGTTTTGGATTTTTGGAAAGATCACTGTGACATGGAG
The DNA here is from genome assembly GCF_000001405.40 of Homo sapiens. Classification (NCBI taxonomy): domain Eukaryota; kingdom Metazoa; phylum Chordata; class Mammalia; order Primates; family Hominidae; genus Homo; species Homo sapiens. Next base: position 11,533,999 of record NC_000023.11, read on the forward strand.
AAAGAACTGGAGGACTGAAGTGGTCAAGACTAGAGACTAGTTAGGTGGCCTTATCTAGGATAGTAGGCCCTTACAATGGAAAGAAATAAATGGACTCAAGAGACTTGAAGTAGTTACAGTTCTTATCTCTGTGGGCGATAAAGCCCATAAGCTGGAATCAGCTGACTTAGATTCAAAATGGAGATGCTGCCTACCGCAATAGTGCTCTCATGGGAATTAAATAACATCAATATCAGGTGCTTGCTGTACTGCCTGTTGACATGCAGTTGAGCAGTGAAGGGTGTTATTATGGGTCCCACTGTCTACACTCTAGAGAAGATGCTTACACCCTCACACTTAGGTTAATACTATACCTCCATATTGGGCTCCCAGTACCCTATATCTATGGTGTAAAGTGGAGTTTCTCAGCCTTGGCAATATTGACATTTGGATAATACTTGATGGCGGAGGCTTTCCTGTGCATCATAGAATGTTTGACCACATCCCTGGCCTCTACCCACTAGAGGGCTTCTAGAAGCATCCCTCCCCTCCAGCAGTGGCAACCAAAAATGTTTTCAGACATTACCAACTGTCTTCTCGGGGGCAAAATCATCCCCCTTTGAGAACCACTGGTACAGGCCATGGTAGCGAACAGCCCTGTCCAACAGAAATACAATGTGAACCACAAATGAGAGCCACTATGTAATTTATAACTTTCTAGTAGCCACATTAAAAAAGTGAAAAGAAACAGGTGAAACTGATTTTAAACTATATTCTATTTAACCCAGTGTAGCCAAGGTATCATAATTTTAACATGTAATCTACATAAAAATTATCAATGATATAGTTTACATTTTTTCATATTAGTCTTTGAAATCCAGTGTGCATACCTAACCCTAACAGCACATCTCAATGTGGACTCAGCACCTTACAAGTGCCCAACAGCTCCATGGGGTTAAGGGCTACTATATTGAACAGTGCGGAGACAGTATCTCATAGCGTGCATTTTTATATACTGATACCATCTTATTTTCTTCCCCCCATTTCACCATCATCCTCCTTTATCTTATTAGTTTCAAATTTTTAACCACATACGGTATTACATAGTTTCTTTTTATTGCAATAAGAGCTGGTAGGAATAAATTATCAACAAGTGGCCCCTCTCTCCAGTTCCTCCACCATGGCCACTGCTACCTTTGTTGGCTTAAAACACACTTGCATTTAGCCACCCTGCTTCCCATGTATCTGTGTTATGTCTGCCCCCATTACCCATAGAAGTCTCTATCTCTTCATCAAATCATTCTCTGTGCTGACTAATGTTTACCTTCTAGAATTATTCCCATTTATATGGAGACAGCCATATTGTCTCCTTGGGAAAATTGCTTAAATCTTGCATGGAATGAGTCAGCAAACTTTAATGTGATGTTCTGCAAGCCATATGGACTCAACCAACATCTACTGAAGAGCGCTTCATCCTTACATGAGGCTACTTGTTTTACTTATCCTCAAAATAATGAGCCTTCTTGCTGAAAGCGGCAGGTCCCAGTAGCCCACCTTAAGCTTTTTCTCCTCAATGATCAACAGCTTTGATGTACTATAAAAGGAAGTTTTAAGGGCCTCTGCCCTCCTTTAAGTCACCATATTTTTTCCCCATATTCCATAACCACCCGGCATCTCTCATCCCCATGCCCATCTGTGTTGAAGCAGACACCGATTCTGGGGCTGCATTCCAGTCTCTCATTAACAGTGGCCTGGCTTACATCTGACAGTAAGTACGATCCAAGATGGCCCTGATTAACATCCTAGAGAAGAGGAATCTGTGATATGTTCAAAGCAAACAACAGCAAAAAATTCCATTTCCCATTGTTGCTCTGCAGATATCCTTTGGGTTGGAATTTAAAACTATATTGCTATGGCTCCTGAAAACTAGCTTCATATTTTTGTTAATGTTTATGTTTTCCTGACCATCACATTGATGAAGTTCATTCACCATTTATTCATCATGCAAGGATTTTTGTCAGCATCCTTTTGAGGTCCAGCTTCAGCTCATTTTCCTTTGCCTATCTGACCTTAGTAAGCCCACAACATAACATAGAGCAAGGCTGGTGGGCCAGAGGCTGGTGAGTGAGCCAAGCCAACCAACCAGTGTAGAGGGTGGAATAGATGCTGTAGGTACCCCATCATGTCCTCTCAGCACTCGCTGCTTCAGGACATCCCATGACATCCAGCTTCACACATAAGCAGCTCTCTGCCTATAAGCTTTCTCTTGACTAGGGAAAAAAAGGAAAGCCAGAAGTGCCAGGGACCTAATGCCCCTGGATGTTGCCCTGAGCCAACAGCAGCTGAGATTTGGAGGATAAATACCTCAGTGTCCTTGTCCGTTGGGTGGGATAACTCTGAGTTGTATTCTATACTGGCTTATAGGGTTCCCTAATGGGATTGCAGCCCATCTCCTAAAGTGGAAATGTGCTCAACAGTACACCTGTTATTGGATTCCTCCCTTCTCTGTCTCACACCTCCGCTCCTCTACTTTTATTCTCCAAATAAACTCCTTGAATGTGAATCCTTGACTCAGGTGCTACTTCTGGGAGAACCTCATGCAAATCACACTCTGTTTAATAGATAAATATTTTGTTTCTTTGTGAACAATCACCATCAAGAGAGACGATAAAACCTTAATGAAAGTTGAAAAATAATTTAACTTGTGGTATGAAAATATGCACAAAAACATATTTCTGGACAAAAACGTAACTAAAGAAAGCAAAGAGCCTGTACAATTATTTTTGTATTGTCTCTGATATTTGAATTTTTTACTGTGTAATATTTACCAAGGATAAAAAGTACGCTTGAACTCTCTCAAATAATAACATAATAGGGGTTTGCATAAAATGAAATTACCAATTAGAACTTTTTCACGGAAGGGCCTTCAATTTTTTACACCTAAATACTTCAGTAAAATCCAGTGACTTGTTTTCCTAGACTTGATAGAATGTGCTATCACCATCACAAATATTTCAAGCATAGATTCTCTTTCCACACATGATGAAAACTGGGAGCTGTCCCTCAATACTTGTTCTCTTCTTCTGTCACAGTAATACAACATCCAATTTTAGCTGGCATATACCCATCTAGAATAAATATTAGATAACCCAGCCTATTTACAATTAGGAATGGCTATGTGAATAAATTCTAAACAATGAGAGGGAATCAGAAACGTCCTGTCGCGACAACAGATACTTTGCCTTAAGAGACAGTGGTTCTCAACTGGGTGACTTGCCAGCCAGGGAACATGTGGCAATGTCTTGAGACATTTTTAGTTGTTGCAACTGAGGTTCCTACTGGTATCAAGTGGGCAGAGACCAAGGTTGTTGTGAACATTCTACAATGCACAGGACAGCTCCTCTCAGCAAAGAATTACCCTGCCCAAAATGTCAACGGCACAGAGATTACACAACTCCAAATCAGACACTGGATTTGAAACAAGAACTCAGAAACAATTGCTTCTAGTTCTTTTAAGCTCTGGCACAGAATCCAAGGGTTTTTCGTGTCTCTAATATCTACAAAGCAATAAAAGATGATGCTGGCTTATGTTATTAGCCATGGTATTTGAAATATCCCAAGTTCTGAACTTTTGTTCAACTTGATTCATTTTCTCTGTCAATCACTAAAGCAGTAGTTCTCATAACTTTCTGGTCTCAGGACCCCGTTACACTCATAAATTATTGGAAGTTCCAAAAGCTTGTGTTTATGTGAGTTTTATCTATTGCTATTTATTGAATTAGGAATTAAAACTGAGAAAGTTTTAAAACACAAGAACACATTCTATTAGCTATCAGCATGATATTCATTGCACACCATGTGGTCTCTGGAAAACTCTTATGGCACACTCTTGAGAGAATGAGAATTAAAAAACACAAACAATATCTTCATATTATTATTAAAATAATTTTGACCTCAAGGAACTCCTGGGAATAAAAAAAAAAACCCAATAGTTCCTCAGACCATACTTTGAAAACTGCAGGACTAAAGACATCACTTTAAAGGCCTAGAAATTGATAAATATACTAGTATCCTTTGTGACATAAAAAGGCTTTTCTCCTTGTAAATATATGCTCATTTCTAAAAGATACAGAGTTGTCTCTTATAGCTTCTCTATGGCCCAAAGTGTACAAACAAGAGAAACAAAAATCAACTATATCATGATAACAGCAACTTTTGATCTTTTTAAATATTGAATATGTACATTGGACTGGCTCATTGATCTTAGAGATCATTTGAGAAAAACAATCAGTCATTTCCATCTTCTAATCTGAGACATCTGAAACTATCAGAAGATCATGGACTCATGTTTCATGTGCCCACACTCAGTGAAATCTGATAATAAAAAGGGACTTTAAGACCTTAAATTATATTTTCTTTGATTTTCCTGGCCCTTTATGGCTGAGCACCTGTCTATAAAATGTATCTTTAGGAGAAGAGTAACTAACACAAGCTGTACCCCAAAAATTCAATTACTCACAGAGAAGACCCAGAATGGCTCTTTTCTTTATGCAGATTTCAGGAAGAACTCAATATTTTTATAATTTTTTTCTCAATTTAATAAAGAATTAACTCCTATAATGTGTACAATAAAAACCAAATACTGAATGTCTAAATGCTTCTAATTTTAAAAATATTAAGGTACTTCATTTTTAATTAATCATTTTCTCCATTTCTTAGATTCTGAACACTTATTTTTTCAGCATAGATTAATTGAAACTAATCCAGATGTTAGATTAATAAAGATCAAGATTTCTCAACCTTGGCACTATTGACATTTGGGGCCAGAAAACTTTTTATTGTGGGGACCACTGTGTGTGTGTGTGTGTGTGGTTTTTTTTTTTTTTTTTGAGACAGGGTATCGTTCTGTCACCCAGGCTGGAGTGCAGCTGCAGTGGCGTGATCTCAATTCACTGCAACCTCTGCCTCCTGGGTTCAAGGGATTCTCACGTCTCAGCCTCCCAAGTAGGTGGGACTACAGGTGTGTGCCACCACGCGTGGCTAATTTTTTTGTATTTTTAGTAGAGATGGTGTTTCTCCATATTGGCCAGGCTGGTCTGGAACTCCTGGCCTCAAGCAATCCACCCGCCTCGGCCTCCCAAAGTGATGGGATTACAGGCATGAGCCACTGTGCCTGGCCCACTGTGTGCCTTTTAAAATGTTCAACAGCATCCCTGGCCTCTACCCACTAGGTGTTACTATAGTAACATTCCCCAAGTTATGACAATCAAAAATGTCTCCAGACAATGCAATATCTTTCTTGGTTGAGAACCACTGCTATAGTTCTAACAATTTATCATTCAACTGTCTGAGAAATGAGCCATTGAGACAATTAATGCACCACCCTTCAAATGCAAATTGAGAGGACTTTGGAATATGACTGAACTTTCTTGACACCATCCCCATAACAGCTTTGTTTCATTACTGTGATTTCAACTTAAAATTGTTCCATGGATTTCAAGAAAGGTAATTTCCATGGCATTCTGCAGAGTTGCCTACCCTGCTGAATGACAGACCCGCTAACCATCCACATGGGCATAAACTCAGACACTCGAGAGTAAACAGCTTTTTCTCATCCTCTCAGGAGATGTTTCACAGAGACCCAGACCACAGCTCCCACTTCTGAACTAGCCTAAGCGATCCAACATCAGAAAATACCCACATTCAATAAATGTTAGTGGAGTGCCTAACTACGGCCTCCCACTGTTTTAGGAGGGGTTGGGAATAGAAAAAGGAATGTGACTTTATCCTCACTCTGGCAAAGGATACAGACCTCCAAATCGCCAGCCATTAAGCCTTTAGTTAAGTCTATAAACAGCTCTTTTGAACCTATTTAGAATGAAAATCAATAAGCTTAATGGAGATAACTAGCCAGAGGAGATTAATAAGCCCCTAATCTCATTGGTTATCCAGGGACAAAAAGTGAAACAAAACAAAACAAAACAAAACAAACCTCAGGCTGGGTACGGTGGCTCATGCCTGTAATCTCAGCACTTAGGGAGGCCGAGGTAGGCGGATCATGAGGTCAGGAGTTCAAGACCAGCCTGGCCAAGATGGTGAAACCCCGTCTGTACTAAAAATACAAAAATTAGCCAGGCATGGTGGCAGGCACCTGTAATCCCAGCTACTCAGGAGGCTGAGGCAGGAGAATCACTTGAACTCAGAAGGTGGAGGTTGCAGTGAGCCGAGATCACGCCACTGCACTCTAGCCTGGGTGACAGAGCAAGACTCTGTCAAAAAAGAAAAAAAGGAAAAGAAAAAAAAAAAAAAACCTCAACAAGTGCAATATTGAAAAGGTTTAAATAAGAAAAGTTACCATGAGGAGCAATACTTCAGCTTTACAGAGCAGCTAATAGGAGGAGGAGGGGGTCCCATGCTATAAGAAACCTCAAATTTCATTTGTTCGCCCAGATCTGGAATCCTCTTTTCAATAATCATGGCAAATGGTCACCTTTGGGGTAGAGAGCAGAGTTCCACAAGCAAAATTACCCATAGGACAGATAACTGTCTTTCCTTGGCCAAATAGCTGGTCATTTTGATGTCCCCCCAGCTTGAGAGAGTCTTAGATCCCTCTTTGGGATCTCCAAAGGTGACCAACTCCTACCCAGCAGCCACCAGTGGCTTTCATTGTTGAAGATGGCTTATTGGCACCAAGAAGGCTTGAGAGAATATGCAGAAAATTCTATAGAAGAACATAGTGTACTTCTGTAAAGAAGAACATGGTGAACCTTCAAATAAAGAAGGGACAAAGCAATCATAGGGCGTTGGAAGTAGTCCATAAGTGAGACTATTTAAACCAACTGATTTCTCTGGGCTGTAATTTAAGAACGGCATGGAAGTCATCTGTTACACTTACACAGACCAGGCCAGTGGGGAGCCAAACAGCTGCTGTGCACCAACCATGGCAGAAGAATTGCATTTTGTGGCCCAGTACAGCACAGCTGTGAGCAGCTTGAAAACAGCGTCCAGCTGTACTTGTCTCCTGAGTGCCTGCATGGGGCTCCACAGGCACGCAAATGTTTCTAAATGTAAGTTTTGTTATTATTCAGGTATAGTGGGGCTAACAGATCAGTAGACAATTGCCTTTGGGAAAACAGCTTGTTACACACAGTTCCCAAGAGGAGAGGCATGCCACACCACATAGGGCCACATGGGGAAGCACCAGGGCTGGTCAGGGGAAAGAGGAAGCAAGGAGAAAACATGGGCAAGAGCCTTTATTGTGGTTTGTGTGGAAAGGAATGGGTGAGGCAGGGCTAGCAGGCTTAGGATTGGCTAGCTTGAATAATTTAAGTGGACTCTGGGGTGTAGGGTCCATCTCTAGTGTCTGGTACCTGGCCTGGGGTGATTAGGGCAAGGGTTTGAGAGCCCTGTGAGAGCCCAATAAATGAGGTGGTTGGGGTATGGGCTCTGGATTGGTTGGTCCACATAGGAAAGGTATAATTCCAAGTGAGTTGTTTACCATCCCTAGGAATTAGCTAGCTCTCCCAGGGGAGGGGCAGTCCCTTCAGGATCAGCAAGGCTCTGGATATCAAATGATCAGAAATATAGAAATTAAAAAGGCTTAATTAATCCAGCAGTTAACATAGCACTCACCACTCCATCACAGGATTAACCATTCAGAGGTCTTCCCCACAAAACTGCTTGGCTTCTTACTTGTCTTTGTTGCCCAAGACTGAGCACATTTACTGATTGCTCAATAAATGTGAAATCCTAGAGCCACCACTACTAGCTGCATACCTTAGGCAAGTTACTTATCTATGCCTCAATTTCCTTATCTGTGAAATGGGGATAATAGTAATAATAACAACTACATAGGATTGATATGAGGATAACATTGATTAATATTTTTAAAATCACTGCAAACACTGTATAAGCGTTTGGTTTCAAAATGTCAGTTGAACTGGACTGAAAGCATATAACATCACATACTGAAATACAAATGCAGAGCTTTTTGTGAATGATTTCTATCTTCTAAGGTTGTGTTTGTGTTTTTCCTTACTTAGATTTAGACTGTGCATTTGGTTTTCTACAGCTGTAAATAATGGTTAGGCAAAGCCCTACTTTTTTTTTTTTTTTTTCTCACTCCCAAGAGGAGAAGACAACTCTGGTTAAATAAATCCTATTTCTCTCAGCTCATTCACTGGAAGACAATTAAATCTTAAGATTTCCAGCTGGGTGCAGTGGCTCACACCTGTAATCCCAGCACTTTGGGAGGCCAGCTGAGGTGGGCAGATCACCTGAGGTCAGGGGTTTGAAAACAGCCTGACCAACATGGTGAAACCCCATCTCTACAAAAAATTCAAAACAATTAGCCAGGTGTGGTGGTGGGTGCCTGTAATCCCAGCTACTCCGGAGGCTGAGGCAGGAGAATTGCTTGAACTCGGGTGGCAGAGGTTGGCAGTGAGCCGAGATCGCGCCACTGCACTCCAGCCTGGGTGACAAAGTGAGACACCACCTCGATAAAAAGAAAAAAAAAAGATTTTCTGGTGCCAAGAAAATAAAAAGAGAGAATTGGTGGGGAGAGGGAGTGGTCAATAGAGTCAGAAGAGGGAGAATGCGGGGGTGGAAGAAACCATCTATGGTTTATGGGTAGATCATGCCCATGCCCCTGCCCCAATCCCCTAATTTAAGCAGTATGCTCAACTTCAAGTCTGGGTTTGAGGCAATGCCTTCAGAAAGGCATGATGGAAGGGCGTAAGTGCTGACTATACTTCCTAAAAATGGGTTTATTTATTCCCCTTCCCTCTCACTTCCACCCCAAGAACACACAATCTGTCACATCTTGGATGTGAACTTAAGGCTGGTGTGAAAATATTTCTTTGAGGCTAGGAGTCTGTGAGTCCAAGTTGCAAAGTTAGAAAACCCTCCAAGCTTGACAAAATAGGCCAGGAGAGCAAACCAAAATATCAGCTAGCGCACATTAATCTACATAGCAACCACCTTACTGACCATGAGTCGACACCCAGACACTTTAGGATGCAGAGTGGGAAGGGTCTCCTTTGGGTAGGAAAAAAAATTGTATTTGGGAGTAATCAAACACAATAGCTTCACAAATGAGAGATGAAGCAATGATTTGAGAAATGGAGCAAGTGGATTTTACAAAAAATGTTGATTTATTGCAGATACCAATGGAACTTTAGGAGAGAAGGAAATTTAGATGGGGATGCTTGGGGTCCCCTTAGAGCTTCTGTTCTATGTAACCTCTCAGTTCAAATGTCCTTAGTGGCTTGATTCATTTCAAGTTTCCTTCTCTTCTGAGTCTTAGAATGTCTAACAATTATTTTGCTTTAGCAAAAAGAGGTTATTTTGTATAATTTTAGAACAATAGTTCTCAACCAGGGGCAATTTTGCCCAACAGGGGACATTCGGCAATGTCATGGGACATTTTTAGTTGTCACAATTCAGAGGGGAGGAGCATGCTACTGGCATCTAGTGGTTGGAGGCCATGGATGCTGCTAAACATCTTCAATGCATGCAACAGCCACCACCACCACCACAAAGAATTATCCAGTTCCTAATGTCAATAGTGCTGAAGTTGAGAGACCCCAGTTTAGACAATGCAAAGGTATTTTGCTGAAATTAGCTCACTGAGACCATAAAAACTCCAAAAGGTAAGTATTATCCTCCCCTCTTGGTTGCTTTCATGAGGATGGGAACCTGCCAGTGGCAACAAGTGACATTGCCACTAGACAAAGCTGAGTTTGGACCCGAGACTGTCTGACTCTAAAGCCTATACTCCTAAACAGCATGCGATGTGCATAGCCCAGACACCTTGTAAACAACTGCAAATGTGTATGTATGTGTGTGTAGAAAGAGGGACAGAAAGAGTTTTACATTCTAGTGCTTATTTTGTTAATTTGCTGAATTTTTAAAATATTCTGTTAAAGTCAAGATTCTCTGAGTAACACAGCAAGGCATTAAGAACAGATACTTGTTATAGATTGATTACCCAATTTTGTAAGAACAAGTGTACAAGGAAATTGACTTAATGCTAAAGCCATATCAAGTGTAATTCAACTTTTGATTATTTAGAAGGTATCTTCACTCTTAAGGCTCCCTATGGCCCCCTTTCTTATATCTAGGCTGGTTCAATTGTTTTTAGGCATTTGGGATAATCATGACACACGGAAAGCGAAACACAGAACATGTGAAAGGTATGTTGCCCATGTAATGGATAATGCTCAGTAAAAGATGAAGAGAAATAATGAATGAAATGATAAAAAACAATGCATGACTACAGGATCTACATTAACAGCAGATGCCTAGTGGCCCAATGTTTATTTAGAAGAATGCAACATGTTTGAAAGCTTGAGATTCACACATGGGTAAAGTTCCACAGGCCAGACTTTAGCCAAAAGCCACAGATTTATCATATGTAGGACAGAGAGGCAAATGTTTAAACCATGCCAAAAATCTGAGAGGCCTTAAGAACATAATCAAGTTTCCAATAAACCCTAAAGGTTGGGTTATGCCTGTCATTTTGAAATTGGCTTCACAACCACTTCAGTTTTGAGGTTGAAAAATCTGGCACCCAAAACAAGTCACTTTTTAGGTCTTCATTTATGTTTGTTGATGCCATGTTTGGAATGAGGTTCACTTCATGGTTCATCTTATTTGTTTCAAGCAAGGGTCAATCTCAGTATCATCAGTTCTCTGGTGGAATTTAATTTCACACTGACATCTTGGGTCACTTGAATCGTGTGATTTCTTTCTTGCGAATAAATTGACTCTCCATCAGCCTTTCAGAACCCAGCCTGTTTTGATGCAGTGGTAAGAAGATCAAACATTTTAGCAAATGAAGGATATGATAAATATTTTATGCTAGACTTACATAACGCAAGTCTTCTAATAGGGCCAACGCTATTTGTCAGAAATTAAAACATTATCTCAAACAAACAAACAAAACCTTTGAAGAAATGATCTCATCACTCTGAAACTTCCTACAAAAAATATGTAGATAGTTCATAATTATGTTTAACGTTCAGCTGGAGATCCATTGCAGTGTGGACTAGACAACCTCTCAGGTTTCACTCATTTCAGACACCAGCAAGTTGTGTGACCTGGGGCATGTGCCTTTCCTTCTCTGATTTTTTCAGCTATACAATGATGAGGGGCAGGGAGTCAGGAGTGTTCTACATGGTACAAGAAGTGATTCTTGGCAAGTACAAAATACCCATGATTCTATTATGTAATTCTCCAGAATAAGAAAAAATCTATTTGGCAAGCTAATGTTTAATTTACCAAGTAATAACGCCTTTCAAAAATCTTGACTTCAAGGAGATATTGTGCTTCTTATTTGCAAACATTAGACTGAGGTATATCTCTAGTACTTTCAATAACCTTGAAATCTAAAATACAAACATTCAGGTAGCTGTCTAGTTTATTCCCATAATTTATTCCCTTCAAGGTTTTGCATAGTAGGAGCTAATCCTCTCAGATAAAGCTATCAGGCTTTCTTAAAAAAAATAATTTGTGCTTCAAAATAGCAGATAAACTATGACTCTCAGATCACAAAACAGACAGCATGCAAGGCAACATTTAGAAGCTTAAGCATAGAAGTCAGGCAGACATCCTCACTCTATCCTTTATTTATAGCTGAGATTTGGAGAAAACTATACCCTAAACCTTAATCTCAACATCTCTAAAATGACAACAAGAGAGTTAGTTCAGGGAGCTGCCCCAAAGACTGCATGCACTGATGTGTTTAAGAGTGGCACAATGTGGGCTCAAGGTAACTCCCCAAAATGCAGGCTTGAAATGTTAATAATTTTATTATTCACAGAGTAAGTACTTACTATCACATTAACAGCATGCTTTCTACCAGTTTAAAAAAGTGAACTGCAACAAAATAATTATGGATCATGTTTTTGTGAAAGGATGTAAAGCTTCCCAATTTAGGAAGGTAAACGAGGGTGATGCCCATCTGGATATGCAAGAACGGAGCCGCTGTGATTTGCCCTGCAATTGACCTTCTGTTTTTATTCCTTTTTGAAGTCCTGCCTTCAAAATAATAAAGAAAAACATGAAAAATGAGCCTTCTCCTACTGGGAAAATTAAGAAATGAACTATGATTTAAGGGTTATTTCATTGTTTTCTGTGAACTCCTGAAAAATATGTATAAAGTAAAACATATATATATATATATTTGGCAAATAAATATATATTTGCCTTTTATGCTGGGACATTATTTATACCTATATCCCTAATGCCTGGCGCTTATTGGCTTTGCAATAAATGACTGCTAGGTGTTACACAAATGTCTTTCTCCATTCAGTAAGCCCTTTTTGATCATCATACTGGGCAGAATTTAATCATGGTAGTAAGAATCTTTAAAATATATATTATGAAATTCCTGTAAAATATAATAATAAAGACTAGGAAAGTATTAAGCCTAAACTCACATATCTTCTTTCCCAAATTCCATCAGAGTGTTCTCTGGTTTTCAGAAGGTTGCAAAGCAAGGGGTAAAGATGTACATTTGGAAACTACTTTCAGCTAATTCTATTAGACTTAAGTAATTCCTGCCCATGCCATTTTTTTTCTTTGAAGGACCATGGGTTGCTGTTTGTCTTCTACAATCACTCTTCCTATCTCAATAGACTATCTCAGGTGGCTGCCTTCTTATTTGTTAAACACTTGCTGGCAGCTTTCAAACTCCTCTAACAAAAATGAGGAAACTTGAACTTCCACCATACCTTCTCTTTTCCAGGTCTATATCCAACATTCTTCCCCACTTCAAACTCCAAGAAAAATTTTACATGGAGATGGTCATTCAATAAAATATTATGCATGTTGAATCAATTTCTTGTTCTACTTCTCTGATAAATCAGTATCAGGAAACATGACATGTCACTGGAAATAAAAAGGGAGAAAATAACCTACCAAATGAGACAGTAAATACAAAGGCTTCGCTTGTTAGTAAAACAGGGCTGAACTCAACATCAAACACCCAAGATATTTTTAGAAATGCAAGAATTACAAGAAAATCTGAGACACATCAGCCTCACGTTCTTTGGAATCATTTGGGCAGCAGAATCTTTGGCCTGTCCAGAAAACCTAAAAATAGTTTATGGCTCCATATGATGGCATGTAGGTAGTGGTTTTCCAATAGAACATGTCACAACACTTCCACTGCAGTGTGGAAATGGGTGTTTGAATTTCCAAGGGAAGAATGTGCTAGATTCTTCATAGCTTCCCTTTGTGGCAAGCTCATCTTCCATGACAGCAGAAGGAAAACAGGGGAACTGAAAAGTAGTTTGAGAAAAAATATATTCTGCCTCTTAGAGACCACCACTTCTTAAATTTGAATGTGCATAGCGATCACTTGGGAACATTGTTGATTTCACAGATCTGGTTGGGGCCTGAGATTCTGCATTTCTAATTATCTCCTAGATGGTGCTGATGTTGCTAGTCCATGGCCCACATTTGAAATACGATAATAGAGTATTTCCAAACGAGGTCTGTTCTCTAGTCCCTTCTCTGGGATTCACTAATTGGCCCACTGAGCAATCTGAGCTTACACAAGTAGAAATTGAGACCCTAAAAAGTCCAGTTGAGCAGTCATGAAGTGGACCTCTATCTATTTCTAATTCTGTTTCTAATAATATTTCTATTTCTGTGCTCCTCTCTCAGGGAGAAAGCCACCCAGCATATTTTCTTTATGTCTTACTGAGCAGAACAGGGTCACAATAATTGCTCCACCTCAATAAAAAAGGCACAGGCCCTGCAACTGCACTTTAAAGATGCACCCATCCAATTTCAGGAACTGCTGTGGAACAAAAGGTGAGGAACCACTGATCTAAGCAGTCCTCTTTAAATACCCCCTAAGGAATACCTTAGCTGTGGTCCTGAGTTTCCTAAGTGAAGGGAATGGAGTAATAAATGAGTATCTGAGAACCTGAGCTGATTTGAAGGTTAGAGCAATGGCTGGCCACTTTCTGGGACTCTATGGACACTGGGCTGACTTAGTGCTGGTTCCCACTCTGGGCTGCATGCTAGAGTCACCTGGAGAGCTGTAAAAAAAAAAATACTGATGACTGGGGACCACCCCCAGAGATTTTTAGTTTAATTCATTGGGACATAGCTTGTGCAGCAGAATTATTTTTCCTTTTGTGTTTAGTTGACATGTAACAATTCTACATATTTATGGGATACAGAGTATTTTTATAATATATACAATGTGTAATGATCAAATCAAGGTAATTAGCATATCTCCTGCCTCAAACATTTATCGTTTGTGTTGTGAACATTCAAAATCCTCTCTCCTAGTTTTTTGACATATACAATAAGTTATAGTCAACCATATTCACCCTACAGTGCTAGAACACCAGAACTAATTCCTCCTATCTAGATGTAAGTTTGTATTCATTAACCAGTCTCTCCCCATCCTCCCCTCCCTTCTGACCTTCTCTACCTCTAATACCCACAATTCTACTCTTTACTTCCTTTGGCTCAAAATTTTTTTAGCTGCCACATCTGAGTGAGAACATCCAGTATTTATCTTGTTGTGTCTGACTTATCTTGCTTAACATAATGTCAGCCAGGCTCATCCGTATTGCCAAGAAAGACAGAATTTCACTTTCTTATGGCTGAAAAGTATTTCTTTTTTTTTTTTATTGAGATAGAGTCTCACTCTAGGCTGTAGTGCAGCGACGTGATCTCAGCTCACTGCAACCTCTGCCTCCCGGGTTCAAGTGATTCTCCTGCCTCAGCCTCCCGAGTAGCTGGGATTACAGGCATGCACCACCACACCCAGCTAATTTTTGTATTTTTAGTGGAGACGGGGTTTCACCATGTTGACCAGGCTGGTCTCAAACTCCTGACCTCAGGTGATCCACCTGCCTCAGCCTCCCAAAGTGCTGGAATTACGGGCATGAGCCACTGTGCCCAGCCGGCTGAAAAGCATTTTATTGTGTATATGTACTATATATGTAGAAGAATAAAACTAGACCCCTATTTATCACCATATACAAAAATAAACTCAAAATGCATTGAATAGTTAAACATAAGATCCAAAACCATAAAACTACTAGAAGAAAACACAGGGAAGTTCTTCAGGACATTAAGACGTTAGGCCTAAACTAATATATCTTCTTTCCCAAATTACATCAGAGTATTGTCTGGTTTTCAGAAGGTTGCAAAGCAAGGGGTAGAGATGCACATTTGGAAACTACTTTCAGCTAATTCTATTAGCCTTAAGTAATTCCATAAAAATTGTATGGCTAAGACATCAAAAACAGAGGCAACAGAAACAAAAACAGGCTAAGGGAACTATAATAAACTAAAAAGCCTCTTCACAGCAAGGGAAACAATCAACAGAGTGAAGAGACAACCTGTAGAATGGGATAAAATACTTGCAAACTATTCATCCAATGAAGGACTAACATCCACGATATAAAAAGAGCTCAACTCAACAACAACAAAAACAAATAGGATCTGAATAGACAATTCTCAAAAGAAGGAAAGCAGAATTTTTAGAAGCCCCAGGGGTGAATCTAATATGCAGCCAAGGTTTAGAGCCACTGCCCTGGAGCTGTGCTTCTCAGTCTGTAATGTGCACACAAATCACCTAGAAATGCAGATTCTGATTCAGTAGGCCTGTGATGAGATCCAAGCTTCTGCATTTCTCAGAAGCTTTCAAGGATGCTGATGCTGCTGGTCTACAGACTCCACTTTGTCTGGAAAGGCCCTGAAAAAGCAGTACTCAAAGTGTAGTCCATGAACCAACATGATCTGAAAATTACTTACTGCCATTTTACAAGGAGAGAATTTGAGAGCACTGTTTAGAAACGTTTATAGCAACTTGACATTGCAGAGACACCCAAGTGTTGAACTTTGTATTTTACGAAGGTAAAGCATATTAAAACAAAACACCTGGTTGTGTAGCACTGGTAATCTGTGAAGCACACACCAAGAGGATAATCCCCTGTTAGGGCATGCAAATTTGAGGTGGAAATTACATTTTATTATCTACAGAATGCTTGGTAACAGGCCATAAAGGGCACTTAGAAAATGTTGGTTGAATGAATGAGTAAAAAACATTGGCCTTCTGGTTGTGGCTAGGGATAGGCTTCAAAAAGAGATAAGCCTATGCTTATATGGACTTCAATATGCAGAGAAAAAGGTTGGAAAGTTGGGGAAAGGCTGTAATTTAATTTGATTTCAAACATTTGCTAAGAGCTTCTACACTATACTTTAGAGACAGAAAGATGAGAAAAATGTGGTCCCGGACCTGACAGAGCTCCGTTTATCACCCTGTTATGCAAAGTGTGGACCAAAAAAATCACTGGTTATAAAAAATACAGGAACCTTGGCTGGCCCCAGACCTGCTGAATAAGAATGTGTATTTGAATAAGACAATTACTGCACACATTAAGATTGGAGACATGTTGCTCTAAACAAGTAGTTCTCAACCCTGACTGAATATTGGAACTTTTAAAAATCCTGATGCATAGACCACACTCCAGACCAATTAAATTAGATTATCTTGGGTGTGGCTCAGGCATCTTTAGTTTCTAAATCTCCTGAGGTAATTCAATGTCAACCAAGGCTGAGAACTACTTGTTTGGAGCTCTAGTAGGTAGGTATGTGAAGGTAAGATGTCAGTCTGAAGAATGCATTCATTGAATGGGCAATGGAGGGAGGGGCCTTGATGGATTTTGAATGCAAGTTGCTTTTCAGAATTACACATTAGGAAGATCATTGGAATAACTGCATGTTAATGTAATCAGATGAGGTAGAGACTAGCCACTTGGAAAGTCTCTTAAGAGGGCATCTCACAATACATATCATGAGAGGACAGTATATTATCTTGTCAAATTCTCCACTTTGTGGATAAACTAAGGGGGCCCAGTTTGTGTGCTGGTGAGTGGACTCATTGGTGTGGTGACTGATGTCAAAAGGACTAGTTAGGATGGCCCATTCATCAGTTTGATTTGAATCAGGAACAGCCAGTAGAGCATATCTAAGATAAATTCTTTAGGGGGCATTGAGTAAAAAAATCTACAGAACAAATACAAATGTACAAAAGTAGGGGAGAGAAGCAAGATTCGGGAACTGGAGGAGTGGTTAGAACAAGGAAGAAAGGAGTGAGATAAAAGTCATGGACAACACAAGGGTGACTTGGGAACAACATAAATGTCATGGACAACATCACAGTGTCTTCACTTTGCCATAATGGGTAGGCAGGCTCATGAAATGAAATGAAGAGTCTGAGGTTAGGATGAATACTAAATAGAAGGATTGTTAATCATCAAAATTTCTATTATGTATATTCTACTGAAGGAACCAGAGCTGACATCTCGCATAGTCATCTACAGGCTAATTGCCAGCAAATTAGAAAATTCCATCTGTTAGAACCTCTCACCCTACTCAGTTAAAGTTTTACTATATCTAAAGAGTCAAAGTTAAACATTTGATAAACCAGAGAACCCATTATTAACCCATGTTAATAATGCTGCAATGAACACTTTTGTTGGTTTTACTAACTCCAGAGTTTGACATTTCAGAAGATGAGTGTTATGGGATGAATTGTGTCTCCAAAAAAAAGATATGTTGGAGTCCTTACCCCCACTACTTTGAAATGTGACCTTATGTGGAGATAGGGAATAAACAGAAGTAATCAAGTTAAAATGATGTCATTAGAGTGGGTCCTAATCCAATATGTCTGGTGTCCTTGTGAAATAGGGAAGTTTGGACAGACAGAGAGATACACACATAGAAAGAATGCCATGTGAAGATGAAGGTAGAGATTAGGGTGATGCATCTACAAGCTAAATGATGCCAAAGATTGCCAGCAAACCATTAAAACTAGGAGAGAGACTTAGAATAGATTCTCCCCCACAGCCTTCAGAAGGAACCAACCTTGCTGACACCTTGATCTAAGACTTCTAACCTCCAGAACTGTGGATCAATACATTTGTTTAAGCCACTCAGTTTGTGCTGCTTCATTACAGCAGCCTTAGCAAACAAATACAATGAGCTGTACGAGAAGACAGCATAGATGAAACAAAAACCTAGAAAAGGTATAAGGAACTAAAACAACTCAATAGTAAGAAAATAAACAACCCATTTAAAACATGGGCAAAATACCTGAATTGGCATTTCTCAAAAGAAAACATCAAATGGTCAATATTTTTTTCAATATATGAAAAACATACTCAATATAACTAGTCATCAGAGAAATGCAAATCAAAACTACAATGAGACATCACCTCACACCTGTTAGAATGGTTATCAAAAATATGAAACATAAGAAGTGCTGGAGAGGATGTGGAGACAAAGGAAGCCTGGTACACTATTGGTGAGAATGTAACTTTGAACAGCCAATATGGAAAACAGTATGGAAGTTCCTCAATAAATTAGAAATAGAACTACCATATAATCCAGCAATCCCACTACTGAGTATATATCCAAAGGAAATGAAATCAGCATGTCAAATATCTGCACTCCCATGTTCACTGTGGTAGTATTCACGAGAGCCAAGATATGGAATCAACCTAAAGTTCCATCAGTGGATGAACTGATAAAGAAAATGTGCCATATATATATATATATATATATATATATATATATATATATATATAGACACACACACACACACACACACAATGGCATACTGTTCAGCCTTAAAAAAGAAAGAAATCCTACCATTTGCAACAACACAGATGAACCTGGAATTCATTATGTTTAGTGAAACAAACCAGGCACAGAACGACAAATGCCATATGATATCAATTTATATGTGAAATCTAAAAAAGGCAAACTCATAGAAGCAGAGAGTAGAATGGTGGTTGATAGGGGCTGGAGATGGAGAGGGAGGATTGGAAGATGTTGGTCAAAGGATACAAAATTTCAGTTAGGAGGAATAAGTTCAAGAGCTCTATGGTACAACATGGTGACCACAGTTAATAACAGTGTATTGTACACTTGAAAATAGCTAAGAGAGTAGATATTAAGTGTTCTTACCACAAAACAAGATAAGTATGTGAGGTAATGCATATGTTAATTAGCTTGATTTAGTCATTCAAAAATGTATACATATGTCAAGACGTTAAAAACAAGACCAGGGGAACTTTATGTGTTATAAAGTTAGGACAGTGCTACTAATGAAAATAATAATTAGCTGAGAATATATTTTGTGAGAAAGTGCTTTATTTGTGATAAATCAGGCTTAAATGTGTAGAAAATCCAATCTTGAACAAATAAACAAAATCGTTGCTTAGAACATTTTTTTTTTTTTTTTGAGACAGGGTGTCACTCTATCACCCAGGCTGGAATGCAGTGCTGCAATCATGTCTCACTGTAGCCTCAACCTCCTGGGCTCAAGCGATCCTCTGACCTCAGCCTCCTGAGCAGCTGGAACTACAGGCGTGCGCCACCATGCCCAGCTAATTTTTGTATTTTTTTTTAGACAGGAGGTCTCACCATGTTGCCCAGGCTTTTCTCGAACTTCTGGACTCAAGCAATCTGCCTGCCTCGGCCTCCCAAATTGCTGGGATTACAGGCATGAGTGCTTGCACCTGGCCAGAACGTTTTAAATAAGAGCTATGAGAGAATGAGATCCCCAAGAATACAGGAAATAGTCCTTTTCTAATTTGAAAAGCAGAGCATTTTTACTCTTGAAGCAATTCACCATTAAGTTTACTAAAGCGATAATGGCTTCCAAAAAGTCAAGGGGGAAGGAATAGAGTCAGGGAAAGAAGAAAGGAGCCAAATGGATGAATAAGGAAAGGAAGAACAAAGAATATCAACATGTATTACACAACTATTTCTTGAAAAATGTGTCAGCTTGTACCAAGCTGGTTTCAACTAGCAAGTAACTAGTCAAACTCCTTTGGGTAAGGGAGGCAGTGATACAGAGTCCAGTGTGAATACCAACATGAATTTAACTATTTCAGAAAGACATTTCAAGGGCATTGAGTAGGCAGAATGTACTATATTCAAAAGCTACTAACATGCTAAAAACCACAGCAAATGTTTAAATGTATTTGCCTAAATGTAATCAGCTGGAAGTTGCTTTTAAGAATCATCCTGTTCAATGAATGGATAAAGAAAATGTGCTGTATAATATACACAATGGAATACCATTCCACCATAAAAAAAGAATGAAATCCCATCATTTGCAGTAACATGGATATAACTGGAGGTCATAGTGTTAAGTGAAATATGCCACGCACGGAAAGAGAAATACCACATGTTCTCACTCACATGTGGGAGCTTAGAAAGTGTATTTTATGGAGGCAGAGAGTAGAATAATAGTAACCAGAGCCTAGGAAGTGTGGGTGGAGGTGAGATGAAGAGAGGTTGGTTCATGTGTGCAAACATACAGTTAGATAGAGAGAATAAGTTCTAAGGTTCGATAGCAGAGTACGGTGACCATAGTTAACCACAATGTATTGTATATTTCAAAACTGCTAGAAGAAAAGATTTGAAATATTCCCAACACATAGAGATCATAAATGCTCGAGGTGATGGATACCCTAAATACCCTGACTAAATCATTGCTCACTCTATGCATGTAACAAAATATGACATGTACCTCCTAAATATGAACAAATATTATGTGTCAATTTTAAAAAAGAATCAACCTATTAAATCTTTTGAAGTTAGAAATTTGGTTTCTCATACAGAACCTTTATTTCATCAAGAATAGAAAATATATTCTCTGGTTTTTACAGTTTTCTTGGTAGTTGGTCTTTGGTGCAGTGGTATGAATAATACAAAATTAAACCTGAATCCACCACATGTATTTGAGAGTGGAAATAAAAATACTCTTGTATAATCTCTCCCCCCATAGATGTCTACAGTGAAAAAGTACAGTTTGATAAAGTGTCAAAACGCAGGAAGGAAAACAGAGTGACTGAAAAATGTGGTGAAGCAGAGCAAAAAAGAAAAGCAATACTCCTAAGTGGGAACCTTTGAGACAATCTACCAATGAATAAGCATTTACTGAACAACTACTGTGTGAATGGGGTTGTGCTGGGCTCCTTTTGGGACAACAAAACACATCTGATAGGATCTCTGTTCTGAAGGGGCTCACACAACCAAGAGGGTGATAAGAAAGACAAACCTAGAAAGATACCTGAAATACATGCCAGTTCATGAAATGTGTCTTCTGATGGTATAAGCAATTCATTAACTCATTTCAAATTAATTCAACAATATTTACAGAGGTATGCCTATATGCCATGCACTGTTCTAGGTTCTAGGGAAATGCCTATGATGAAAACAAAGGAGGTAGTCCTCATGTAGCTTAGATTCAGTCGAGATGGAGTGAGCAGAGATAGGCCACAAATACACAAATAATGCTTAATACGTAAATATTGCAAAGAAAAATAAAGCTGGATAAAGGGACATGGGAGGGAGAGAGGGGTGCACAGTGGTCAGGGGAGGCCTCTCTGAGAAGCGGACATTTAAGCAGAGAACTGAGAAAGCTAAAAAGTGAGCCACATTGGGACAGGGCGTCGTGGCTCACACCTGTAATCCCAGCACTTTGAGAGGCCAAGGTGGGCAGATCACTTGAATTCAGGAGTTTGAGACCAGCCGGCCAATATGGTGAAACCCCGTTTCTACTAAAAATACAAAAAAATTAGCCAGGAGTGGTGGTGGGCCCCCAGCTACTGGGGAGGCTGAGGTGGGAGAATCTCTTGAACCTGGGAGGTGGAGGTTGCAGTGAGCCAAGATCATGCCACTGCACTCCAGCCTGGGCAACAGAGCAAGACTCCATCTCAAAAACAACAACAACAAAAATGAGCCACAGTGATATTTGGGGGAAAGCATTCCAGGCAGAGGGAAGAGCGTACGCAGAGACCTCCACATGGGAACGTGCATGTGTTTGAAGAAAAACAAAGAAGCCAGTCTCTGGGGAGTGAT
The DNA here is from genome assembly GCF_000001405.40 of Homo sapiens. Classification (NCBI taxonomy): domain Eukaryota; kingdom Metazoa; phylum Chordata; class Mammalia; order Primates; family Hominidae; genus Homo; species Homo sapiens. The sequence continues at coordinate 11,555,890 of NC_000023.11, forward strand.
AAGAGATGAGACCAGAGTAACATCAGAGGAGAGCCAGAATACATAGGTCAACACAGGGTGATGCTGATGAAACGGAAGTTCACTGGAGGGTGTTGAGTAAGTGGGATGGCATGCTCTGTGTCAGGTTTTAAGTGGGAAACTCTAACTGCTCACTCCATCCACAACAAACAAACTTTCTGAAATCCCTACTCTGCGCCAAATACTAGGTATAAAAGGATAAGATATAGTTCCTACCCTATTATAATCACATATCCTTATCATTAAGCACACCAGCAACAGCAGCACCATCAATGTTGTTATCATCATCATCACCATCATCACTATCATTATCATCCTCCTCAAAATGCTGTTACTTAACTATACAACCTGTGGTCAATACACTTTCCTGAGTAGTGGGCCAAGATCCAACAACTTTTTCTTTCCAGGATAGATGAGTGTATGGGGTAAGAGTTAAGGGTACATCTGACTTTCGTGAAACTACCAGGGCTTGCAAAGTGATTTGAGTTACAAGGAAGACCCAAGAGGCCAGGCTATGTGCCAGTGCGAATTGGCCAACTTGTGCTATACCCCAGCAAGGCTGCTATCTGACTAGTTAACATCCAGTTGGACAACTTCCTGCAATGGACCCATTCTTTGCCGATTACAGAGTTTCTTTAAAAGACCAACAGTCAAAACCAGACTTACAGTTTCTTGTTTTGGATCTTCCATGAAGGTGAGGCTCTTTGTGGAATAAAGAAAAGGAGTTCCTCGAGACAGGAAAGAGGTTACTATTAGCATAACTAACTGTAGCTAATTTTGTTATGGTAAGGTTCTAGGGTGGCCCTTATTTTCAGGAATTTAATTTCAGAACCTAAATTACCTCTTTAAAAGTAGAAATCACCCTACTTTCAGAGCCTTTGGTATTTCTAGAATATCCTGTTCATTCCTTCCTATGTTATATTTTCTGTTTATGTAACTGTCTCCCTACTAGGTTCTGAAATTTCCAAGGACAGAGACTATGTCTTATCCATGTCTGTACCCCAATAACTTGCTCAGAGTCAGACAAACCTTTGTTGAAATATGTAGTTTTTCCTGCTTCTTCCCCTACCACAACAATCAAATTTCTACCCCTTGGACACTGCTATTGAAGAGTACAAAGATACAGTAATAAAAAGGAAACATAAAGTTACTAAAAACTGAGCTTCGATAAAATTAAAATGAAGAGGAAGAAGAGGAGAGGAAGAAGAAAAAGGAGATATTCACGTTTGATGCTTTGCTCTTTCCAAGAAGGTAATACCTGGTATTCAGTTGAAAATTTCCTCCATAAATCCTATCACCCATGTAAAAGTCTTTTCTGGAAGCAGATCAAAGTTTTGAAAACACCCTGTCAGAGACAGTATGACAGCTATGAATAGAATGCAGCATGAATGCTAGATTACTCATGATGAGAAAGATAGCAACCCCAATGCTGCAACAGAAATAAAATACTAAGAGTTTGTATGAGTAACAAATGACACCAACAGGCTGCACGTTTTACCCTCAGAGCTACAACAATCCCTTGAATTTTAACCATTTGTTTCTTTTTTTTTGTTTTGTGTTGTGTTTTCTGAAAGGCAAAAAAAAAAAATTATGAAGAAAAAGACCCAAAGAAAAAATTCCATGAAAAAAATGAATAGAGATATTACAGGAGCCAAAACATGAACAAAATCATTTCAGGAACAATCCTCTAAAAATAAGAAAAGAAACTGCCTTTTGCAAAGATGGGTCTTGCGATTCATCCCAGTGTTAATTATCAGGAAAAAACCCTGTAAGCACAAAGAACTTCATCCATAAACCAGTCTCACGTTAGGTACCATCAAGTCATCCTTAGCTAGGACAATTTTATAGGTGCCACAATATAAAGTAGGAATTTGGGATCAGAACACAAGAAAGGAAGTTTCTAACTTACAACCTATTAATCAAACTCAGCCTTGGTTTTGAGCAAATCTTAATTCCAAAGTTATACTGCAGGCTAATGTGGCCTCCAATTATATATATGTATGAGAAGTAACTCAGCCCAGGAGTGGCCTCTCTGAATCATTCTAGACAGATACGGTGAGTAGACCTACCACAATGCATGCTCAAATCTCTAAGTTAAAGAAAGCTGGAATGGCCCCATCATCTGGAATTATTGGGACAGAGCTACCATTTACAAACCCACACGCTCCATGTTATTTGCTGCCAAAATTAAAATCCAAGCAATCTGCTTGGGAAATGATGAAGCCTGACCATCACGATACTTAGAGAGGAGCTGTAGTATGTCCTCAAGGCATTATTTATTATTGGTGTTTGCTTAGTTTCCCCCAAAAGTCTGTGGCTTATCCATAACATCTGGGCTTCATCGTTGACTGGAAAGCTTATGAGAGCCCTTGTGCTGAGTGAGGCAATGGAAACAGAAAATGATGTCGGAGGATTGTCAACAGGCATTTGAACATCGCCAAACATCATGTTATTTTCCAAGGAACATTGAGGATGCAAATAAAAATCAAGTAACACTTCTTCTTGGCAAAGGAATGGGCTTAATTTGCTTTTGTTTTCTTCTCTCTTGGTTTTAACTTGAACTAGGCTGCAAAGGATCATGAAGACTTTATCAACTTTAGTTGCACTAAGATAAAGAGCTGTAGGTACAGTTTAAAAAGGAGAAATTTTGCCAGGTGTGGTGGCTCATGCCTGTAATCCCAGCACTTTGGGAGGCCGAGGTGGGCGGATCACGAGGTCAGGAGTTCGAGACCAGCCTGGCCAACATGGTGAAACCCTGTCTCTACTAAAAATACAAAAATTAGCTGGGAGTAGTGGTGGACGCTTGTAATCTCAGATACTTGAGAGGCTGAGGCAGGAGAATCTCTTGAATCCGGGAGGCGGAGTTCGCAGTGAGCCGAGATCATGCCAAGGCACTCCAGCCTGGGCGACAAGAGCAAGATTCCATCTCAAAAAAAAAAAAAAAAAAAAAAAAAAAAAAAAAAGGACAAATTTTACGCAGTTGCATGAAGCAGCTCCCCTTATGGAGAATTCTACAGTTAAGTCACGTAAATTCCCTCTACTACAGTTAACTGCTTTGGGAATTTATCGGGAACTTTTGTTCCGCTTCTGCTTGTCCACTTGTCTGCCCTGTCCACAGCTATTTTTCAGCTATAGCGACAGATCTTTATTAGTCCTTCCTTTAAAGGGATCAGAGATGGCAACACCTCCTCCAGAACATCAGAGTCCTTCATGTTCCAGCAATCTCTAGGTCATGGCCCCCTGGTGGCTGGGTGGTGGTATGGAAGGGAGAAGCAATGCCACTTTCACCTCTTACATCATCGATGCACTTGGTCTTTCATGATGAGGCCCATTTTTTTACTGTCACTGCTTCTTCCACTACCTCAAGCTGTTTAAAGCTGTTTAAGATCTCAGCATCTTTGTACATGCTTAGTGTACCTTCTGCCTGCCTGGAATGTGTTCTTCCTTGTTTGTCCAATTCCTTGTTATCCTTCAAAATGTCACCTTTCTGCACCAGCAAGCCTTTGTTGTCCTCCGGGATAATATGGAGGGTTCCTCCTCCCATAACAGTTCCTTCATATCTCTGTTACCCTTATAATCACTGATTTATTTATCTATGTCAATCATTGGCCCCCAAGTTTTTTCCCAAACAGGAAATCAATATAATTTGCCTTTGTATTCCCAGGCTTGAACATAACAGGTTTAATAACTATTTAAGAGGCAGTTTAATAACTGTCTGTTCAACAAATAAAGTAGGAGGGCCGGGCGCGGTGGCTCACGCCTGTAATCCCAGCACTTTGGGAGGCCGAGGAGGGTGGATCACGAGGTCAGGAGATCAAGACCATCCCGGCTAACACGGTGAAACCCCATCTCTACTAAAAATACAAAAAAAGTAGCCAGGCATGGTGGTGGGTGCCTGTAATCCCAGCTACTCGGGAGGCTGAGGCAGGAGAATGGTGTGAACCCAGGAGGCGGAGCTTGCAGTGAGCCGAGATCGCGCCACTGCACTCCAGCCTGGGCGACAGAGTGAGACTCGGTCTCAAAATAATAATAATAATAATAATAATAATAATAATAAAGTAGGAATTCACTATATTGAAAAGATAAATCAACCGAACAACCATGCCTGTTCTTTAAAAGCTAAGAAACATGCTGATTGCAAGTTCTCCATGCTAAAAAAATAATAATAGATTCCCTACAACTTCAGAGAAGAGAGCACCCGATTCTCAAAGTTGAGGGAAAAATAGTGCAATCAAAAAGACGGGTTGAAAAGATTTTTTTCCATAAAGGGTCAGTAAATGTTCATTATCATGAGTTCTATATTCTCTATTTCAGTTACCCAAGTTGTCTGTTGTAACATGAAGGAAGCCACAGGTAATGTGTAAACAAATGCATATGACTGTGTTCCAATAAAACCTTATTTCCAAAAATAAGCAGCAGGTTGAATTTGGCCTGCAGGCCTTAGTTTACTCATCTCTAATACAGAACGTCAAAGAATTTAAAAGCATCAAGTTTAGTGTTTAATGAAAGGAGAAGTACTTTCATGTGTTCTCTAGAACCCCAGAAGGAGGGAAAAGCCTATGTAGGACATTTGTATGTGGACATCATAAGGTTGACACACATTTTCAACAAAATACACTCATCATGCAAAACCAAACGGCTTTAATAACCATGAGCTATGTTACCATACCCAGTTTTGTGGGTGAATCTGAGTTTACTAGTCAGACTGGAGCAGGAAGCAAAATTTCAAAGGTTGGTAGTGCTACAAAGAGGTAGATAATCCTTCCTCCAATTTTCTTATTCCTGCTTACTACACTTTGAAAAGAAGTCAAAGCGTCATCTTAAACAATTTTTTAAACACCAGAAAGTCAAATGCTCCTAAAGTCATGCATTTTCTATTTTCCATACCTCTTTTTTGATACAAATGTATTTTTCAAATCTTTTACTGTTTAGCATTCTCCTTATTCTAATGACAAATTTCCAGACAAATTACCCATCAATCAAATAACAGCTATCTGTTAAGCACTTTCTGCAGGCCAGTCACAAACACTTTTTGCATGACAGTCTCTCAAAACTGAACATCTAGGGCAGGGGCCACACCTGGACTGCAGCCTGTTTTTATAAACAAAGTTTAATTGGAACATAGCTACGTATAGTTTATGGCTGTTATTGTAATACAGAGTGAAGCAGTTTCAACAGAGACCACAAGGCCTGCAAAGTCTAAAATATTCACTATTTATCCCTTACAGAAGATGTTTGCCAGCCCTTGATCCAAAGTAAAGGATCCTAAGCAACAGAAATAGCCATCAGTAGAGGACAGGTTAAACAAATTAAGGGATCACTATTTTATAATTAATCTCCATATAATGGAACACTATAAAACCCTTAAAAACAAAAGCTAAAACAAAGGAAGCATATGTACACCCAGAGATATAAAACTATCTCCAAGGTATGTTAAGTATAAGAAATTGTATACAAATTATGCAGTATAATTTGTACAAAAGTGGTATACATATAGATTCAGAAACGTGCATGCTTATAAATGCATACAATAACGCAGGAAGAATGGAAATGTATGCAAGACATTGCTATCACTTGTCTCTGGGTAAGTAAAATGGTAGACTCAGGACTAGAGATGAGAATGAGACCTTTAATAAAAGCACATATTGTTTAAGACCATTTGAATTTTTTATCTGTATGTATACATGAACTATTCAACATTAATAAGTATATAAAAATAAAATAACATGTTTTGAAAATTGATGTATTAAAGAAAATCAAGTTTGGCTATGACCCCAAAGGAAATAAAGTTATATCTGGCCAACCCAAATTTTCTGCCAGCTCTGGACAAAAATGGACTAGTGATTTCAAGTTTCCCTATCCACCTCTGTTTTTCATGTCAAAGAAGGGAAGCTGCAGAAAGCCCTGGCTTCCTTGGTATCAGGAAGCATTGGTTGTTCCACATGAACACCAAGGATGCAACATCTGGATGTCCACACATGGCTAGGGCAGTGAAACAAATTCAGACGGAGGCCAGTGGCAACAATCACAAAATGGAAGCACTGTGGGCCTACCACAGAAGCTGCTGGGGCAGGTGATACAGCATGTCCTTTGGGAGGGGCCAGAGGCAGGGCTGACTCTATCCATATGCAACAAGAAAAGTGCTGCCCCACCTAAGCACCAGAAAAGAGAGCAGGAGCTCATAGGAAGGGCAAGAAAGCAAAAGCGACAGGGGTAATACATTATGAAGGGACTAGGCCAGACCTGAATACCAAGGATGACAACAAAATGAATAGCAGCCACACTGGGGGAACCACTTAAAAGGTGTGTGTGTAATTCTTTTTAAGAACATGCCAGAAGTTATATAAAATGAAAATTGCCTTTCAAAACTGTGGATCTACCATATTAATTTGAGGAACTGCCCTCAGATCCACATCAGTAGTCTGTGAAACTGCAGTCTAGCAGCTTGTAATGGAAATGGCATGCTCATTCATTCAATCTTAAAATGTTCCTGTATAGATTTTTAAAAAGCCCATTAGCATGTAATTGGTATATTAAGAAAACACAATGCTTAGAGTCAACAATCCCACATAATGGGATTATTATTTGGATTTGTTTCTTTTAAAAATGAAAATAACTTTATCATTTGAATGTTAGGAAGGTATAAACAACAGAGGAAACTATAAAACAAGGAGAAGGTTTAAAAACCACCTGAAGTTCCAAATTCAGGAATTATTTAACTTTCTGATTCCCATCAAAAAAAAAAAAACTTCTTGCCATCTAGCTAAAAGTCTCAAAATAGAGTAGCAGGCATTACCCTAGATGATTTGAAAGTTAAACCTCCTCTTTGCCACTCCAACACTAACAGTGACCTTCCCTCTGGCTCCCACCTTTGAAACGCAATGTCACTCAAGGTTCAGTGGCTATTTTGAGAATAAGCAAATCAAATTACCCAAGACTTTTGCAAACTCACGCCTCCTAGAAAAAGTTAATAATGCCTTTATGTTAATTTGATTCACCTTCTAATTTTGGAACTTTATTACTTTGAACACATGTCAGCTGTTATACTTCTAGTTTAATTGCCTAATTGTGAAATTTCTATGCCATGTGTATTGGACTAACTTCTGCTTTGGGGAGAAAACCCACAATAAATAAAAGTTTTTTTAAAAGAGACATAAGGGCCATTGAGCACCTGGAAAAAATGCATAATTATAACCACACATTACTGTCATTTTTAAAAAAGACATTGAGTTGAAAAAAGAGAGGAAGAAATGAAAAATATGTTTTTATTAGAAAATTCATAAGAAAATAAAAATGATATTAAGTGAATTCATTTGAAATAAGTAATTTATCAATATTAAAATTCCTTGAAGAAATTATTTACCAACTGTAATTTTGTGAGCCAAGAGTTGGAATATCCACTTATTAAAAAAATCATAAGATAATCCAATTTAATAATAATAAGTTCAAATATGTAAATAACAAAAGTAATGGAACAGGCATTATGGAAATGTGTTATGAAGAAAACTCAGTATTATTGTTCTTTCTAGCTAATTTTCAATTGTATGAAATCTCACAAGATGTATATAATCAGAAGCACATTAACTGAGAAAAGTATTTCTCTCTCATATGCGTGCACATGCATATAAGTACATATCCACCTACTAATTAGAAAGATACTCCTGTAAGCCAGAATAGCACATCTCTGCAAAGATTGGAAACTTTGCAAACATTCATCATTCATAACAATTAAGAACTTGATTGCAGCTACAATCAAGTTCCTAATTTCACATCATAACCTAAGTCTAGAAGGAACTGGCAGAAATTCACACTTATGTTTATACTTAAAATCAAAGTGAAGTTAAACTTCACTTTGAAGTTAAACTTCACCATAACAAATGCTGGTATTCTTAGTTTCGCCTGCAATGTGAAACATAATACTCTTTGATAAGTTACTGTTGGTTAACTTAAAATAATTTCTTGCAGGCCTTATTTTCAGTAACATGTCTCCGAGTATTCTTAGTTTTGACTTGTCACTTTTTTTAGTCTAGAGATCTAAAGCATTGTGTGTTAAAGGTCACAAAGAGAGGCAGCCTCTAAAACTACTCATTTATAAAACATTTTGTTGACATGTTAGCTTATCATTGTCAACAAAAAAATTCACATAAGGTCTAAAAAGTGCTTTTATTCCAATGAAAAACAATAAAATGATAGATAGCAAGAATAGATAAATCAGTGTTCAGTGCAACTAGGAAGATTTCCAATATATACAGGTTAAATAATTCAACTTCCAATTAATTAACTGGAGCTTATTATGCCTTTCTCTTTGCATGTTAATCATTATAAAAGAAACAAAATTTCAGTATTAGGTATAGTCTCTGTGAAGTATTTTTCCAACTAGAATTTTTTAAAACCTTCAGAACACTATTGATTACAACTTCCATACAAATTTCCTTAAAAAAAGATTAAAAGTATTAATAAGGTATTAAGGAAACTCAAAGTTAGTACCTCAGTTTGCTTAAATTAAGGGCCCATAAGTGCTTAGGTATAGTACTTTTTATTTGACTTATCCAACAGAACTTTTTTTTTTAATAGAGTTCTGGTTTTATAATATATTCTTGAAGGAAAAAATATATCATTATTTGATATTTAATATTAATTCATCTGAACACAGTAAAATTTCTTAACAAAACCTAATTATGAATATAAAAAGACTATTTCACATCATGATGAAAAGAAAACTGATTGCTAGCATTCTACGAGGAATAAACCAGACTTTATGACTTGTAACATGTAGTAACATTTTTATACAGCATTAGGTCAATTTCATGGATGCCTCAGCCTTTCAGTCTTGTATCTAGGCCAAAAGCACAGGCTTCTGGAAGCAAATGTTATGAATCACATGACAAGTAGAATATGCCACTAAAAACAATCCCAAAAGTTGTTCTACTACTCCTGGCCAGGTCTCATGCCCTACAGGACTGGCTGGATGGAGCACCTCCTATGCAAGGATAACCTCCTGGACAAATCTCATTGCCTCCTGGAGACTTTTTCCAAGGTTTGTCTCTGAAGGAGAAAACTTATCCAAAGACTCTGACCTTGGCATACAGGAGTAGAGAAGACACTCAGCCAGCTGATTAAAGTGCACAACATATTTTACCAGAAAGTAGGGAAATCTCAGAGTACTACTCTACTATGTATAGTAAGGATACGGTTAGGGAGTTGCCCAATTTTCCTGGTAGCTCTGTGTGAAGCATAGGTACTAGTCTTTTCCTATTTCACATCAACAACTATCACTGAATCTTAATTTTGAGGGTCATCACATCTCCAGTTGCTATTTCTCCCTGATTCTATTGCCCTGCCCCAGATCAGAAATGTTTTTCTCAGCACCTTCAGTTTTGGAGGAACAACATCCTCTTCTTTGGGCACCCCAGGCTCACAGATCAGTTTCAGAAAATCCTAGAAACACAATATGGCCTGAACTACCAGTAGGCTACTCAGAACTATATTCATTCCTTTATGTTCTTCTCTGGATCCCAGCAGCTAGAAGTTTGGTAATTACATTTTCCAGACACCTTGCGATACAGTTCAGGGTGAGCTCACACAAATGAGATATATTCACAAGGCCTAAGAGAAGCCAAAGTCCAATATGGTGATGGCAGGCAGATGAACAGCCTTGGGCCAGTGGCCCATGGGAGGTGTTGCTAGATGCTTCCAGGTACAGTAGGTATCTGAGACCATCAATGGTGCCTGCCTGCTGTTATTATCTTCCTAATTTCTTGAATGCTAGTTGAAGTCCTTTTCAATTCTTTAGAAAGCCTCTCACTCCTGTAATAAATCTTTCTTCTTGAAATATCTAAAGGTTTTATGTTTTCCCAACTGAATCCTTGCCAGCGCAGAATGGCTTAGTCATAACTCAGGTGCACTGTCGGTGGAAGGGCCAAAGGGGGTTAACTGGCCTCCATAGAAGCAGTTCAGGTACCAACAGCAGATAACAAGCAAAGGTTCAAGAAATCAGACTGAGTCCAACATAAGGGATGGCAATTGTCAAGGAGGGACCTATTCAGAGCTGGCTATCAAACGCAATATTCTAGCTCCTGGGAGAAACAGCATCCACTAAAATTCAAAATTCAGTGTTGACATTTGAGATAGTGATGCACTTCCTCTTCACCCCAGATACGAATTTAGTGCAAGTACGATAGAGATTGTGTGTAAACCAACACATGGTACTCATGGTGTCCTGGTTGGTGATGCAGAAAATATGGACTATAGTGTTCATGGTGCTGATAATCCACCAGAGGCTGACAGCAACAGTGAAGGAGGTTTCCTGGAAGGTGAGAAAGCACTGGGAAAATGCTGCTTTCATGTCTGGTTCACTGGTGTTCATTTTGTAAAATAATGCTAGCATATAGAGAATGTTTACTCTTTCCATTACATGAGAATGTGGTGAATTAACAAACCTGAAAGAAGACCAGACTTAGGACAATTGCTGAGGTCTGTATCCATTCATCCCCAAGTTCCCCTGCCCTACAGCTATGCTAATACACACTCTGCTTCCCTTGGAGATTACATTCTCACTCTTTGTTGTCTTTGTAGAATTGCTGATCACATGAATAAAATGTTTATGTTAATTCATGACAAAATAAAAGTGCTGAACAGAAACTCACTTAAACTCTTCTGGAACTTGGTTTTCTCTATCATTAAACTGTGATTATAATCCTATTGTTTAGGGGGTTTGTGAGCATTAAATGAAATATATGTAAAAGAGCTTTAGAATGTGAAGTATTACCAGTAAAAAATTTATTGCAATCATATCCACACAAAAATGTATATGAAATATCTCCATGAGTATTATGCAAAACCATGTACAAGACAAAGTAAGTTAAGGCCATGAGAGCAAAAAAGGATTGCAAAGCATAACAAAAGCCAAAATTGAAAACAAAACAAGACTTTTGTTTCTTTAAAAATAATATCACCAGCCAAACTGCTTGACTTTCAAAGTTATGGCTTACAGCATGCTCAAACAATTTCTAAAATGTGAAAACATTTGCGGAACTTGTGGGAAAACATAATTTCCAAAAGCTTTACTCACAACAAACCCAGTAAAAATAACAATGCCCACATCATCACAGACAAACACATCAGTGCACAGCAGTCCCTGATGCAGTCTGGCCCACCCAGAATGTAGACCTTAGAACATTTGGTGACAACACCGATCAACAGCATTTCATGAACAAGCCTTTGTGAATTAGTTCAAGATTTCTCTAAACATGTTAAATCATCATATTTATAACATGGATTCTTGGTTTGGGTTCTCCTACAAGTGGAGTCTGAAACAAGGATTTGAGTGTAAGTAGTTTATTTGGAAGGTGAGACAGAGAAGGGAAAGAAACCAACCGAGGTGTGTTATCACACAAGTTACTTCTGTGAGCAATTTGATCAATCCTACTAGGTAATACTGAGAGACAGTACAGAATATGCCTCAGAAACCCCGTCTCTACTAAAAATACAAAAAATATTAGCTGGGCGTGGTGTCAGGCGCCTGTAGTCGCAGCTACTCGGGAGGCTGAGGCAGGAGAATGGCATGAACCTGGGAGGTGGAGCTTGCAGTGAGCCGAGATGGCGCCACTGCACTCCAGCCTGGGTGACAGAGGGAGACTCCATCTCAAAAAAAAAAAAAATATATATATATATTTGCCTCAGAGTTGTCCTCACAGGGGGACTAGGAAGCTGGGGCAGTTTTTTGCCAAATCCCCATCCAACCAGCTGCTTGTTTTCTTTTCTTTTCTTTCTTTGACAGGGTCTTGCTCTGTCGCCCAGGCTGGAGTCTGGAGTGCAGTGCTGCAATCATGACTCACTGCAGCCTCGAATTCCTGGACTGAGGCGACCCTCCATTCTCAGCCTCCTGAGTAGCTGGGGCTACAGGCATGTACCACCACATCCAGATTATTATTATTGTTGTTGTTTTTATTGTAGATACAGGATCTAGCCATGTTGCCCACGCTGGTCTCGAGCTCCTGGGCCCAAGCAATTATCCTGCCTCAGCCTCCCAAAACACTGGAATTATAGGTGGCATGAGTCACCATGCTGGGAGAATTGCTTTCATGGCCATTAACACCCAGGCAATTCCCACTGTTAGAAGAAATGCCCTCAGGTGGCAGAGTTTTAGGTGTTCCAAACACGCAGCCTTCCATGCATAGAGTAAATGCTAAGGGGACATGAGAAAACACTGAGAGCATTACAAAATTAGATCCCAGGGAGGACCTGGAAAAAAAAAGTCTGTCAACTGCACACAAAATAACTGCTGAATCTCCAACAAAAAATAGTGTGGCGTCAGCATACCCAGGTACATGCCATATAGCTGAAAGCTACAGTGGTCCCAAGTATGTTGGGAATATTCACTTAAAAAATGTATTCATCACCAAATGAGTATATTGGAAGTTCTCAGCAGAATAAAAGAAATCACAATTATTTAATTCCTTATTTCAATAGAGATTCTAAAGATTCATTCTCTTCAATCCTGAAGCAATTCAGCAATGGTAAAATTGCTAAATAAATAAAAGTCAAGCAATGCAACTGGTAGTAATAGAAAACTGTAGTTCTGGCCAAACGCAGTGGCTCACGCCTATAATCCCAGCGGTGGGCAGATCACTTGAGGTCAGGAGTTCGAAACCAGCCTGGCCAACATGGCAAAACCCTGTCTCTACTAAAAATACAAAAATTAGCTGGCTATGATGGCGGGCACCTGTAATCCCAGCTACTCGGGAGGCCAAGACACGAGAATCTCTTGAACGCTAAGGGTAGAGGTTGCAGTGAGCTGAGATTGCGCCACTGCACTCCAGCCTGGGCGACAAAGTGAGATACTATCTCAAAAAAAAAAAAAAAAAAGTAGTTCTGCTCACTAAATCAAAGTGTTACTGAGTCCATTTTATGCAGAATATGCTAGCAGGAACTTTGGAGATATTTTTAAAATGAAGTCATAAACTTACTCTTTCCTTACATACAGAAGGAGTAACAAAAACTGATTTATTACAAATGGAGGCTATGGCAAAAACATAATTGGTAAAATCTATGTCTAGGCCCAGCAGGACAGAAGGTACTTAGTGATGAAAAAGCTCAGAGCTAGGTGGGATTAATTAATGAATTGTTTTGTACAGGTGAGCTTTGAGCAGAGTTATACAGGAAAACAAGGAAGGACTAGTAGAGCAGAAGAAAGAGGGGGTTCTACACTAGTCGTTCTTAAGTGCAGACAATCGTGACTTCTAGGGGTCATGTGGCAGTGTCTGGAGACATTTTTGGTTGTAGCAACTTGGGGAGGGGTTTCTAGCATCTAGTGGGTAGAAGTCAGAGATGCCACTAAATATCCCACAATGCACAGGACAGCCCCCACCACAAAGAATTGTCTGGCCCCAAATGTCAATGGTGTCTCAGTTGAGAAGCCCTATTTTAAATAAGGGGAATGGTATGGATGCTAAAAGGTTAACATGGAAAGCAAAGGAGGCACACTAATCTGTAGAGGATGTCATGGGTGGCTAGTGCAGGTGCTGGGAGAAGGTATCAGTGCTAGTAGGATTTCAGGTTTTGTTAATAAGAAATTTCTCTCCTCTAGCTTATGTCTTAATAATGTGTAAAATCCATGTAAGGTGATAAAAAACCAAAGCTCTGACTCTACCACCAATGGGAACATTATTGGACCACTGCGCATTTCCATCGCTGACTTCTACAGAAATTGGGATGGGTGGATGTCTGCACCATAGTGGCCTCTCCTAACCACACCCCCCATCCTAATTGAGGTCTCAGTAGCCCTGCACCCTCTGTAGCATATACTGTTTATAAACACTCTTGAAAATTCCTTCTGACACCTCTGTCCTTCACACTTCTTCGCTCAAATATTTCTGCTTAAACCACCCAAGGGGTCTCAGGCTTCATTCCACAGAGGACTCAACAGGCATTTCTGTTGCTGCCACAGAGTCTTCCCTCCATGGCATTTATTTTTGTCATATTTAAAATGTTGGCTGAGCAGAAGCCTAGGAATGTTGTGAAAATGCAAAAAGAGAAAGGCTCTGAGTAGAATGCAGAGCAAAAAGATCTAAAAATAAATTTCATGTTTACAGCAATCTCAAGTCTGGAGTATAAGTGAAAAGAAATGTGTTAGAAACCTTAGAATAATGGGTCTTGGATCAAGAGGAAAAAGGAGAAGGGCAGGTTGAGAGGATGACTTTGAAAGTGACATTAATTCTCATGAGCTATGACATTAAATTTATATCTATTTAAGTCACTGACAGAATTAGAACCAAGTGTACAAACTCTAAATTACAGGAAGGGCAGAGAAAACATCAGATCAAAAAATTACTAAGTATTACATTTACTAATCTACAGCTGAGATTTCAGAAGCAAATGCATGTTAAAAATGAGATCATGGCATGATACCTCTTCTGCTCATCTGAAGAATGAACATAATTTATTTTATATGTTATTGATATGAAAGTATAAATATTTGATAATATGTTTAATAGGTATCAACCATCTAGGCTGAAGGTTGGAGATAACAATAATAATAATAATGTGATGATGATGATAATGATAGTAGTGGGGGTGGTTAGAAATTATTGAGTGCTTACAGTGTCCTAGGAACTATGGTAAGTGTTATAATTTCAATCTCTCAGCACAACCAGAAGATACCACTATTATTATCCCCCACTTATGGTACAGAAACTGAGGCATGGGGAATCAGGGCAAGTAAGTGGTGGCTCTTAGACTTGATCCAGATCTGTTTACATAGCCCACAATCATACTATCTCTTTGGTGGTGGCATTTCAGAAAGATTCAGTATTACTTTGGTGCATAATTTTTAAACACTAAATCTACAATTTTAAATGTAATAATTATTTAAATTATATGGCTTGCTAAGGTTTGAATATTTTTGTCCCCTCCAAAATTTATGATGAAAGTTAATCCCTATTGTGGTGGTATTGGGAGGTAGGGGCCTTTTGGAGAAATGGTTAAATCATGAGGGCTCAGCCCTAATAAGTGTATTTGTGCCTTGTAAAAGGGCCAGAGGTAACCAGCTTAGGCCCCCTTTTGCCCTTCTGTCCCTTCTGCCATGTGAGGACACAGCATCCTTCCTCTCTGGAGGATGCAGACAGCATCATTTTTATGTAGACAGCAGCCCTCACCAGAAAATGACACTGCTAGGGTCTTGATCTTGGACTTCCCAGCCTCTAGAACAGTGAGAAATAAAATTCTGTTCTCTATAAATTACTCAGTCTGTGGTATTTTGTAATGGCAGCACAAATGAACTAAGACATTCCTCTAGGTTAAGAATTAGGGTTGGGCTTTCCTTCTAGAAAATTCTTTTGGGGTTAATGTCCACCACTGATTTTCATAGAGGGGTCACCTGATAGGTAGAAAAGGCACAGACTCTGATGCCAGATAGGCTGGGGTTTAAATCCTTGCTTCACTCACTACTCTCTACTCATGTGAATTCAGGCAATTCACTTAACTATAGTAGGTAGAATTCTAAGGATAGCCTCCCAAGATTCCCATCCCATGGTTACTAAATTAAATACTAATCTAGGTACTGCTACGAAGGGATTTTGAAAATGTAACTAAGGTCCCAAATCACTTACCCTTACATGGGGAGATAATCTGGGTGGGCCTGCTCTAATCACATTAGTCCTTTAAAAGGAAGAAGTCAAAGGCTGGGCATGGTGGCTTTTCAGGTGTAAACTTGTAACCTCAGCATTTTGGGAGGCCAACACAGGACAGTTTGACCCCAGAGTTCAAGATCAGCCTGGGCAACTTAGGGAGACCTTGTATATTAAATAATAATAATAATAATAATAATAATAATTAGCTGAGTATAGTGCTGCATGCCTGTGGTCCCAGCTACTCTGGAAGCTTAGGTGAGCGGATCACTTGAGCCTTTGAGGTTGAGGCTGCAGTGAGCCGTGATTGCATCACTGTACTCCAGCCTGGGAGACAGAGACCCTGTCTCAAAAATAAAAAATTATAAAGGAAGAAGTCAAAGGGATTGGAAGCATAACAAGGATCTGACATACCATTGCTGGCTTTCAAGACTGAGGGACCATGAGACAAGAAATGCTCACAGCCTCTCAAAGCTGAGATAGACCTGCTGTCAACAGCCAGCAAGGAAACAGGCATTTTCCCAAAAAGCAATGTTAACACCTGTTGAATAGGGCTCAAGTCCATTAAACTGATTGACCTATTAGATGCTAAACTATTTGTACTATCAGGATAATCAAATCATAATGGGTAATGAGGTTTCTTTTTTTTATTTTTTATTTTATTATTATTATACTTTAAGTTTTAGGGTACATGTGCACAATGTGCAGGTTAGTTACATATGTATACATGTGCCACGCTGGTGTGCCGTACCCATTAACTCGTCATTTAGCATTAGGTATATCTCCTAATGCTATCCCTCCCCCCTCCTCCCACCCCACAACAGTCATCAGAGTGTGATGTTCCCCTTCCTGTGTCCATGTGTTCTCATTGTTCAATTTCCACCTATGAGTGAGAACACAAGGTGTTTGGTTTTTTGTTCTTGCGATAGTTTAATGAGAATGATGATTTCCAATTTCATCCATGTCCCTACAAAGGACATGAACTCATCATTTTTTATGGCTGCATAGTATTCCATGGTGTATATGTGCCACATTTTCTTAATCCAGTCTATCATTGTTGGACATTTGGGTTGGTTCCAAGACTTTGCTATTGTGAACAGTGCCGCAATAAACATACGTGTGCATGTGTCTTTATAACAGCATGATTTATAGTCATTTGGGTATATACCCAGTAATGGGAAGGCTGGGTCAAATGGTATTTCTAGTTCTAGATCCCTGAGGAATCGCCACACTGACTTCCACAATGGTTGAACTAGTTTACAGTCCCACCAACAGTGTAAAAGTGTTCCTATTTCTCCATATCCTCTCCAGCACCTGTTGTTTCCTGACTTTTTAATGATTGCCATTGTAACTGGTGTGAGATGGTATCTCATTGTGGTTTTGATTTGCATTTCTCTGATGGCCAGTGATGATACGCATTTTTTCATGTGTCTGTTGGCTGCATAAATGTCTTCTTTTGAGAAGTGTCTGTTCATGTCCTTTGCCCACTTTTTGATGGGGTTGTTTTTTTCTTGTAAATTTGTTTGAGTTCATTGTAGATTCTGAATATTAGCCCTTTGTCAGATGAGTAGGTTGCGAAAATGTTCTACCATTTTGTAGGTTGCCTGTTCACTCTGATGGTAGTTTCTTTTGCTGTGCAGAAGCTCTTTAGTTTAATTAGATCCCATTTGTCAATTTTGGCTTTTGTTGCCATTGCTTTTGGTGTTTTAGACATGAAGTCCTTGCCCATACCTATGTCCTGAATGGTACTACCTAGGTTTTCTTCTAGGGTTTTTATGGTTTTAGGTCTAACGTTTAAGTCTTTCATCCATCTTGAATTCATTTTTGTATAAGGTGTAAGGAAGGGATCCAGTTTCAGCCTTCTACATATGGCTAGCCAGTTTTCCCAGCACCATTTATTAAATAGGGAATCCTTTCCCCGTTGCTTGTTTTTGTCAGGTTTGTCAAAGATCAGATAGTTGTAGATATGCGGCGTTATTTCTGAGGGCTCTGTTCTGTTCCATTGATCTATATCTCTGTTTTGGTACCAGTACCATGCTGTTTTGGTTACTGTAGACTTGTAGTATAGTTTGAAGTCAGGTAGCGTGATGCCTCCAGCTTTGTTCTTTTGGCTTAGGATTGACTTGGCGATGTGGGCTCTTTTTTGGTTCCATATGAACTTTAAAGTAGTTTTTTCCAATTCTGTGAAGAAAGGCATTGGTAGCTTGATGGGGATGGCATTGAATCTATAAATTACCTTGGGCAGTATGGCCATTTTCACGATATTGATTCTTCCTACCCATGAGCATGGAATGTTCTTCCATTTCTTCGTATCCTCTTTTATTTCATAGAGCAGTGGTTTGTGGTTCTCCTTGAAGAGGTCCTTCACGTCCCTTGTAAGTTGAATTCCTAGGTATTTTATTCTCTTTGAAGCAATTGTGAATGGGAGTTCACTCATGATTTGGCTCTCTGTTTCTTCCTCGACACATACACCCTCCCAAGACTAAACCAGGAAGAAGTTGAATCTCTGAATAGACCAATAACAGGATCTGAAATTGTGGCAATAATCAACAGCTTACCAACCAAAAAGAGTCCAGGACCAGATGGATTCACAGCCGAATTCTACCAGAGGTACAAGGAGGAACTGGTACCATTCCTTCTGAAACTATTCCAATCAATACAAAAAGAGGGAATCCTCCCTAACTCATTTTATGAGGCCAGCAGCATCCTGATACCAAAGCCAGGCAGAGACACAACCAAAAAAGAGAATTTTAGACAAATATCCTTGATGAACATTGATGCAAAAATCCTCAATAAAATACTGGCAAACCAAATCCAGCAGCACATCAAAAAGCTTATCCACCATGATCAAGTGGGCTTCATCCCTGGGATGCAAGGCTGGTTCAATATATGCAAATCAATAAATGTAATCCAGCATATAAACAGAACCAAAGACAAAAACCACATGATTATCTCAATAGATGCAGAAAAGGCCTTTGACAAAATTCAACAGCCCTTCATGCTAAAAACTCTCAATAAATTAGGTATTGATGGGACGTATCTCAAAATAATAAGAGCTATCTATGACAAACCCACAGCCAATATCATACTGAATGGGCAAAAACTGGAAGCATGCCCTTTGAAAACCGGCACAAGACAGGGATGCCCTCTCTCACCACTCCTATTCAACATAGTGTTGGAAGTTCTGGCCAGGGCAATTAGGCAGGAGAAGGAAATAAAGGGTATTCAATTAGGAAAAGAGGAAGTCAAATTGTCCCTGTTTGCAGATGACATGATTGTACATCTAGAAAACCCCATTGTCTCAGCCCAAAATCTCCTTAAGCTGATAAGCAACTTCAGCAAAGTCTCAGGGTAATGAGGTTTCTTTGAAAAAATCAATCCCTCTCATCTGTACCATATGTTTTACTCTAAAAGTAACTCTCAGATCAATTTTGCAGTTTTCACCTGCATAGCAACATTTTGAAGTAAGCACAAGAAGACAGAGATGGCTCACTGATGACTAAGGGATTGTGCTAAGCCAGAGTTCACACTTCCTCACCTCCCTTGTAGGTAGGATGGAGCCATGTGATCAAATAATGGTCAATGGAATGATAAGAGTTCTGGTCAAAGGCAGGAGTGATGTGTGTCACTTCCAGGTCAGGCTCATGGGATCTGCCATTTTCTAGGCCATTCCATGGAGTACACAGATTGAACATGAGGATGCCACAAGACAGAAGAAGCCTGAGTCCTTGAATCCCCACATGGTAGCCTGCCCTCCAAATGCCTAATTCCAATGCAAACGAAAACTAAATTTGTGTTAAGTCGCAAAAATGTTCAGTTTGTTTTTTCCAGCAATTAGCTTCTTGATGCAGCAACAGGACTATTCTACTTGAGATATTTGAGCACCTTAAAGTGAGGTGCTGCCATAACCAAGACCTAATAATGAATTTAGAACTGGCTTAGTCCTTAGGTAACAGACAAAGAGGAACTAGATACCAGAGGTTAGAAAGACAGGTGACTCATATCATGTGGCAGCAAAAAAACTTGCTACATCTTTTACCTGTGATAACCTGGAAGGGCGACCACATGCCTTCAAAGCCAGCACCTTTAGAATTAAAATGTTAGCATATGTTGGCTACTCTTGCCTGTGTCTGACAAGGGATTAAAAGGAAAGAGGGTGGGGGAGAGATGGGAGAGAATTTGGCAACTTTGAAAGCAGAAATGAAAGCAACAAGGATTCCAGAATTTCAGCCTAAAGCGTTGAAAAAGCTTACTCTACTACATGCCCAACCATATAAAACAGAGAAAGAGCTTGGGACATTAGCATGTGCTGACCTCCACCCATGACTTGTTATTTAACAGCTGCAGTTCAGAACAGTTAAATTATTGCCTGAGAGCTCATGATTTTATGAAGTGACAGATCCAGGATTTGAACTCATATCTTGTGAATCTGACTTCAACTTTCTTTCCGTATATTTCACAGCTAAAATGCTGCAGTAAATTATCGTTTTTTTAATGTGCTGATGGTTCAGAAGCTAAACAACAGTGAATTTCCTTGGGAACAAAATAAACTTTCCATGCTTTTTATGGGAATCTAGAAGGTGAAATCAGTGTTTCAGTTTCCCTAAAATGGGATCCCTACATTGTTTACAGTGAGAACTCCTTGTTCTTCTTCCTTTTCTTCTACTGACAAAATAAGATTGGCCTCTTTTAGGGTGATACTGTCACTTTATTAAAAATTAGATTTGAGAATGTGTTTTTTTGTTGGCAGTGACTATATTATTTTATACACCATTGTGTATGGCATATATTTATATACTTGATGCTTTGCTCAAGGTTCACATTAGATGCCTTATAAATACTTACAGTTATCTGACTAGTGAAGAAAAAAGTGCTCAATAGTACAAGACACATGCTACAATTTTTGTGGCATTTTCTATTTCCACTGTTAGAATGTAAGCTCTATGCAGGGAAGGGCTGAGTTAATTGCATCTTTGTGACTTGCCTTACAGAAACATCAAGCATATAAAAGGGCACAATAACTAATTGTTATTGAACAACTGAAAAATGTTGATATTTTAACTAAGGTAAAAATAAGCATACAATATCAGATTAGGAAGTGTCTTAATTTGGGTTCTCCCAGAAGCAGATGCTGAAGCAACAATTCCTGAACAAATGGTTTATTTAGGAGGGGTATTAATTTTGTGTCACTGCTGTAACAAATTACTACAAATTTAGTGGTTTAAATCAACAGATACATATTTTCTTTCAGTTCTGGAGGTCAGAAGTCCAAAATGGATCTCACTGGGCTCAAACCAAGAGGCAGAGTTGCATTCCTTCTGGAGACTCTAGAGGAGGAGCCCCCCATCCCCCTTTTTTTGTCATTGTCCAGCTTCTAGAAGCCACTTGCAATTCTGGGCTTGTGGCACCTTCCTCCTTCTTCAAAGCCAGCAGTGTATCATCTTCCAATTTCTCTCTAACTCTGTTGCTGTCATCACACCTCCTTCTCTGAATCTGACTCCCTTGCCTCCCTCCTTCACCTATGAGAGCCCTTGTGATTACAATGGGCACACCCAAATAACCCAGGCCAATCTCCCCATCTCAAGATCCTTAATTTAATCTGCATCTGCAAAGTCTCTTTGGCCATCTAAGAGAACAGATTCACAAGTCCCAGGATTAGCATGTGAACATCTCTCAGGGTATTATTCTGCTGACCACAGGAGGTAACACCAGGAAACAGTTGGTAGGGGAGTGAGAGGCAATGAGATAGGAAAGAGAAAGAAGTCAATAAAACATGAGTTCACAATACAGTTATCATCGAAGGAAACTGGGACTCAGCCCTGCAGGGAGACTCTGCGAGACAGAGTGGATATGCTTCAGAGTTACCCTGAAAGAGTTAACCTAGAATTACCCACCTACTCTTCATCCATCACCAGTTGAGGGCTGCTCCTAGGATCATTAACTCTCTGTCACTTCTGAAACTTGCCCTGTCATGGCAGAGTATGTTCCCATGACCAGAAAGAAACTACTAGAAAGAGAGTTGCAGGTGTTTTTACCAGGTACTTGCCATCAGGTGTGTGTCTAGGAAATACATAGAGGGTACCAACAGCTTCTTGTAAAGGAAGAAACTTCTAGGGTCATCTAATCCAATGATATCTTTTTTCAGAAGAGCAACTAGAGGCCCAGAATGGTGGTGTTGGTTGGGGAGGGGGAATTACCCAAGGTCACATGACCAAAGAAGAGCACTGATGGTGGCTTCCATTCAGTGTCTCAGGCTACTATGTGTTAGGCACTGTACAAGTAGCTGGACACATGCTCCCAGTTCTTAAAACTCAACACAGTCAAAATGAAAGTCATCATCTTTCGGCCGATACCTATATTGCCTCCTTTCTGGTCCCCAGCCTATGACTGTCTCAGGGGCCACATCATAGTCATCGTCTTGAGGGACCACTTCTATCCTCATACCTAGCATACTCACCAGCATGCATGAGTGTACTACTTAAATTTTGAAGGAAAAAAAAGAAGGAAGAAAAGGAGAAAAGGAAGGAAAGGGGAAGAAAGGAAACAGAAGATATTTTTATACTCTTTAAGCAGTGGCTTAAAATGGAGGTCTAGAGTGGAAAAGATGTAAAGGCAGCAGTGCTGCACCCAGAAGAGATGAGGTCCCAGGGCCCCTGCAGCCAGGAATGGGCATCCCCCACCCTCTATACTCTAAGTTCAGTGTGTTAACAATGTGAAGATTCCCCCATCTAAATAATGGGATATTATCTCACCAATGAAGGGTTATCACTTCCACTCTGCACAGGGAGGATCTCTTTTGCTTTCATGATTTAAAAAAAAACCACTTTTTGGGCAAAGGATATGAACAGACACTTTTCAAAAGAAGACATTTATGCAGCCAATAGACACATGAAAAATGCTCATCATCACTGGTCATCAGATAAATGCAAATCAAAACCACAATGAGATACCATCTCATACCAGTTAGAATGGCTATCATTAAAAAGTCAGGAAACAATAGGTGCTGGAGAGGATGTGGAGAAATAGGAACGCTTTTACACTGTTGAAGGGACTGTAAACCAGTTCAACCATTGTGGAAGACAGTGTGGTGATTCCTCAAGGATCTAAAACTAGAAATACTATTTAACCCAGTGATCCCATTACTGGGTATATACCCAAAGGATTATGAATCATGCTACTATAAAGACATTTGCACACGTATGTTTATTGCAGCACTATTCACAATAGGAAAGACTTGGAACCAACCCAAATGTCCATCAATGATAGACTGGATTAAGAAAATGTGGCACATATACACCATGGAATACTAGGCAGCTATAAAAAAGGACGAGTTCATGTCCTTTGTAGGGACATGGATGAAGCTGGAAACCCTAATTCTGAGCAAACTGTCGCAAGGACAGTAAACCAAACAACGCATGTTTTCACTCATAGATGAGAATTGAACAAGGAGAATACTTAGACACAGGGTGGGGAACATCACACACCGGGGCCTGTCGTGGGGTGGGGGGATGGGGGGATGGGGGAGGGATAGCATTAGGAGAAATACCTAACGTACATGACGAATTAATGGGTGCAGCAAACCAACATGGCACATGCATACATATGTAACAAACCTGTACATTGTGTACATGTACCCTAGAACTAAAAGTATAATAATAATAATTTTAAAAAGCCACTTTTATTCAAGGGGACTTTCTTTAGAGAAACGTTTGGACGATCATGGGCCCAATGAGGAAAAGAAAACAATTTTAACGACAGATTATGAAACATCTCTACTTGCCTTCTGAGCTAAGAAGTAAAGAGAATATAACAAATCAGCCTCATAGTGTTATCTGCATGGTGATACTATAGTATTAGTGTAGTATAATGTTACAAATGATAACTTTATTATTTAAGTTAAATTTTAAAAATTATAGTCCCATTATTTCAGAGTAGATATTTTCTAACTTTATCAATGTGTGTACAATAAATGTTAATTATTAAAAGTTGCCAGAAATAACATCTTGATTAACTAACTCTATCAATAAACCAATTTCCCATAGTCCTTCTTACCTTCAGATATGGAAAATTCCCTAAGGGTCACTTATCTGGGGGCAGAGCCCTTTAGCCTGCCTAACTTACCAAATCTATACTCCAGAAAATTTCTAGTGGTTCCAGCTGCCAAAAAGTTATCTCTAAATGAATTATTATGATTCTTTATAGCTTGTGGGTTTAGCCATATTTTTAGAGGGAAATTTCAAATTCCGAAGGAGATGACTTCATCTGGGCAAATATTTTACTGTAAAAGGTACGAGACTCAGCACTTGTTAAACTCTCATTCAAAACTGCGTCAGGAGACAAAATCTCCCCCAAGGAAGGGCAGAGGAGAAGATGTTGACAGGTCCATAATGAGCTGTAACCATGTATGTGCATCCCTAGAGAAATCATTTTCTGGGCTCATATTTTCCATTTTAATGTCACAAAAGAACAGAATGCGCCTCCAAATTATACCACCAGCCACTGCAACTAGTGTTAACTGCTGCCATGACTCATTAAAGGCCAGAAAATCCCCTTGAAAGTGAAATCATACGTCCTATAGGGTAGGTGAGGTATCTATGAGGATGATAGCTACCAAAACTAAACAAACAAACAAACAAAAAACTAATTTGAACAAACTCTAGTGTTCACAATTGATTTCATTACATTGATTTTTTCATTTGCAGTTTCTTTTCCAAACTTGTGCTTTTCATTGCTCTTTCACACTGTGAGGGGAATTAAGTCCCTGGAAATAATATACCTTTATATTGGGATGCTGCCAAGACTGTAGGCACATAAATCTATGAGACACGTGTTGGCCACTAATTCTGCAAATCTGGCTGGTTCAGCCAGGGTCCCTCCCCTTTCTTCCTGTCCTACATCAATGCAAGTGCCTCCCAACGAAGCATGACCAAAGAGGATGATGAATAATCTTTCATTAGAAGGAGACTGTGTCTCAAACTGTTTTTTAAAGGAAAAAGATAATAAATAAGTACTAGAAAGTCCAAACTTACAGCTACATCTGTAGCCAAAACTATTTTAAAAACTGAAAGTAAATCTAGTCACTTGGCAAATACTGCTTCTAAATGCTTTAAATTATAATACAAGTATTCGAGAAAAAAAGTTAAATTATTCTAACTATATCTTTATTTTCAGACACTAATATAATGTTAGCTCTCTTTAAAACAGTGAGAATATATTATATTTTACATTTCTCTAATACTTCCATTTGTGGAAGTGAATATAGGAAAGAATAAATAAAATGTAGGTTTTGTGTTTCTCTCTTCAAATGGCTTTTCTGAGTAATACATAAAAAGCCAATCATGAAGCATTTTAAAAAGTGTCTTTCTTACTTCAAGTAGGGTCCATGGACTACGCCATCTGCAACTACTGGAAAATGTACACTCTTAGGTTCCCCAAGGGACCTAAGTGAAGCAGAGACTGCTTTTTAACAAAGTCCCCAGGGATTTGTGTGCAAGGTCAAGTGTGAACAGCGATTAATAGCTCAATAAAAATTACCAGTGTTACAACTTAATAATTGAAAATACAACCCAATTAAAAATGGGCAACAGATTTGAATAGATATTTTCCCAAAGAAGATGTACAAATGGCCAGTAAACACACAAAAAGATGGTCTACATCACTAGTTGTCAGGGACATGCAAATTAAAATCACAATGAAATATCACTTCATACCTACTAGGATGGCTATAAACAAAAACATAATAAGAAGTATTGGTGAAAGTGTGGAGAAATTGGAACCTTCAAACATACACTGCTGGTGGGGATGTAAAATGGTGCAGCAGCTTTGGAAAACAGTCTGACAGTTCCTCAAATGGAATATAACCTAACAATTCCACTTTTAGATACATACTTAAGAAAAATAAAAACATACATCCATACAAAAATGTGTACATGAATGTTCACTGCAGCATTATTCCCTATAGCCGAAAGGTAGAAACAACTCAAATGTCCATCAATGAATAAATGGATAAACAAAGTGTGGTCTATCCATACCCTGGAAGATTATTCTGCCATGCAAAGAAATGAAGTACCGGTACTTGTTACAACATGGATAAACCTTGAAAAATTAAGCTACATGAAAGAAGCCAGTCACAAAAGACTAAACATAGTACAATTTAATTTGTGTGAAATGTCCGGAATAGGCAAATCTATAGAGACAGAAAGTAGATGAGTGGTTGCTTACAGCCAGCTAGATGGACGGGGGAAGGGGGAAATGAGAGTTATTGGGTATGAGGTTCCTTTGGGGGGTCATCAAAATGTTCTAAAATTGATTGTGGTGATGGGTGCACATATCTGTGACTATACTAAAAACACTGAACTGTTTTTAAAATAAATGAACCCCACTCTCCCAAACTTTCATGTATGGCATACTGCCTAGCCGGAGATATGATGACTTACACCTTAGAACAACAAAAAAAAACTTCCAAATAACAAATGCTTTGTACTAAATGACACATTACTTATTGAGCACTTCGTATGTGCAGGGTCCTATG
Organism: Homo sapiens; assembly: GCF_000001405.40. Taxonomy (NCBI): domain Eukaryota; kingdom Metazoa; phylum Chordata; class Mammalia; order Primates; family Hominidae; genus Homo; species Homo sapiens. The sequence goes on from NC_000023.11 coordinate 11,582,065, forward strand.
TTGGTCATACACAGGGGTTTTCTCTTGTAATTCTCCCCACAGCCCTGAGAGGTAATTATTATTATTATCACATTTTTACAAATGAGGAAACTGGAGCACTAGAAACACACCCAAGGTCAACTTGCTGATGACCAGTGGCAAAGCTCAGATTTGACCCAGGGAGTCTGAGAGCAGAAGCTGCACACAATCTCTCTGTCTTTGGAGTCCCCCTACAAGATACTTTTGCTAACTGTGAACCGGTCAACACAGGGGCAACAGAAGAACCTCCTATAGAGCAATGAGAGGTGTAAATTACCCTTCCATTGCTATTTACTAGGGCTGGCCAATGTTTAATGATTTCCCCGACAGATTCTGATAATCAGCTTCAATTTCATTTCTTTGAATTTTTCAAAATGTAAAATATTGTGAGAAAAACAGCCAGCCCTTTTTTATTGGAAAAACATTAGTCAAACAAATCTGCCTATTTTCAGAAATTCCTTGAATGAGTAAAGGACTAGTCAAATTCTACAAGGGATATGTTTCCATGGGTCACATATAAGGAAAAAAAGCAAATCTTTCATGTGTGATCATAGGACTCTGACATCTGTAACAAAAACTCCTGGCAAATTGATCATTCTAACTTGATTATTCAAAGTCATAGCTTGTAGTTAATAATGTATTGTATACTTGAAAATTGCTAAGAGAATAATCTTAAATATTAATATTAAATATAACTGTGAGGTAATAGACATGATAATTAGTTTGATTGTAATAATCATTTCAGAGTGTATACATGTGTCAAAACATCACATTGTATACAATATATACACATATGCAATATTTATTTGTGAATTATACCTCAATAGAGCTATAAAAGTTTTAAATTTAAAAAAAGGAAAAAATTACATTGAAACAAAAAATAAATCATAGCTAGCACATATGTAACACTATGCACCAAATACATTTTAAGTGCTTTATATTTAGTCACTAAATATTCACAATAGCTCAAAGTTACCTTAAATAGTCCCATTTTTAAAATAATAAAACTGAGGAATTTAAGGTTTTCACAGCCAGTTAATGGCAGAGCTGTGAAGTGAAACCAGATAGTTCACACTCTCAACTGCTACACCTTACTAACTGCTCTCCAGGATGGTTGGTGGAAGAACAAGCTATAGCCTCTGTAACTAGAAATTACTGGGCAAACATTAATACAGCACATTGAAATCAAGTACATCCCACAGTTGTAGTAATTTCTGCAGGCTCAGAAAAGAGTTTTGACAGTAGGTGATGCTTGTTGTCACTTAGCAGAACTGGACCAGATTGTTTAAACACACAAAATAAGCCACAAGGGCTATTCGATATTAGACACTAGATATTTTATCAGGAAACATATGGCCTACACAGCCAAGAAGTCATCTCTCTGTTACGATCAAATCCTATTGCTCATGTCAGCATGGAATGAAATTATTTTTAAAAAGGGAACAGCATAGCCAACTAGTCTATTTATATTCCTTGCTATAATTTCAAACAACTTCATGGTTCATTAGATATTTTGGTTCACTTAGCCAATAAGTGTTTTTTAATGGAGAATTATTACAAAGCTAAGCAAATAGAAAACTCCACAACAATAAATCATGATCAACCAGGCTTTATCCCAGGAATTCAAGGAGGTTCAACTTTAGGAAAACTATTAACAGAATTCTCTATGTATTTATATTAAAGATGGAGGAAAAAAAAACATGATCATCTCAAGTAATGCTAAGATATATTTTACAAAATTTCACAGGCTTTCCAGCTTGAAAGAAAAATATAACTACCAATAAGTCAAGATGGAAAGAAACTGATTTATCTTGCTTAAGTTAAAAAGTGGTCTCATTAAACTCAGGAGCAAGGCAAAGATGCCTAAAATTGACATTGTACCAGAAGTCTTCAGCAACATATAAGAAAAGATTTCTTTAAAGCCTTAAATACGGAAAAGGACTATGCCAAAGTGTTATTATAAACAAATAAATGACTTTCTGTCTACAAATCCAACTTGTCAATTTAAAGTTTACTGGAACTAATATGAAAGCAATAATGTCACTAGATACAAGACAAACTTACAAGTTAATCGATTTCCTATAAGTCATAAATAACCAAATTGAGAACATATAGGAAAAATATATTTCGCCCAGATAAGCAAACACAACCAAGAAACAAACGAAAAGTAAATCTGTAAACTACTAAGAAATGTGCCAGATCTATATAAGAAAGTTACAGAAGTGAAAAACTGTTAGTTGTGAGGATTACTGTGATCAGTAATTATCATCAAATGAAAACTAATGTCAGCCACTAAAAGTCTATGGGGGAGAGATGCTGAATTATTCTGTTTGATTACTCAGATCTAATTTGCCAAGTATGTGATATTTTACTGATGTGGCCAGCTTCAGAGCCCAAAGCATACCTAATCCCTTGGGTATTCATCCTCATGCTCTCAAGTGTTTATCAACCCCTTTGAGAGTAGAAGGCCCCAGTGATATCTTCCTGAACAGCATTCTGTGATACCCCACACAGTACCTTGAACAGGAGGGTCTGCCCACAGGCAGTCGTGTGTTGGAGTATTATGAATTGCCGTACTGTTTCAAAGAATATAAACAACCTCATTTACTGAGCAAAAGCCCACCTAAGTCTCTTATCTATTCAGATAATTTTGCTGTCAGAACGTCTGGCAGTGCTGATCATTTGAGTCTGTGCAGCTCTAAAGTGTTATGACTATAATAACTACAGATGTGTAACATGAAACTCAACAAATATTTTATTCTTTAACTTTTAAGTTAAGGTTACATGTGCAAGTTCATTATATAGGGAAATCAGTGTCATGGAGGCTTGTTGTACAAGCCCCACCCTCCACCCTCCACCCTCAGAAAGGCCTCAGTGCCTGTTGTTCCCCTCTATGTGTCCATGTGTTCTCATCATTTAGCTTCCACTTGTAACTGAGAACATACAGTATTTGGTTTTCTGCTCTTGCATTAGTTTGCTAAGGATAATGGCCTCCAGCTCCATCCACGTTCCTGCAAAGGACATAATCTCCCTCTCTTTTATGGCCACATAGTATTCCATAGTGTATATGTACCACATTTTCTTTATCCAGTCTATCATTTATGGTCATTTAGGTTGACTCCACATCTTTGCTATTGTGAATAGTGCTGCAATGAACATATGTGTGTGTGTGTCTTTATAATAAAACAATCTGTATTCCTTTGGGTATATAGCCAGTACTGGGATTGCTACATCAAATGGTAGTTCTGTTTTTATGTCTTTGAGGAAGTGCCATGTTTTCTGCAGTAGTTGAACTAATGTACATTCTCACCAGCAGTGTATAAGTGTTTCTTTTTCTCCACAACCTCGACAGTGCTTGTTATTTTTTGACTTTTTAGTAATAGCCATTCTGACTGGTGTGAGATAGTATCTAATTGTGGTTTTGATTTGCATTTCTCTAAAGATCAGTGATGTTGAGCTTTTTCTTCATATGCTTGTTGGCCACATGTATGTGTTCTTTTGAAAGGTTTCTGTTCATGTCCTTTGCCCACTTTTTAATGGTGTTTTGTTTTTTCTTGGAAATTTAAGTTCCTTATAGATGTTGGATATTAGACCTTTGTCAAATGCATAGTTTGCAAATATTTTCTCCCATTGTATTAGTCCATTCTCACATTTCTATAAAGAAATACCTGAGACTGGGTAGTTTATAAAGAAAACAGGCTTAGTTGGCTCACATTTCCACAGGCTGTACAGGAAGCATAGCTGAGGAGGCCTCAGGGAACCTATAATCATGGCAGAAGGCGAAGGGTGAAGCCTTCTGCCTATATTGTCAGAGCCTATATGTCCAGAGCAACAGGAAGTGGGAATAAGGTACTACACACTTTTATACAACCAGATTGTGTGAGAACTCACTATTATGATGACAGCTCCAAGGGAGGTCGTGGTAAACCATGAGAAACCGCCCCCATGATCCAATCACCTCCCACCAGGCACCACCTCCAACATTGGGGATTAAAATTCAACATGAGATTTGGGCAGGGTCACAGATCCAAACCATGTCACTCATTCTGTAGGTTGTCTGTTTACTCTGTTGATAGTTTCTTTTGCTGTGCAGAAGCTCATTAGTTTGTCAATTTTTGCTTTTGTTGTGATTGCTTTTGGTGTCTTTGTCATGAAATATTTGCCCATTCCTATTTCCAGAATGGTATTGCCTAGGTTGTCTTCCAGGACTTTTATAGTTTTAAGTTTTACATTTGGGTCTTTCATTCATCTTGAGTTGATTTTTGTATATGGTGATAGGAAGAGGTACAGTTTCAATCTCTGCATATGGCTAGCCAGTTATCCTAGCACCATTTATTGAATAGGGAGTCCTTTCCCCATTGCTTGTTTTTGTCAGGTTTGTCAAAGATCAGATGATTGTAGGTGTGCAGTCTTATTTCTTGGCTCTCTATTCTGTCCCATTGGTCTGTGTGTCTGTTTTTGTACCAGTACCATGCTGTTTTGGTTACTGTAGCCCCATAGTATAGTTTGAAGTTGGGTAATGTGATGCCTCCAGTTTTGTTCTTTTTGCTTAGGATTTTCTTGGCTATTCAGGCTTTTTTTCAGCTCCATATGAATGTTAAAACAGTTTTTTTCTGGTCTGTGAAGAATGCCATTGGTAGTTTGATAGGAATAGCACTGACTCTATAAATTGCTTGGGTAATATGGCCATTTTCACGATATTGATTCTTCATATCCATGAGCATAGAATGTTTTTACATTTGTTTGTATCATCTCTGATTTCTTGGATCACTGGTTTATAGTTCTCCTTGCAGAGATCTTTCACCTCCTTAGTTAGTTGTATTTCTAGGTAATTTTAATCTTTTTGTGGCAATTGTGAATGGGAGTTCGTTACTGATTTGGCTCTTGACTTGACGGTTGTTGGTGTATAGGAATGCTAGTGATTTTTATACGTTGATTTTGTATCTTGAGACTTTGCTGACATTGTTTATCATATTAAGGAGCTTTGAGGCTGGGACTATGGGGTTTTCTAGATATAGGATCATGCTGTCTACAAACAGGGATAGTTGGACTTCCTCTCTCTCTGTTTGGATCCCCTTTATTTCTTTCTCTTGCCTGATTGCTCTGGCCAGGACTTGCAATACTATGTTGAATAGGAGTGGTGAGAGAGGGCGTCCTTGTCTTGTGCTGGTTTTCAAGAGGAATGCTTTCAACTTTTGCCCATTTAGTATGAAGTTGGCTGTGTGTTTGTCATAGGTGGCTGTTATTATTTTGAGGTATCTATATAATTTTTAAAGCAATGTGTTTGGTAATACATATGAGGAATACATTGCATGCCAAGGAAGGAAAAGATTCTTTCTAGATAAGAATTTGGGAGATCATCACAGGCATAGAGAGCAATCTGAAAGAAGACCCTAAGTCAAGATTGGTTAAAGAGTTCCAAGAACTACAGCCAGCAAGGAAGACTAGCGAGACTGGTATAGAAGGATGGAAGATGGTAATGCAGTTAGTTATAAGGGTAACTGGTATAGTTCTGAGCCATTGGTTCCCAATAATTTAAAACAGGAAAAGAATCTGAGATGTTTTCTCTCTTCACGAAAAGATTGAGCTGTGCTGCTCCCATTGGGTCATCCCTGGGAAGAAGTTTGCTAAGAATAACCACTGCAGGTCACATATGCTGTTCAGGGGCTGGAAAAGTGAGCCTTTCAGCAGAAATGGATTTCCTGAAAGGAATTAACTCCTTAATGTGCTGCAAGATGGAGAACACTGTAAAAATCTATGGGCCATAGGATTCTTCACCTTCACATAAAGAAAGCAAAGGGAGAAGAGTTAATCTTATGACAGAATAAATTCTTAGAGTATGATGGTTTCAGTGGCATGATCTTTTCTATATATTTAACCCCTCTGCGTTCTCCATGAACACAGTGATATGTGTTTATTTTAATAAGAATTAAAATTTTCTGCTGTTAAAAAGAGAAATATGCTTTTTACAGATGTGTTTGCCATTTATGGAACTGCCCTTGAGATGTTCAGAATTTGAGGCAGACACATCCATTACTCAGGTCCCAATCTCCTGGCTTCCATCTCTGTCATTAGACATTCTTAAAGGAATCTGAGAGGGCTTCATTTCAGGGCTGATGCAACATTTTGAAAAGTAATACAGGTTTATCTTATTGACTTAGGCAACTTTTTTAAGCTCTCTGGACCACCACTTTCTGGTCTACAAATGTAGATAATCACCCTCCATGATTGCTGTCAGTTTAGGAGGGTGTGGCAGCTTTGCAAAATGGTTTGCCAATTCCTCCAAAGCTTAGAAACATAATATTACTGCATGACACAGCAATTCCATTCCTAGGTATATACCCAAGATAACTGAAAACATCTGCCTACCCAAAAACTTATACATAAATGTTCATAGCAGCATTATTCACACTATCCAAAAGGTAGAAACAACCCAACTATCCATCACCTGAAAAATGAATAAACAAAATGTGATCTATCCATACAATAAATTATTCAGCAACAAAAGGAAATTAAGTACTGATACATGCTACAACGTGAATGAATCTTGAAAACACCATTTTAAATGAAAGAAGTCAGTCACAAAAGACCACATATTGTATGACTGCACTTCTATAAAATGTCCAGAACAGATCAATCCATAGAGACAAAAAGTAGATTTTTGGTTTCTTAGGGCTGAGGAGGAGAACGGAATGAGGGGTGGCTGCTAAAGGACACAGGATTTCCTTTTGAGATGATGAAAATATTCTAAAATTAGATAATGATGATAGTTGGACAACCTCGTGAATATACTCAAATCCCCTGAATTGCATGCTTTAAAAGGGTGAATTTTGTGCTATGTGGATTATATCTTCAAAAACGGTGTTGTTAAAAAGTAATCCTGTATTCTATTGTTTGTCTGTAATTCTATTGTCAGTATCTGTATGTGGGATAACAATATACATTTGACTGCTGCATTGGAATTTTTTTTTTTTTTTTGAGACGAGTCTTGCTCTGTCACCCGGGCTGGAGTGCAGTAGTGCAGTCTTGGCTCACTGCAACCTCTGCCTTCTGGGTTCAAGTGGTTCTCCTGCCTCAGCTTCCTGAGTAGCTGGTACTACAGGCGCATGCCACCACGCCCGGCTAATTTTTGTATTTTTAGTGGAGACGGGGTTTCACCATCTTGGCCAGGCTGGTCTCTAACTCCTGACCTCAAGTAATCCTCCCGCCTCGGCCTCCCAAAGTGCTAGGATTACAGGCACGAGCCACCGCACCAGCCTGCACTGGAATTTATACTGGCTTGTTCTAGTACACTTTTAAATAATGAAGAACTTTTATAAATCAAATATAACCTTTTTTTTGCAGTTTCTCATACATGGATATCAAGCAGAAGACTGCATGGAAAGACACATACTATGCTTATGGAAGTTTGTAAGTAGATTAAACTATAAAAAGCCTGAGAAAATATACTTACTTGGAGAGCTTGCCTCTGAGAAGGATTTCGGCAAGCTCTTCTTGTTTTCTATAAAAACAGGGTACTTTTCTGAGTGAAGGAAAAAAGGTGTTTAGTTACTATCTGCTGAAATGCTGAGTCCAAACAAAATTATCTAATAGGGAGCCTGATAGGCTGGTTTGGAGGGGAAAGGCTGATACAGGAGAGTGACAAAATCCAGACCAGCCCACTCATGTGGTGATGTCTCATTACGAGCCTTGCAGAAGAAAATTTACCTCATTGCAAAAACTTCTACCCACACTTCCCCAGTCCCCCTTCATCTGTGTGAACTGTTACTTTATCGCTAGCTTATGAGAACCCTGAAGCTCAGCGATGAGACAAACTCACTCATGCTCCCATTGGAATTTACAAGGTAATTATACAGCCTTTGATGGGAAAGAAACAGTTAAGACTAATGAGGCATGCCTTTAAGTACCAGCCCTATAGATGAAGACACAGAGAACTTGAGACAGAAGTGATTATGAGAAGGGCAGGGTGAAGAGAGGGAGAATAAGGGAAAACACAACTTATACTGGCTCTCTGTGTTCTGAGATTTCTTATGGTCCTGAATCGGAATCTGATATCTTAAAAATACACAGCAATGGCGTGTATATGGAGATTTTTAAAAATCTACTCAGATTTGAGAAAGATTTAGATCATAACTCTACAAAGGTAGAGTGTCCCAGAGGTTAATTACTATATTATAATTCTTTGTATCTCCCTTTTTTATCTAAATTATTTCTCACCAATCTTGATTTCCAAAGCTCTGTTTTATCATCTCCAATAATACATATGCAGTTGTCAAATCATGCCTTGAAATTTGGTTTCAAAAATATAACCATGTATTTCCAGTATCAAACACAATGCCTGGCATAATACTTTTAAAAATTGTTGAATTATTAAACAAAAAAAAAATGAATGAATACAAATAACTTAAAGAAAATGGAATCAGCTGAGTGCAGTAGCTCACGCCTGTAATCCCAGCACTTTGGAAGGCCGAGGTGGCTGAGTCACTTGAGGTTAGTAGTCAAGACCAGCCTGGCCAACATGGTGAAACCCCATTTCTACTAAAAACACAAAAATTAGCCAGGCGTGGTGGTGCACGCCTGTAGTCCCAGCCACTTGGAAGACTGAGGCATGAGAATCGCTTGAACCCAGCAGGTGGAGGTTGCAGTGAGCACCAATGCACTCCAGCCTGGGTGACAGAGTGAGACTCCATCTCGAAAAGAAAAGAAAAGAAAAGAAAAGAAAAGAAAAGAAAAGAAAAGAAAAGAAAAGAAAAGAAAAGAAAAGAAAAGAAAAGAAAAGAAAAGAAGGAAAGAAAGAAAGAAAGAAAGAAAGAAAGAAAGAAAGAAAGAAAGAAAAGAAAAGAAAAGATAAGTTAAGTTGAATCATTTGATTTAAAAGATTCAGGGGGCCAGGCTCAGTGGCTCACGCCTGTAATCCTAGCCAAGATGGTGAAACCCCGTCTCTACTAAAAATACAAAAATTAGCCGGGCGTGGTGGCGGGCGCCTGTAGTCCCAGCTACTCCGGAGGCTGAGGCAGGAGAATCACTTGAACCTGGAAGGCAGAGGTTGCAGTGAGCCGAGATCGCACCACTGCACTCCAGCCTGGGTGACAGAGCAAGACTCGTCTCAAAAAAAAATAAAAATAAATAAAATAAATATATAAATAAATAAATTCCAGCGTAGCAGTCAAATGTATATTGTTATCCCACATACAGATACTGACAATAGAATTACAGACAAACAATAGAATACAGGATTACTTTTTAACAACAGCCTTAAATTTAAAATATGTTTTAAAACTTTTATTAATTTTAATTATTTAATTAAATAATTATTTAATTATATAATTATTAATTTAAAGCCTCTATTATTAATCAATAATTATTAATATTCCAAAAAGTAGAAACAACCCAAATGTACATCAAGGAATGAATGGATAAAAAGTGCTCAATCCATACAATGAAATGCTAGCCATAAAAAGAAATGAAGAACTGATACATACTACAACACGGGTGCTAAATTAAGGCACATACAAAAGATCACATATTTTATGATACCATTTATACAAATTGACCATAATGGGCAAATCCATAGAGGCAGAAAGTATATTGGCGGTTGCCAGGGGCTAGGGTGGAGGAAAATGAAGATTAATGTCATTTAAATGGACATGATGGGTCTTCTTGGGATGATGAAAATGACTGATTAGTAAATTTACTACATATATCATTGAAATGTATACTTGAAAGAATAAATTAAATGATATGCAAAGTATACCTCAATAAAGCTTCTAAAAATTCATAGAAAAAGACTGACAACAGGTTTCTTGGGGGTAGGGAAATAGTATGATTCATTTCCTGTTCTTTTTTTACACTTCACAATGATCTGCAACTTTTCTACCTCAACAAATTCTTACAGTAGGTTCCCCAAAAGTAGTCCTGAGATGAAGAACTGTGTGAAAGTGATTTGTAAGAAGTAGTCCCAGGAAAAAATAGGAGCATGAGAAAGGGAGACTAAGTAGGTAAGAATGGCAAGCAAACATGTGACATCAGACAAAGAGCCTGAGAGGGTTAACTATGGCTCCATCCTGCAGAGGAGGAAGATGGGGGAAGGGGAAGTTGATGACACAGTGTGGGTCCCACTCAAAGTCATCTGCTCAGGAAGCTGGAGTATTTATAATACCACCCATACAAACATACAACACACAACACCAATCAGCCATTGGCTGACACCCCTACCTCCACCCCTGCCTGGAATAGTAAATTCACAGAAACTTGTTGTGGTTCTTTGTGTGCCACAGCCTAAGGTTGATCCTTCAAGAAAGAGATACAAGTACTTGGCTATTGGGAGTGAAAGTACCCAGGAACTGATGTGCACAATAAATGGTACAAGGAGGCATGAGAATACAGATGAAGCTCTGGCAGCATCTTCAACAAGCATGTTTTTATTATATAGGCAGGAGAAGACAAAATAGGAAAAAAGTATATTGCTGGTATATAATATATACAAAAATATGGTATTATATCATTATATAGTATTATAGTTATTAGTGGTTATATCTAGTAATATATTTAGTATATACTAGTGATAAAATCCACATGTACATAATAATAAAGGTTGGACACTACTTCTGAGACAGTATATACAATTTGTAGAAAAGCCCAAAAGAGAAGATGTGCTTGCCCTTTTCTTCGAAGAAATGAGAATTAAAATCCAAAATGTCACAGAAGACAAGGAGTTGTTTGTTAGCTCAGAGGAACCTGTTGGTGGTAGGGGCTGCATTTGGGAAAAGCAAGGTTTGAAGAGCCTCTGGTGAAATTTCTGGCCAGAAGATGACCCTCACTACCTGGCAGCATTCTATTACAGCATATTTGTGCCTTTACTTCTAGACAGACCCCAGAAGTAATGTCTCTGAGTACAAAATTTGGGCATGCAAAATAACTTTAGTGTCTGGAATCAAAGAAAGGGTATTGAATGTAACTCATCAGTTAGTTGTTTCCTAAACAGTTTATTTCTTTGGAATTTGCAACGAATGACCAGTCAGTTGAAAAGATCTGTCAACTCTGTACATACTTTGAACTATTCTAGAAATACAAAAATCCTGAAGAATAAAACTTCAGTGTTTATTTGTCCCCTAATCCTCTAAAGTCAATTGCTCCTGCAGAACCTCCTGTTCTTGTGATTATTCCAGGAGAAGGAGAAATACGACCTTTGGCTCTCGTAGAGTGGCCTGCACAATTATCTGATACTAGCAGGGGAAAAAGCGGTGAAAAGAAGCCTATCCAAGTAGACTACATGCCATATGATTCCAGTTATACAACATTCTGGAAAAGACCAAACCATAGTGACAGTAAAAGATCATTGGTTACCAGACTTTAGGGAGGATGAGTAGGTGGAGTATAGAGGATTTTTAGGGTAATGAAACTATTCTGTATGATACTATAATGGTGGACACGTGTTATACATTTTTCCAAATTCACAGAATGTACAACACCAAGAGTGAACCCTAACGTTAACTATAGACTTTGGGTGATAAAGATATGTCAGTGTAGGTTTACCAGTTGTAACAAAGGTATCACTTTGGTGCAAACCTCTTGATAATGGGAGAAGCTGTTGCAGTGGGTGGACAGGGGATGTATGGGAACTCTGCACTTTCATCTCAATTTTTGCTGTGAACTGAAAACTGCTCTAAAAAATAAAGTCTATTTAAAGGAAAAAAAGCAGTGAGCAGAAAAACATGGTCCTCTCAGTAGGTATTAATTCACTACACACAATGACCTAGAGCCTTGGCCAGGATCAGCTAGGTAACTGGCAGGGTCCAGCACAAAATAAAAATGCAGAGCCACTTGGTCAAAAAATTTAAAATTCCAAAATGGTGGAAACAGCATTAAATCAAACATTGGGCCTCTCTAAACAATGGGCATTCATCACATGCTGATGAAGTTGGCCCTGGCCTTGACATACGGTTCCCTGCTTAAAACCCTTCAAAGCCCCCTGTAAACAGTGAGGAAGTTGGAAGTCCTTAATTAATTTGACATGCCCTTCATGATATCCCAGGCCCATTCCCCCTTCAGCTTTATTTCTCTCAGCCCCACCCTACTCTCTATGCTCTAGTCACCCAGAGCTTCCTTTACTTTCTAAAATTTTCCATGCTCCCTTTGCCTCAAGGCCTTTGTATGTATTTCCCTTACCTGGAATACAATTCCTCCAATTTTTCATCACTCCACTATTGACCCTACAGGTCTCAGTTCAGCAGAGAAGTCACAGCTAAGTAAATCAATGCTTACATTATATAATAAATGCTATTTTAAATATATTTAACACTATTTTAAAATGCTATTTAATTTAGAAAAGAAAAATGCCTTTCTCATGCAATAAATAACCTTCTAATTCAGGGGTCATCAGCTCCCCCATCACAGACCAGTACTGGTATGTGGCCTGTTAGGAACCAGGCCTCACAGCAGGAGGTGAGCGTTGCGTGAGTGAACATTACCACCTGAACTCTGCCTTCTATCAGATCAGTGGCATTAGATTCTCGTAGGACCATGGACTCTTGTGAACTGCACATTCAAGGGATTTAAGGTGCATACTCCTTATGAGAATCTAATGCCTGATGATTTGAGGTGGAACAGTTTCATCCTGAAACCACCCCACCACCCACCACCTATGAAAAAACTGTCTTCCACGAAACCAATTCCCGGTACCAAAAAGGTTGGGGATGCTGTTCTAATTGCTTCATACATAAAGATCTGTATTTCACAAAGCAGTTTTATATAAAATAAGGCACACCTGTAGTTTTCAATATTGCTTGTCATGTTGCTAGTTGTTTAAGAAGGTTCTGAACACTTGCTCTTGTTTACAAAATAAAAAACAAAGCCTGAGATGATGCAGTCTTCTTAGTAAACACAACTTTCTGGAGATTTCTTCATTCTCTTAAAAATGAATGATCAGTCGGGCGCAGTGGCTCACACCTGTAATCCCAACACTTTGGGAGGCCAAGGCGGGCAGATCACGAGGTCAGGAGTTTGAGACCAGCCTGGCCAACATGGTAAAACCCCATCTCTACCAAAGGTACAAAAAATTAGCCGGGTATGGTGGCGTACGCCTATAATCCCAGCAACTCGGGAGGCTGAGACAGGAGAATCGCTTGAACCCAGGAGGCAGAGGTGGCAGTGAGCCAAGATTGTGCCATTGCACTCCAGCCTGGGTGACAGGGTGAGACTCTGTCTCAAGAGAAAAAAAAAAAAAAAAGAAGGATCAAAAAGAAAAGATTCCCTGTTTAATAAATGGTATTGGGAAAACTGGCTAGCCATATGCAGAAAACTGAAACTGGACCCCTTCCTTACACCTTATACAAAAACCAACTCAAGATGGATCAAATACTTAAACGTAAGATCTAGGACCATAAAAATCCTAGAAGAAAACCTGGGCAATACCATTCAGGACATAGGCATGAGCAAAGACTTCATGTCTAAAACACCAAAAGCAATGGCAACAAAAGCCAAAATTGACAAATGGGATCTAATTAAACTGAAGAGCTTCTGCACAGCAAAAGAAAATATCATCAGAATCAACAGGCAACCTACAGAATGGGAGAAAATTTTTGCAGTCTATCCATCTGACAAAGGGCTAATATCCAGGATCTACAAAGAACTTAAACAATTTTACAAGGGGAAAAAAAACCATCAAAAAGTGGGCAAAGGATATGAACAGACTCTTCTCAAAAGAAGACATTTATGCAGCCAACAGACATATGAAAAAATGCTCATCATCGCTGGTCATTAGAGAAATGCAAATCAAAAACACAATGAGATACCATCTCACACCAGTTAGAATGGCGATCATTGAAAAGCCAGGAAACAACAGATGCTGGAAAGGATGTGGAGAAATAGGGACACTTTTACACTGTTGGTGGGAATGTAAATTAGTTCAACCATTGTGGAAGACGGTGTGACGATTCCTCAAGGATCTAGAACTAGAAACACCATTTCACCGAGCAATCCCATTACAGGGTATGTACCCAAAGGATTATAAACCATTCTACTATAAAGACACATGCACATATATGCTTATTGTGGCACTATTCACAATAGCAAAGACTTGGAACCAACCCAAATGTCCATCAATAATAGACTGGATAAAGAAAATGTGGCACATATACACCATGGAATACTATGCAGTCATAAAAAAACGATGAGTTCATGTCCTTTGCAGGGACGTGGATAAAGTGGAAACCATCACTCTCAGCAAACTACCACAAGAACAGAAAACCAAACATCGCATGTTGTCACTCATAAGTGGGAGTTGAACAATGAGAACACATGGACATAGGGAGGGGAACATCACACACCAAGACCTGTCAGTGGGTTGGGGGAGTAGGGGAGGGATAACATTAGGAGAAATACCTAATGTAGGTGACGGGTTGATGGGTGCAGCAAACCACCATGGAACGTGTATACCTATGTAACAAAACTGCACGTTCTGCACATGTACCCCAGAACTTAAAGTATATTAAAAATAAAAAAGAACTTAGACTACTCCTCCATAAAAATTGCTTTTATAATAATTTTTGGTCCAACTTGCCCCAAATTCTCCAAAATTAGCACCCAAGTCCTTAGAGAATAAGGTCTGGCCCCCAGGCTTGGAATTTGGAAGGTGTTCAAATTTGGCCTCTTCTAAATTCTCTGGTCTCATGACTCATACTTATCTTTGATACTCAAAGGTTTCAAAGCACATTGTCTTTGATCATAGCCATTTTCCTGGCTTGTGAGTGTCTTGATATCTCTTCTTTCCCCACCTGACCCAAGCATGTAATTATTTTTTGTTAAAACTAATGTGTGGCACTTTTCATAAAACAATTCATGCTATTATTTTGATATGTAGCTAGGGTGATCAACTCGTACCAGTTTTCTTGGGACCTTCTGTTTTTTCTCACTGAAAATTCAATTTCTCAGGACTCCTTCCCCCACTCAGTCCCAGGCAAACTGGGATAGTTGGTCACCCTATACCCTTTGATTTAAATTATGAGCTTATCTGTGTTTTTCACAGGCTTAATACAGGGCTTTAAGCATAACATTTACTCAGAAATATTTGTGATTAATTTCAATTGCATGCATTTTTGTTGCTGCATTTTTAAGCATCCATTTCCAAAATAGTGATTTTCTGTGAATTTATCATAAGGTCCAAGTACTGTTATAATTAGACAAAAATGGTCTGCCAATTCCTGGCAACCTAAAGAGAAAAAGAAAAGTTCAAAGCCAAAAATGTTAATAGCTTTAAAAAAATATGGCACAGCTAGAAAAATCCGTGTTAACTAAGTCTCCATCTTATCTGTGACCACTGAGAAATATCTCAGTAGGAGTGAAGTTTATGGCCAATTTAATATAGCTGATTAGTATCTGTTCTACCACCTTTTTTCATTGGTAGTGATAGTAGAGTATTGAATCTGCCCTTTTTTCCTTGTCAAATATGTTGCATTAAAAATTACTTTGAATCCCCATGGGAGAAGCAAATATCATTCTGTAAGCCGTAAGGAATTACAGAGTTTATCACTGTTAATATAAAAAGCAAAGCCAAAATCAACATTTTTAATCAGAAACTGACAGCAGGTCAGGGCTTGAACTTGGCTCTTGAGAAACACAAGCAATCAAGACTAAGCAATAATGTTCCAGGCAGAGAGAAGAGCGTGAGTAAGGACTTACAAGTGAGGGGCCATGAGACATATTCAAGAAGCTAAAAGTGTGTTTTGTTTGTGAAAAAATTGAGGAGAGGATAGAGAGTTGGGGCTAAGGATGAAAAAGTAGAGAAGTGAATTCAGAGTTTAGACTTGATTCTAAGAGCAATGCGGAGCCATCAAAACATTTTTGCAGGGAAGTAGATGTTAGATGTTTATTTTCAAAAAATCACTCAAATAACAAAAGGAGAGAGTGCATTGCTGATGGGTCAAATTGGAGGCAGAGAGTCCAGTCCTAAGACTGCCACAGGTCTTGGTGTGATCTCACATGGGACACTGGAGAGAGGAAAACTGGAGAGATGTTTAGAAAATGGAAGACATATCACTTGATAACTGATTGGATGTAGGGTGGGCACATGGGAGGACAGAAGGGCAGAAACTGACATTCAAGTACCTGGCTTCAGCAATCAGTGGACCTGGTGCCCTTCACAGGGATGGAAACTCTGGAAGAGGATGAGTGGGGATGGGAAGATGATGAATTCAGCTGCTTTATACACTGACCCTTAAGTTGACAAAAACCTACAAAGAATACCAGCTTACAGTGCCACTTTCTTTAAAACATATACATACTTTTATTATTCTTTCTTTTTAAATTTCAACTTTTATTTTAGATATGGTGGTACCTATGCAGGCTTGCTATGTGGGTATATTGTGCCCTGGCAGTGAGCAAAGTACCCAATAGGTAGTTTTTCAATCCATACCCCCTCCTTTCCTCCCCATTCTAGTAGTCCACAGTGTCTATTCTTCCCATGTTTATGTCCATATGTGCTCAATATTTAGCTCCAACTTCTAAGTGAAAACACGCAGTGTTTAGTTTTCTGTTCCTATGTTAATTCACTTAGAATTATGGCCTCCAGCTCCATCCATGTTGCTGCAAAGGACGTGACTTCATACTTTTTATGGCTGCACAGTATTCCACGATGTATATGTACCACATTTTTATATTCTAAATACATAATTTCCATTTAAGAAACACAGCCATGGCCAGGCATGGTGGCTCGCGCCTGTAATCCCAGCACTCTGGGAGGCTGAGGTGGGAGGGTTGCTTGAACACAGGAGTTTGAGACCAGTCTGGGCAACATGGTAAGACCCCATCTCTACAAAAACATTTTTAAAGTGGCCCAGCATAGTGGGGCATGCATGTGTTTCCAGATACTTGGGAGGCTTAGATGGGAGAATTGCTTGAGCCTGGGGGGTTAAGGTTACAGTAAGTTGTGATCATGATACTGCACTCCAGCCTGGGCAACAGAGTGAGACCCTGTCTCCAAATACATAAATAAATAAATAAATAAAGCTATTTATTTTCAGACTGAGTAATAAACCGTGTGTCTGTGTACCTCATCTTCTTGATCTCTTCATCCATCTGTGGGAATTAAGGTTGTTTCCATGTCTTGGCTATTGTGAATAATACTGCAAGGAACATGGGAGTGCAGGTATCTCTCTGAGATCCTGATTTTAATTCCTTTGGGTAAATACCTAGAAGTGGAATCTCTGGGTTATATGATAGTTCTATTTTTTATTTTTTAAATTTATAATTGCTCCATAATAATTGTAGACATTTATGGGGCACAATGTGATGTTTTAGTGCATGTATACATAATATAATGATCGAATTGGGTTAGTTTTATAGCCATCACTTTAAACACTTATAATTTTTTATGGTAACAATACTCAAAAATCTATTTTCAAATTTCTGAAGAATCTCCATGTGTTTTTGGACATTATGGTAAATGAAATAAGACAAACACTACATAATATCACTTATATGTGGAATCTAAAATAGTCGAACTCACAGAAGCCGAGAGAAGAATGGTAGTTTTCAGGGGCTGGGGGAACAGGGAAATGGAGAGATGTTGCTCAAGAAGTACAAGTTTCAGTTATGCCAGATCAGTAAATTCTGGGGCTCTGGTGGGTAGCATGGTAACTACAGGTAACAATAGTGTATACTTGAAATTTGCTAAGGGGATAGATCCTAAGTGTTCTTACCATACACACACAAACCGGTAACTATGTGAGGTGCGGATATGATCATAAACTTGACTGTAGTGATTACTTCACAATGTATATGTATATCAAATTATAAAGTTGCACACCTTAAGAACATACACAAAAAGGAAACACAGCAGAACAATGAAATGTGTGGTTTCAAAACGAATGTTTCTACTTGTGCAAAATAAAGAATGCAGAGAGTAAATGGAACAGAGATGGCAATTTGTAATAAGTCTGGGCTTTCAGTGACATAATACCCTATGTTCTAGGGAAGCTCTTTTTTCTGGAAACTCTCATAGGTGGGTGGCTCTGCAGTGATAGCCAAGATACCATGCACTACTCTCAAAAGCCATTTGACCAGAATACAGGCACAGCATGCTGCCCATACATGAATTCCTGGGAATCCAAGGTAAGCCAAAGGAAAACAGTATCAGTATGCAGAAGGACAGTTGTAATTTTGACTATGTAAGAATCCCAGAGTATATCTGGATGGTAACACACCAGATTAACCAGACTGTCAAGGACCAGATGCTTTCAGCGTTGAACATGGGGGAAGAAACACTCTCGCATTCTATTTCATAAGCTCCAAGCCCAGAAACAAATAGGGAAAATCTCAGCGTTGCAGCAGAATAACAAAGTCTTTTATAAAATTTAAACTTGTGGAACAGATATTATTGATGCCTCACCCTCGACCTCCACCTTGTTTGCTGAAGCCTGCCTGCCGGGAACACCTGTAAATCTCTGCCTGAGGGCTTTTCTTCTGGCTGAAGGAGCAAGACCTCCTGTGCAGGGCTAAGTGGAAATACCAGAAAGTTAATGTCCTTGGAAGAAGCCCTTACCAATGACAAATGAAGTGTTGGTGGGCAAATACATCAACCTCCCTGGTCCCCAGTTGGGATAACTCTGAGAGGTGTTCTATACTATCGCCCAAAGTGTTCTGGCAGGATTGAGCCCAGTGGGCAAGCATATGAGTGTATGGAGTTTATTTTGCTGATGTTCCCAGGAAACACCAGTAGGGGAGTGTGAAGTGAGATTGGCAAGGGAAGAAAGCCCGTAGCACAGCTTCCCATTGTGGGCCACTGAGGTTCAGTTCTGCTGGGGACCTTTGCGAGCCTGGGTGGAACATGTCTCAGAGATTTCCTAGTAAAACTAAGGAAGCACACTGGACATGTGCTGAGGGTTGATCCTGGCAGATGTGACTGCTTGGCACTTCCATCCTGTACTGTGCAGAGGCTAGAAAGACTGCAGCATCCACAGAGGCATGTCCAGAGATTGGCATTGGCTGGTAGATGGAAGTCAACAGTCAGACCATACAGGAATGGTGAATGTTAAGCACAGAGAAGCACAAACCAGGAAAGAGGGTACCAGCAAGCAGTTCCAGGTGACTGATCGGGATAAGTCCTAAAGGATTGTAGGAGCTAGTGGGGCTTAGGGGAGGGGTGTGGGAGAGGGACAGCAGCAGTGTATGGGAAGGGAGCCATTATGAAGGGAGGCCTAGTAGGTGGCAGGCTGGTGAACTGATCCAAAAGAGCAGTGGTGGTGCATGCCTGGTGGCAGGGAGAGGAAGTAGAGCTGGAGAGAGGGGATGGAATCAAGAGGATGTGGTGAATGGTGGGAGGGTAAAGAATCACAGAAAGAGGGAGATTCTCAGATGTCTGCCTCCAGACACCAGATGGCTGCACCATTCATGGTACCAGGGACACAGAGGGACAGACCATTTATTTATGCCTCAGTGAGCATCACGAGTTAGTTTTTAACATGTTTAGTTTGAGGCCTATGGGGTATCCAAATAAAAGCATGCTATGGATATTACTGGTAAGGAACCCAGAAGCAGTCCGTGCTGAAGACAAATATTTCATAGCATCCAATATAAGATAAAACTGATTCAACAGAGATTTTTTTAAATGTCTACTATGTGCCGGCCAATGTGTCAATCTCTAGAGACATGCAGTGGTGAATATGAAGTAAGAAGTCCTTTCCTTCTTGAAGCTTACAGCACAACCATGTTGGCAGTAACCATGGCAGCTGAGAAGATGCCCAGGGAGAGCAGGAACATTGAGAACAGAACTCTGAGCAACTCCAACATCTGAAGGACAACCACAGCAAAGAAAACACTTAAAAGAAGCTAAGAACAAATGGCGAGTAAGTACAAAAAAAGTAAGACAAAGCTTGAAAGAACCTACAGTGCAGTTTTGCTAGTCATAGTAGTGCTGTGTGTATGGAGGTGAGAGGGGGTTGCTTAGCAAAAATGGAGTGAGTACAAGAGTTGATTAAGGATGAAAAAAGAACTAGGGATATTTATATCATAACTGTGGACAGCACAAATATTCTCTACCACTAGATAGTAAAATGTAACTGATACTTTTTAAGTCTTATTTTGATGCTTCATAAATATATATATAATTTGTTCCTAATATCATGACATATCTTAATAAAAAAAGCAATACCTCCCATCAGTGAAATGCTTTAAAGTTTATCAAATGAAACATTTGTCTGGGTATCTGCTAGGATTCTTGGTTGCAAGCAACAGAAATCTAAATCTAACTTAAAAAGCAGAGGGGTATATTGCAATATATTGGAAGAATATTAGCATTTTCTCAAAATTCAGGCTTGGAAAATGCACAGGAATCAAGGGAGGCTACATAACAAAAGTGTCTCTCCGGGATACCTGACACTTTCTCTGTGCCTGTGCAGTGCTACTATCATGGGGCCCAGTGGCCACACTACCCTGCCACTTACCTCCAGGCTACAAGTTCAGGAAGAAATAACTGATTGGTTAGGTCTATGTCATGAGCCCCTTGCTCTGCCCACCTGGGCATGGGAGAGGGATTATTTTCCCTCTCAACCTCTTGCAAGAGGAGGTAGGGATATGCTTCCCATCCCAACTCACACAGTGGGTATTGTCCAGTTGAGGAAAGGGGTGGTAATGTGGCACTACCAACTGTCCACAACCTCTGGGTGTGCTTATCTGCCAGACCCACGCTGGAGCTCTTTACTAAACCTCTGTGTGGTCAATTACCATTATCCCCAATTGACACTGGAGGATACTGGAAATCAGGGCACTTACATGCAAGCATTAGCATTAAGATCCCCACTGAGGAGGTGAGCTCAACTCACTTGAGTGCTTATGGACTCATGCTTTGCCCAGAACACCGGATGTGTCTGAGTGATAGGACATTTAAAAATCCCTAAAGACTGAAAACCACTAAACTGGCCCACCTGACTTTATTCTTAAGTCACGGAGATTGTGATACACATTTTCGTCAGCATGGCATTGATTGAGGCTATGTGCTCCAGAAAGGGCCATGAACATGACCTTCGCTCTGAAAAGCAGAGTGGAATTTCTGCCCTGGAAAGTAGCACTAAGGTTGCTCATTCCATCTCACCGGTAGTGGCTCTCAAGAAGCATTTAAGCCCTGAGCAAAAATTGTGAAATTCCTAAATCGGTTTTCAGGCCACTTAATCCACTGAGAGTATAATTTATATCCTGGGAAGTAGCAAATGCTACCCTGATGAAGAAGATCTATAGGTGTGAGCATTTCAGTCCTAATTTTATAATTTTTTTTTAAATTAACAGAGCTTCAATGTGAAAACTGTTTTGCTTTTTCACACAAAACAAGGTACAAAATAATGCTCTAGAAAGTGTTTTACCCTCAGTCGATTGCTGCTTTGACTTACAAATGCATGGGTGGGTGTGTATGTGCAGTGTTTACAGATCTCATTTGTGTATATGCATGTGTAGAGGGGGATGCTTGAAATACATCAGATTTGAGACATCAAAGGGTCTGTGGTTTCTGTGACTCTGATATTAAACATTATTTGTGATTTACTAACAGGAAGCTTTTGCATTATCCATATAGTGAGGAAAGAGGGATGAGATTATATGTTAGAATACAATTTATCAAGAAAAATAATGCAATTTATACTTAGAGAAGAAAACAGGATTGTGTGTAGAGAAGACCTAGGTTTACACATAAAGAACAAAATTTCTTAAAGGTGCACTTTTATGGTCTGTATGCATAACATCTCTGATTTAACAAGATAAAAGAGTATAATACATCAAAATGGAAATGAAAAATTCACAATATTTTATGTGTGAAACTATCAAAAATGCTAACCCAAATTGTTGAGTTACAGCTCTGTGTCCAGCAGTAACAAGTATCATCCAATCCCATTCAGTGTCTCTGCTTTAGACTGCAGTCAGTTTGGTTTGGCTCAGGCTCATCTGTTTCGTGAAGCCCAGGATGAAAGAGTAGTAAGTACCTGGAGCATGCTCTAATCACAGCAACATCGGGAGACCAGAGGACAAGCCTAACCATGTAAGCATATGCAAAACCTCCACTTGCATCATAGCTACTAGCATTCCATTGGCTAAAGCAAGTCATATGGCCCCCAACACCAATTATTGGTGCAAAAATATACTCAACCCACTCTAGTGCACTGGAAAATCATACTGCCTTAGAGAGAATGAAGCATTAAAAACACAACCAAGCTATCACACTGTACAAGAATCCCATCATTATAACCCAAAAAGGGCCCAGATCAAGGGCCCCAAACACATTCTGATGAATAGTTTTGTGTAGATGGTAGATATAAGTGATTTAGTCACTGAGTTTATCAACAGTGGGAAACTGCCACATAGTGGCTCAAGTTTGAGTCACAAAGTGGCTCAAGTTTCATGAGTGAATTTGGAGGCTGAGTTCTACAGACATCTAGAAATTCCCAGTGTCCCCATGAAATCTACATACCTCATGCATAAATAGCTGCTATTTATTGTGTAACTGGGCTCAAACCTAGCCTATCTGGGGCCTCTCCCAAGTCCCCATCCTCTCCAAATAAAAGTATTTGTGGGGTCTTAGATTAGGTTCTCTAGAAAAAGACTAAACCAGGTAGTTGCATGTAGAAGGTTTATTAGAAAATCCTCTAAAGAGATAAACCTATGAGGAAGTGAGCAAGGAAGGATCAGGCAGAAAGAAGAGTTGACTTGCAATACAATTGCAATGGAGGCCTCAGCTGACTCAACAAGGAGCTCTGGAGCTGTGGTGGCCCTTCAGAGGCAAGGAGGCTTGACCTTCATATCCCTAAATCAGCCAGTCAATGGTAATGGATTGCCCTTTCAGAGGAAGTGTAATCTTTGGACAGCCAGTTCCCTGGGGCCAAGGATAATTCTGGTCAGGGGACAGCTGTAAGCCTTCAGTACAAACCATTCCCAGAAGCTAGGATTGAATGAGCTGTCCCTGAAGAGAGGCCTGGATGAAGCCTCACAGCATCCACTACAGTTGGTATCTACTGATCTGTTTGGGAAGCCATGCTAAGTAACAGAGGGAGGAGATAAGAGTTGGTGATTGTGCACAAGGGACAGGAGGAGGGAGGGGGAGAATGGACGCAATGTTCTCCATTTGGTCCCTAAGTTTGGGTTTGAGTTCTCTGGTTAAGGCTCTTGGATTTCCATGGGAGACTCAGTACCTAAGCTTCAGGTAAAAATGACGAAGCCTGACTAAGAGATGGGGAGCTGTCCACTCTTCCTCACTTCTACATGGAACCCAGCAGCAAGCTGGCACACAGAGGACTGGGAATTTTGGAGTGCCTGGTGATAGAGACACTGGTATTCTGCTATAGGGAAGGTGTTTGGGTGAAGCTTCGCCAAGTGGCTTTGGAGATGGGGCAGGAGAAGAAGAACAGGGGGAGTGGCAGTGGGCGTGGCAGCTAACTAGTCTGTGTTACTTGTACAAGAGCTCTCTGGATAGTCCCCCAAATAATGAGTACACTGTTCAGATTCTATTGCCATGTGAGGAAGGCAAGTAGGCAGGCATTTGGGTGCCCGACACTTTCTTTTAAACATCTCATTGTAATTTTGAATTTCAAGAGCTTTTCCTCTAATCTGGATGTCCCAGGAGGGCTGAGAAATATAAGACTATTTCTCCCAGAAATACTCCATGAAACTGATGTGACAGAGGAAAATCCTAATAACAACAATTGAATATTCACAGCCTCACATCAGCCCCCAAAAAAGATGGAGTCTTTTTTTATTGAGAGTATAGGGTCTGGCCTTAATTTGTATGATCTCGGTAATGGGTAGAAAGGTGAACTGAAAAAAAGCCCAGAGAAGAGAGTATGAGCTATATGAGAGCCAAGAGCAACCCCATCCCGGGGAGAAAAGAATAGATCCAGAAAGTAAGTTGTGGGGCATGGAGTGCTGTGAGAGAGGAAGCTAGGTGGGGAATGGAAAAGGAAGAGAAGGGAGGGAAGAGGAGAACAGGAAGGAAAGAAATTATGCAAAGGCAGTTCGCTGTGATGAATAGGATTTGGGAGTTCAGACTGTTGAAGATTTTCAGGATGATTTTCTGTGTGTTGTGCAATTTAATTTCACCATAAAGAAGATAGCAACAAAGATTTAGTTTATTGAATTTGTGTTGGTTTGAATGTGACACCCACTTGGACTGGATAGGAAGTGGCTTAGCTTTACCCAAGTTATACAAATGAACTGAGGGAATTAATAAAGATTTGCCAGGATAGAGCTGCTACACTTAGTGGAACTCCTTGTAATGGTTCTCCAAGGGTTGTCTCGCATTTTTATTAAACTCTTTGCTATGTTATCTGTTTCTGAGAACCCCAAGAATGTGCTCTTGTTGCAGTTTCCACTTATTGATAGTGTGTACATGCTTCATGATCTCCCTGAAGGCAAGGTTTGTCCATGCAGATCCAAGGGTCTTAGCAGTCCTTGTGGCAAACAGGATCAATGAGGCCTGTGAGAGTGAATGAATAGATCCTGATAGGGTCACATCATTAGTTAAAGTGAAAATGAAATCAATGGCCAGGATCTCCCTTAGACACAGTCCAGGGAACACATAGGGGAAAGCACAGTGGGAGCATCTTATTAGTGTGAGGATACCATTTCTTAAATTACTTTTGGGTCTCTTGAGGCTCAGTTTTACTCTTTAAAATCTTAAAACTTCATCTGAACCCAATAGAAAGTTTAGACATTGTTTAATTTAGGTACCACTTTCACTTTTGAATGAAACCTATATATGAGGGGTAATTTAAAAGCTTAAATACATTAGGAAGACCACTTCACAAAACATAAATGTTGCTCAAAATGTAGTGATTACAAATCCCACGTTACAAAACCACTTCATTCAATACTTCATTCTCTCAAGTCGGTTTCTTATTTCTTTCATTCTTCCAATTTCTCATAACAAGATGCTCAAATCCTTCTGCCTCAGTCAGTATTAATTTGATTAAGTAGGATTTTGTTCTTACAGTTGCCAACTCATGAACTAATTCATAGTTCCCATTAAAAATATTGGAAACATCTTCATTGTAATCTTTGAATGCTTAGCTGTTACAGACAGTAAGTGTATATAATAATCTGTATGAACATATTCCTGGCAGACTACTTTTTTGCCCTTTGCATTTTGACAACTTACAATTCTCACCTCTTCCTGCAGTCAATGCTGCCTTATAGAGAACCTTGTTTCTCTTATCATAGTCTGTCATCTCAAGCAATGATATCAACAGAGGTCCAAAGAGATGTTGAACAGTGACAATGTACAAATGATGGAGCTTCTCTAGAGGCAGGATTTTGTTTCTGAAGTACCCCGAAAAGGCCAGATCCAGAAATGAATGGATATAAAAGGACAGATCCCTGGTGGTGATTACAGCACAATAGTTGATTCCATACTTCTTTCCCTAATAGAAAGCAAACTGAGAAGGTATTTCCACCATTATTTAGTGTTCAGAGATGGGTTAGATGATGTTGGAGTTACTCAGAGGAAAAATTCATGAAGCTAACAGAATTATAGACAAAGTAACTGAGAATCTGAGGTTATGTTCAGGGTTTAAAATCTCCATCTTCTTTTGTAAGTATGTATTTTTAAAATAGCCGTGAAGGAATGTAATCAACTTCTTATTGTTGGCTTGGTTACTGTTAAGTTATGCCATGTATAAAAGTATAGCTTGTGACAGTGACCTTACAGTCTACTTTAAATTTATGTTTGATTGTAGCCAAAAAGCTGGGGCAACAAATAATTTGTAATCTTCTGGCTTCTTTCAACAAAGCTTTGAGCGAACCAGTGCAAAAGCCTAACAGCACATCTGATACTACAGGCTTCAATGAAAAATAAGGGGAAATAATCATAATTGGTTTTTCTTTGGGTATATTCTTCAAAAACGCTGATTTAAGAATTAAGTCTGCAATCTGTATGCAATTATATCTTGTGGATACAGCAGATTATTATTTAAGAATGTTTTGTCCTTACTGGACAAAAATAGATAAAGCCTGGTTTTCATTACTCTCCCACTTACTACCATTGCATAAATATATTTCAGTTTTACAAAGTGATAATTCACAGCTACAACTCTAGAGTAAGTAACCCTAAGGTAACCCGGCAAACATGGCAGGATTATATGAGCACAGTGACTGAAATGATACTTTTCCTTCAAGTACAAATAAATTTAAGTAATGGAATAATAGTATCAATGAGAAAATGATGGTTCTGGTACATTTTAGTGTTCAAAATATAAAAATAATTTTTTCTGCAAAATTGGATTATTAAATCTGAGGACATGGTTATGGTACATTGCACATTTTCAGGCTCAAAATAGGTGCCTAGTAAACTCTGACAACCGAAAAATCTGTCACCACCATCATCAATATTATCATCATCGCCACCATCATCACTACCATCATAACCACCATGAAGCATGAGGCTTTTGGAGAAGAAACCCAGACTTTGAAGCTGGACAAGTCTGGCTATGAGACATCATGACTCTGTGTCCTTTCAGCTGTATGGTCTCTGCCCACTGATATGGTTTGGCTCTGTGCCCCCACCCAAATCTCATCTTGAATTGTACTCCCGTAATTCCCACGTGTTGTGGGAGGGACCCCGTGGGAGATAATTTGAATCATGGGGGCGGTTTCCCCCATACTGTTCTCATGGTAGTAAGTCTCACAAGATCTGATGGTTTTATCAGGGGGTTCCGCTTTTGCATCTTCCTCATTTGCTCTTGCTGCTGCCATGTAGGAAGTGCCTTTCACTTCCCACCATGATTCTGAGGCCTCCCCAGCCATGTGGAAATGTAAGTCTAATTAAACCTATTTTTCTTCCCAGTCTTGGGTATGTCTTTATCAGCAGTGTAAAAACGGACTAATACACCCACCTAAGGCATGGCTAACCACCTATGGGGCACCAGGAATGGCAGATTCCGTCATAACTAAAAAAGCAACTCCTGGCTTGTAATAGTACTTACTGCAATGGCTGAAAGACAGAATGCCCCGCGACTAGATAGATGTAGGTTGCAAACCTGGCTCCATTGGTTAGGGGCAGTGGTCCTGGGACAAGTTCCCCAACTTCTCCCTAGCCTTAGTTTTTACATTTACAAACTCATTATCTTAAATTTGGGTTCCACCAAAAGAAGACCCTGGAGAAGTATGGGGATGCAGGGAGTTTACATAGGAAGTGATCTCAAGAGGTCCAAGGGAGGAAGTGAAATGTGAGAAGAAGAAAAAAAAGTCAAAAAGTACATAGATGAATAGGTTCCTGCTATGGACAGGTGGGGCTCAATCTTGTAAAGCACTCTCTGAGAAACCAGAAGGAACACACCTCAGAATCACTCACTAGACAGGAGGGAGCTATGGCATTTTTCTACTTACTTCTGTCCACTATTACTTGAGGGCTATTCTCTGAGGCATTAACCCCGCTTGACATTTTCAGGTTGCCGCTATAAACAATAAAGCAAGCTCCTGGGATGCCAGAGGAAGCCCTCAGGCAGAGTTTAAGAAGGAAGAGAAGCAGGAGAGGCAGCTATGGCAAAGAAGACAATGGCAGGACCTTGCAGTGGCAACCTATCAGCATACCAAAAACTGCACACTGTAAAGCTGCAGGGAATATCAGGCAGAAGAAAAGTGGAAAGGGCATCAACAGCATCTGCTACATTCAGGACACTACTCACCTTTACAGGAGATTGTGAGGATCAGAGATAAGAAATATGAAGTGTCTGGTTCATAACAGGGACTCAACAAATGGGAGCAATGGTGGCAAAGATGCCCTAGAAGAAAGAGGAGGCTGGGCACTACTAAATGGAAGAACCTGCCAGTAACCCAGGCTGGCCAACCCAGTGTTCCTCCTCTCCTCTAGGTGTATGCCTCCAGGCGTGTGCAGGTGAGCTGCTCAACACAGACTGCTTACACTGTTGCTAAATTGTTGGTATGATTTTAGAGGAGGTTTCTGTTGAATTTGCAGAGCAATAAGATAAACCCAGCCTGTGTCATTGAGCTGCCACGTTCAAGTGTCCATGATGCCTTCCATGGGCCTGAGTTACCTTTGTTTCATGGGCCTCTTCCTCCAGTAAAAAAAAAAAAAAAAATACAAAATATGCTGTATGACCAGATTGGTGTAAAGACAAATACATTAGTATTATACATTAAAACTTTTTATTGGACCTAAAAGGACATCTTTCTTTCTTCTGCATTTAAAAGAAATTAAAACATTTTCATGGGCCCTTGAAGTACTGTGAGCCCCAGGCACTGTGCCTGCTCTGCCTAATGAGTGAGTCACCTCATCTCACATACACCATTTCATTTAATTCTTATAGGGACTGTGCAAAGGTGGTTTCTTATCCCCATTTTTCAGGTGAGAAACTGAGGCTGAGAAAGATGAAATGACCCATCCAAATTCACACAGCCAATGGCAGAGCCCTGGATTGTTATATGCACTCTAAATTCCTCCAGCGGTCATATGGAGGAAGTGCCCATGGTAATGATGCTTGCTGCACTTGCCAACATCTGAAACATCATAAACATATGTAAATATATACACAAAGAAACATACATACATACACACACAGAAATGTCTTATTTTGTAAACAGATTTATGAAGGTGTAATTTACATATGATATAATTCACATATGATACATATGATAAAATTCAGAGGTTTTTAGTATTTTCACAGGGTTGTGCCACCATCATCACACTTAATTTTAGAATATTTCATCGCCACACAAAGAAATCCCATCTATGTCCATTAGCATTCATGCCCCATCCCCTCCTCCAACCTCTCCCCAGGCCCTGACAACTACTAACCTACTTTCTGTCTTTATGGATTTGCCTGTCCTAGGCATTTCATATAAATGGGACCATAGAATATGTGGTCTTTTGTGTTTGGCTTCTTTCACTTCGTATAATGTTTTCAAAGTTCATCTATGTTGTAGCATATACCAGTACTTCATTTTTACTGCCATATTATATTCCATTTTATGGATGTACCATATTTTATTAATCCATTCACAAGTCAACAGACACTTGAGTTGTTTCTATTATTTGACTATTATGGGTATTGCTACTATAAACATTTGTGTGCAACTTTTTGTGTTTTAATTCTAAATATGCATTAGTTTTAATCAGATTGTTTTCATATAATCCATCTTAGCATAAAGAGGAAAGAGTTCTACAGCTAGGGCTCTAAAACATAACTTTTCTAACTAATGAAGGGAACAATTACTAAGAACCCATAATAAAAGACACTTTACAAGAGAATAGAAGACCTTGTAGGGAATGAAACACACTCTTAAGAAAAACGGCAAGAAGCTAGGGCATAATGTGCTTGCTAAAATGGAGTGTAACTACATTTCTGAACACAACAATGAGAAAAAGTTATCCAGCATTCTTTCCCCTTGACTTAGTGCATGATGAGGAACAAATAGGATTATTTCCATTAGGACAAAAGATGTAGTTGCTAAAGCTTATCTTTCCAAGGAATGAATCACTAGTTGGGATCTAGTGAAGATCTAATAATTTATATGTCCCTGCCTAATATTCACTCTGCAGCTGAGAAAAAAAATCTTAAAAAACCTTCCAAAGGAAGCGCACAATGAATTTTTTTCAATTCAAACCAACAAGCAGTAAATCCCCTCTTTACAATAGCCTGTCTCACTCCTTGCCCTTGCATTTCCACTTAAAAGTTTTTCATCCTTCAAGGCTACTCACTCCATCAAGTTTTCTTGGAGTTCCCCCAAGTTATAACCATTCTTTCTCTCACTCCATATCACTGAGTGCTCAGGGGCACCAGACAACATGCAGTGACAACTGAGTGACTATAATATGCCAAGCATAGTGGGTGGCACACCCTGGGGACAGAAAAGTACAAAAAAAAAAAAGCCCTCAAAGAATTTAACCTCTTTTTAAAAAGATGGAGACTAATCAACCAATCAAATAAATTATCAAAAACATTTCATAAACAAAGATACACACACATTCTTGGTTTTAAGTAATAAAAATTCACCTCAAATTAGCTTAATCTTCCTAGTGTGATCACTGATAATGTGATCTCAATCTCACAGACCTGGAAGGGCCACATGTACAGCTGGCTTCAGGAGGAAGTGAAAATCATCATAATTCCACGTGTCTGTTTGCCTGCACATAGCTGAACATAAAGCTGAAATGCATGTTTTAAGTGAGCAGCAACTTCTCTCTTGTTAAATACTGTACACCCAACTGCTAGCTTCTGGCACACTGTAGATGTCCAAACTGACTAAGGTCTTCCAATCTCAATTCTAAATTTCAGAAGAGAAAAACCAGGTTGTCATTTGGGTCAGGTATCCACTTCTGATCTAAACAGCTGTTACCTGGGATGGGAGATACTATAAACGGAATGTTTGTGTACCCCTCAAATTCACATGTTAAAACCCAGTCCCCGATGTGGTGGTATTTTGAGGTGGAGCCTTTGGAAGGCCCTAGATAGTTCATCTGCCCCTTCTGCCACGTGAGGGCACAGCAAGAAGACAGTTGTCCATCTGTGAACCAGGAAGTAGACCGTCACCAGATCCCAAACATGCTGACACCCTGATCTTGCACTTCCAGCCTCCAGAACCATAATAAATACATTTCTATTGTTTATAAGCCACCCAGTCAAAGACATTTCTTATATGGCAGCCTGAACTAAGATGGGAAGAAATAACACTTCTCATAGAGGAGAGGTCTATAATAACTCAGCATCCCTAGTGATACAACTCCAGTGTTCTTTCAGTGTTCTTCAGTGTTCTTTCAGTAAGTGGCATTATGATCCAGCTAGTCCTTCTACATTCTCACTCTTAAGTTATCACTCCTTGTTTATGTACCAACCAACTAAGCCTACTAGCTGTAAACTTAGAATAAGGAAAGAACATTGTTTAAACACTAAGGTTTCCATTATCTAAAATGCCCATAATTTATTGAAATTGAATGGTTTATTCTGGCTGGAAAAATCAGTGATCACTGCCTGTAGCAGATAGCTTCAGAAGCCAACAATATGATATTATTTTCTCTGGGACCTTCCATCTACTAATCTACTCGCTCTATCCCTATTCCAAAGGTTGGCCCATAGCAGCCATATTTGTTCCATTATGTGTGACCAAACTTAAGCGTTAACCTGACCCAAGGAGGGTCAATCACACTCTTGCATCTGGGAATTGAGACTGCAAAGCTGAAGAACTGTTAGCGGCTCTGTGAGGAACAGGGCTCATTTGATATAACCTCTGAGGATAGGCTACCTTTTGGCCACCATGGAAATTGAGAATCTGAGAAGGACAGTGAACAGAGAAAGATGAATAAAGCAAATACAAAGCAATGAGAGATTCTGGAATGATGCATATATAATTCTAACTTTAGGTTTCAGCCTTTTCTGAGATCTGGCTCCATCTCTACTTTTGAGACCCACAGACATTCCCACACACTTTCACAGAGTGTCCTTTAGCTAGTTCAATCAGCTTAGATTACTAGCGACCAGAGCCCTATCTAATATAGAAGGTTCTGGGAAGCTCTGACAGAGCTTTTTAACAGTAAATGATAAAGGACAAATGTGGAGTTTTCTCACAGCGTTTCTTCCTTGGCATTCCCTGTCTATAATTCAACTATAAATCTTTTGAGTATCAATCCCATCATTCTTCTGGCAATGTAGTTTGTGACCAGGCTGCCATTCTTTGGAAAAGAGAAAATGGACTCACACTCTTAGGAAGAGTCAATGGTTGGTGCTGTTTGATAGCTTTGGGCTAAATCCTGACTGTATTCACCCTCTGTCCCCTGCCCACAGGTTCCTGGAAGAGTTACATGTACAAAGAAAAACAGCAAAACAGAAAACAAGGTTGTACTTTACTTTTAGCTGGGCCTTTTCCCAATAACTCCAGATGAGGCCAAGAACCCTTGGCAGGAACCAGGAAGGGTTTTGGTCTGCAGACCATCATGGCACCACATCCAGGGCTCCCAGACCACTGGCACAAATGGTCCCTGTGCGGGCACCACCCACTTCTCTATATGGCAAATTCAGTAAATAGGACCTTTTCCACGGCCCACCTAGCCACTTCCACCCCAACTCTATCCTCAAGGACCTGCTGGGCAGACATGTGGCACACAAGCAGGATCACACCCCTATACCTCTCAGAAACTCTTACTCCAGCCTTCTCCCCCAAGTGTTGAGAAAGGGATTGTTTCAGTGTAGCCCCTGTGTATTAGTCCGTTCTCAGGTTGCTATAAAGAACTACCTGAGACTGGGTAATTTACAGAGAAAAGAGGTTTAATTAGCTCACAGTTCCACAGCCTGTACAGGAAGCATGGCTGAGGAGGCCTCAGGAAACTTACCATTCATGGAGGAAGGTGAAGAGGAAGAGGCACGTTCTACATGGCTAGAGCAGGAGAGAGAGAACCAAGGGGGGAACTGCTACACACTTTCAAACAACCAGATCTCATGAGAACTCACTCACTGTCATGAGAACAGCAAGGGGGAAATCTGCCCCCATGATCCAATCGCTTTCCACCAGGCCCCTCCTCTAACACTGGGGATTAACAATTCAACATGAGATTTCAGTGTAGACACAGAGCTAAACCATATCACCCTGAAACACAGAATGACTGTTAAAACATTTTTGAGTCAAGGGAACCAAAGCCAATAACACAGCTCATGAGTGACAAACGTAGCACATGTATTCTCAACTAGGCAATATCGCCACCAAGGGGGTAAAAATCGATTACTGGGAGAGGCGAAGAAAACGTATTATTTTTATGTATAAAGCACAGAAATACACAACACAAACAGATAAATAGGATATCTGTGCTATGTAAATTTCATGGGTGGAGGCTGGGGAGATTAGAGAAAAAATGTTTTAAAAAGCTTCCTTGAGGGGGCAATAATGAAAAAAAAAAGGTGGAGACACATTAGAGCCTATAGTGGATGCTGTGGTGCTGCCACAGACCCTTACTGCTGGTGGACCCATTCCCAGTTGCTAAGAACTCCTAGCTTACTCCTTCTCCCAAGAATTGGCCTTTGCAAAAGGGGACCCACCTTTCTTAGGGAGACTATACTCCTATGTTCTCCTTTTCTCTCTCTTTCCTTCATGCTATGCTCCATTTCCCAAAATGTCAAACCAGTCCATGCACTTTTTCATTCTGCACCTTTCTCAGGCCTTTCTCTGACCTTCCTGTAAACGTCATTTTGCAACCTTCTCTTTGCATTCTCCTGACTCTTTTCCAAGCACCACTTCCATCCAAATACTTTCCATTAATGTCTATGCCTTTTCTCCTACTACTCTTGCAAGCACTCTGAGGGATAGAATCTTGTCTCATTCTTTTTTCTACTCCCAGGAACTAGCACTATTCCTAACAGGAATGGGTGTTCAATAATTGTTGGGTCAAACAAAGTAATTTGCAGAATATCTCTGCAAGTTCCTTAGGCAGGTGTACCCTATCAGAGCTGAGAAGGCCACAGAACAACTCCCAGTTATTTCAAATTTGATCAACTCATTGAAAAGACCCAGTTCTACTTATTTCTGTACTCCCATGAGCACCCACAGACAGGAAAACAAAACACCTAAAACATCTTGTCTACACTGTAGTCCAATCATTATAAATAGGGCATTAAAAAATAAGTTAAATATTATGAGAAAATACATCAGTACTGAAATAGCTGTACTTACATTCAAGTGCTGAACATAAACAAATAAAGACAATGCTGAGTTTGTCTTACAGAGTATCTACAGTTTACAGAGCTGTTTTATCTACACTGTCTCTTTTGAGGCTCAAGCAGCCTAGATAATACTTTTCCCATTGTAAAGAGGATGAAACTATGTTAACAATTTAAAGTGGCTCCTCTTTCAAGGTCACAGTAATGTATGGAGAACAGAATTCAAACCCAACCCTTCTGCTATGGCTTGGATATAGTTTCTTTATCCCTGCCAAATCTCATGTTGAAATTTGGCCCACAGTGTAGCAGTGTTGGAGGAGAAGCGTAGAGAGAGGTGCCTGGGACATGGGGGCAGGTTCCTCATGAATGGCTTGGTGCTGTTCTCACTCTAGTGACAGCAGATTAGTTCTCAAGGGAATGGATTATTTCTGGCAAGAATGGATTGTTATAACTAGTATACCCTGGGTTTGGTCCCCCTTCCCAAGTGACTGATTCCTCCTTTGACCCTCTCCAAAATGTTTTGGCACAGCACAAAAGCCCTTGCCAGTAACCAAGCAGATGCCAGTGCCATGCTTCTTGTACAGCCTGCAGAACCATGAGCCAAATAAACCTCTTTTTTCTTTTTCTTTTTTTCTTGAGATGGAGTCTTGTTCTGTTGCCCATGCTGGAGTGCAATGGTGTGATCTCAGCTCACTGCAACCTCTACCTCCCAGTTCAAGCAATTCTTCTGCCTCAGCCTCCCAAGTAGCTGGGATTACAGGTGCCCACCACCATGCCCAGCTAATTTTTTTGTATTTTTAGTACAGACGGGTTTTCACCATGTTGGCCAGGCTAGTTTCAAACTGCTGACCTCAAGTGATCTGCCTACCTCAGCCTCGCAAAGTGCTAGGATTACAGGTGTGAGCAACTCCGCCCAGCCAACCTCTTTTCTTAATAAACTACCAAGCCTCAAGCATTCCTTCATAGCAACACAAAACAGACTAACACACTTTCTATGTTTAGCCTAGTAGTTCTCAGCTAGGCACAATTTTGCCACCCAGGGGACATTTGGCAATATTTGGAGACTTTTTTGGTTGTCACAACTGGAGGGTTGCTCCTGGAATCTAGTGGTAGAGGCCAGAGATATTGCTAAACATCCCACAATACAAAGGACAGCTTCCCACAACCAAAAACTACCTGGTCTAGAATGTCAATACTGCCAGTGTTGAGAAACCCGGGTCTTATTCAATGTCTTAGCCATCATATCACATTCTTTTGAGTAGACAATATAACTCTTAAATGGGTGTGGAGCTATAAAAACCTTGGCTACAGAGTTGTGCTTTCCAAAGTTAGAGCCATGAACCACATGCAGCTATTGAGCACATGAAATGTGTCTAATCCATATGGAGATATGCTGTAGGTGTAAAATACATTCTGGGTTTTGAAGACAGTATAAAACAAAGAATATCAATAGCTCATTGATATTTTTATATTGACTGCATGTTGATATAATATTTTGGATCTACTGAATTAAATAAAATATATAATTAACATGAATTTCACCTATGTTTTAAATATGTCTACTAGAACATTTGAATTTCCAGATGTGGCTTGCATTTGTAGCTTACATTATATTTCTATGACCATTGGTGCTATAGAGATTGCTGCTATAGAAAATACATAGTTTAAATAGTATGTGTCATATTCATCATGCAAAGTAGCATGAGTACAGGCTATTTCAAAATAGTCTCCCAATTTCATACGCATTTGTGATAGGCAAAATAACCCCCTGCCAAAGATTTCCACTAAACCTTTGATTGTGTTACTTTACATGGCAAAAGCAACTCTGAAGATGTGATTAAGTTAAGGACCTTGAAATGAGGGATAATCCTGGATTATCTAGGTAGGCTCAATATAATTGTCATGGTTGATGATTATCTGAAGCCAGTGCACTGGTGGTAAAGGAATTTACCAAGATAGTAATGAGTTTAGAAAGGCAGATTTATTTAGAGGAGAAGGGGAGATACATTGCAAGACAGCAGAAAGAAGGCTGTCTGCTATCTGCAGAGTCAGGGGCTGGAAGGGGAGTTTTATAAGGTCGTGCTGCTTGAGCTGAATGCTTGCAGACAGAATGCTTGAATGCAGGTGGGCCATGAGCTGAATGCTCGTAACAGGATGCTATGGGTGCCAGTGAGCCTTTTGTGGTTGACCCCATTTCTCAAAACATTTGCTCCCCTTATCTATTTCTGTTCCTGCCAGGTAAGCCCATTTTCTAATTTTCTTTTTACTCCTTAGGGTTTCACAATAATCACAAGAGTATTTATAAGGGAAAGAGGGAGGCAGGAGAGCAAGAAGGAAATGTGATAACAGAAGCATTGTCAGAGAGAAAATAGAAGAAGTTATACTGCTGGCTTTGAAAATGGAGGAAGGGGCCACAAACTAAGGAATGCAGGCAGCTTCTGTAATAGAAGCTGGAATAGACAGTGGAACAACTTCTTCCCTAGACCCTCCAGAATAAACGAAGTACTGCAAACACCTTAGCTTTAGCCCAGTGAAATCCATTTTAGACATCTGATCTCCAGAACTGTAAGATAACAAATTTGTGCTGTTCCAAGCCACTAAGTTTGCAGTAATTTGTAACAGCAGCAACAGGAAATTAATACAGCTTTATACACATACACAGATAAATTACGTTGCATGTCAGCTTTCCTTCAAAATGAAGGATTCTACCAAAATATATGACTTCATTTTAGTAAGTAGAAATCTATATGACTATGATTAAGGACATTCACTGATAGCTGATATATTCTAGGTGTCTATCCCATTTCCACATTTATAATACAATGCATTCCCTAAAACTGCTTTACCCAGTGAATCATTGTAGATTGTACCGAGCTCATGCATGATTAATTAATCTGCACAATATGCATGGGGCCACAAAGAGAAATCACTAAAGAGAAAAAGAAGATAAAGTTATGAAATAAAAATTCAATTGTCCTATATAATGAACTTGCTTCATACACAATACCATTTTCCTGTAGATAAACAAATGGATAGTCATTACCCAACCCATGCTGTTGAGATTCTGACATAAAATTACTGTGAGTAAACAACAATTACATATATCAAGGAAAAGACATTTTACATAGCCACCTAAGTGGAAGGAGGAGCATAGTCACTGTATGTCCCTCTACCTTTCTATAATATTTAAATTCATGATTAACAAGAAAGAAAGGATTTTTTTTTTAATGCAGACAATCCCCATTCACAATCCTCTGTTTGAGTGCATAGCTGGAGAGCTAAATCTTTAGAAAATATCAGTTTTCAAGGAAAGTGGGTTTTAGTAAAAGTTTTTTTGAAAAAATAGGAGGGATTAATAATACACTAATCTCCTTAGTAACTGAAGCTAATTTATGAGAACTATAAACTTTCATCTATTTCCAACATTAAAAGCAGAGAATAAGTCAACCAGAAAAGTATTTATGGCTAGCTACCAAAATTAAAATTGATTATCTTTTGGGCAGAAGTAACCAGATCTTTGGATTGGAGGGAAGACAAGGGATCTAGTCCCTGTTCTGCAACCAAGATATTGTGCAGCTTTAAGCAAGTCCTTAGGACTCTCAAATCTTGGTTTTCTCCAGACAATATTAAATGTTGGACCAGTTGTGTGTCTCTAAAGCTCTTTGCAGCTCAAAAGCAATCTATGCTTAACCATTAATGTGGGTTTGTTTTAATAATTTCATTTTTGTTAATGTATAAAAGCATAACTTCTAAAGACATTTAAGTCTTAGGTTGTGTCCATGATGATGCATGCTGGATGACTCAATGAAAAAGGGAACCATGATTTATCATATGGTTAATTCAGGGTTTAGGTATTTGATTTCTTCACTTGGCATACAGTGAAAATGTTGACATGGATTACTGCCCTCTAACAAAAATATTTTTTTATCATATTTGGCCAGAAATCTGTGTGTGACAAAGAGTAGGGTTCAAACAACAGATGAGCATATCAGCCTCAGCAGCTTTGCCTCCTCCCTTCCTCCTAACAGTTGTCCTCCCCGCTTTCCTATCTCTCTCCAACATCATTAATCAAAACCAAGGCTTAACTATAAATAGGCACTGGAATTGATTTAACTAACTTTAACATGGAGGGAAAGGGCTGGGGTAGGTTCCAAATTGGCTACATTTCACTTCATTCCTGAGGATTTTCCAGCAAGGTCTAAGCCTCCTGCTGCCCTCCTCTCCCTCACAGTCTTCACTGTCCCTCTGTATTATAACTAACTACAGGCTTCCTTTGCTCTGACTTTGTAGGACAATCTCCTAATTGTCTTAATTTCCCAAATGCAATGCCTGTGCTCAATTCCAATGAGGTCATACACAAAGTCATAGAGATATCTGTAGAAATCATTCAAAAATATCTAATTTTTATTAGTCTGATCAATACTCCAAATATAGAATTTGACTACAAATAAAGCAGGTTTATGGAGGCTTTTGTTAATCACAAATAAAGAAGAAGCAAAAGCATAATCAAGTCAGGGCATAAGGTAATAAGGCATCTAAAATGTTGAACTACCAAGAAGTGCAATTAAAAAAACAAACTTTTTTTGAAAAACTTCCTTCTATGACTTCTGGTTAAGAAAGAATTTTAAGTTCATGCTATATGGTGTCCCCATTGCTCGAAACATGCAATTGTGATAAGTGAAATATAACAAAAGAATACTGAAAAGACAATGCCAGAATATAAATTAAGATATACATCCTCAGGACCAGTAATAGTGAGTGTGGTTGAAGCCAAAGCCTGATGGGTGCTGAGCCCCAAATCAGGCAGTGAGACAGAGAAATCTCTTTCCAATGGGAGACGAAAAGTCCTCTACTTACTATGAAAGGCTGAAGCCAGGCTTTAGGCTTAAAGCTGGACTGGATTTGGCACCCTTTCCTTGATAAAGGAAGCTAACATCAGACATTGCCAATTGACTCCAGGGTTTACAGGTTTTACCACCGGTTATCAAGGGGGAGTCAGTGACTTTCTTCCCCAGAGGACATTTGGCCAATGTCTGGAGACATTTTTGGTGGTCATAACTGGAGGGAAGTTGGCACTAGTTGCATTTAGTGAGTAGAGGCTGGGGATGTTTCTAAACATTCTACAATGCAAAGGACAGCTCTACACAACAAAGAATCATCCGGTCCAAAATGTCAACAGTGCCCTACTGAGAAAACCTGGTTTATATGAAGTTAAAACCTAAAAACCTACAGATTTAAAAGACGTCAACACAGCCTCTGTCTAGACAAAGATCTGAAACAAGCTGCTCCTGGCCTGGAGACTGGCTCTGCATTATTTTACTATAGGGCAGGAGCTCCAAACCATCACCTAAAATGTGGTTTTGTCCTGGGGACCCCGGTGGACATCAACTGAAAAATACCAGCCACAAAAAGAAGCTCATACAGAGAGAGAAAGTGGGTGAGAGAGAGAGAACGGACATACATGAACAGAGAGCAAGAGACAGAAGAACACAAACAAAAAATTCACTCAAAATTAGCCTGTGAATCAAAATCCCAAAACATGTGAAGAAATATAACACTGAAGAAGACAGCCAATATATCAATATCCAGAATATGAGTTTACTGTGGTGAAATTAATTTTATAAAATAGCTTGACAAAGACTTCAAAACAAGCATGTTTAAAATACTCAGGAAGATAGATGAAATCACATGTATAAAAATCAAACAAATTATGACACAAAATCAGGCAGAAAGGAGATAAGAATAGGTGAATATAAATAAGATTTGAAAAAAAATGGTGTTTTAAAAGGAAAAATTCAAAAGATAGGATAAACTTTAGATTTGAGGCAGCTGGTAAGTGTTTTAGTGAATTAGATTTTGATACCAAAAAATTTACCCAGAAGCCAGCAAAAAGAGAAAAAGTAATCAAAACTTGTAAAGGAGCATTTAAGAATCAGGGCAGATGGTTTGAGAGCCTCTAGCTTCAAAGGCTTACTTAAAATTTAGAACTTATGTTTAGAGATTTTTTTTTAATGAAGAACGGTATTTGAACATTAATATCCAAGAGTTTTCCAGAATCAGAAAAAAATGAGAATCCTCAGTTGAAAGTACCCTATGAGTATTCAGAAACATAAATACAAATAAGTCCTACACCTAGACACATTTTAGTCAAACTGCAAAATATCAGTCTTAAAATTTAGCAGAGACAAAATACAGTTTGACCTGTGAAGAAGTTACTATCATACACACAGATTTCTGATCATGAACAACAAATGGTAGAAGAACCTGAAGCAATGCCTTTTAAAGTGATGAGGAAAAATAACTGCCAATATAAAATTCTACTCCCAGAGAAACCATCATGCAATGTTAAAATAATGATATTACAAAATATAAAACATTAAGACTGTTTAACACCCACAGGCACTCATTAAAAGAACTATGAAAGGATTCATTTCAGCAAAAAGATATGTGAATTCAAGGGAAAGGCATAGGACAAAGGAAACAATTTTGTGTGTCTCATCAATGAAAAACAAGTGACATTGCTGTGGTATGTAAGCTGCTTCACTCTCAGAAATGCCAAATGCCCTTGAGTTTAGTTGTTCTAATATTTTACCTCATACTTCCCACTTTAATATATTGCTTTTAATTTCACTATGAAAGAAAATTCTACTTTCAAGTGAAGAGATGAATAATAAATTTGGGCAAGGAAAAGCATTTAGAGAATTTAATAGGAATTGTAAATGACCAGAATAAATCAATTATACATGGAAAAAAATGTACCAAAGAAACAGAAAGACTGTTCAGAGAAATAGTTACCAAACCAGGGGGTTGGGGGAAGATAGGTAGGAGAAGGGTCTAGAACCATAAAAAATGGGGAGAACTATTGTAACCTGGACCCTGCTGTGTCACAAAAATGACTGATTACTTTAACTGCTTAATCTGAAAAATAAGGGATTGAGGGAAATCAAATTTCCTTGATCCTAGATCAAAGATGTTGGTTAATCTAAAAGGTTATCATTATGGTATCTTTAAGCTGTACTATTTAGCATAAATGATCTAGTAGTCACAAGTATAAAATATTAACCTTGAAATGTGTATATGGATTAGAAATTTTGCTGTTTCCAAGAAAACATTTTGTATTTTTTTAATGGCTCTATGCCAAGTTTTTAGTAGTATATATTCAATAAAGACCATGGAACAAAAATATAGTAATTATCAACAACCTAAGTAAAATCTTAATATTTATAAGTCAAAGAACCATGTTCTATGTTACCTTTACCATTTGCTGATAAAATTGCAAAAGATGAGATCTGGAAAAAGAAGGATGCCCACTTTCACCACTTTTATTCAACATAGTGCTGGATGTCATAGCCAGAGCAATAAGACGAGGAAAATAAATAAAGGACATCTAAATTGGAAAGGAATAAGTCAAATTGTCCTTGTTTGCAGACAATATAATCATGTATTTAGGAAAACCTAAAGACTCTTTAAAAAAATCCTAAAGACTCTGCCAAAAAAATGTTAGAGTTGATAAACAGATTCAGTAAAGTTGTAGTATACAAAATCCACATACAAAAATTAGTAGCATTTCTAGATGCCAACAGCAAACAATCTCAAAAAAGAAATCAAGAAAGCTATTTATAATAGCTACCAAAAAATACCTAGGAATAAACTTAACCAAAAAGCAAAAG
This sequence comes from Homo sapiens, assembly GCF_000001405.40. NCBI lineage: Eukaryota > Metazoa > Chordata > Mammalia > Primates > Hominidae > Homo > Homo sapiens. Next base: position 11,623,379 of record NC_000023.11, read on the forward strand.
ATCTGTGCAATAAAAACTATGAAACACTGATTTTAAAAAACTGAAGAGGATGCCTGTAATCCAAGCACTTTGGGAGGCTGAGGTAGGTGGATCATGAGGTCAGGAGATCGAGACCATCCTGGCCAACACGGTGAAACCCCGTCTCTACTAAAAAAAAAAAATACAAATATTAGCCGGGCATGGCGGCGGGCACCTGTAGTCCCAGCTACTCAGGAGGCTGAGGCAGGAGAATGGCGTGAACCCGGGAGGCGGAGCTTGCAGTGAGCCGAGATCGCGCCACTGCACTCCAGCCTGGGCGACGGAGTGAGACTCGGTCTCAAAAAAAAAAAAAAAAAAAATTGAAGAGGACATAAAAGACATAAAATATTGGAAAGATATCCTATGTTCATAAATTGCAATAATTAATATTGTAAAAATATCCATCTTACCCAAAGTGATTTACGGATTCAATGCAATCCCTATCAAAATACCAATGACATTCTTCACAGAAATAGGAAATCCTAAAATTTGTATGCAACCACAATAGAAAACAGAATAGCCAAAGCAATCCTGACCAAAAAGTATAAATCTAGAGGCATCACACTACTTGACTTCAAAATATATTGCAAAGCTATAGCAACCAAGCGGCATGGTACTGGCATAAAAATAGACACAGACCAATGGAACAAAATAGAGAGCCCTGAAATAAATCCACACTTTATAGCCTACTCACTTTACACAAAGGTACAAAAACATACAATGGGGAAAGGACAGTCTTTTCCACAAATGATGCTAGGAAAACTGAATATCCATATGCAGAAGAATGAAACTAGACCCCTATCTCTCATCATATGCAAAAATAAAATCAAAATGAATTAAAGACTTAAACCTATGACCCGAAAGTATGAAACTACTAGAAGAAAACAACAGGGCAAATGCTTCAGGACACTGGTCTGGGCAAAGATTTCTTGAGTAAGACCTCAAAAACTCAGGCAACCAAAGCAAAAATTGACAAATCAGATAACATCAAGCTAAAAAGCTTCTGCAGTGGAAAGGAAACAATCAAGAAAGTAAAGAGAAAACATACAGAATGGGAGGAAATATTTGTCAACTATTCATCTGACGTTAACAACCTGAATATATAAGGAACTCAAACAACTCAATAGCAAATAATAATCATCCAATTTTTAAATGGGCAAAAGATCTGAATTTCTTTTTTTCTTTTTTTTGAGACGGAGTCTCGCTTTGTCGCCCAGGCCGGAGTGCTCACTGCAACTTCCGCCTCCCGGGTTCATGCCATTCTCCTGCCTCAGCCTCCTGAGTAGCTGGGACTACAGGCACCCACCACCACGCCTGGCTAATTTTTTGTATTTTTAGTAGAGACGGGGTTTCACCGCGTTAGCCAGGATGGTCTCGATCTCCTGACCTCGTGATCCACCCGCCTCAGCCTCCCAAAGTGCTGGGATTACAGGCATGAGCCACCATGCCTGGCCAAAGATCTGAATTTCTCAAAAGGATACATAAAATTGGCCAACAGGTATATGAAAAAATACTCAACATCACTAATCATCAGGGAAATGCAAATCAAACCCACAATATGATATCGTATCAACCAAATTAAAATGGCTTATATCCAAAAGACAGAAAATAACAAATGCGGATGGAATGTGGAGAAAAGGCAATGCTAGTATACTGTTGGTGGTAATGTAAATTAGTATAGCCATTATGGAAAACAATATGAATTTTCAAAAACTAAAAATAGAACTGTAACACCATATGATCCAGCAATTCTATTGCTGGATATACATCCAAAAGAAAGAAAATGCATCTGTCAAAGATATATCTGCATTCCCATGTTTTTTACAGCACTATTCACAATAGTCAAGATATAGTATCCATCAATGGATTGATGGATAAAGAAAATGTGGAGTGTGTGTGTGTGTGTGTGTGTGTATATGTATATATGTTTACGTGTGTGTGTGTTTAATAGAATATTATTCAGTCATAAAAAGGACTGAAATCTTGTCACTTGAAGCAATACAGATATAACTGGAGGACATTATGTTAGTGAAGTAAGTCAAGCACAGAAAAATACTTCACGTTCTCACTCATATGTGGGAGCTAAAAAGGTGTATCTCATGGAGACAGTGAATAGAATGGTGGTTACCAGAGGCTGGGAAGGGTAGTGGGGAGGAATGAAGAGGGCTCGGCTAATAAATACAAAAATAAAGTTAGATAGAAGGAATAAGATCAGGTATTCTGTAATAGGACAAATATAGTTAACAGTAATTTGTTATATATTTCAAAATAGGTAAAAGAGAAGATTTGAAATGTTCCCAACACAAATAAATGACAAATGTTTGAGGTGATGGATATCCCAATTACCCAGATTTGATCATTACACATTGTATGCTTGTAACAAAATATCACATGTACCCCGTAAATATATACAACTGTGATGTATCCATGAAAATGAAAAATGAAAAAAATTACAAAAGAGTCATTAAGTTTCCAATAACTACTGAAATTTTGTACTAAGTGTATGCCAAATCTCTAAACAGTGCCTGGTCTATAATATATTCTCAACACATTTTCACAAATAAATAAAATAAAATACCATGAAAAAACAGAATAAGAGAAAAGCAAAAATTGATGAAATATAAAACAAGATGTAATAAAATATATGTAAAAGCAAAAGCTAGTTTTTTTACTGACAAACTAGTAAAATGGCAACCTGTAAGTCAGATATGCCAAAATAAAATATACATATACACAATATTAAGAATTCAAAAAATACAAATACAATAAAATCTTAAATCAGAATAATATGAATGTAATATAATAAATTTCAAAACTTGGATAAAATGGATAATTTTCAAGAAACATATAAATTACAAAAACTACTCAAGAGAAAACATAAAACCAGAACAAATAAATAACCATCAGAGAAATTCAATTGTCAATTTGAAGTCTGCCTTGAAAATGATATCCAGGCTCACAGGGTTTTATGATCTGTACAGACTATTTCAGAAAATGGAAAAAAATTACCCAATTCTCTGAAAGAAGCTAAAATGTTCTTTATACTAATTTGATAAGGACTGTATAAAAAATTAAAATATGAGAACTACCTGACAATGAACACAGATGTTAAAGTCTGGAAGAAAATATAGCAGGTATTTCTTAATGCATCATAAAATGTACATCAGGAATGCAAGGATGGTTCAATGGAAAAGCAAATCTAAAAATGAAAACACCACATTAGTAACTTACACATGAAAACCTATATCTGCATCTCATTGTATTTACCAAAAAATCCATAAAATTCATTACTCATTATTTTAAAAACTCTTAACAAAAATTAAAGAACTCCCAATTTTTAACTTGATAGACATTATTTTAAAATCTAAGACAAGATGTTAGATCACCACTTTCCCTCCAAACTTTTCTGAAGGCCACAATCAATGTAAATAAAACAAAACAAAAATAAAGGAGTTAAGATGTCTAAGAATTGGAAAGAAAGAGATAAAACAGCCCATACTGGCAAAAATATGATGATATTCCAAAGAAAATCTCAGAAATTCATAGAAAAACTATTAGAACAAGTTAGATAATTCAGCAAGGTTGTTTAATCAAGATCAACATTCAATCAATGCCCTTGCTATATCAGAGTAATAACAAATTAGAAAGTAAACATACCATACAAAAAAAATCAATGATAATCCTAAGGTTCCTAGGAATACATGCAAGAAAATTCATACAGGGTATGTTGAAAAAGTTTTAAAATATTGCTAATAACATATAATATTACTTTAGTAAATGGAGAGATATACCATTTCATGACATGAAGTCTCAATATCATATGTGTGCCAATTTTCCTAAATTAATATACAAATGCAAAACAATTCCACACAATATTCCAACATGATTAATCAGGAACTAGATAAGCATACCATAGAACTTATGTAAATGAAGAAGTGTTGAAGAATAGCCAAGAAAATTTTGAAGAATACTCTGTTCATCAATAGGAAAAGAGATAAAATAATTGATATTATACTCATAAAATGGAATATTATATAACAATTAAAATGGATAATTAGAACTATGCTGAGTAAAGAAAATATGTTGCAGAATAATGCCTATCAAATAATACCACTTACAGAGATTTTTTTAAACATGCAAAAATGCTGTTTAGTCATTAATACATAATACACAGGTCACAATAAATTGTCTTTATTATTATGCTTCTCCCAGTAATTAGGTCAAAGTGATTAGGAACCCACATCTGGCTTCAAGTCTTAGCTTTGCCCTTATTGTGTGATTTTGAGCATATTATCTAATCTCTGGTCCTCAGTTTCCTCATCTGTAAAGTGGAGAATTAACATTATTTACATGAGATTAATGAGAGATAAAATGCAATTACTAATCTAATTCACTCAGTACCTGGCGTAATAAGTAGTAATTTCTCATTAAGTGATGATTGCTATGGTAGACATCATTTCCACTATGGAGTTCAGAGACTGGTATATGCAACCTTCAAGCCTTCAGGTAGTGTACACTATTCAGAATAAAACTACTGTTTCCAAAAAATTAATATCCCTAATGGTTAGTTTTCCAGTCAATTCACTGCTTTTTGTCTCTATTTTTAGACCCACAGGTAAACTTTCATTAACAATGTAATATAAAAGTGAATGTCACTGGTAATTTGAGAATAAGTTGAAACAAAGATGAGGCATTTTTATTTGCAATAAAGCAATTCAATATCCAATTGTTTATTAGGCCACAGCTTTAAAAACAGCTGACTTGGGTAGTATTTGAGATTTTAGAAGAAAACAAAATGTACTAGATAGATCTGTCTGTCATCTAAAATGGTTGACATAGAGGAAAATATTTATGATTGTGCTGTCATGGCTAAGCTTCTGAAATAGACATCACAAAGTGATTTCACAGACAATTATTTGAAAGATACAGGGAAAATTCTATTATGGTTACATTTGAAAAGCAACTTTTCCCCCAACATCATCTTCTGATTCAGTAAAGGTATAAGTGAATCTGTAAAGAGGGAATTGTATTATTGTGTAATGCTGAGGATTTAAAGGATTTCTTATTGAAAGCTTACTAGTTTCTTTTTACAAAGCTTTCTTTTAAAACAGCTATATTCTCTGCATATTTTGCATACGTGCAAATGGTAGCAAGACAACATTTCTTTCTGTGATACTCTACAGCTAGTTGGGTCATCAGAGCATGAAGAGATTCTAACCATTCACAATTTTAGGTACTGCTGTGAACTAGAATAATAATAGCCATTTCCTCCAGAGCTCACCATCTAAGTGTCGCTAAAAATCTGCTACGTGAAAGCAAGTGAGCAATGAACAGATCAACTCCTTTTCCCTAGTACGGAGTCTTTTCCACAAAATGGATATAAGAAACGTTTGGCAAAACTGGAATTGTTTTCTCCCTGCTTAAATATTTCATGTGGGTATAAATACTTCCTGTCTTGTTATTAGCAGAAAATAATTATGTGTACTAATCATTCCATAATGTCCAACCACAGCTAATTTTGGTCATCTGCTTACAGTAAGTGTTTAATTATTATTACTGTCATATGATCATCCCCATGCTTCAGATACGTGTGTGTGTGTGTGTGTGTGTGTGTGTGTGTGTGTATACACGAGCTAGAGCTCGAGTCTTACAGATCTTCTATCTTTACTATCTTTACACATCTATACAAAATTACTTAGTTCATTCCAAGAGACAGCTAGGAAAGGAGGGAACCTGCCTACTTTCCTCCATCTCCACCACCTTCATCTGCCATTACCTTTAGTGGCTTCAACATCAGAGCATACAATTACCTCACAGTTCCACAGTTCTCTTAGGTCCAGAGAATTCTGTATTTGCAATTCATGAGTGTGGTCACCCCATCTTAGATATCTGCCATCACTTGGAAGTGCTTGACCTACAAATGTTCTCTGACTACCAACTTCTATCCTTCAATTTAACATATGTCTTTAATCTTTCTACATGTGCTCTTTGTGGTCATTTTTCACTCATTCATTTATGCATTCATTCATTAACAAATATTGATATTTATAATGTATGCCAAGCACTGCACTTGGAACATGGAATAAAATGATAAACAAGACAAACATGATCCCTGATCTAATAAAGCAATTATGAATATAAATATTATATATATTCATATATATATTCTCAATAGGACATTGAATCCTTAATAAAAATTTACTATAAGTCACTCTTAAATCACAAAGGAAGCATTCCATTATTAAAGCACATACTCCCACGAATTGTAAGACAAAGGCATTGCCTCTGTATCCAGGAATAAGCCGCTCCCCAAGGCACTGAGTGGCCACAGGATGGCTGGGCTGAGGCTCGCATTCACACACCCTTAAGAGTTCCCTGCCAAACCTGACCTCATGTTTCAACCACAAACACACAGCTAATAATAGCTTCTGCTCTTAACTTACAAAATACAATTCTTAAAGGCAATTTTTGAGAACCAGCCAGATTTCCAAAAGAAAAATTTCCAAAGCCTAACCAGTAACTACTACCAAAACAAAACTTCTCCCAGCAGGCATATGGCACTTTCAAGTCTCACCAGCAAAGTCCTTTGAAAAGAATCGAAGCTCCCCCAACTAGTGTGTGTGTGTGTGTGTGTATTCACCCTACAGGTCAAGTCTATTAATTACCTCCTGCCAGTTTCTGTTGTCTCAAAGTGACAAGCAATGGGTGGAAAGCTTTTGGGATAGGATCAACAAAAATGTATTACCAAATATATATATATGATAGATAGATAGAAAGTTGTTAGTAGAATTTGGCATGTGTTTAGTAGCTCTGAGGGAAATGTTTATGTAAAGCGTTACATTCAGTTAAAAAGAAAAGATGCAGTGTCATATGTTTTCCACCCTTCAATTTAAAAATCTGATTATAACCTCTTCAATACACTATTTAGGCTACTTGTAAAAGCAAGACATCCAAGAGGTCCAAGTCAAATGATTTCCAAAAGGGCAGATTATGAAACATATAGACATCAAATCCCACTTATGATATAGATGCCTGGGCCCTATAAATCTGTGGACAAATAAAATCCATCCTCTGTGCAGTTCTGTCAGGTCAAAAAGATGCTATGAGGGTGGGGACCATGTCTCTTCTGTTCACAAATGTATGTCTACTGCCTAGTGCAGTTAGCAAGATGGCTGGCATGTACTCAATAAACATTTGATGTTTGAGTTAATGATGAATGAAAGGATGGATGGATGGATGGATGGATGGACAGACAGAAAAGCAGATGAATGCAGATAGTTACCTGGACAGGCGGAGAATGAGTAGGGGTAGAGAATAATCAATGATTTAGGAAAAGATTTCTGACCAATGTTAACGACATTCTTCCTTTGACTGGCAATAAGACAAAATACTCTGAGCAAAGCTTTGAAGTTAGATGAATCAAAGTGTGGATCCTGAAGCGACCTTTGATTAAGTATGCAATGTTAATATGAATAGCATCACCTTTTTTGTCCGATTTCCTCATCGCTAAAATTGAAAAATAAAATTTATTTGTAGGATTATCGAGAGGATGGGATGGAGTAACAATGAAAGCGGCCGCTTGGCTGCCTGGCCAGGCACTGTTTTTTTTAAAATGCTGGGACAAGGTAAATTGAAGAGAGTTGATGATTGTCTCTATGCCAAAGGACATGTCACTCATGTAAATGGAACAGAGATAATAGTTCAGATAATTCAGGCCCCTGGAAATCTACAATCATTTCAAATATGCATAGATAAAAGATCTTGTGCAATGTCTGTGTTGTAGCCATATGTCTTTAAGTAAAATGCTCATCAAAATAATCAACTCTTCCCTCAAAAAGGTAAAATGGGCTGGGCACAGTGGCTCATGCCCATAATCCAAGCATTCTGGGAGGCCGAGCCGGGTGGATCACCTGAGGTCTGGAGTTCAAGACCAGCCTGGCCAACATGGTGAAACCTCATCTCTACTAAAAATACAAAAATTAGCCAGGCGTGGTGGCAGGCGCCTGTAATCCTAGCTACTTGGGAGGCCAGAGGTAGGAGAATTGCTTGAACCTGGGGAGCAGAGGTTGCAGTGAGCCAAGATCACGTGATTATACTCCAGCCTGGGCAACAAGAGCAAAACTCCGTCTAAAAAAAAAAAAAGTAAAATGGACTTTATTTCCAGTGTCTCCATAGCACGACTCCCCAAGTTCTAAGTGTTCCAATGTTATTTTAAGAGATCACAAACTACGGGCAAAGGGAGGCACAAAAGTCTACAGCAGGGAGCAGCAAACATTTTCTGTAAAGGATCAAATAAAAACTATTTTAGGCTTTGATAGCCATCCAGTGTCTGTCACAGCTACTCAAATCTGCTATAAAAGCGCCAAAGCTGCCACAGACAATATGTAAATAAAATGGGTGTAGCTATGTCCCAATAAAGCTTTATTTGGACCTTGAAATTTGAATTTCATGTCATTTTCATGTCATAAAATATTGTTTTGATTTTTTCCACCATTAAAAATATAAAAAGCATTCTTTGCTCACAGGATGTACAAAAATGCATGTATGAAAGGCTGAATTGGGCTCATGGGCCATAGTTTACTGACCCCTGGTCTACAGAAGGTGGTTTTTAAATACCCAGCTAGAGTGCTTTAAGGACTCAGGAATATTTGCCTTAAATATGATGTAAATGTTCTCCTAATCTGACAGTAAGAGTTAAGAATATAATATTTAATATTTCACCTAGAAATGAAGAACTATTGTTAAGCTACTCTATTAGTGAAATTTGTGAATACTTAAAACATGCAGGTATTTGCTGCCAGACACAGATTAGCTAATATCTACATTTTCTAGCAAAGACATTAGATTAAGAAAACAAAAGTAAGGGGAAATAATTTTCTTCTGGTTTCAGCTTAATCAATTGTTGAAGTGTGTTTTAGAGTGATGACAATTGGAAAGGTATTAAATATACTTCATTTCCCAATAATACATAACAACTTGCCATCCTGCTGCTAGAAAGCCTTTGGGGTTACCATTTATGTGACTTTATTAAAACCTGCCTTTATGGGTAGAGAATTGAAATACCTTAAACATAGCTTAACTATTAACATTTGCAAAGCTCCAATTTGATTTGAACACTAATCCTCTAAGTTAGAGACTTGGAATTATTTGTTCTATTCTTTATTTTCCTTTAGCAAATTGCAGCTTTAATTGACGTAATTATAACTCCCACAGATTCCGCATGAATGGTCACAGTGTAAAGAACATAATATAATTTCTACTTCTGTCTGGTACATTAAGACCCAGCAGGAACTGAGGAAATTAGAATTGTCAAATTAGAAATTTCCAGTTCTCACAAATACATGTATTTAAGTGGATGCCCTGCCATATGTAGTTTAAAACATGCTGTAATGGGCACTGCTGGTAGCCACCACATCTTCTAAGATCCCTTTTACTAACTTTGTGTGTCCATCCCTTGGCTTTTGTGGGCTTTGCTGCTAGTGACTGGCACCTGTCCCCTTTGTGCTGAAGCCAGCTCACACATGCCAGAAGTGCCTGAGACACTTAGCCATTGACTGGTGTGTGAGTACCAATGCCCAGAGCCTTTGCCTCATGGTGGAACAAACTCTGAGGTATAATTTACCCTCCCAAGCACCCCGTGGGATCTAGGCTGACCCTGGGACTCCACCCAAAACTACACCCTTGCTTGGCTTCTTCCCCTTCCTACTCCACTACTGTTCTGGCTTCTTTCTAAAGCTCTTCCCTACAAATCACTAGCACTCAAACCCTTAGCTCTGTCTGCTTTGTGGAGAATACAACCTAAAACATATGCAATTGTCTAAATGCTGCTGGTAACAGCTACGGCTACCTGGACAAACATGCCTTGGTTTTTGTTTTACCTTTTCCCTTATAGTATTGGCTGTGTGTCAATACACCCTCCCTGTCCCAGTGCCATGAATGCCTTTGCAGAAACAGTCATAAGCTTGCCTATGAGTAGGATCTCTTTAAACTTACCTTTTGTTTCTCTCTACCTCCCCCATTACTTCTCCATACCTTCTTCTGAGGGACTGAGCCACTGGGAGACCTCCTGTGACCTGCCATGATGGGTCATTTTTAGCATCACTCCACTATACCCACTGTTTCCAATTCACTGACATTCCATCACCCTTTCATATTGCATGTAGCCTGTTGGAGTTCAATCAACCTATATTTACTGAGCACCTGCTTTGTGTGCTTATTCCTCATAGGAAATGTGGAAGTGGAAGGCGTCTGGACAGACTAGCATTTGAGTTCTAAATCACAGTACTGACAAGCTGCACAACCTTGAACCATTCACTAGACAAGATGCATTGAGCTTCATTTTTCTGATCTATAATGAAGGAATTGATGCCTCCTTTGGAATTTGGTGAATGGATGTGGCTTTTTGTTTGAAATGGGGGTGTCTATTACATATCAGTCAAGGGCATGCCTGTCTCCAGCTCCCAGCTCTGTGCTAGCTGTGCTGCTCTCAGTAAGTTGCTTTTTGCCTATTTTCTGTAAAACAGCATTTATAGTGGTACCTGACTCAGAGTTGTTGTGAGGATCAAATAAGTTAATATTTGTAAAACAAATAAGGAGCACTTGATAAATGTTCACTGAAAAGCATTCTCCTATGTGTATATTTACTTATGGATTGAGTGGTTTAAGCCATGTGCTTGGCTATTTTTTTTTTTTTTTTTGAGACAGGGTCTCACTCTGTCTCCCAGGCTCCCAAAGGTTTGGGACTGCAGGTGTGCACCACCATGCCCAGCTGATTTTTCTTTAATTTTTTGTAGAGATGGGGTCTGCCTATGTTGCCCAGGCTGGTAATTATTTTTATTTAAATTCTTAATAAGCTTTAACTAATAATCATATGAAGACATAATAAAATAAAAATTAAAATCACAAAGAGATACTCTTTCTCAAGTTGACTAATTTGTTTAACCATTCAGTGCTGGCCAAGGTACATTGAAATACTCAGAGGCATTTTAATAGCCTAACTTTCTGGAAGGTAATTTAGCAATATTCCTAAATCCTTAAAATTATGCATACCTTTTGGATCATTTATCTTATGGCAATGAATTTTGTTGGGATAATAAGATATGTAGTCATTGTAGTGAAAGATGGATGTATGAGGATGTTCACTTTAGTGGTAGTCATAGTAGCCAGTAATTAGAAATAATCTAAATATCCAATTAGATAAGAATAATTAAAATTTGGCATATCCTTACTATGTGATTCTTTTCCACCTGGAAAAGAAAAATCATATTTTCAGTAATTTTTAATGACACAGGAGATTTTTAATAAGAAAATGTTAAGTAAAAATGCTATTAAACTATAAATGAGACACTCTGTAATTATATTAGTTACCTATTGCTATGTAATAAAGTACTTCAATCTTAGCAGCTTAAACCACACACATTTGTAATCTCAAAGATTTTGTGGGTCAAGAATCCAGGCACAGCTTAGCTGAGTCCTCTGCTCAGACTTTCACAAAGCCATGATCAAGGTGTCACTGAAGTGGGGGTTTCATCTGGAGGCTCAACTGGAGAAGGATTCACATTCAAGCTCACCCACATGGTCATTGGCAGGATTCAATTCCTTAAGAGTTATGAGACTGAGAAATCAGTTCCTTGCTGGCTGTTAGCCAGAGGCCACTCTCAGTTTTTTGTCATGTGGACCTCTCCAGTATGACAGCTTACTTCATCAAATCCAGCAAGATAGAACCGGCTAGCAAGTCAAACTTCACAATCTTTTGTGACCTCATCATGTAAGTGATGTCCTCCCAAAGTTGTCATCTCTTATTGGTTATAAGCAAGTTATACGGAGGGGATTACACAAGGCTGTGAATGCCAGAAGGCAAGGATCACTGTATAGTATATAAATAACACAAAAGACTACTTCAAGGAAACATACCCAAATAGTCCAAGTAATTATCTCTATAATAAAGGATTATGAGTGGTTTTTGGTTTTGTTTCTACATTTTTTTGTATTCTATGAGATTTTTTTAAAATGAGCATATATTACTTTTATAATTAGAAAAATATCCACTTTATATTTTTAATAAATACTTAGTAAAATTTAATTATAATTTTGCTCAGAATGCTACAATTAAGATATTCTCAAATGATCCTTTCTATGATAAAGTACTGCTAGTAAAGGTCTGGTTGTTGTTAAAATGTCTAAATCTGAGTGGACACTTTCAAACATCGGGTGACTAAATGGGTACTCAGGCCATAATTAACTATATTTGGCTTGATTCTTATCCCTTTCTACTGTATAAGATTATAAACCCAGAAGAAATCTCTTTAAATAACCAGCATTTTTGGCACCAATATCCATTATTTTATTCACAAACATAGAGAGGAATGTTACTATGAAGGTAAAGCAACTCAGCAAGAATGTGTTCTCTCTTCACTTTGGGCGTTGCAATATACCTAAGTGCTTCAGCAAGACAGAAGGATAGGACATATCCCTTGTGCTCAAGAAGGTTGCATTCTACTTGGTAAGAGAGAACAAATACATGTCAAATAACAGCAACAATTGTTTCCTTGAAATATATAAAACATCTTAATTTCTGACATGCTGGCACCTCAATGCCTTAATTCAGGTAAAATATAAACAAAGTACTCTAAAGAGCCTTCTTAGAGAAAACTTCATCTGGGCCGTCAAAAGTGGGTAGCACTTGACTACACATGGAAGGAAGGAGAACAATACATTCCAGGTGAGGGTTAACAGGGACAATTCAGGTTATGCCTGTTATTTTAGTGTAATTATTAATAGCGCCTCTTTTCACTTTCCAAAATGCTACAATTTTGACAACAAATTATATGAACACCCTAAGTAGAGGCCATTTATGTTCACTAAATTAAGTCAACCTGCTCAACAGATAATAATTACTATCACCATCAACAAGAGAATGCTTGTTCATTCAGATTATTTGTTCATTCATTGGGTGTGAATTTAACTTAAAAGGGTAATTTGTTTTAATATTTTTACTGTCAGCGCAGACTAATAGCCAATTAGAGATATGGGCTATAAATCAGAGCACTTTTTCATATTATTTTCTTTCTTTACTGTAGAGCTAGCAAGATACTACAGTAGGTACTAGGAAGGCTCCTAAAGCTTCCCGGTAACAAGCCTATCTAGAGTTTGTAGGATGAAAAAAGGTCTCCAATGACTTGGGGAAAAGGGTTATGTGGATTTTCTAGGATTCTCAAGGACAAGGATTGAGATAGGGTTTCTTCTCCAGTTTTCTTTTAAGAAACAGAGTGTAAGGCTCACAGAATTAAATGATTTGCTTGTTTAAAATCAATTAAGATTTTGAAAAAGTGCTGCTGTTTCCCTGGTCATCAGATCAAGGCTCAGGTGGGCATCCACATTTTTCAGTATAATGTGAAACTCGAAGTACTAAATCAACCATCTTTCAGAATTCTTGTCATCACAAGAGAAGCACAACTTGTTACAAAGAGTACACTGGTAACCATAAAATATGAAATTCAAATTTTGGTCAGGCCAAATTTAACAATAACTTCAGTCAACCAAATATGTTGCAGAAAATTTTAGGCCATGATCAATTTGTTTAAAATATTTCTACAATTTCACTTTGTGCAAAGTGAAATTAAAAGGCCCTCACAACATCCAAGTTGAAATACCTACTAATAAAAATGTTGCTTCAATGTAGTACTTTATTTATAAACTTATAGGCTGTAAACTTACGCAGAAAATCTTGACTGAAAGGAGAAAAATAATCTATTAACAAACAGGCCATTTACAGTTGCAAGATGATGATTTTTTTAAGAGCCATTTTTAGAAAGATCCTTATTGCCCAGCATCCATTACTTAGCATGTCATGGGTTTTTATCATGGTCTGACTACTGGCAGCAGACCTCAAACATAAGAGAGTTGAAATGGCCAAGTTGATGTTCAGGGCAATTCCACTAAACTCTGGCAAAAGGCAACAATAATAATATTTGGCATAAAATCCTACCATTTTCCCAGCCACTGCTGGGAGTCCAACAGTTAGCTTTAACAATTCATAAACTTTTTAAAGTTTTATTCTAAATTTTGCTTTCATTTTCATTCCTCCTGTATTATTCCTCTAATAACGTATGAAAAGAAAAACCATTAACCTAATTATTTGCACTCCTATTCAAGAGCTCCTATTCAAACCTACTACACTACCAGAAAACAAAGATAAAATTAACTCTTAATAATAAAGAGTTTGAACTCAAATGGGTCCATGTGAAAAGCTCAAAGACATTTTACTGGGTTTAAATAAAATTCTGTTCAGCTTCTCCCCAAACCTAATTGGATTTTTCAGTAATTGATTTTATCCTATCCTCTGAATTTGTTAGCTGTAATTTTGATTTTTTTTTTTTGGCATTTTAAGTCTTCTTAATTACAAGTAATTAGGTGGCTTCAATTAAAATGATTCTTTTGGGATTCTCTCAAATTGGTTTCACAAATGTTCAGGTAATAAATCGTGATGAATTTCTCCTTATGGAGAAAGAAAAATGAGAAAGATGTTCAATAATACAAATCAGCTGTTTTTATCAAAACAATATGGTCAAAGCTGAAAGAATGATGATTTTTCAATGAAATCAAGAGAAATCTTATTTTTAATTCCCAAGAGGAAGCAAACCAGAGGCTTAGGCAGATAGAGATAGCTAATAACACAAGTATGGCATCCAGTGGTTGGGCACCCTTTGAAAGCAAAATGTAAATAGGTATCACCAGAAGAAACAAAAGTGGGTAGAAAAGGTTGTTCTCAGGGATTTAGCATCTAGGAATATATACTCTAATGTAAAATAAATTCTGACTAACATTTTCAGTTGGACTGAAGAAAATGACAAAGTCAAAAAAGAACAAGGGTAACGCTGAAAAATATACACAGAAGCAATGAAAATTCAGTGGCCTGAGGTGAACTTGCCTGCCTTAAATTTTTGAAAGTTGTTTACAAGTCAGCACACGTTAAAACCTGAAGCTTGAAATAGTGTTCAGGTTCTATGTGCAAATAACCAAACTTCAGGTATTTAGATGAGTTGTCCACAAGACACACAACTAATTTGAACTGTTTAGACACTTTTAGTGATTACTGTCATCTGAAATTCATTCTATACCCCCTATTAAAATCTCTACTTGTTTTCAGTTGCAAAAATAATTCTTCCCAGTATGTGTCCTAAGAACAAGGAGTCAACAAGCATACAGAGAAAACAGGGCCAAATTATTACCACCCCTCCATATTAAATGCAAGTTTTAGTCCCCAACCCAAAGGAAGAAGATAGTAATTTCTAGCAGATAAAAGAAAAATTATATATAGCCCAAGACTATTAAATACAAAGTCATGTCAAAACATCTTATGTACCCCATAAATATATACACCTACTATGTATCCACAAAAATTAAATGTAAAAAGTATTTTTAAATAAGTGTATTCACTAGTAAAAGTGGTCAAACTACTAAATTTATAAATTAGAGTGAATAAGACCTAATGGATAATGAACACCATTTTTAGATAAACATTAGGCTGCGGAGGAATGCCACACTTGTAAATGGGAAAGTTTATAATTTAGCTAATCTGAAAATTGGAGGCTACAAGAAGCATGGATTGACAGCCTCATTTGAAGGGATTTCTGACTGCCAAAAATCAGGAATTTAAACCCAGAGTCTAAGGAATGTGAAAGGGTAAGAAAGTGACAAGGCAGTAGGAATGGAAGGGAGAAAAAACATAAGTCTGAAACAAGGGAAAAAACATAAGTCTGAAACAAGGGACATTGGGGCAGATTATGAAAAGAGTATAAATTATTTTACAATTATGCCTTATTTTTTTATTGTACTTTAAGTTCTAGGGTACATGTGCACAATGTGCAGGTTTGTTACATAGGTATACGTGTGTCATGTTGGTTTGCTGCACCCATCAACTTGTCATTTACATTAGGTATATCTCCTAATGCTATCCCTCCCCCAGCCCCCCACCACCCGACATGCCCCGGTATGTGATGTTCCCTTCCCTGTTTCCAAGTTGTCTCATTGTTCAATTCTCACCTATGAGCGAGAACATGCAGTGTTTGGTTTTCTGTCCTTGTGATAGTTTGCTGAGAATGATGGTTTCCAGCTGCATCCATGTTCCTGCAAAGGAAGTGAACTCATCCTTTTTTATGGTTGCAGAGTATTCCATGGTGTATATGTGCCACAAAAAAATATGCCTTCTTGATTAGACAGCTGCACTGTGGTTTAGCAACAAATTATCATGGGACTTCATTTTTGTTATATACTTTACAGTATATATCTGTGAGAGAAAAAGAAATAGATAAATTAAGAGAGATGGGGGATTGAGAAAGATTGAAAGAAAAAGAGAGATTGAAAGGGACAGAGACATGGAGAAAAAGAGAGAGAAAGAGAGAGAAAGATAATCACCAACCTGCTCCTGACCCCCCACCAACTTCTAACCCCAATGCCCCTGGCCTTAACCATTGGATTTTTAAAAGTAGATCAGAACCATACTTAACATTTTAAAAGCCTCCTTTCAAGCTTAAGCCATTTTTTGTTAAAAATTTTAAGTGATCTTTAGTAAGCAAGAAGGTCATGCTACAGCTATGATTTTGTGCCAGAAAAAAAGTACATGTTTAGATGACTGCTGATGTTAATAGAGGAATGAATCCTCTCACCACTCTTTTATTCAATGTGTTCTCTTACAGTAATTTTTTATCAGCTTCTGATTCCTTAGTTTTAAATCTAACAAAATGTAAAGGAGATGTAAGAACAGTGCCCCGGGAAAGGAAACATGAATATTCCACTCCCTACTTCACCCTCACTGCTCTCTCATCAGGCTATTTGTTGATTCAATGTCCATTGCTCAAGAACACATCAACTTGGCATCTGCATTATTTTCTAGGCTTGTGTCTGCATTTTGCCTCCCATCTGAACATTACAAAAACCCCAAAATACTCATTTATTCAGTGAGTTGAAGAAAAATTCTCGTACACTGGAGTTGGGCGTTCAGCCTAACTCTGTTTCTTTGCTTCCAAAAGTCATAGTGTTTCCAAAATTGAATACATAAATGCAAGTCTGATGAAGAACAGTGCTGCCTCGCCTTAAATAACTTTCTACTGTAAATTATGTGACGGGGCAAACACAGATAAGAAAATAAGAGGTTTGCTCAAATGTCTAAACACTTGCTTTCTGGTTTTGCTGCTTTATCCTATAACTGGGACTCCTGTCATAATTTCACACACACGGTGAATTTCATACCCATCTTCCTTGGAGTTGCTGTTTAGGCTGCTTCTCTCCTGGAGGCATTGTTTGTTTCTTCCCCAACCTCAAACACCCAGAAGAGTCTCCAATTCATATATTGACATTCTGTTCTGTCTACCTCCAGAGGCAGCTCAAAGTACCCCCATCTGTGAGGTCTTCTTTGTTAACTCTCAGTCATCCCAAATTCTCCCTTATCTAAATATATATGGAATTGGCAGGCATCCTTATATAGTTTTATCCCAGTTTAATATTGATGTGTTATTCTGTAAATTTCCCTGTGTCCTACCTACCTAGAATGGTAAGCTGTATGAAGGTTAAGGCAGTTTTACATCACAAGCCTGTGTAAGTGACAGGGGCATGGGTGTTTAACAAATACTTGCTGGCACAGAGATTGAGTAACCCATTTTTTTTTTCTGGACTAGTAAGTGGGAAAAAAATATAGGGAGAAGACTTGTCTTTGGAACCAGTGGTCCTTAGTTATCTGATTTCACAAAGGATCACAATGTAAAAATTATATTCTGCCTCAGGAGAAACATGGGGCAAATATGGCCTCTTACTTTGACATTCACCACATCCTTCAAATTGGCAGTCCCCCTGAATTAACAGTAACAAGGATTTGCCAAAATGATACAGGGAATGGAGAGAGCAAAATTCTCTTCCCTTGCATAGAAGCAGAGCAATTTCTGGTTCCAAAAAGATGGCCCAAATGGGAGAAAATGTTTTCCAAAGACACTTATCTTGTCCTTAAGTATGAGCAGCAAGTAGCCTGGGACTTGGCATATTGACAACGGTGGCTAGTATCTCAAAGTCTCAACATTTAAGGATAACCTTTTCTTTGTGATATGCTAAACTGTCACTTTCAACCTGAAGAAGGTCGCATCACACATTAACAGCTCGGTCAAGTTAGCAGATGATGCAATAAATTTGGTCATATAGATATTGCAAAACTTCAGAGAAGAATAAACAGTTTAAAAGCATGTATTTAAATTATGTGAAAAATGCTGGTACACGCATTATAAATATTTCCACAAGCTATCTTTGGAGCATTTCACCAAGACATACATTCTGCATGTTTGAATAGATGCAGTAGAAGGAAAAAAGGCAATATTCTCTTTGTTTAAATGCTCTTATGCTGAAGAGTTTTAACAGCCTCCCGGGAAGGAAGCATAGAAAGTACTAAAGCAAATTCTAAGCGTGTCCACGTTGTTTCTGCTCAGCTGCATTTAATTATCAATCATATCATCATCACTTGCTTTCTCTTCTTTTCTCATCATGTGTTTTCTCCCCATGGAAAAAAAAATACCATTTAAAAAGATAGCAAACATCCAGAGTTTTTCTACATTGCTTGACAGACCGATTTTACCCTTTCTTTTACTTCTTTCAGACCATAAGTACGGATCCATTTTCTCTTTTTCAATTCACGTTTGAATGCATGCTGATACCAAGTATATGCAATACATCATATATTGAATATTAACTATAAGATTTAATTTTTAATAGATGTAGTACATCTTGGAAACAATCCACAGAATTTGCACAATCACTTCAAAATACTTAGCTACAGATGCTGGAGACCTATTCCAACTTGGGTGCCATCACTTAAACGTATCTACAGCTCTGCTTTTGAGGAACTCTCCTAGAATGATTACTCATAACATGTCCTATATTCACTGTGTTTAGGCCAAAAAATATATATTCCTAGAAAAATCAACTATCATATTTGCCAAACGTGCCTAAGCAATAAATTTGTTTAAGCCTCAATGGACTCAGAAATTCCAATGCTACATATATACCCAAGAGAACTGAAAACATGTATCTACACAAAGACTTGCACAAGAATGTTCATAGCAGTATTATTCATAATAACCAAAAAGTGGAAACAACCTAACTATCCATTAACTGATGAATGGATCAATAAGATGTGGTCTATCCACACAATGGAATATCATTCAGTCATACAAAGGAATGAAGTTCAGATACATACTATAACATGAACATGGATGAATCTTGAAAACATTTTGCTAAGTAAAATAAACTAGACACAAAAGGTCACATATTGTATAATTCCATTTTATGAAATATCCACAACTGGAAGATCCACAGAGATAGAAAGTAGATTAGACAGAAACTGAGGGCAAGGAACAGTGGAGAATGACTGCTTAATGGGCACAAGGTTTCTTCTTGGGGGTGATAAAAATGTCCTAAAATTAAATGGGTGAATTATATGTTAGGTGAATTAAATCTCAATAAAGCTGTTTTTTTTAAAACAATAAAGGAAATAATGGGTATAACTGAAATCTACTTAATATGGGTTCTCCTGTAGCATTTCCCTGCTTTTGTTTTTGTGAACAACTCATTTGAGATTTGTCAGAAGGCATTGAGGAAGAAAAGCTGTTTTCTATAGCCATTGCCCCATCCATAGATCCACCACCAAGCTGTCTACTCAACATCAAACACACACAAAAGTTCATACTATAGAGTCCTTTCCCCTGCATGATTCCAGTCTTCCAAATTTAAGAGGATAACACCAGAGCCTTGTCTTCCCTTCTACAGTCTTTCTTCTTAGCACAAAGCTATTGTAAAAAAATAAGTCTAAAATATCCAAAGGTTTGGTAAAAGTCAGAGGTTCCCATCTACAAATAGTGTATTTAATATTTTATGCCAAAAAAATTCTGGACAAGTTTACTCCCTGAAGGACTACTATTTACAATTCTTGCAATTTGGGAAAAAATGTTAGCACCTTTCTAACGCCAGAATTAATCACTCCCTCTTCTTTGTTTCCAAAACACTTTATAAATTTTTTACAACTATTGTTTAACTTACACCAAGTAATATCTGTTTATTTTAGAAAACCTAAAGTACAAAAATGCAAAAGAGGATTTAAATTCACTCAGAGATATTATAATATTTTGATGTATTTTTCTGGGTTCTCTTTTTATACTGCACTCATTTCAAAATTCCAAACCATTTATATATAAAGGAGATTGATTACAGAATCAATCCCTTACATTGTGGAAGAAATTTCCATTAATAGATAGAGTCTATGGCCCAATCCCTTGAATTTGGGCTGCCATGTAGCCTGACCAATAGAAGATAGCACAAGTGACAGTGCATAGTTTCTAGCCTATGCCTCAAGAGGCTTGGAGCATCTTCTTCCTCTCTTACAACTCTGCTTCCACCATGAGTACAAATCTGAGCTAGCCTGCTGGAGAATGAGGCCATAGGGATCAGCATGAATTATCCCCAACAACATGCTAGCTGACCGCATATGCATGAGCAAACCCAGTAGAGATCCGCCACACTCTTTCCACATCAACCAGACTACACAAACCTACAGATCCATGTGCAAAATTAACTATCCATTGTTGCATGAAACCAAGTGTTGTGGTTGTCTGTTATACAACTTTATCGTGGTCATAGATAACTGGTGCAGTAGGTAATTCAATGTTGTACTTTAGGTTCTTAGAAGCTAACTCCACCTAATGAAAAATGGAGTTGTGAAGATATTGGGCAGCTAGCTAAGGGGATCATGGAGAGGCCCAGAACCAAGCTTCCGAGAAAAATTTTCAAAACCACATAATGGAGCTGATCTGGTAATTTAACTGAATTTGGCCATCTTCAAGCTCCAGATGCTATAATTTATGTTGCCTCCCAAACCTAAATGTTACTACAACCACACTGTTACCAGATGGATGCCACTCTCATCAGAAACTCAACTTTGCTGCCACTGCTGCCTGTAAAAGCTAGAAACTTCTGCTTCTAGCCACCCTTGCTAGAAAATAGATGCCTTCATTATGTTCTTACCTAGAGAAATCTAGGAAGAATTTTCTTACAAAAATTAAATCTACCTGATTTTTAAAAAATGGGCAAAGGTCTTGAACAGACCCTTCACCAAAGAGGATATAAGGATGGCCAATAAGTACATGAAAATATGGTCAGCATCATCAACTGTTAGGGAAATTCCAAGCAGAACCATGACAAGATACCACTCATTAAAGATACCACCTATTAAAGTGAAAAAAATAGAAACTACTAATAATACCAAGTGCTGGTAAGGATGCAGAGCAACTGAAACTCTCATATATTGTTGATGGGAATGAAAATGGTACAACCACCCTGGAAAATAGTTTGATAGTTTCTCATAAAGTTAACCATACACTCACTATATGACACAGCAATCCTACTCCTGGAATTTACTCTAGAGAAATTAAAACTTGTATCTACATAAAAACTTGTAAATAAACATTTATAGCCATACTAATTGCCCTCAAATTGAAAACAAGCCAAATTTACTTTGACGGGTGAATGGAAAAACAAACTTGGACATCCATATCATGGAACTTACTACTCAGCAATAAAAAAGAACAAACTATTGATAATGCAACAAGTTGGACAAATCACAAAGACATTATATTGAGCAAAAGAAGCCAGTCTCAAAAGGCTAAATACTGTACAATTCAATTTCTATGAAATTCTTAAACAGACAAGACTATAGTGATGGAGAACAGATCAGTGGTTGCCAGTAGGGGCAGGTTAGGAATGATAAAGCAATCATTCAAGACAGTTTTTTGGGGACACTGAAACTGTTCTGTATTCTGATTGTGGCAGTGGCTACACAAATTTATGCATGTACTAAAATCCATAGAATTATACTCCAAAAGAAAAAAAATCATTTTTTTTGCTATCCCTTATATTAATATGGACTACTCAATGCTCCAAACATCTCATCCACAGTAGCTTCTGGGGGAAACGTTACTTCATTTCTAAAAAAGAGAAACTATAATTCAACAATATGAAGTGGCTACCAAGGTTCTCAGCAATTCATGATTGCCCAACCCCAAAGATGCTATCACAGTTTACATGGAAAATGGTTTTATTTTAAGTCATTGTCTCAGAAATTAGACAAACATACGTATTTTATTTGTCTCTAAACTTTCAAATAAAGTTTCAAATAAAGTTATTTGTCTCTAAACTTTCAAATAAAGTCCTTGGGTGCTCTCCCTCGTTGGCTTTTAGAGCCAAAGAGATGACTGTGAAATTTGAATAAGGTTGTTGAAGACTGCAAAGAAGAAGCTTGGAATTAGGAAAGAGGAGAAGGAGAGGAGTAGGAACAAAGAAGACCTACTAGAAAAGGATGGGCAAGGGGCTGATGATGGTAGGAAGGGTCTATATGACAGATGAGATTTTGTCTTGATTGTAACAGGGACTTCATAACGAAATTAAATGATGTTGTTAATTATTATTAAATGATGTTATTAATGCTTAAGGAAGAGGAAAGCATGGATTAAAACAAGGTTAACCCATCATCCAGGAAAGTAGTTAGAAGGTCCAGTGTATTAAACTGTTTTCACATTGCTGTGAGGTTTGACTCACAGTTCCACATGGCTGGGAGGCCTCAGGAAACTAACAATCATGGTGGAAGGCAAAGGGGAAGCAAGGACCTTCTTTGCATGGTGGCAGGAAAGAGAAAAGCGAAGGAGGAACTTCCACACACTTATAAAACCATCAGGTCTCTTGAAAACTCACTCGCTAACATGAGAACAGCATAGGGGAAATCACCTCCATGATCCAACCACCTCTCTCCATGTAATACCCATGGGTATTACAGGTCTCTCCCTCCCTCGACACATGAGGATTAAAAATCAAAATGAGATGTAAATGGAGACACAGAGCCAAACCATATCACCCAGCATGAGAGACAAGGGCCATGCCCGGTGGAACAGAGAGAAAAGGCTAAATAGGAACATTGCCTAGAACAGGAGACAAGTCTTGGGGGTCATTTCAATACAGAATATAAACGCTGAGGAACAATAAGAAATGTGTTCAAGATTCCAAGGTTACAAAAATGGTTATCACAGAAGAAAACAGGAAGGTTTAGAGAAAGAACTGGTTGCGGTTTGTATATTCATGTATTTACTTTTCCTTTGTTGGGGGAAAGGGTTGGTAATTATTTTAAATATTTAGAGTTTGAAGTGATGGTGGAATCAACAAGTAGAAACATTTTGTTTGCAAACAGAAATATGGAACTAGGGTTCAACTGGGGAGAGAAATAACAATTTTTACCTCTAAAGGATAGAAATGATAGTTGAAATAAACTAAGACATGACATAAGCCAAACAAACAAAATTGTTGAGAAAACTCATTTCTTCCATTTGACTAAAATATTTTGACAAACATGAATATCTGATTTAATCTACAAATTCCTACCATGAAAGCACATTATGAACATCTGTTTTAGTGTCACTTCATTTTAAAGGAACCTTTATATTTGTCTTCCAAAATATATTTAATTAGTGAATATCATACAAAATGATGGCATCAATTTTTGTCAATCAAGAGAAATACCTAAGTTAAAATCAAACTCATAGGTAACAAGATCAGTATATTCAAGGAATGCAGTATAAACCAGACACGTTCTGCTCCTCTTTGCAAAGCACCTTCCGATACCATACTTTGTTCTCTAGAGATGTTAACGTAATTGCTGAGGATGCTTGCCAGTGGTATTTTTTCCAATGGTATTTATTATAAAACAATCCTGGCAAGTGAAAGAAAACAGCACACACTGCTAATATTTTGGTAGATTTGTGTGTTTATTCTAGCACTGTTAATAAGAGAGAAGTAAGCAACCAATGAGCACAGAAGAATGCTGCTGATGTAAATGAATATGTACTCAAAGCTTAGCTCTTCCTCCCCCTTCTGACAGGGGAATGACAAGGAGTATTTTCATCTTGGATTTCTCTTAGCCTCCCACATTAACAAATGCAGCACCCAAAGACATGCTGTTGATGCCCCGAGGCGGCAATAAGGACAGACAAAGCAATAGCCTGCCAGAGAGCTTCCCATGTAATGGAAAAAAAAGGGCAGGCGAATCCAAATTACAGAGAAAGAGAATCCAGCTGAAGGGCCAATGAAGTCAGTTGGCTGCTAATGAGGTCACTGTTATAAGGTGGCTTTCTTCAGTCCCTCAGCACAGCCTTCAGTATTGCATCTTATCAACACGCATATGGCCATGCTACCAGGCAGACAGGACAGGAGAATGTGGGCTGATTGGGTGAAAAGCATCATCAATAAAAGAAACATTGTATTTTACTAACATAGATAAACAGTGACACTTGGTGTTCAAATGATGTTTTATGTATTCTTCCAAGTATCCCATTCTAATCATGCAAAATCAGACAAACTGAAACCGAGGGACATTCTACAAAATACCTGACCAATACTTTTCAAAAGTGGCAAGCTCACGAAAAATAAATAAAGACAGATTGGAGGAGACCAAGAAGCCTTGCCAACCTGATGTAATGTGAGATTCTGCATCAATCAGGTCCTGAAGCAGGAAAAGGATATTAGCGGAAAAACTGATAAAAATCCAAGTAAGTTCTATATTTCAGTTAAAAGTATTTCAAAGTTACAGTTAGACAGGAAAAATAAGTTCTGATGTTCTATTGTACAGTAGGGTAACTATACCTAATAACAATAAAGTGTACATTTCAAGATAGCTAGAAGGTATAGAATGTTATCTCCACAAATAATAAATGTCTACAGTGGTAGACAGAGTAATTACCCTGATTTGATCATTATACAATGTATACATGCATTGAAATATCACACTGTACCCCATAAATATGTACAACTGTTATGTATCAATTATAAGTTTTGTTAAAGTATTAATTAAAAACATTACCAAGATTGCCCCAGTAATAAACCTGTTGCCAAAGTTTGTTTCTTAGTTCCCATGAATGTAGAGGATAAACTACATTGTATCATAATTCTTCAACTACTACTTATTTTCCCTACAGTTTAAAAAACCTAAAGTTGCATCTTACAATTGCTCTTTACATTTACCATAGTATTGTTGCCTTTCCTCTTCCCGCTGAAGCATTATAAAATTGATGTACACCTTCCTATAACATTTGAGAACGAATTAAAGTAATAAACAATAAATACTTCTACATGACCCCTTATAGCTTGTGTACCCTCAACCAATTCATTTCACAAGCTCCTACAAAGTACATACTGTTATACTCCCCTTAAACAACTGAGAAAACTGAAATTCACACCTAATAAATAGTGGCACTGAGATTTGATCCTAGGCTTGTCTAAGATCATATTGTCCTTCAGTTATGTTTTTGAGTAGCTAAGATTGTGGGTGACTGATTCTAAATGCTACTTCCCATGAGCCTGTGCTAAAGTTTTTGAGTTCTGCTACAACTGTGCTGGGCAGTTCTGTGCAAGCTCGGACTGACGTTGTGTGCTGCTAGTGATTCATCTCTAGTGCACACCTCATCATATGTAAGAAGCATGTGGAAGTTAAAACCCCAGAAGCAATCTTAAAAAATGGAAGATGGAAACCAACAGAGACATTCTCCAGCTTCCCTTCCTTTAGCTCGTGGCAGATTAAAGAAGACCACAAATTCTTTGTCACTTCTTCCATCAAGGGGTAGACTCTTTTTCCCTTGCCCTAGAATCTGGGCTGGCCCTGTGACTCACTCTGATCAAATACCATTAGACCAACATTCAGTGAAGAAGCCCAAACTAGTCAGTTGGAGAGAGAAGGGCCACATGGAGGATCACTGAGGCACCACACATGTGAATGAAGACACCTTGAACTTTCCAGGCATCCCAGACACCAGCTGGAAGCAGCCAAGTGAGCGAGCCCAGCCAATGCCATGCAGAGCCAAAGAACTACCCAGCTGAGCTGTGATCTAATTCCTGACCCACAGAATCATGCCACTAAGTTTGGAGGTGGTTTGTTATGCAGCAATAGAGAACTAAAACATGGGTAGATCATCTCGATAGACATTCTACACATTTTCCAGCAGTCCTGGTGGAACTTGAATCATCCCTTTTTCCACAATTACAACTTCCAAGATACAGCTTTACTTCCCCTCCTTCCCCATTTCATTATCCCTTTTTCTTCATTACTCCTTCCTGAGAGCACCTCCCAAATAAACTGCTTTCACCCAGATCCTGCCTTTGGGAAAACTCAGACTAAGAAACAGAGCTTTTGCCACTCTTATCTTTTCTTCACAAAGTTTTAAAAACTTGTATTTTCATAAAAATAATGTAACCACATTGCTCCAATTATATATGGTAATAGCCAACCTTTCATTTTTTATTATAAAGCAGTTATTAAGTTAAAAGTTACATGTATGTACATATAGACAGGGAAATTATACTAATAGAGTGTGATCTAAAACTCTGTAAGAAGTCTTTTTAAATAAAATGAAAAAATCAACTTTCTGCATTATAAAAATATTGCATAGAAACATTTAATTAATTAATTGGAAGGAATCTTTGCAAATATATTGTTAATTTTCTTCTTGACCATTCAACTTTCTTTTCTTTTTTTTTTTTTTTTTTCCTAAGACAGAGTCACACTCTGTTGCCCAGGCTGGAGTGCAATGGCACGATCATGGTTCACTGCAACCTTGAACTCCTGGGCCTATGCAATCCTCTTGCCTCAGCCTCCCAAGTAGCTGGGACTATAAGCACCCACCACCACACCTGGTTAATTTTTAAAATTCCTTTGTAGATATGGGGTCTCACTATGTTACCCAGGCTGGTCTCAAACTTCTGGCCTCAAGTGATCTTCCTGCCTCAGCCTGCTTTCAAGGGGATTACAGGTGTGAGTCACTGCACCTGGCCCAATCATTCAACTTTCTTATTCAATGAACTTTTTAAAAAATAACTTTATTTTTAGATTGGTTTTAGATTCAGTCAATGAACATTTATATAAGCAGCATCTACTATATCTTTATATAAATTAGAAATGATAACCTCATAAGGAGAGTAAAATACACAGTAGGATTTTAAACATTTTCTGTAAAAAAGGCTATTTCTTGATGAGGAAAGGCAAACTAGACAATCAAGATCCATTGACTCTCCTGCATCCGGCTCTCCCCAGGGAGCACCAAAACAGAATAGCTCAAAGAAAATGAACTATTTCACATTTTTTAAACTTGTAACTCTGAATAACTAATTTCAGCTAAAGAACCCTGAACAAAAACCTAAATATTTGATTACTTCCATAACACTATACCTATCTTTCACCATACACTTTCAGCTACATGAGAAAAAGTAATATATTTACAATTCAATCATAAATTAGAAGATTAAAATATTGCCATTGCAGCAGAACAACAATATATTTGCTGAGCTCATGCCTTGGAGTGTCTGGAGCTGGTCTGGGATTCATATCACACTTTGTGACCTTCAAGCCTGTGGATAATCTTCATATCACCTTTCATGTTTACTTTCTCAGCATTTTGACACATTCTGACAATATCATTTATTGACAATATATTAAAACATTAGAAGCCAGATTCAACACACCTCCTTGAGGACTTGCTGAAATATCTAGAGTAACACTCTGATATGATATGAAAACTGTATCTGTCTTTGAGCTCTCTTATAAATCATGAAATGCAGAAACCTGACTCATTGCATCAGCAGCGGGAATCTAGAGACTGTGAGTACTAATCCTAGGTTCTTTAACTTTTATTTTAGGTTTGGGGTACATGTGCAAGTTTGTTACATGGGTAAACTTGTGTCACGGGGGTTTAGCTATACAGATTATTTCATCACCCAGGTATTAAGCCTAGTACTCATTAGTTATTTTTCCTGATCCTCTCCCTCCTCCCACTGCTCACCCTCAGGTAGGCCCCAGTGTCTGTTGTTCCCTTCTTTGTGTCCATGAGTTCCCATAATTTGGCTCCCACTTATAAGTGAGAACATGATGGTATTTGGTTTTCTGTTCCTGTGTGAGTTTGCTAAGGATAATGGTCTCCAGCTCTATCCATGTTCCTGCAAAGGACATGATCTCATTCTCTTTTATGACTGCAGAGTATTCCATGGTGTGTATGTACCACATTTTCTTTATCCAGTCTATCATTGACAGTCGTTTAGGTTGATTCCATGTCTTTGCTATTGTGAATGGTGCTGCAATGAACAGGGATGTGCATGTATCTTTATAAAAGAAAGACTTATACTCCTTTGGGTATATACCGAGTAATGGGATTGCTGGGGTTAGATGGTAATTCTGTCTTTAGGTCTTTGAATCACCCCACTGTCTTCCACAGTGGTTCAACTAATTTACACTCCCACCAGCAGTGTATAAGCATTCCTTTTTCTCCACAACCTCGCCAGCATCTGTTATTTTTTTACTTTTTAATAGTAGCCATTCTGACTAGTATGAGATGGTATCTCATTGTGGTTTTGATTTGCATTTCTCTAATCATCAGTGATGTTGAGCTTTTTTCATAGGATTGTTGGCCACATTTATGCCTTCTTTTGAAAAGTGTCTGTTCATATCCTTTGCCCACTTTTTAATAGCGTTGCTTCTTATCTTGTAAATGTGTTTAAGTTCCTTATAGATGCTGAATATTAGAACTTTGTCAGATGCATATATTGCAAAAATTTTCTCCTATTCTGTAGGCTGTTTACTGTGTTGATAGTTTCTTTTGCTGTGCAGCTCATTAGTTTAATTAGATCCCATTTGTCAATTTTTGCTTTTGTTGCAATTGGTTTTGTCTTTGTCATGAAATCTTTGCCCATGCCTATGTTCTGAATGGTATTGCTTCAGTTGTCCTCCACGGTTTTTACAGTGTTCGGTTTTACATTTAAGTCTTTAATCCATCCCAAGTTAATTTTTGTATATGGTGAAAGGAAAGGGTCCAGTTGCAATCTTCTGCATATTGACTAGCCAGTTATCCTAGCACCATTTACTGAATAGGGAATCCTTCAACAAACCCAACAAAAACAAGCAATGGGTAAAGGATTCCCTGCCTAAACCTAGTTTCTATAAGCAGTTTGCAAAATACCTTTGGGGGCAAGAGTTTAACTTTCGTTTAAAATATTTTCCAGTTGTAGTTGGATATATTCACAATTCTCATCTGCCAGAAAGAAAATATGACCCAAACTTTTGTGTTGATGCTCAGAAAGCAAGCTAGGCCAACCCGTACTTCCCTAGCAACAATAATAATTCAGTATTAGTGATTTTCTGGAAAACCAGAGAGGCAGAATTTGTCTGTAACATGATGAAAGTTTCAGGGAGACTGGTTGTGAACACAGTTCCATGGAGAATTTTTATGTCTATTATAATCTAAAGGCAGAACCATGAAGGTCTCTGTTTGTGGGTGATAGCTAGGCATAGACTGGGGGTGTCATAGATGGGATTTAAGCACGACATGGATGTTTGGAATAGACAGAAGACCTTCAAGGACTTTTTCTTCCTAATATTCTATTTGCTCGTAGAATGCTAAAATCAGTCTAGAAATGCTAATGGAGTTTACATTTAGATTTTGAGCAAAAAGAGAATCTGATTGTAGATAGGATTGTCTTAACTTAGTGCTGCTGCGTTTTTACCCTGGAAAGATGTTGAATGAGATGGGCCTTGAAAAGCAGTCAACTTGGTCTCATGTAATCACTGTAGTATGTGGAAATAAAAACACACCTGGCTTGAAATGAGAAGCACACTGCCATTTACCAGTTAAAGAACAGGGCTCGACTAAGAACTTTTCAGTTTCCAACATTCTAAATATTCTACTAAAAAGTGTCTAAATGCAATGAAGTTACCATGTACTGGAATGAAGGCAGCCCCTTGGCCTATTGGCATGTCTTGGGTTACACCAAATCCACAATACAAGTCTGACAAATTCCTGTGTTCCAAGTCACTAGGCCAAAATGCCTGGAGTGACAGCCTGCTGTCACTCCAATGCCTACCATGAAAACTATACCTTATTTAACAGCTCGCAAAATAAAGTTCCACTTGTTTCCTGCTGTTGTCTCATGCAGCTGGGCTTAACTCACTGACCAAAGTTTCTGGCACACATAGTAGGTGCACGATAACTATTTTTGACTAAAGTAATTCTTTAGCTTAGGTCTTACCTTTGTTGCTTCCTAGTGTGTGACCACATCTCTAATGTTATTTAGCCTTGCACTCCTATGCATCTTTTAGTACTTCCTACGTGCTGGGCACTTTCCAGGTAATTATGACATGAAATCCTCACAAAAACTCTTTGAGGTAGGCACTTTCATCATTCTCATTTGATAGATGAAGAAACTAAGGCAAAAAAGGGGCTTAATAATTTGTTTAATGTCACAAAACAGAGCTGGGATTTAAACCTAGGCAGTCTGGTTCAGAGTCTAGCTGAACCGATTCACTTCATTTTCTCTGCAGCTAAATCTGCCTACCTCTGAATCTGAGTCTCAGTGTCCTCACTCATAAAATGAAGGTTGATACTATCACCCCACAGAGTTGTTCTAAGAACACTAAACTGGCGTGCATTCTACAAATACTAATTGTTATTTTGTTTGTCACCATCATCATCATCCTCACCCATCAACGATTATTTGACTGAAATAAGTGAACAAGAAATCACCTGGAGGTTCTAATTTGAGCAGAATTACACTTTGCTCAGAAAGTCTGCTGGCCCAGTCCAGGATTTCCCTGGACAAAATTACTAGCTATATCAAAGCCCTTGTTATATTAAACGCTGAGGCAGCATGGCTATTGTTGCCTAAGGCTTCTCTTTCCCCTACTCCATCTATATCTGGGCCTCAAAGTACCAGCTTGCCCAATTGTTTTTCAAACCCCTGAGAGATGAAGTTATGAGCAATACAAGCTGAGAACTGATCCAATGCTTATTGACACTTCAGCTCCTATAGGTGGTATTAATTCACCTATTTCCATGAGCTGTCCACTTCTACAGAAATGAAAACATGTTATTTTCTTGGTCCATCAAGCCACATAATTCAATTCACTTCCAATTTCTCTAAAGATGAGGAGAGCTTCTCAGGCTCAGCATTCTCCTCTTGGATCCATCAGCATATCATTCGATAGGTGGTTTCTAGAATTACTGTTACTTCTAACGGCTCCTGAAAATCTTAGGCTTTTTAATAGTTCAGGTGAGATAAGGCCAGGCAATTTTTCAAGATTGTAAGTAGTTTTTAAAATCTCTGCCTCTCTGAAAAAGCAATCTTTTAATAGCTTCTCTGTGCTTGCTTTCAAAGTGCAATAATCAGGACATCGAATTTCCACAGTAACCAATCTCAGAAAATCCCATGGCTGGCTGCCGACGACTCTGTTCAATCTCCCAGAGCCGTTACTACCTCCCTAGTTTCATGTTGAATACATGAAGCTTCAACTGACTATATAACTACTCTTCTACATTTATATTTATGTTTTATTGAAAACAAGATGTGGCAACAACATATTTTCTGAAAATTATAAATATCATTTTTAGGTAAAATTCACAGACCATATAATTCACCCTTTTAAAGTATACAATTCAGTGATTTTTTAAATATATTCACAAGATTGTGCAACCATCACCTGTATCTAATTCCAGAACATTTTCATTACCCTAAGAAGAAACCTTATACCCATTAGCTGTCGCTCCACATCCCTCCCTACCAGCCTCTGACAACAAGTAATCTTTTTGTCTCTATGGATTTGCCTATTCTAGACATTTCATATAAATAGAATTATACAATATGTGGACCTTTGTGACTAGCTTCTTTCACTTAGCATAATGTTTTCAAAATTCATCCAAGGCATAGCATTCATCAGTACTTCATTCCTTTTTATTGTTGAGTAATTTTTCATTAATCACATTTTGTTTAACCATTCATCTATCCGTTGATGAATATTTAATTGTTTCTACCATTTGGCTATTATGAATACTGCTGCTATAACATTCATATACATGTTTTGGTGTGGACATACATCTTCATTTCTCTTAGGTATATACCCAGAAGTAGAATTGCTGAGCTCTGGAGTAACTGTTTTATTTTTGAGGAATTGCCAAACTGTTTCCCAAAGCTGCTGCGTCATGTTACATTCTCACCAGCAGTGTATGAGAGTTCCGATTTTTCTACATCTTGTCAACACTTGTTATTATCTATCTTTTTTTATTATGGCCATCTTAGTGGGTATAAATGATATCTCATTGTAGTTTTGATTCACGTTTCCCTAATAGCTAATGAAAACATCGTTCTTTACCAGATAACACAACTAATTTCATTTTTTCACACATTACATTCCAAGGGTTTTTCTGCCATGTCGTAACATAGTTACAATCACAGTCTCACTCTCTTTATCTAAGTAATGGCTCAGAGAGGATGCAGTAAATTTTAGAACAAGATGTCACGCCCCAAAGGCAAGCCTCTGGGAATCTGGGAGAACTGCTATCTGCATGCAGACTCCCTCAGTCATTGACTAGATTTTGATATGAAACACACTTTCTCTTTTTCAAGCACCAGATTGGAAGAATGTGAATCTCACTATGAAAACATGAGCTTCTGTTTCTGCAAATCCTGAATGTGTCATGACATGTACCAGAGTCAAGCTCATTTATTTGGAGGCACCTGGCTGAGCCATAAAGTACAAATGGAGCCTTCTCAGGTAGATATGGGACCAAGTTATCAAAAGTAAAGTGAGAAGGAGAGGAAACAAAATCTATGTGGGGAATCTTTACATTAAATGGTAAAATCCATATCATTAAGCCCAAAGTCCAGCGAGACTTATTCTTCACCATCTTCCCAATCCCATAATCCATTCTAGTTGGATTTCTCTAAATTCTTGAAGCATGCTATGTTCCCTCTTAAATACACGCCATTCCTTCTCGCAGGAGCTCTGTGCCCTTTCTTTTTGTTTGGCAAATGCCTCCTCATCCAATGATTTCAGCTGAGACATCCCAGACCTGTTTATGCCTTGTATCAGTTTCCTATCGCTGCTCGAAATTACCACAAATTTTGTAGCATAAAACAACTGACATATTCTCTTACAGTCCTCAAGGTCAGAAGTCTCACTGAGCTAGGATCAAGATGTCAGTAGAGCTATATTCCTCCTGAAGGTTCTAAGAATCCATTTCTTTGCCTTTTCCAGCTTCTAGGGGCTGCTACAGCCAAGGGCTGTGGCTGCTTCCTCCATCTTCAAAGCCAGAAGTGTAGCATCTTCAAAATCTCTCTCATTGCCCTATCCCTCCCTCCTTTCCGCTCTCCCTCTTTCTCTCTCTCTGCCTACTTTCATCCTCATATCTCCTTATCTGACTCTGACCTTCCTGCCTCCCTCTTATAAGGATCCTTGTGATGACATTGGCCCCACCCAGACAATCCACGATAATCTCGCATCTGCAAAATCCTCTTTTGCCATGTAAAGTGGCATATTCACAGGTTCTAGATATTAGGACATGAACATCTTTGGGGGACATTGTTCTGTCTACCACAGTCCTCTCGTCAAAATGCAATTAACACTCTGAAAAAACTATAGAGATTAATTGATTTGAAGTTACTGCTTTCATAAACTGGAAGCACCTTGCAGAGCCATACCTATTTGCTCCACCTACATTCCTAGTGTCCATTGCATAGCTGGCATGCGATAAATATTTGATGACTATCTGTGTGAGTGGCCAGCTTGGCTTTGCTGGACTAGAGTTCCTGGGAGAAGGCAGGCTGAGATGATGTTGTAAAAGGCATTGAAATGACTAGCTAAGTAGTTTGGATTTTATTCTGTACACTCTGAGACCCATCAAAGGTTTTCAATCAGGGGTTAACATGATTACAATTGCATCTTTTGAGGATAAGTCCAAGATGGCAACAAGGAGAAACTGAAGGCAGGGTGACCAAGAAGGGGGTCACAGCAAATGAGAACCCAAACTAGGCAGTGACATTGTGAATGAACAGCTGGAGAGAGATGTAAGAACTCAGACACACTCCACTTCAAATCCTTTCTAGAGTGGAGCAAATGGGAAGTACACACTGCAGCGTTCGAAAACTTATGGAAGAATAAAGGAGGAAACAAAAAAGGGAGGAGTAAAGGCATTCTGGCCTGGTAAACCTAGGCAAGCAGAAGAAGAGCGATACCAACCAAAATAAGGAATACATAAAATGAAACATGTTCAGAGGAAATGGGAGGTGATTTGTTCTGTTTCAAACATGTAGAATTTGAGTCCATTGGGCATCCATGAGCAGATATCTAGGAAGAAATCAGAAAATATATATTGGGAGCTCAACTACAAGATTCCAGGTAGGCACAGAGTGAGGAGTCTCCCCCAGAGGGATGATGGTTGAAGTCACAAAAGTGAATGAGACAATAGGAGGGACAATGACCTGAAGGAAAAACACAGAACTGTAGGGTTGGCCAAGACAATCCCAGAGTCAGAGGAGTGGGAAGAAAGGTAAGGAGGAAACCAAGATTCTCTGTGTGTGATGGGGATAGGAGGAGCAGGGAGGGGACGTGGTACTCTCAGTTTTGCCCAGAAGTCTAGCCAAAGGAGTCTAAGAAGATTCTTGGAACTTAGGGAACTTTGAGAGAATAGTTTCAGTACGTAATCAGGATAAAAACTGATTGCCAAGGTTTAAGGTGCTCACCAGAGAATAAAAGCAGTCGTGGTCACTTACTTTTTCCAGAAGCTTGGCAGTTTATATAGAGAGTCAAGAAGGATTTCAGGGTGGTTCTGCCCTTGGCTCTTTGCCTGAGTTTGAGTGGCTTAAGCTTTACAGTCCCTCTCTTCAACTGTAAAATAAGCAATTTGGAGCTAGATGCTACCCAAGGTTCTTTCTGAGTCTAAACTTTGCTCTTCCCAACCCTCAAATCTCAAAATGTTGGTGAAAACTCAATTCTAAGTCATCTGAGAAGCTATCTTCACAGTATTCTCCATTAAAATTAAAAATTGCCTTCAGAAGGAATTCTAGCAGAGAGATAGCCTGAGAGAGAGTGTATGTGTGAAAGTTGAATAACTCTTTTTCCTAACTTAAAAAAACCTTAAGGCATTATACTGATTTCAGACAAAAATCCTTGTAAAACACTTTTTGTCAATTTCTTTTTGAAGCTGTCTTATTCTAATTACTTTCTCTTTGGTGACATGAATGAGCCTCTATTTTTAAACACAATATTTTTCTCTGCTGCATTTTAAAATTTAATTCCAGTTTCCATCATTATATATTTACCATTCACTTCTTCCCTATAGATATATTTAGAAATCCCTTATTTTTTTTCATATGCTCAATACCCATAGAAAGTCATTTTTTTGAATTTCAAAGCCTTGGTTGACATATACTAGATAAGAAGAGGAAAATGACAAAGAGTAAAGCCACAAGCATGAGAGAAAATGGTACTGAAAAGCAAAACCTGGAATTCAGTTTCTTGTATACAGGGCGTCTCAACCTCAGCACTATTGACATTTTATGTAAGATAAGTATTTGTTTGTGGGGGCTGTTGTGTGTGTTGTGGGATGTTTACCAGTACCTTTGGCCTATACCCACTAGACGCCAGTAGCACACTCCTGCCCCAGTTCTGGCAATCAAAAATGCTGCCAGGCATTGCCAAAAGTACACTGTGGTACAAACTTTCTCCTGGTTGAGAACCACTGGTCTTTATGATGATCTCTCTAAAACCCCCAGAGTACAGGGGCCAGATTTTAAGAATTCAAAGATGAGTAACAGTTCTGCTTTCAAGGAGTTCAACAGAGCAAGAAAAACTTTACTAAAACAGAGAAGTGGGAAATATAAAAGTATTATGTTTATATGCCAACTCCCAGTTATTTATAGGATGCATGCTTGGCATGATTTCCCCATGCCCACCTCCTCTGAGGATCTGTCCTCCACTTGTTTTATGCTTCTAACCCATGCTCCCCCAGACACCAGTTTACCTCTAAAACACATCTGATCATGTTACACCTCATGCTTAAAAATCACCAATTTCTCCCACTCTCTACAGCAGAGTTTCTCAGTCTCCACACTCCTAACATTGACTGCCAGATGATTATTCCTTGTGGGGCTGTGCACTGCAGGGTATTTAAAAGAAGCATCCCTGGCCTCCCACTAGATGCCGGTAGGAACTCCCCTGTGGTAGACAGAATAATATACCACCAAAAATGCCCACGCCCCAATCCCTAAAACATGTGAATACCTCATAGCAAAGGGAACTTAAGGTTTCAGGTGGAATTAAAAGTCACTAATCAGCTGACATTAAAATAATGAGATTATCCTGGATTATCCAGGTGAGCCCAATGTAATCACAAGAGTCCCGAAAAGAGCGAGAGAGAGAAATGACCACACAAGAAGAGTGGATGAGATGCAACTTGGCTGGCTTTGAAAATGAAGGAAGGGGGCCACTGGAAAAGGAACCACAACAGATCCTAGAGCCTTCAGAAGGAACACAGTCAGGCCAACACCTTGAAGTTAGCCCAGTGAAACCTGTTGGGATTTCTGAGGTCCAGAACTGTAAGACAATAAATTTGTGTTGCTTGAAGCCACTAAGTTTGTGGTCATTACAGCAGTGATAGGAAATTAATACACCACCACTTCCAGTTGTGTCTTCAGACACTGCCAAATGTCCCCTGGGGACAAAGTCACCTCCAGGTTAAGAATCACTGCTCTACACAAGTCCAAACTCCTGAGATGAGCACAGTGAGACGCTTCGTAATTACCACTATCCTACCTGTTGAACACTATTATCCTGCACACAGCAAGATACATCCTCTTCTCCAGGCACCCCAAACTTCACTTGGGCAACACTCAATATGCCTTCACTCTCTGCAGTTGTGATGCCCAGGGGCTCCTTGGAGAGTAATGTGCTTTGACCAGTCTCTCATTTTTGTTCATACCCATAATTATCCCCCCAGTAGAGGCTGGGTGTGGTGGCTCATGCCTGTAATCCTAGCACTTTGGGAGGGTGAGGCAGGCAGATGGCTTGAGGCCAGGAGTTCAAGACCAGCCTGGCCAACATAGTGAAACCCAGTCTCTACTGGTGCATGCCTGTAGTCGCAGCTACTGGGGAGGCTGAGGCAGGAGAATCGCTTGAACATGGGAGGTTGCATTGAGCTGAGATCGTGCCACCGCACTCTAGCCTGGGCAACAGGGTGAGACTCTCTCTCTCTCAAAAAAAAAAAAAAAAAAAAAAAAAAAAAAAAAAAAAAAAAAAAAAAACCCAACAGGTCTGATTTCTGACTTTATTCGGTCAGGCTTTTATTACATGAAAAGCCATGTGGTTGTACGTGTATCAAACTGCAGGTGCCCTAACCTGCTCCTCCAAACAAATTATTGCGCTTAGGGCCCTCTAAGTCTTCTTTTTTGGGAGCTGTAGAATCACCAACACCTCTGCGCCTTTGCCTGTCCACTCTTTTCTGCCTCATGAAGGCATCACTTTCCTTCTTCTCCTTAGAAATGGCAGTCATCTTTGAAGATCAAGTTTAAATGTTCTCTGGACAGTGAAGCCTTTCAAGGCCCCCCAAAGCACAGTGAATCATCACCCGCCCCTCTCTGTTCCCTCATTCTGCTGATCTTCTGTATTCCCCCTATCAGTTAACTCACCTGTCCCCTCATTAGACTATGAGCTCTTTAGCCTCTCTGCATTCCTAGTACCTACAGAAATGCGTATGCTCAAGAAATGCTTGTGCCATGAATGAAGAAAAGTATAGACGCCAGTGATATATAGAAATCATTTTAATTATGGGTTGCAAAAGTTGGCAAACTCCAGGTTAGCTATGGACATAATCCCAGCTCTGATCCACAAGAATTAGGAGAAGCTCAGGATTGAAATGAGACTTTATTCCTTTGCCTGTGATCAGAGTCAGGGGCAGAGCTTGGCTGCTAAGAACACAAGTTGAGAAACACGTTCCAACTGTGTT
Organism: Homo sapiens; assembly: GCF_000001405.40. NCBI lineage: Eukaryota > Metazoa > Chordata > Mammalia > Primates > Hominidae > Homo > Homo sapiens. The sequence goes on from NC_000023.11 coordinate 11,661,280, forward strand.
ACCACGTACCATTTACCCTTTGTCTCCTCCATGTTTCTACTCAATAGATGATCTACCCAGCATGTCCAGGAATCAGATTTTGTTAAAGCAATCCTGAAACACGTAGTGAGGAAATGCTAACAAGATCGTAGCTGACTTTGCCTAACACTTCCCAGGTTTAGGCCATAAAATGGTCATTTGTAAGCTTTGAACGAGCACAAGTAACAAAGCTGCAGGCATTTGTGAGAGTCTTGGGAGCAGGGGCTGTTGTATGGACAATTTACGTTAAAAGCAGACAAGATTCTGAAAGAACAAAGTGGGAAATGGATGAGATCCATCAATGGCTAAACCTGAAGGTGAATTCTTAGGATTTCATATGGATTCAATGGAAGAGAAATAGAAAATTTGAACAGACTGTAAGGGGTACATGACTCCAGAGGGATCCTCGTGGTTTTGGAATCAAACGAAGGCGCCAACAAAGTTTAGGCCAGCTGTAAACACTTCTGTGGGCACTCTCTTGATGGCCAGCATGGGGTACTATGGGCAACCTCACTAACGCAGCAGTTCTCAGTTAGGGCGATTTTGATCCCCAGAGGATATTCAGCAGTGTCTAGAGACATTGTTTGTTGTCACACTGGTCTGGAGGAGTGCTACTCGCATCTAGTGGGAAGAGGCCAGGGGTGCTGCTAAATACCCCGCAATACCCAGGACAGCTCTGTAGCAAAGAATCATTCAGCTTCAAATGTCAATAGTGCCAAGGCTGAGAAACCCTGAGCCAGAGCAACCAGAAAAGTTCAAGAACCAAATCTATATGAACCAGATATTCCCTCCAGGGCCTCTAAGCAGCCTTGCAAGATGCTCATTGGCTGACATTTTGATGTCATTAGTAAAGACTCTCCTTTAAGGACCAAAGACTCAGCTTGCCTGCAAGTGAAAAGGACAGGCAGTGCCCAATAGGATACATTTTCTTGGTTTTTCAGAGGGTTCCAGGGCGTTAAACCTTTGAAAGGTAATCCAGGCCATTAAATTAGAGATCCAAGGGTTATGTTAGGATATCTTGGCCTTTATTAAACAAAACCAGGGTTGGAGCTACATGCTAGAGTTCTATCCAATCACTCCATGCCTGCCTCAAGCATAAAGGAATTTCCAACACACACACACACACATACACACATATTCTATGAGAAAATTCTGGCTTTTTGCTAGATGGCTACATCCTTAGTTTTAACCACCATGAAAAGGTAAAAATCATGGTAGATGAGTTTTGTGCAGACTGCCCACTGTATGGAATAGAAGCCACCCAGTATCACTGCAGTTCAGATCCTTGTCCATTAATTATGAGATGCTAATGGATAAGAAGATAATTTGCAACAAGTGAAATCATCTACAGCCACATGCCTTTTGGTCATAACAGTAATGAGCAGCATCTGTATACTATATTCCAAGTATGTATATGGTTGCTAAGAAAAGCAGAAATGTTCTTAATGATGCAATTAGTTTTAAGCACGAATGTTAGCTAGCTAATCCAAAATGCTGGCTTGCTTTTGTATTTCTCTTTCTCTCAACTTGTACAGATTAATCTGATAATGTGTGCTTCTGAAATACAATGAGAATCCAGCCCCTCCTAAAGACCAAGAGAAATTCAACATTTCAATTTTTGATGCTCTTTCTAATCTTGAGTTCCCTGGTTTGGAGGTAACATCTTGCCCTCTGCCTCGACTTTCCTTTCTACTGCCTATCTTTCTCAAGAAAATGGGCAAAAGACCTAGCAAAATTTGTTAGTTTTTTGTAATCTGCACCCCCAACACCTAACAGCCTCAGTTACTTTGACACAGTAACTAACATTAATAATATGTGATGCTAATAATTCTGATAAATGATGCTTATTTTTCTAAGGCGGTTTACTAAAGCCAAAGTCTAACAGTTATCTCACATTAACACAGCTGAGTATGATCTCAGATGCTATTTTCAAACGGTTTTCCTTGGTTGTGTATTTAGCCTAAATCTCCAGCAATTACATGGTATTTCATTTCATTTCTGTAATGCTAACTGTACTTTAAAATATTAAATTACAACTGATGGAATCTCCCTTCCCTTATGGAAACAGATCCAAGGCAAACCTATAGAGTTTGTGGACCGAAGGGGATAGGGGCTGTTCATTTTTAAAACAATTACTATTCTCTGAAAGTGTGTTATTTTCAAAGCGCCCATCAGTGACAGTTTCCCAATAGGTCAATTCACTATTTTTCTTAACTGGACAGCAAATATTTTAAGGGTATCTGATAGCTCCCTCTGAGTCCCCTATGTATTGTTGATTCTTCACTAAACTACTAATTGTTCTAAATGGAATTTAGGCATCAGCATATTTCCATGATCTTTCACACCCCTACACAGAGATTTTCTTCTTCTCCTAGGTTAAACTAATACTCAGTACCATAGATTTCTGAAATTGCCCCTTCAGGGAAAGAAAAGGTGAAAACTAGAGAATTCTTGTCCCCCCTGCCACCCAAACACACACACACACTCACTCATACAGTCAATGACACCCTCCAAAATAATGTTTCTGAATTCTCTACAGAACAAGATGGCAGACATATTTCAAAATATATTTCATCCAATCGTTACAAACAGCTTAGCAATAGATATTTGAGTTGGAAAAAATATCAACATTGGGTGAAGGGATAAGGTGACCCTTTGAAATTGCCTGCAGCACTAACAGAAAACCAGAACACCATCTCTTTCTCCAGCTCCCACGACTGCTCCAAAGTAGAGCCAACAAGTCCTACAAGACGCACAAGCGGGTGGCCACTAGGGACATCCCATTTCCAGGCACCATTTAGCAAGTAGAAGAGGAAAACCCACACCACGGAAACCCCTTAGTGGGTGCCTTGCTCTGTAAATGTAATGGAATTAAAGGCGGTCTCCTGAAACTGCCTGGGGGCCTCCTCCTTGGGCCGTGGGACGCGCAGCGCTGGTCCCTACCTCGGATTTCCACACGACGTAGGGGTGCCCGCGACTGTCGGGTGGGGACTGGAACTTCCTCTGCTGGAGCCACCTCCTAGGAGAAGCGAAGATGCCATTGGGGCCTCCCCCGGATGAACAGAGGATGCTGGAAGCGCTTCGGCTACTGGCTGGCCCGGCCAGGACAGAAGGCAGGTCCCAGGCCATGCTCTTCTTGAGGCCGCCGCGACCCAGGGGAACCTCATAGTCAAAGTGAAAGCTGCCGGATGGTGACTTCTCCTGCGGGGTGCTGGGTGTGGAGAAGGACGAGCAAAGAGGTCCAGGAGGCGGTAGCCTGGTGGCCCTGGGGGGCGGACCCCGGGAAGAGGACGCCAAGCGAGGGCCGAGACTCTCGGCTGGGAGTGATGGGGAGTAGAGGCGGCCCGCCGTGGCTCCCCGCGCACTGCCCTCCGCGCCCGCCTCGTCGCTCCCGCAGCCGCCGATCAGGGCCGGGTCCAGGCTGCGGGTCTGGCGCAGCTTCCTCTTGGAGAAGCCCTTGGCCGAGGCCGCGCTACTTGAAGCGGGCGAGGAACAGGAGAAGACGCTGTGGAGCAGGCTCTGCGCGGACATCTCGGCGGGGCTGCACCTGAGGACCACCTCCTCCTCCCTCCCTGGACGCTGGTGGCTTTGGGTCGGGAACCGAAAGGGACTCAGGCAAAGGTGCCAGGCGGGGCTGGCCCGGGGTTTGCCCAGGGCAGTGGAGAGCAAAGCCCAGCTCACGCGCCGCCGGTGCGCTCCAAGTGCCCCGGCGGCGGCAGGAGCAGCAGATCCATCACCAGCCTTCTAGGAAAATGGGTCTGGGGACCTCCTGCAGCCGCTAGAACCTTCCTCCGGAGCCCAAGACGCGAAGAGGGTCAGGAAGAGGAGGAGGAAGGTCAGGCGCTCGCTGGGTTCCCAGCTCCAGCCTGCCAGCGCCACTCCCCCTTCCTAGCTGAGGCGGGAGACGCAGCGCTCCTGCTCGCTGGCTCTGGATGGCCTCTAAGACTCCAGCAAGCTCCTCCTTGCGGCCCGAGGACAGTCCCGAGGGCCAGGGAGAAGGCTGCCTGGGCGTGCGCCCAGGGCGCGTCCACCGCGCTCCCGGCGCCGCGAGAACTTCCTCCCGCTCCTGAGCCGGGCGCCTGAGCTGCGCCTCCCTGCACTCTCTCCTTGCCCCGGCGCCCGAGGTTGCGCGCCTGGCCTCCGCTGGGCTGCTGCGCCCACTCTTCCGACTGCAGAGGCTCAAGGGTTGTTCCAAGCTCAAGGTTCCCGCGGGGTCTCTGTCTTGCTGCAGTGTGGGGACACCGAGCGTGCTGCGCCCGGGACCTCCAAAGACTGCGTGCCCACGGTGGGATGGAATTCCCGGCGGCGCTCAGCGCTCTCCGTGGAGGAGGGAGCTCAGGAGACAGCCCCAAGGCCGGGTGTGTGTGTTCCGCCGGAGAGGAACACGCTATTCGCAGCCCAGCCTTGGGCCCAGGGCAGACGCGGAGATGACCCCGTACGCTCGCTCTAGAGGCAGCGGGAAGGGGGCGGCCAGGACGTGTAGAGCTGGAGGAATGCCGGGGCTGGAGCTGGGGCGGAGCCAGGAGCAGGAGAAAGCAGAACGTGAAGAGTTTTCCAGGCGCCAAACCTGCAAGCGGCGAGGAGAGAAGGCAGCTCGCCACTGATACCGGGTCTCCTGGGGAGAAAGTCGTGAGGACGGAAGTGCGGACCTTCTCCCCCGTCTCCCCACCCCCAGATCAAGGGTCGCGCCAGCTCCACTCACGTTTCTGGAAAGGAAGGGAAGTGTCAGATTGCACCCCACCCACTGGTGTCAGATGGGCAGCCGGGGACGATTGCTCTGAAGTTGGAGTTAAATCTCCTGCCTTTTCTCCCCGCGCCCCCCCACCCCGCCCTGTCCCGGCTGTTTTTGTTTTTAAAAAGGAAGGATAGATAGGAAACTGTCTAAAAGCAGTGGCTGCCGATGAATGAGCTGGAGATGGAGACCTACTAAGAAAGTGGAGGGGGAGGAGCCTTTGCCGTGGAAGGGGTCCTGAGCACGTGCGGAAACGTGCTCTAGGAGGAGGGGTGAGTGAGGCCGGGTAGGGGGCAGGCGCCGGGCGCAGCTTCAGCCCAGAGGCTGCAGAGATTGGCGCTCACAAAGCGATCTGTCTCCGCGTCCCGCTCTGGGACGCCTCGGGTCTCAGCGCGGTGGCCACAGTCCTGGGAAGCTGGAGAACGCTGGGGAAATCAATCTTCCCGGCAAGGAGATGAGTCTGAAAGCAGCTTCTCCCGCTGTCGGACCCCTGGAATCTATAAAGCGCAAAGCCTCGCCCTCTTGGAGGGCTTTTTGATGTAACAGTTAAGCTTTGCAATGCAACTTACAACCATCTCAGCAGGGAGCAGACAGAATGTTGGAAATGTCTACTTTGTGTTTGTGTCCTCTTTTATCACTTAGGGATGAAGATAATTTTATATAAATGTAAAGGTGACTCTACCATTTCTTTTATTTTGGAGAAAAAATACAATGAAATTATAAATACAGATGTTGGACACGAACATTCCTCTTGCATATCTACCAGAATTGTCCAAGTTTGATTCTGGAAGACTTCCTTTATTCCCTATGACATATTCAGGGGAAAAGTTAATTTACTTAGACTCTTTGAAAAGCGTGTTTGGTGTTCCTAGGTGTTCAGCTATTTTGGAGGAGGTACGTCATGAAATCTAATTAGGAGAATTCGTTGTCTCCACAAAGGGCGTCGGGCTCCCAGGTCTTGGCTGTACTCGTTTTTTGTAAACGCAGCCGAACAGACTGCACCCTTAGAGATTTTTTTTCCGGTAGCTTTAATGAGCTATCTGCTGTCTGAAGACAGAGTTCGATTCTAGTTTCCCATCCCCCATCGCTGTCCATCTCTTCTCACCCTGAGCTTCTTAAGTATTTTCAGCGGCTGTCAATCAGGTGTGCTGCTGACAGGCACAGTGTTTAAAAAGAGCTCTTGCTCCCCTGCCTAACTACACCCAGGCCAAGTTACATTTGGGGGCTTGTTGGCATTGGCTTTCTTCCCTCCTCATACAAGTCACATTAGAAGTAAAAGTGTGTGGGTCTTGTCTGCCCTTTCTTTAGTAACAAAACTGTAATTTATCACTGGTAATGGAAACACTTAATGTCTCTACCACTGGGATACGAATGCATGGTTATGCCTCATTGCATGGTTATGCCTCAGTGGAGTTTGGCATTCGGGGTAGATGGTTAACAGAGTCACTTCACAGAATCACTTATAACTCAAGGGGGGTGAGCAACTTGATGATTGTATTTGATGATTTATATATTTCTCTAACCCCATATGATAACCATGGGGTAGCAAATGAACCCCTGCCATGACTGTATAGGCTAGTATGAATGCCCCCAGGCACAAGGGCATACATTCTTGCTCATGGGTGTTGGAGAGCCAACCAGCAGAGGGATTCTTCTATTAGCACTCCTAGGGCTTGGAACACACACATGCCAGTTAATTCATCATCTAGTTTCCAAGTGTTCCTGACCCTCCAGGAAACTGGAAACTTGTGTCATTGTTGGGAACAGTGAATAAATTGTTTTAAATATTAATCAAATTAGACTGGGGCTCCTTTTAAAAACTCAGTGTAAGTATGTGTGCTTTTAATACCTGGGGCAGGGGATGTTGATGTTCTTCTAGAAAGACTTTGTAAGAATTTTTTTGGATTTTTTTAAAACTATTTTGATTTTCAACCTGACTGCTATTAGGTTTACCTTGCAGTCATAGTGGCTTATGGTGGATTCATTCATTCCTATTTAAGGCATTCTATTTAACTCTTGTTTGTTATATATTCTCTTTGTTTATATAGACTCAACTCACATTGGCCTTTCTGATCAACTGTCAGGTTATGCCAAATTCAGTTAAGGAAGATCTATGGGTTTTGGTTACCAATTTCAAAAAATGGCTGGTTTTGTTACATTGCTTCCCAGAATCCTTCTTACAATTCATCAGCTAGCTTCAGAAGCATTATAATTGGTAGTCAAGAAATAAATAGTTTTAATGTATATGCTTTCAAAAGCAGGTTTCTAAGACTTTGCTTTGCTTCTCTATTAGGGCATTTGATATTGAAAATAGTGCCTATATTTGTTAATTTTTTCCTCAGAGACAAAGTTAATCAAAGACTTGGGATACCTTTCATTAAAGAGCAGAACATTCTGTTCACTATTCATTCCCAATGATAATTATTGTAGACATCTAGGATTTAAAAAACATCTTATGCTATCTATTCCATCTGGTCATGGCACAAGAATATTCCAATGGAAGTTCTAGAATCCTTGGACTGACATCAAGCTATCCTCTTATCAGAGATCCTAGAAAACTCATCAGTATTCTTTCTATTCCCTTGAGAGACTGTTCTACAAACACACACATCTTACTATCAAAGGATATATTCTGATGCTTAACCTAAATTTCCTTTTCCTTAACTTTATCCCTTGAAGCTTTTCATATCTCCAGCCAAAATTCCTCTTTATCCTTGGTGTTTAGACCCCAAAGCTATTTGTAGATTTTTATCATGCCCTTTGGGTCTGACTCTGTGGTTTGGCTACACTATAAAGTTCATATTTTGCTTTAAAACCATCACTGTAGATGATCTTTTCTGGACTCCCTCCAGTTGCTTTTGTTTTTCAGTCCTGAGGTCCAATATTCCAGGTTAGGGCATCCTATTTTGCTCTTGTTTGTTATATAATCCCATTGCTTAAACAGTCTCAAATCACACTGAACTTTCTGATTGAGTGTCATATAATATTTCAGACTTCTATCTGATTGGCTCCCAACTTTTAGCATTGTTGATTTTCATTTCATCCTGCCCATGTCTCTCAAACTGATCATGATCCCCCGATATCATTTCTATGTTCTTAGTGGGTAAACAGTTCACAGCATCTCACTTGCCCATAAAAGTCCGGGTTCTGTCTCCAAGCTCCTGAAACATGAAAAAGAAGCATCATTTAAATCTGTGTGACATGCATGGAATACATGAGAGATATGTGGAGAAATTTTACAAGGCTTAAGAATGCAAATTGCATTAAATAGCCCAACTTCCCCATGCCTGAACTAAAAATGTTTCTTTAGATTCCTATGCCAGCTGCCAAAGCACTTAAATTACAATCGACAAACGTCAGTGGAGGTAAACCTAGAGTCTTTGAGTACAGGAAATTTTTGTCTTCTATTACATTTATATACCAACAGGCAAGGTTTTTGGCTCAATATTTTGGATCAATTTCACATAGCCCAGAATTGGAACCATGAACCCTCCAGGTACACACTTGAGGTTTTAATATTCCTCTAGTTGATATCCAGACCTGTGAAATTTTTTTTTCTGACGTTATATTCGGAAACCCAAATGACTATTCTTATTCATCTTTCCCAGTTTTTCCCCACTCTGTGTGCCTAATTTTGCCATTTCTCACCAATTGTGACCTTAAAAAATTAAATTCAGTAAAAGAAAACGACTGTATCTGTGTCAGCATCTGCATTGAACACACGAACATCCACTTGCAACATTGTCCATTTTCTCATTTTCTGTGCAAATATTAGCAACATGTTCTATGTTTTCTAGTGTTTAATATTTATCTTCTAGACTTAAAAAAGCAGGAGTTTGGCATAGGCACATTTTCTGCCTTTTCGCTTACATGTTTATTTCTTGAGCAGGTATGAGTACACTATTTTTTTCTTCTTTTTTTTTTTTTTTTAAATACAGTTTCACTCTGTGGCCCAGGCTGGAGGGCAGTGGCGCCATCTTGGCTCACTGCAATCTCCACCTCCCGGGTTCAAGCGATTCTCCTTCCTCAGCCTCCTCAGTAGCTGGGATCACAGGCACCTGCCACCATGCCCGGCTAATTTTTGTATTTTTAGTAGAGATGGGTTTTCACCATGTTGGCCAGCCTGGTCTCAAAGTCCTGGCCTCAAGTGATCCTCCTGCCTCGGCCTCCCAAAGTGCTGGGATTACAGGCATGAGCCACCACGCCTGGTCGGGGTACACTATTTCTAAATGTTAACCATCCTATTTTCACTTGCCCAAGTTAGCAGGGCAAGTGAAAAACAAGGCTGTATAAGAATCTTAAACCAAGTTGCAGTGTAGATGTGCTCAGCAGGATCACAGGGGCAACTCCTGAACCAAACAGTGGTTACTCTACCTGTGGCATGTGAACGAATCTTCCAATATCAAATCCTAAATGTATGACCATCATCCCTTTTGCTTTAGGCTTTGAATCTTGATCTCAGGAGACTTTTAGAAATATAAATTGGCTGAAAGCCAAATTCAGTTTTGGTTGATAAACATTTTTGAACACACACTGTGTGCTAGTGGCATTCTTTGTTCTATCTTTGTGGTGAAAGTGTACTTAGAATCTCAAAATAAGTTAAATTTATCTGAACCTGGTATATAATTCAGCTGTACTAGCTACTTAAACTAATTTTTAAAATCTTCTGTAGCATATGTCTCAGAACTACTTTTGAGGATGAAGAATTCTGTAATAATGTAAACAATTTTAATAGATACTTTATTAATTACCCTAAATTGTTCATAATCTAAGCATTCATCAATATTTCCCAATTTAAAAAGCAACCAAATAACATGAGGTTTCATTGCCTATGAAATGTTAATTTTTCCCCCGAATCTTCACTTTTCTATATTGAATGGAAACAGGAGGACCTATTTTGCCTAACATGTTTCTCTGGTGACAAGGTAGGATGGGGTATGGAAGGGAAAGAAGAAAATAAAACAACTGGTACTATGCCTAGGGTACATACAGACACATACATATATATTAACATCAACTTTACTGAGAATCTACATACAATAAGCTATATAAATGAATTTTGGCAGTTGTGTATACCCATGAAACCACTACCACGATCAATATACAGAACATTCCTATCACCTCCAGTGTATGCTTTTATTAACGTTCAATGAACATTGACAATTTGAGTTTTGCTATGTTCATGGTTGAGTAGTGCCTTTGGCCAATATAAAAAGGGAAGGAGGGAAGAAGAGCATGAGGGAGGGAGGACAAAATAGAGAACAGAGCTTTTTCAGTTCTTGTAGTGGGTTGAAGTGTGTTCATCTAAAAGGCATATTCAAGTCCTAATCCCTGGTACATGTGAATGGGACCTTATTTGAAAACCGGGTTTTTGCACAAGTAATCAAATTAAGATTAAGTCAGACTGAATTAGATGGGTCCTAAATCCAATAACTAGTGTCTTTATGAGAGAAAGGAGAAGGCAAATGGAATACAGACACATGCGTGTGCACAGAAGAAGACCATGTGAAGACAGAAGCAGAAATTAGAGTGATACAGCTACAAGCCAAAAAACCGCCAAAGATTGCCAGTAACCACTAGAGGCTAGGAGAGAGGCGGAACAGATTTTTCCTTAGAGCCTCCAGAAGGAACCAACCCTGCTGACACCTTGACTTTTGACTTCTAGCCTCCAGAATTGTAAGAGAATAAGCTGGTTTTTTTTTTAAAAAGCCACCCAGTGTGTGGTAGTTTGTCATGCCAGCCCTAGGAAAATTTTGTATTTCTTATTGCCACAGCTTGGTTCTCCTTCTTTCAAACAGTTTAATAAAACCCAAGGAAGTCATTGAGCAAAAAGCAATCCCAAAGAATTTTAAAAGAAGACAAGAGAATGGCTAATGAATGCTTATCAGTGTTTCATTTCCAAAGGAAAAGTGATGGATTAGAAATCCTGTCTCCTGCTAAGCATGGTGTCATCATTATGTCAGCAGCCAAGCTGCAGTTAGGTCCCACGTGTGCACGGCTCCGTCTTCTTTCAGGATGGACTTCACTTTCCCCTTGGGGGACTTCTGCCCTTCTGTGCATTTGTTTCAACAAAAGGGGCTCAAACCAGAAAGAGACACTCAAATTCAGAGGGCTGAGATGCTTTGGTTTGCCTTTTTTGGTGTTTAATTTGCTCTGCATTAAAGGGGCTGAGCACACACCTGAGACACAAATGAGCTCGAGTGCCAGAACAAGCCAGTAAGAAATGTCTTTAAAAGGAGATGGAAGCTGCTGAAACTCTTCAACAGGCTTCATGGAAACCAAAGCCTGGTAAGCCTTTCTCTAGGGAAAACTTCCGGGGATCCAATTGAAAAAGCAGAGCTGCTTAAGCTAAAAGCCACATGCCCTTTATTTGCCTCCTGTATGATTTATTGGGAATTCCTTGGGTATTTTTCACAGTTCACTGCTTTGTAGCATGACACAGATTAGAGACATACCAAAGAACTCTCAGCCCCCTTTAAAGATATAGGAAGGAAAATAAGACATTCACAAGATCGTAATAAGCAGGTTGTGGATCAGGGAGCTAAAAGTAAGGGGTTCCCCCCTTTTAATAGAAACGGCTTCACGAACCAGTTTTATAGAATTGGCAAAAGCAAACTGATGGAAGTTGTTGGAGGTTTATGGAGCAGTAAGAAAAATGCAGTAATGAGAATCATAGATCTAACTCTTAGTAGATGCTTGGCTACTAACTAGCTCAGTCATCTAACCTTGTGCAAAGGAAACCCCTACTCACCATTTAAGCCTACTTGGTTTAAATGTCTCTTGCTCTGCCTTAGGCTCCTATTCCAGTTAAGTTAGTTCTCATGGTATAACTCTCCTACTCTCAGACCTTCCCTTTATTATAGCACTTACCAAAGTGGTAAGCATATGGGATTCATTAGTGCAATTATGCATGTTCAATCCCTAACATCCCTAAGACCCTAAGTTTCATGAAGCAAGAGTCATCACTGATTGGTTTCCCTTGTAATCCTAGTGCTAGAATGACTCATCTCACGTAAGAATAAAGGCTCGATCGATAACCATAATTCACCTCTTAACCTCAGTCTCCTCATCTGGAACTTGGCTCTTCAGGTCTCTGACAGCTGTCGCCTTCTGTGTCTCAGAGACCTTGGACTTATCCTCAGGCATCAGTGGGAAGTTCTATTAATTTGACTTGTCACAGAAGAACTAAAATGAGTGATAACTATACAGATGTCTGCTAGTCAAAATTGTTAATATTTCGTTAAATGTATGGGCTTTGAGTCAGACATCTCCAAGTTATAGTCCTAAGTGTGCATGGTGTGTGTGTGTGTGAGAGAGAGAGAGAGAGAGAGAGAGAGAGACCAACCAGTCTACCTTGGGTAAAGTCATTTAATTCTTCAGAGGCTCAGTTCTTCCTCTGGTACACAGAGTTAATAGCTATACATTGTAAAGCATTTAGTATGTTTTGTGGCATAGAACAAATACAAAATAACTGTTATCTGTTATTAATAAATTTGTTATCATTAATTACAGAAATAAGACACATAATATGGCTTATTCAGGTTTGCCTATCTGTACATATTATAAAATTGAATATCTAACAATAACAGTAGTAATGAGTCAACCTTTAATATGTATCAGGTACTGTGACTAGTGTCTTACATGGGTTATTTTATTTAATCTTCACAACTCGTTGAGGTAGTTCTCTATCATCTTCATTGTTCAAATGAGGAAACTGAGTCACTGAGAGGTTAAAAACTTGCTTAAGTGAGCTAGTAAATGGTGGAGCCATTGATTTGCCCAAGTTAGCTAGGAAATAATGGAGCTATCAAACTAATCCTCATACACTATACAAAGTCACTTTTTAAAACATGTTTTCTATGGAAAAATGTGTGACAAATAGAAGTCATGCTCATCTCTCCATTCACATGATCTGCACTACATAGACAGGACTGGGAGTGTCGGGGTGTGGGGATCAGATATGGTGAAGGAGGGCTTAGCATTTCCCAAGCATCTATTCTGTGCTAAGAACTTTACACACATGATTTCTACACAACATTGCTGTGAGGTAAATATTCTTATTCCCATTTCAGAAATCAATGATTCACACCCACGTCTGTCATGTCACAACCCATGTGTTCCCCATAATACTTCTTGAATGGCTAATCTGGCTAGCAAATCTAAATAATCACAGTCATCAGAAAACTTGACCATGAACAGGAATGTCATATTCCTAACTTGTACTTGCCCTTTGTACTTTCTGAGAGCAGGTGGGAATTAGCTACAGCTCTGTGTTTCCTATGGATATTTTCACTTATTAAGAGAATTCTAGCCTTCTTTCCTCCAGGCTAAATCTTTAATTATTTTCCTCTGGCATGTCTATTATGTGCTGTAAACATGTTCTTTTGGGAATTTTTTATGTGCTGCATTATTCCTTTTAAGTTGTGAAGCCCCAAACTGGACACAGTGCTCTCTAAAGCGACATATCCAAGCTGTGTTTAGTTTGATTTATCTGTGCTGATTAAGAAGTTGTGTAGAAGGCTTTTATTCACCCTCTGTGATTTGCCTAATGTCTTTAGGGTGGTGGTAAATAAATCTTGTACATCAAATTCTTGTTATCCGTAAGGTGAAAAAAGGCCAATCCTGACAAATTGGGTTCCAAGATTATGAGAAGTTGCTCTTACTAAATTCCCTATTATTGTTCAGAACAGTTCCATTTGCCCAAATGAGTTCTCATCAGTGGAAAGTCAGTGCACTTGAACCAGATGATACTTGAAGCATTTCCAAATTGTATGCTTTACAGTGTCTTTACAAATGGCGATTGAGCAGATGAAGCAGAGAACCAAGAAAGTGAAACCCGCCCAATAGTCCCATAGATAGTTTTTTTTTTTTTTTTTTTTTTTTTTGAGACGGAGTTTCGCTCTGTCGCCCAGGCTGGAGCGCAGTGGCGCGATCTCGACTCACTGCAAGCTCCGCCTCCCGGGTTCACGCCATTCTCCTGCCTCAGCCTCCCAAGTAGCTGGGACTACAGGCGCGCGCCACCATGCCCGGCTAATTTTTGTATTTTTAGTAGAGACGGGGTTTCACCGTGTCAGCCAGGATGGTCTCGATCTCCTGACCTCGTGATCCGCCCGTCTCGGCCTCCCAAAGTGCTGGGATTACAGGCGTGAGCCACCGCGCCCGGCCAGTTTATTTTTATAAACATAGAAATTGACCCTTCTGGTCTTAAAGCTTGAAACTTACATTTATTTTGTCTGAGCTCCTTCCTCAGGAAACAAAAGTATTAAAGAACTGAAACTCACCAGATCACCACATCCAGATAATGAGATGCCAGACCCCTCATTCATCATGATTGCTTCCTTGCCCCTCCATAGTTCCTGTTTTCTTACACATTGTTTATTTCTTCCCTGCTATATACACCCCTAGTTTTGGCACCTCAGGGAGATGGATTTGAAACTGAGCTCCCAGCTCCTTGACTGCAGCACCCTATTAAATCCTTCTTCCCTGGCAATACTCATCATCTCAGTCATTGGCTTTCTGTGAAGTGAGCAGCAGGACCTAGACTGAACCCCTTGTTTCAGTAACAAAAGGATCTACTCAGCTCAAGCTTACAACACAACTTGGATCATTAAGATAACAACAACAAAAAAAATGTTTACTTGACACCCTGATTTGAAGAAATAATAATTAACTTGATTTGGTTGCAAAAACCTTTTATTGAAAAGTCCTGAAAAAAAAAAAAAAAACAAGATCCTTTTTTGATACTACTTACATCACAGCAACTGATAAGGCAATATTTTATGCATTTAATATTTCCTTAAACCTACACCTCTCACTTTGACCTAGGTGTTAGCATCTCTACCAGCAATGAGACTCGAAATACAAGTGTCTAGTCCATTTACTTATGGAATGGAGAAAGCTATAGCATAGAAATAGGAAGTATCACATCCATGAAATGAGAGATTGTGTTGCATTCATTTTTTCATATCCAGAATATTCTACAATGCCTGACACTAAATAGGCACTCATTAAAGAGAATAAACGAATGAGTGAATGGATGAATAAGAGATTTCTGGAACTAGAATTCTTGCTACCTGACACACCAAGGTCACTGTCCATATTATTTTGAATCACATCTGTGACATTAATTCACTGAGCGCCATTCATTGTTTTTAACATCTTTATTGACATATAATTCACATGCCATGAAATTCACTCATTTTCCGTTTAATTCAGTTTCACTCAAATTAGCTAAATAGTGATGTTACATATATTTATTTAAAGTCTGCTTAAAGATTTGTTAAGAAACAAGGTAAATGTGCACAGTTAAAACAAGTTTTGGAATCCATCTCTTGATTTACTTAATGCATCCCTTGAGACCACCAATTGAGAATTGAGTGTATTTTCCGAAATATATGTTGGCTATAACTAAAAGAGAGTTTGAAGTACCTTTTTAACTTGGTAGTGAAATTATTATGACGAGGAGCTTGCTTTTTTGAATCAGCATCTTGCTAATAAAGAAGAGCTTCCAAAGTAGAATCATGAGATTCTCAGATGATTGACCAGATCCAGAGGCTACAGACTTCTAAGGCGAAGCCAGATGGATTTATTATTACTGATTTCCAGCAAGATAAAACATTTATTTTCACAGATTGCTTCAGTGTCCTGGTTTGACATTTGCTGTTGTTTTAAAAGGCAAATTAAAAACACTGGAAATGAGAAGGCCAGATAAAACATAGTTCCAAACCACCCTAGAGGGATGGAGTAATTGATAATGGTGACCTCAAGCCCCCTTCTGCAGCCTGGGACAGACCAGAGCCCCAAGGACTATTCGGATGGTGCCTCTTTTTATTTGAAATTCTTTAATTCATGGTCAACCAGTTCCTTTCTCTTCTAGGAGTTCAAGTTGTTAGTCTAATCCAGAACATCATCAACTATTTAAAGAAAGCCATGAACACAATGGGACTTTCATTTGATAAGACTGAAAGTCAAAAGGAAGTAAACTACTAATTAGAAAGACATTTTCTGTTCCTTTTATTGAGCTGGAGTGTGGGGGTGGGGGAGAGTCACTTTTTATGTTTTATTGCTAAAGGAAATAAAACTTCTCCCAATATGTGCCCCCCTTTATGTGGCAACCACAAGACATCTTGGAAATACTGATTTTCACACATGACCTTTCTGGAGAAAGAGAAAATTTGGCATAGATCTGTTGACTAACCTGACCTCCAAATTAGATAGTTTTCAGCAGGTGCCTTGGAGCCTTCAAATTCTACTCAAAGCATCTCTTGAAATATTTCATCCTCAAATGAGTGATCATGGCTTTATATAGTCAGACAGCCACCAGATATTTATTGAGTAACCACTTACGTACCAGGAATTTTCCTAAACACTGGAATACAGCAGTAAATAGGAAAGAAAGTGTCCCTGCTTTCAGACAGCTTACCAAATTGTGAAGGGAGGCACATGATAAACACATAAGCAAGTTAATATATAATTTCAAGAACTGGTAAATGCTATGAAGAGTCGAAAGCAGAGAGACTGGTGAGCTGCTTTAGCTACAGTGGTGAGAAAAGACCTTTCTGAAGAGGTGGTAGTTGATTTGGACTAAGACAATAACTCTAAAGGTCAATGATAGTAACCCTATATACATTGAGCAATCAAGGAAAACCTAAACCCTGAGCCTTAATAACCCTGAAGCTTTCTCTAAGGTTTGCCTCACTGTTCTTATGAGAAAAGTAAAGTCTAGCTTCTCTCAAGAGACCTAGTAGAGGCTTTTTTTTTTTTCTTTTTAGACAGAGTCTTGCTCTGTCACCCAGGCTAGAGTGCTGTGGCACGATCTTGGCTCACTGCAACCTCCGCCTCCCAGGTTCAAGCGATTCTCCTGCCTCAGCCTTCAAAGTAGCTGAGATTACAGGCACGCACCACCACGTTCAGCTAATTTTCGTATTTTTAGTAGAGACAGGTTTTTTGTCATGTTGGCCAGGCTGGTCTGGAACTCCTGGCCTTAAGTGATTCACCGGCGCCGGCCTCCCAGAGTGCGGGGATTACAGGTGCCCAGCCCTGGTAGAGGCTTTAAGTTATCACCTGCCTTGATTTAATCCAGTGACGCGCACCTTTAAGAGACCAGGTGTTCCAATTCAACCCATAGAGCTACAATCACTTTGAAAAGATAGTACTTCTGTGACTTAAAAAAAAAAAAAAAAAACTATTTGTAAAAACACTTCACTTACACTCGAAATATAGTTTCCAGAACTAAATTTAGTTTTGGCACATATGCCATTGGCTGACTTCCTGCATTATATTTGCCTTTAAGGGCATGTTCACTTTCTAGTTCTCATGCATTCAGAGGCTGCCACCAGTTGCGTTCACAGCCCTGCGGGGGCAGTGTTTAAATGACCTCCCATGTTTTCATTAATTCTTAAAAAATCTTACACAAACATTTCTGGTCATATTAGGTTTTGCAAACCTTTGCCCTCGTGCTTTTTTTCTTTTACAAAAACCTAAATTTGGTGCGTAGACTAATTTGACCTCATAATATATCATCTTTTAAATAAATACAAGACTTGACAAGATCCAGAAACTGGTGCTGAAATGGAAGTCAGGATCCTCTCCAGTTTTCTGAGGCCAGGTCAACAGAGCTATAATCATCCCAGATAACTCAAGGGGGAAATAAAACGCTCTATTTTAGGGAGAGAAAATAAACATTCAAGGAGAGTATCTATTTTTGGGAGGAATTGATGACAGAGCTCTTGATGAGTGCTACCTGAATTCATCATCTGCCCAAATATTTTGTGTTATTTTTCTGGAGCCTACTTTGCCTTGGGTTGGTCCTGAGGTCATGATTTCTTGGTCATAAACATACAAGAGAACTCAAATGATCAGTAATAAATAAATTAATTAAACATGACTCCAGGAGTCAAGGAACTACTCCTTACCTCAACTAACCATGTTCCAATTTGGTTAAGTCTCTAAAAATTGCATCCCTTTAGCTTGCTAGTCTGATGGTGAGAACAGTGATAAAAGTCCACTAAAACATGTCAGGTATCTTTGTTCACTCCCTCATCCACAGTGAGCGAGTGCTATGTAAATATCAAATGCCCTAGTAGTATTTAACAGAATCAGTTCACTGTGGCTTTAAAAGAAAATAAATATGTGTCATCTGAAGCAATGCTAACACATATCACTTTCATTACTTGTTAGGCTTTGAAGGATAATTTGTAGAACACAATTTCCAAGCCATTATTTTTACCTTATTATTTCCACAGAATCCACAAGGGGAATTAAACAGGATAGCTGGGTAGTCACATGACTAATTCTCATGGAAAAATAGCAGCTTTTAAAAGACTTTCCTGAGTATTGCAGCACTGTAGAGATGATAAAAGAATGCTTTTGAGAAGTGGGGCTGAACCAAGATTAATTAAGATACTGGTTCTTGGAACATATAAAGTTTAGCATATCAGTGGATACATCCTAAGGCTAGGTTGTATAAGGCTAGGCCCAATCACCTATGAGACTCAGAGATAAATTCATAGCTTTCAGGAAGATAATGATTTAGAATAAAGACTGAAAACTGAGAGGAACAGGGAAAGACTCAAGTCCACCAACCCAGATTGTTTCCTCTTTATCCAATTGGGCTTTAACTAACAGAAACCAGGCAAGGGAGGGAAATCAAAAAGCGGTAAAGTCAGAAATTGAAGGCAGACAGGAGGCAAAGGGGCTTGCAGCGTCTCAGGAAGTGGGGAGAGGAATGCAATGGGAGATGACAAATGACAAATAAGAAAGCTCTCTCAGGCCCCCTGTTACAAGCATTGCTGGCCATGGCATACTGCATTGCCACACAATTTGCATTGTTTTCTTTCTTTTCTTTCTTTTCTTTCTTTTCTTTCTTTCTTTCTTTCTTTCTTTCTTTCTTTCTTTCTTTCTTTCTTTCTTTCTTTCTTTCTTTCTTTCTTCTCTCTTTCTCCTCTCTCTCTCTCTCTTTCTTTCTTTCTTTTTCAGGTGGAATCTCGCTCTGTTGCCCAGGCTGGAGTGCAATGGCACAATCTCAGGTCACTGCAGCCTCCGCCTCCCAGGTTCAAGCGATTCTCCTGCCTCAGCCTCTGCAGTAGCTGGGACTATAGGTACCCGCCACCATGTCTGGCTAATTTTTGTATTTTTAATAGAGATGGGGTTTCGCCATGTTGGCCAGGTTGTATCAAACTCCTGACCTCAAGTGATCTGCCCGCCTCATCCTCCCAAAGTGCTGGTATTACAGGGATGAGCCACCATGCCTAGCCTGAATTGTTTTCTTTCTGCAAGGGTCATCATCCAGAAAATAATACAAACAGCGAAAGTATATCCAAGAGGCAAAAGAGTAGGGGTGAGGAGCAGGGATGCTGGGATCAGAGCTGGGGTTGAATTCAGGCTCTGCTCCTTACCAGCTCTGTGCTTCTGTTTCTCCTGCTGTAAAATGGGACAGTAGCAGTCTTTGCTCCTGGGTTATGATGAGCATTCAATGAGTTAATACTTGTAAAATGCTTAGAACTGTGCCTGACACACAATGAACACTGTCTGAGTGTTTGCTAAATTGATAAGGACAGTGACACCAGCATTCTTTAATCCATGTTTTGGTAGGTTTAGCAGTTGATAGAAAACAGGAAGCATTTTTGAGGGCTCATAATTTTATTTCTTTTATTCTCATTTTTATTTTATTTTATTTTATCTTTTTTGAGACACAGTCTCATTCTGTCACCCAGGCTAGAGTGCAGTGGTACGATCATGGCTCACTGCAGCCTCGACCTCCCGGGCTCAAGCGATCCTCCCACCTCAGCCTGTAGCTGGGACTACAGGCTCATGCCACCACACCCAGCTAATTTTTGTATTGTTTTTGTAGAGATGGGGTTTCACCATGTTGCCCAGGCTGGCCTCGAACTCCTGGGCTCAAGCCATCCACCCACTTTGTCCTCCCAAAGCACTGTGATTACAGATGTAAGCCACTGAGCCTGGCCAGTTTCATTTCTTTCTTTCCAATTATTTCTGTTTATAAAGAGCAACTGCTTATAATATTCCATTTATTTTTATAATTTTTACAATTTCTGAGTAAATTCTGTAATAGAAATTTAATCAAAAAATTTTTTTCTCTGAAATGAATTTGGTCTTCGGAAAGTTGATTCATTCCATCAAGGCCACCCAATATTTGTTTTCCTGCATAGCATGTTTACAACAATGCATTGTAGGTGCTGAGGATTTTTTTCTCCATTATTAAACACAGGGCTTTCAAATAATCCATTTGTGATTTTATGGAAACTTTTCTAATGGATGGTGCTGCTTTTGAAGTTGCACACATTTATTCTGTGGAAAATATAAGTAACACTTGGCAGGAAAAAGAGCAGAAAAATTCTCAAAAGTAAGCCAAAATATTTATATATTTGTCCACAAAAGATATGCACCAATGATCCTAGGATATATAGGAAAATAAGCTTTGCCCTCAACACTTAGACCTAAACCCCTTTCAACAATGACATAAAAGATGCCACAGGCTTTCCCTTTGTTATGGGGTGGCCACAAGAATGTGAGTTGAGTGAGCTACTTAGTGTCCTCAGCACTATCTTTAGCTTCGAGTCTGGTGGTCCTTGTTGGAGCCAGACTTCTCTTGTTAACTCAAAACTGTTTTTACAGAATGTAAAATAGCTGTCTTACTATTCTTCATATTTTGGAAAAGATCATTTCAAGTTAATGTTAATCTTTGAGTTGATTCTGTTTCCTACACTACTTTGCTTCTGTCTAGTTGCTCTGCATTCTTACAACTTCAATTTGGATACTCTGTAGATGATTTACATTTGATTGATTTTATTTCCCCAATAGTATTTTAATGCCAATTGTTTTCCCCAAAGAAAATATATTGAATGGAATACAAAATAATTTTATCATTACAATGAATTTTTACATATTTAACTCTAGGCTGCTGGGTTATTTAAAAGGAAAAATCAGAATAGATTTATCTTCTAAATATGGTTGTCTCTCAGTATCAATGGGGATTGGTTCTAGGACCCCAATGGATACCAAAATCCATGGATGCTCAAGTCCCTTATACGAAATGGTATCATATTTGCATATAACCTAAGCACACCCTCCCATATACTTTATTTGTTTGTTTATTTATTTACTTAGAGACAGAGTTTCACTCCCTCATCCAGGCTGGAGTGTAGTGGCATGATCTTGGCTCACTGCAACCTCTGCCTCCCGAGTTAAAGCGATTCTCGTACCTCAGCCTCCTGAGTAGCTGGAATTGCAGGCACGCACCACCACTCCCAGCTAATTTTTGTATTTTTAGTAGAGATGTGGTTTCACCATATTGGTCCAGCTGGTCTCAAACTCCTGGCCTCAAGTGATCCACCCACCTCGGCCTCCCAAATTGCTGGGATTAAAGGCGTATCCTCCTATATAGTTTAAATCATCTCTAGATGACTTATGATACCAAATACAATGTAAATGATCAGTAAGTAGTTGTTATACTGTATTGTTTAGTAAATAATGACAAGAAAAAATGTCTGTACATCTTTGGTACAGATGAAACCATCCTTTTCAAAAATATACTTTTGATCTGTGGTTGATGGAATCCACAGATGCCAAACCCACAGATACAGAGGCTGACTGCTGATAATCTCTAATGTGTCCCAATTATTTTTGTGAACGTGCATATACATATATATACATACACACATACATATATACACATATATATATACATACATATATACATATACATATACATATATACATATATATGTATATACACACACGTATATACAGCATAGATGTTATAAATATGTCCACCTAGCTTTCTTCTGTATATATTTCTAATGGTTTTCCATGTGTAATAACTTCTCTTCAGTGAATGATGCCAGGGGAATTAAACACAGGAACTTTAAAAATTCACCCTTGGCTCTCAACAAGAAGGATAAATATCAAGTGATCACGTCCAAAGGCCATAAGACATCAAAGCAGGTTTTGATGCTTTAGCATATTACTTTACAGAAAACATAAAGTCTGCTTGAAAAGCTGGTATAAATACTGCCGAAGAAAGCAAGCTAAGGTGTGCCCACTAGCCAAATGCCCTTCCTCCTAAGGAAGGTATATTTTCCTACTGGGAGCTGGTGTATACCCATGTTTAAAAGTGTACTTTTCTCCAGGCAATTATATTCCTATCCTGTGCCTGTGGCCAAGAGTCTTCTACATGAAACCTAAGAAGCAAGTCACACAGGCCCTTGACACCAAGCACCCTGGGAATGCTCTTCCAAGGACACGATGAACAGCCTTCCTTGGCTCCCAGGAGTGCACATGCATACAGATCAACACTAACATATTCCTTATAAAGCTCACCATTCTCTTTAACTTTTTATTTGTAGAATTCCTTCAAATATTCCAAGCTGCATGTTCAGGGTGCACGTGGATTGATTTGGACCCTCAGTTTTGACTGGACACGTGGACCCTTCTAACAGTCATCAGTGCATATACCAATAGTCGCACTCAAGGAACATAACTACTAATAAGAATTATAGATGTTGAGTGCACATGGACACAAAGAAGGAACAATAGATACAGGGGCCTACTTGAGGGTGGGAGGAGGGTGAGGATCAAAAAATTACCCATCGGGTACTATGCTTATTACCTGGGTGACAAAATAATCTCTACACCAAACCCCCACAACACACAATTTACCCATGTCACAACCCTGCACATGTATCCCTGAACATAAAATAAAAGCTAGGAAGGAAAAGAAGAAACAGAAAACAAATAGCAAGATGGCAGATTTTAACCTTGCTTCATTAAATGTAATAGTATAAACATCTCCGATAAAAACATATGGATTGTAAGACTAGGAAAAAAATTATAGATGTTAAATAGAACTGTTTTTCTTCCTACTGCTTGGTAGAAAGGTATAAGCAAATACTTTCCCTCTGCAACTATTTGTTATCTAAATAATTCTAGAAAATAAAAATAGTATATCTATCTCACTTCTGGTACAATGAGAAAAGACATGAACTCCACAATGTTACTCCAAACGTTACTCTGAGAGAAATCTCAAGTTCACAAGTGGGAAACAAAGCAGTAGCCCCAAAGGACTGGAGTGGAGTAAGGGCTCAACCTAGATAAAGGTGCTCAAGAATTCCAGCCTAGTCCTGGAGGGGCATGGTTCATAAAATGGAATAGAGGAGGTAAGTCTGTTCTTCAGTCCAGAATTTACAAAATTTTCATCAGCACAGGGAGACCTGCCTCCACTGGCAAAAGGAAAACTAAATTTCCTCCAGCTCTGAAGTGAATAATTTAAACCATTTTGAGGTTCAAACAAAACAAAACACAATATTTTCTTTTTTGTGGTTGCACAAAAACTTCAAACTGATTGGAGATTTGGGAGTGTTAATTAGGCACATTTCCCCATCTAAGTGAGAAAAAAAGCCTCAAAGAGGGAATGAGAAGTAAAATACCAAGAATACCCATTTGACATTAGTTTACAATATGGTGGCCCCAAAACAATACTCTAAAGCCATTTGCAAGACTTTCCACATCAGTCAGCACGTCAAGCAGCCAAACAACCAGGTTAGTTTAGAATAAAAGATTTTCAGAACCAGAAGTTATCTTGGACCTGGTATAACCCATCTCCTTCAGTTATTGAGGAAACTGGGGCCATGCAAAATATTACTTGGTGAAAGTTACCCCAAGCTGGGTTTAGTCTTTGCATCTTATATTCGGGTATAAATAGTCTGGTTATTTTGTAACTGGAGTGCTTGAGTCTTCTGATCTGCTGGGTCCTTGAATATCCAAATAAACTAACTCGAGTCTAGTGTTTCTTTCACTTCACTATGTCCAGGCCTGCTCCAGTATTTTTAATGGGTTCTGGCTGCATCTGTGTCCTAGTGGTGGACATCTGTTGCTCCTCACCTGAACCACCCATCATCACCCATCCTCAGTTACTTCTCCAGGCTTCTTGCTACCTATGTTGTCAAACTACTTTGTCTAGGTTGGATGCACATAGGCTCCTCTCCTTCACTGTTAAGGTGCAACAAACAAAAGTGCCATACTATGCAACAAAGTCTACCAAAGGTTAAAAAAGGTGGAGAGTAAAATTGCTACATAGTTCCAGGAATCACTTAAAATTGGACATCAACATCCTCTGGGTTTCCTCAGCTATAGCTTCTGGAGGAATATAGCTTATGGAGAAATCTCTTATCAACTCTTTCCTCAGGCTTCAGCCTCCCAATGTATTGCCTCTCTCCTCTTCCTTCAGTTCTAAGACTTCAACTTCATCTCTCCCATGGTGGAAAGCAGGTATCTCCATCTTCCTCAAACTCCTGATCTGCGACTAGGTCCAGAGATGTGACCTTTGCAGAGCACAAAGGCTCATGAAGTGTTTTCCTAAACCAAAGAGAAGTTATTTTCCTCAATTCTATCTCCTAGCATACATACACAACTACCCTTCTAAACATCGCACTACTTTTTCTTGGGTCATGGCCATGTAAAACAAAATCAAAAGAGAACATCAAAATCTCAATCCAGAGGCCTTCTGCTCAACTTTCAAAGCCATTGTTGGTTTAGAAATTAATTGTGCTCCCTGGATACCTCTCCAACCCCTTACTTCTTTTGCATCTTCACTGCTATTGCCATGGACCAAGCATTCCCACCTCACTCTTTATTCTTGCCATAGCCTTCTAAATGTTTCTCCCTGATACCAGTCTCTTTCTCTTCCATTCACCTGGCCATTAAAGCTTTCTGTCAAAAATTCAACTTAATCATGACATACTGTCAGTTAAGTATCACAGGGACCCATCACCAGCTCTCAGAAGCACGTGTGGTCTTAACCAGTCACAATCTAGCCCCAACTTGGCATTTCATCCTCACATCCTTCCATCCTCCTAATGGCATCTTCTCTTTTCATACCTTGGTATCCTATTATTATTATTTTAGAGACAGGGTTTCACCCTGTTGCCCAAGCTGGGCTCAGACTCCTAGGCTCAAACAATCAGCCTCCAGAATAGCTGGGACTACAGACATGTGCCACTGGCTACCTTGGTATCTTAAATAGGCCTTTTCCTCTTTTGGGGGTGTGACATATAACCTCCTTAAAAACCAAGGCCCAACTTAAACATCACTTCTATGAAATCTTCCCTCTTAGTTCTCATAACCTTCAGTGCATGTCATCATTTTTGCAGTTTCCACATTATGTTGTTAATGTGGATGTGTCTCCCCAAGTAGACTGCAAAGTAAAAAAGGAACACCAGCTTTAGCTCACCTGGATTTCCTAGTACTCAGCATTCTACTTTGAATATAGGCTTGATAAATTTTTATTTAATTAAATTCTATGGACTTAGGGCTGCTTAACCATATCAAGAAATAAAGCATGATGTTTAAGATGTTGTGTGAAGCATTTTAAGTTCATTTCAACTTAAATTTCTTCAAAATAATGGAGGAGAGAGTACCTTGATTTATTTCATTCGAAACTATGCCAAAAATGTTTGCTAGATAATATTGGGGAAATTGGCTCCATTTATGAAGAAAAATACTTTGGATCACTATCCCAAATGATTGTGCAAAAGTAACCTCAAAATGAATTAAAAATCTAGAAATTAAAGTCATCCATCAAATTAGTAAAATGTAGTAAAAGTGTAAGATGGAAAACAAAGCAGTAATCAGAAGTAATGAAATAAAGTATGTAAAGTTAGATAGATCTTTAAAATAAGGAAAATAGTAAGAAACAGAATGAGATCTAGACTATAACAGTATTTATATAAATTAAAAATCAGAAATATGAAGATAAAAGCAACAATGAATGCTTTTTCAGGGGACTTTCTTATCGAAGATATATATTAACCATGTTACAGTGTAAGCCTAAAGCAAGGTACAGAATGAGAGAGAAAATTAGTAAAGTAAAAAAAAAGAAAAGAGATTACCCAAACAGATGGTAATATCAGACCTGGAATGAGAATTTTTCATGGGCACATTCAGATGTAAAGACATATATTGAACCTGTCAAGGTGGTATAGTATGAGAGGAAAATAAAAGGAAAAAATAATGAAAATTTTAAATGGATATTGTAGGTGATGGTGTATCATGCCCTGAGGAATATAAGTAACTCAGTTGTGGATCTTAGGTTTAAATAATGAAATTAAAAGCCTAAACAAGGGGACATTCCAGATTGATTACTTAGAACAACGGGGTCAGGGTCTGTAGAGCAGCAGAGCGTCTGTCTTCATGGTATGATGTCTCTTCTGGCATCTGAGGATCCCTTGGGAAGGCAGTGATGGAGAACAGGCCAAGGGTCAGACAGAAAATCCTAATGCCTGCTCTGCCTAGGACTTGCTGTGGGGCCCAACAGGCCACTCCACTCCCCTGGGCCTGGTTTCCTTATCAGAAAGTCACAGATAACAATCCTGACATGTCACCAGGGAGGGCTGCAAGGGGAGCAAGCAGAAGGGCCTGCACCTCAGAAATGAACCCTTTCCTTCCAAATATGAAATCCATTAAACAAAGCAGGGACTCCAGCTCCCAGATGGACACTGATGCCTGCCCCCCATTGTTAGAAGCCTGCAGCCATTATGTGGGAATTAGGGAGGGAGAGAACAAAGGAAGAGAAATGGCCCACCTATTGAACCCACATAGCTGTTGTGTGGCAGCTTTTGTTTTTGGATCTGTTGCAGCTCACTTTTCCACGTGTGTTTGGGTGATCTTCCAGATTCTAGGGATATATGGTGAACATAACCTAGACCTTCTGAATTACCGGACATTTCCCGACTCCCATTTCAACTCTAGAGAATGGGGTTGAGGAGGGTCATGTGAAATGTAGCCTGAGGCCTACATTTCAAGGGCCTGGAGACAAGGTAGGCTCCATGCAGGAGAGTTGCCCTCAAAATTCCCTTTCTGCTTTGATTAATGAAAAACTGTTAACTGCTTTTGTGGGACTAAATGGAAGGTTCACCTGTTTCAACCATCTGCCAACATAAATAGGGAAAATCCTTATTATTTTATATGAAACAATGGATCTGGATTTATTAAATATTATTGCTATTTTGACACAATTTGTAGTAAGTATGTCCTACAGTTTAGACTGAAGGCAAATATTTATAAAATGTGAAAAATTAATTTTTAAAAGAACTCTAAAATTACTTATATCCAAAGAGAACTATAATTGTTTTAATTAGCCATTAATAGTTCAACCCACTGTGTTAAAACCATGAACTCTTCCAGAAGTATTTACTTACACTAAAGTTTTATCTTGAGCTATTACTGATAATGTCTCATTCATTAGCTTTCTGCCTGGGAACTTTACACTATTTGCAAGCCACATCTTATTTAGCCATTATAACATGTGGCTATATGTTGGGGACGTGGAAGTGACTAATGGAAAAAATCTTGAAGGAGAAAAGAACATTGCCTGTTGAAATTACTCATGGGACATGATCAATATGAGCTGGACCTAGAACCCAAGCCTCAGAGTTGATCTTAGAAACCTGAATTGATCTTGTTGCTTTATGATACCAATTAGCCTGTCTATGCAGGACCAACAACAACAACGAAAGGTATATTTTTCTTGAAGCAAAAATTCCTGACTTTGAGCTAAATATTAAAAAGTGGTGTTCTCTGTATTGGCAGATGTAGGGACAAGTTGCAAATGGCTTGTTAATATTTTGTTGTAAAGTGGTGTGTGTGTGTGTGTGTGTGTGTGTGTGTGTGTGTATTATGATACAGCTCAACACTGTTCCCGTGGGGGAAAAAAAAGCAAGCAAGGGGCAAGGGGGGCTAGTTAGAGAATTAGAAAACAAAAGTAACTTTATCTTGGACCTATTCAGCGGCTTTTTGAAACTTGAGTCATTGGTTTGTGGTTGTCCCATGGGAAAGGGCCAGGAAGTGATAAACACAATAAATGATGAAATCCAAATGGAAAAGCACTGTTCTTTGAGCTATTGGCTGCATAAAGAGGAAGAGAGGATACAAATGTTTATCCTACCATTCCTTGCTTACTGTCAGCATAAGGAAATCTAAACCTCCAGTTTTCAGCCTACTCAGTTCAACCCATTGACAAGATGTTACCCTAATCTGGGAAGACAATCATAGAAAGAATTCACAATAAAAATAGAAGGATTGATCATCTTATTGGTCTGTGGTGAATATTTTATGATTATTAGAGGTGTGTGTAATTTCTTTAAATATCACTCAGATCCTAAATTTTAATTAATAAAATAAGGATAATAAACCTATTGTTATCTTTGTTTAATAGCTCATCAAAAATGTGCTTTTTAATCTCACATTGTATACAAAAATCAACTCAAAATGGATTTAAATGTGACACCTGAAACTATAAAACTACAATAAGAAAACAGAGGAAACGCTCCACAGCATTAGTCTGGGCAAAGATTTCTTGGATATGACTCCAAAAGCAGAAGGAACAAAAGCAAAAATAAACAAATGGGATTGTGATTGCATCAAATCAAAAAGCTTCTGCATAACAAAGGAAACAACAGAGTGAAGAGACAACCCACAGACTGGGAGAAAATATTTGCAAACTACATACCTGATAAGGGGTTAATATCCAAAATACCTAAGGAATTCAAAACAACTCAATAGCAAGAAGGCAAATAACCCAATCAAAAACTGGACAAAGTATCTAAATAGACATGGCTCAAAAGAAGACATACAAATGGCCAACAGATATATGGAAAATGTTCAACATCACTGATCATCAGGGAAATGCAAATTAAAACCACAATGATATATCCTTACACTTGTTGGAATGGCCATTACCAAAATGATGAAAGATAAGTGTTGACAAGGGTGTGGAGAAAAAGAGAACCCTTGTGCACTGCTGGTGGAAATGTAAATTAATACAGCTACTACAGAAAACTATGTGAAAGTTCCTCAGAAAAGTAAAAATAGAATGATCATATGATCTAATAATCTCACTTCTGGGTATACATCCAAAGGAATTGAAATCAATATGTCAAAGGGATATCTACACTTTCATGTTTGTTGCAGCGCTATTCACAATAGCTATGATATGGAAGCAACCAAGGTGTACATCATCAGATGAATGGAAAAAGAAAATGTGGCATATATATGCAATAGAATACTATACAGCCTTTAAAAAATAGTTTAATCCTGTCATTCATGACAACATGAACCTGGAAGACATTATGCTAAGTAAAATAAGCCAGGTGCAGAAAAACAAATACTGCATGATCTCACTTATACGTGGAATCTAAAAAAGTCATAGAAGTAGAGATGGTTATAAGAGTCTGGAGGATGGGGGATAAATGGGGAAAGAGGAGATGTTGATTAAAGGGTACGAAGTTTCAGTTAGAAGGAATAATCTTTAGTGATCTATTGCACATAATGGTGACTCTAATAAATAACAATGCATTGCATAGATCAAAATTGCCAAGAAAGTCGATTTTAAATATTTTCGCCATCAAAAAAATAAGTATGTGACATGATGGATCTGTTAATTAGCCTAATTTAACCATTCCAATACTGTAAGCATATATCAAAACATCACATTCTACCCCACAAATACATACAATTATTATATGTCAGTTAAAAATAAAATTTAAAATATTAAAAAATTGTTTTAAGAGATGAGGTTGGCCAGGCAAACTATGTTGCCCAGGCATACTCCTGGGCTCAAGTGATCCTACCACATCAGCCTCCTGAGTAGCTGGAACTACAGGCATGTGCCACCAAAATTTAAAATGCTTGGCTCCAAAGTTTAAAATACTTGGCTCCAAAATTTCAAACACTTTTCAAAATAAATATGCTCTTGAAAATAAGAACCATACTTTTCTTTAATATATGAGATATTATATGCAAGATATTAAACATTGGTAAAATAGCTAGCATTTATTGAGCACCTATGAAGTATTAAGTCAATGGGTTTATTCATCTGTTACCTCAATCTAAGAAACATTAAATGAGCAAGGCAATTTGATTTCTTTTTAAAATCTGCCAGCTGAGTGAGGTCTCCAACATAACTGCCTACGGAAGTGGTGCCCCTCTTAGCCTTATGCTTTCATTGCTTAAAATATGTGAAAGCCCTTTAATCCAAAGAGTTTCCAATGCCAGTTGAGAAGGAAATAATGCTTGTTTCTTTATTTTAAATACATATTATTTTGGTTTAAAATACATGCTTTTCTCCTCTACTCATCTTCCTTATCAGGGTTGATTCAAGTGGTTTCTATCTGAGTCAAAAAATTAAATGTATTCTCAAAAGAATTATCACTGTGGCACTAAGCATAATTTTGGAAGAGGGGTTCTGTAAGTTTAATGCCCCCAAGTCTTTGTTGAAGGGAATACTTGTCCTTCTTTTAGAGAAATAGGTTCTGGTGAGATTGCATAAAAAAAAAATATCAACCACGGTGCTTTACAGGATAGGTTTTTTACTCCCTACCTGCCCTCCTCACTCTCATTTGGGGTTTGTATTGGTCCGTTCTCACAGTGCTATAAAGAACTACCTGAGACTGTTTGTTCATAAAGAAAAGAGGTTTAATTGACTCACAGTTGCACAGGCTGTACAGGAGGCATGGCTGGGATGGCCTCAGAAATCTTACAATCATGGCAGAAGGCCAAAGGGAAGCAAGCACGTCTTCACATGGTGGCAGAAGAGAGAGAGAGAAAGTGGAGGAAGTGCTACACACTTTTAAACAACCAGATCTCATGAGAACACAACTCACTATCACCAGAACAGCAAGGGGGAAATTCACTGCCATGATTTAATCACCTCCCACTTGGCTCCTCCTCCAACATGTGGGAATTACAATTTGACATGAGATTTGGGCAGTGGAGACACAAAGACAAACCATATGAGGGTTCTTATTTTCCATTTCACTGAGAACAGAAGACTTTGTCCTTATCATTTCAGCACTATACCTATGCTATACACTCTCCCTTCCAGTTTTTCCTTCTGGAAGAGCTATTCACATTCCAATCCAGTGGTTCTCATTATCTTTTAAATCTCTGTGCATCTGTAGCTATCTGTCTTTATATTCCTAATAGTATTGATGTTTTCTTTTGTTTTCTCCTCTATTTTATGAGTTTTGTCAGTTGCTTGTCACTACTGTTAGTCTTTTAAAGTAAATAACTTGGCTTTTATTTTAATCTACTTTCTTATATCTTTTCATTTACGTTCTTAACTTTATTATTCTCATCCTTCTACATTGTTCAAGTGTATTCAGTATTTCTTTTCTGATGTCTTAATGTGGAAGTTTAATTTATTTTTACCCTTCTTTTCTAATATAAGCATTTGAGTCTATAAACTTCCTGTCAAATACCACTGATACGGTTTGGCTGTGTCCCTACCCATATCTCATCTTGAATTGTAGCTCCTATAATCCCTACATGTCATGGGAGGGACCCAGTGGGAGATAATTGAATCATGGCGGCAGGTTTTCCCATGCTGTTCACATGATGGTGAATAAGTCTTATGAGATTTAATGGTTTTATAAATGGGAGTTCCCCTGTACATGCTCTCTCTCTTGCCTGTCGCCATATAAGACGCACCTTTGCTCCTCCTTCACCTTCTGCCATGACTGTGAGGCTTCCCCAGCCATGTGGAACTGTGAGTCCATTAAACCTCTTTTTCTTTATAAATTACCCAGTCTCACGTATGTCTTTATTAGCAGTGTAAGAACAGACTAATACAACCACTTTAGTTGCACCCCCAAAATTTGATTGTAGCATTTTTTATTTTTAGAGACAGGGTCTCACAATGTTGTTGCCCAAGCTGGCATCAAACTCCTAGACTCAAGTGATCTTCCTGCCTCAGCCTCCCAAGTAGCTGGGACTACAGGTGCATGCCACCCTGCCCAGCATTATTTTTAATATTTTTAAATTATAAGTGTTTTCTAATTTCCAATGTTATCTCTTCTGTGACCTACATATTTTTTAATTTGCTTTTTTTTTATTTCCAAAAGTGGGAGGTATGTTTTGTTTTCTGTTGTTTTGTTTGTTCTTGTTTTCTAGTGTAGTTGTGATCAGAGGGGATGAACTGTATGGTAATGGTTTTTTAGACATTTTTGAGATTATTTTAGGTTCCACTACGTAGTCGGATTTTGTGAAGTTCCAGGTGTGTTTGAAAAACATATTATGTGTTCTCCAGTTGTTTTGTGTAATGTGTGTGTATATACACACACATAAAACTCTTAGTAATATATTTCTATATTACTCTTAGTGATATATTTTGCCTTAAAGTCTGTTTTGTCTAATAGTACCACAAATATACCAACTTTCTTTTGATTAATATTTATCTGGTATGACTTTTCCAGTCATTTTACTTTCAACATTCCTGTGCTCCTTTATTTCAGTTATGTTTCTTGTAAATGATATAATTTACAAGAAGTTTTTGTTAAAAAAACATTCAGGCTATGATCATCGCTTTTGAACTAGAGAGTTTTGTTGCAATTGTTGTGATTACAAAACTGCTTGGTTTCATTTTTTCCACCTTATTTTATGTTTTGCCTTAGTTCCAGTTTTTGTTTTTCTTTTCCCTCTTCCCTCTTCTTTATTCCTGCTGTCCTTTGGATTGTTTAAGATTCCTCCCTATTTTATTTTTCTCCTCTCCTAGGTTCTGATGCCTGTTCCTGCCAGATTGCTGGGCACTGCCCTGGAGTGTGACGAGGCATTAGAGATCTACACATGGGCCACTCTTTCTCTTTCCTTGAGTTTTCCCCCAGCAGGTCTGGGGTATGTCTGATTGAACAGTTGCTCTTATCTGCATAACAGTAATTCTAGGTAGTTGGAGAAATATTTGACTTCAATTCATTTTCATTCAGATGGATAAGTAGTCCCAATCTAGTCTCTTTTTTTGAGGATATTACATCTGTCACGAATGTTATCCACTAGTATATTCCCTAGACTTTTCAGCAGGCAAAACCTATTTTATATTAGTAGTTTTGTTAAACTGATGAAGCAAAAGTATTTGCAAATTGTATAGACTCAGTAAGTGTCGATTGCTTTCATGGGGTACAGAAGTGTAAGAAATCTCTACTCCTGCTCTTAGCCAATGGAAACTCCATTTGAGAAGAAGAGCATTTCATGCCCAAAAAAAACAGCAAACAAGAGAAAGGTCAAGGATTAAGTATGATTAAGGGCTAAGCTGGTGGTAGAAGGCTGTACTGTAGATGTTCAGAAAGGGGCATTGGGAGATGGAGTTGCAGGAACGGTTTGGTGAGAGAGAGAAGCTGAGTCTGATGAGCAGCACTTGACTAACAGAAAGTATATCCATTGCATAATATAGCATTCTTTTAATAGCTACTAATATTTATCTGTCTATCATGGCTTACTCCACAGTGGTTTTTAGACTTTGATGTGCATATGAATGACCTGGGAGTGTTGTTAAAGGGCAGATTCTGTTTCACCAGGTCTGGGATGAGACTTGAGATTTTGCATTTCTACAAGGTGATGCTGATGCTGGGGATGCCGGTTCAAAGACCACAGTCTAAGTGGCAAGGTAAATTATTATTAGTTATCTGAGGCACGGACTATGTTTCATTCACCTTTGCATTCCCAAAACCTAGAGCACTGCTTGGCACATAGTAGGCTCCATAAATACAAAATGAACTTATGAATGAATGAGGATTAAGGATAAAGAATATCATTCCAGGTGAAGGATATATTTACAAGGACAATGGGAAAGGACAATGTTGACGCCTGAAGGACAAAGTATTAGTCTGGTAGGTGTAGAGAACTGGGTCGATTAGGAATAAATTATGATGCTCCATGAAAACCAAGCCTAGAATTTTATATTTGAAAAGTCTTAAAATATAGAATCAGCAGGGACTTTGGACAGAGGACAGGAGAGAGGAGTGATGGATTTTAAAGAGACGGATTTTAAAGATAAATTTTTCATTAAAGCATAAAACTTGGAGATTTTTTCTGCAAATAACTGCAATAATTGCATATCAAATACTGATCTTATTCAATTACAGGATTTCTATAGGACGAGTGCTCACTAACTCATACTTTTTTATATGTCTGCAGGGCTGGTCTAAACATACTGTAGCCCTATGCTGTCTTACTTTTGGAATCTCTCTTCCACATTATATAAAATATATTAGACTGGGCGCGGTAGCTCA
The DNA here is from genome assembly GCF_000001405.40 of Homo sapiens. Classification (NCBI taxonomy): domain Eukaryota; kingdom Metazoa; phylum Chordata; class Mammalia; order Primates; family Hominidae; genus Homo; species Homo sapiens. The sequence goes on from NC_000023.11 coordinate 11,695,105, forward strand.
TGCCTGTAATCCCAGCACTTTGGGAGGCCGAGGTGGGTGGATCACTTGAGGTCAGGAGTTCGAGACCAGCCTGGCCAACATGTGAAACCCCATCTCTACTAAAAATACAAAAATTAGCTGGGTGTGGTGGCACGTGCATGTGGTCCCAGCTACTCGGGAGGCTGAGGCAGGAGAATCACTTGAACCCGGGAGGCAGACAAGATCACACCACTGCACTCCAGCCTGGGCAACACAGTGAGACTCCGTCTCAAAAAAATAAATAAATAAAAATAAATAAATAAAACATATTAAAACAAACCCCCATACCACAGGAAGCATAATTATTGTAAAAAAAAAGTTCAGGATTTTATAATTGTGTTTTATGATATTTGGCTACAAGTAACTTTTGACTTATGAATTGGTTATAATTTCTCAGCAGTTACTATGCATATACACAAACTCTCACAAAGTGAGAAAATATGACTTATATATGGTTTTAAATGTAGTGAAATGTTTATAGATACTAAATTTATTAATTAGGGAAGTTGACATGATGTTAGGCTTTGTATACATTTAATTAAACATTTATTTATATTTTATAGTTCTCGCTTTGTATTTTTAAGCCCATAAATTTGATGTCAAGTCTTGAAGATTTTTAAGTCCCTGAAAAGCACCAAAGCCTTGATCAGATGCTCACAGTGCTTAATGGGCATCTCCTACCTCTTCTGATCTCTTACCTCCATCTCCTGCCTCCTCTGATCCTGCATCAGGAATATGACCAATTACTGTTATAACCTTGGGAACAATTGGCAAATATGATCACTATATTGTGGAAGAAGAAATCAGTCTAATGTGATATTGCTATAATAGTGAATGTGCCATTTTGGAACCAAAACATCAAGTAGGAAGTTGCTTCTCATTTCTGCCGTGTTGGTATATCCACTTTCATTGGAAATGATCTTTGCTGCCCAAGTTCTGTCTGCTGTAAGACTTCTTAAATTCAGACACTAATTGATGTGAATTTTTTTTAAAAAGTTACTTGAAGTATGAAGCAAAACAAGCTATTATTAAGCCTGACCTGGTCTATGGAATTCATCAGTTCTTAATAATCTGTACCACACAAAGCTTGCTAAAGGTTGAGACTTCCAAATTGTGAAACAGTGGAGAACTGTCAAATCATTTACATTTGCCTTTAGATGTTATTTTAGTCTTTATCTTAGATATCCTGAGGACTTAACAATCCTTCAAAGTAATGGAATCATCTTGTTAAGATATTATGGTCTTCCCTAGTACGCTTTCTCTCCAAGCACCTTTCTAATATTCTAATATCAGAAAACCAAGCAACAACATAAAACAGAGTGTGAGCTCCCTAAATGGTGCAGAGCATGAAAGAAGAAAGTTTTCAAGAGCCTACTGCATGCCTGACACCTTCCCTACATCCTCTCACTTAATCTTCAGAGCAATTATACTTGGTCAACATTGCCATCAGGGCAAAGGAATAATCCGAAGTCAAACAGCTGAAAAAGGCTTTAAACTCAAAGTCATGTCTTTGCACATCAACTTTGGAAATGTCTTTTTTTGGGGCTGGGGGGTTCATACCATCCCTGGGGCACAGAAGTAATTACGTTGACTTGATATTTTTGTTTATAGCCTCTAATAGACTAAAGTTCCCATGTATATTGACTGACTGATTCATAAAGTTGGTGGAAATGTCAATATAGTCTCAAATAATTGAAATCTGATTTTATTATTGACCTCTAATTTGACACAATGAGGTATGAATTTTGTTTCTCTTCCCCATTTCCATAGAGTGTTCAACTTTCTTACAAACTAAATCTGCTTGTCTTTTTCCTGTTATGAATTCTTATTTGTGCAATAATTTTATTAGACATCCACTAATTTATTTGCCATGAGTTAAATACATTACTGTAACATCTAAGATTTCTTAAAATAGGAGCTAGAGTTATTTTTACTCAAATAATTCCTCCTTAGAAGCATCATTTGCAAAACTCTATTTTAGGCACGCCGTTTGAACTTAATTTTGATCTGTGTATCACTAGTCTTCTATTTATAGACAAGGGATTAACATTCCCATGTTCCCTTTGACCTATTATTCTTGACATCTAATTCCTTCACTAAGAGCTAATTTGAATATAAATTAAAGTATTTAATTTGAGCCCAAATTATTTAAGTGAGTGACGTGGTCTGTGTTCAGTAAGAGTCTGAGCATTTTCTTAAGGAATTGAAAGCTGACTTTATTAACTCACAATTATACTTTGTGTATTAAGAAATATCATATTAGACTTGTGTGATATATAAGAGCTGAGAAAAGCAATTCCTCTACTGGGGCAGCTAAGTAAACCTTCGAAGGGTTACCAAGTATCTTCTGAGTATGTATGAAAAGATCAGGTATCAGAGGAAAGTTATATAGAAGTTATTTAACAAAGGTAGGAGGAACCTAAATAGAGCAGTCTCTGCTAGTTGCCTATTCAGTACCCGCTCTTTCTTCTCAGAAGGCTCACTTTCTCAGTCTGTCTTGGAGTGTGGATTGGCCATGTGACACTAAGATGATCATTATAACATAAGCCAAAGCTTTCAGGAGGTTCTGAAAAACTTTTGCTCTCCTGATAGAAGCAAACAGCTGGCATGGGATATGTCTCTTCTCACTACCTTGAAATGTGAACATGAAGTCTGAAACTGTAGCATCCAGTTTTATGGCCATTCACCAACAAGCCTGAGGGAAAAGCAAGAGTATCACAGTCATGCTAGGCTTGATATCATGGCGCCACACAAAACCAATGCTAGTAGCCATCTACTTCCTCTAGATTCTTAATGCATGAGAACAAATCCTGACACTGTTAGCTGGTGTTTTGTTACATGCAGCTGAATACATTCCTAACACCACATTTGTGAACTTTCCTTTTACGACATTGCCACTCAAAGCATGGTCCTTGAACCAGCAGCCTCAATGTCACCTGGAAGCTTGTTAGAAATGCAGAATCTCAGGCCCAACCTTAGACTCCCTGAATCAGAAAAAATGAGAAAAAAGTGATTTGCATGCATGTTAAAATTAGAAAATCATAGTTCTAAAACATTATAGAAACACAGAGAAAAATATACTCTATGTACATATATATAGAATAACGGTAATTTTCCAAACATGCAATTACTGGAAAAAAGGGGGAAACAGGAGGCTCAATTTCAAACATTTGCTTGTATATCACCTTCTATATGGCAGGCATTTATACATATATATATTAGTTGTAGTTTATATTCATTATTTCCTTTAAACCTCAGATACTGTAAGCATTTACTTTGTCCATCAAGCACACTGCATAGGTGAGGAGGTAGGGCTTTAAAACATGAAGTGATTCCAGAGCCATTCAGGCAGAGCTGCTTTTCAAACCCAGGTCCTGCTGACTTCAAAGCCCACCTCTTTCTGCTCTACTACATGGACTTTCTGGCTACATGTTGAAAGAAGGTGGAAAGTGAATAAGACTTTTGAAGAGAGGGAAGCTATGCTTTAATGGTGAAGGACCAAGAGAATGAACTGCTAAAGTCTGTATCTCTGGGAAGAATTTAGGAGATTAGGGAGATCAAAGTCCCGGTGGGGGCGGGAAGAGAACAAGATGGCAAAATATGGGGGAGAAGGGAGTTTACATTTTGAATGGCAAATTACAGGCACATACTTAATTCAGATGAAAAACTAAAGCTGTTAAGGATAAAGAAGCAACCAACAACATTATGAAATTGGCTTGCTTCAGAAATCCCCAGCCAGAACTCTAAACTCATGCAGTTGTTTTCTGACACGAAGTCTGGGAGATCATTTCTTATCGGAAACACTCATTTTTTGTTCATATTCGTAGGCAGTTCTGCTGACTGTTGTTGGCTTAGCATAGCACATCTGGTCAGGAGGCCTCAATTGGGCAAATCTGAACTGCCTAAAATGGTGTTGATTCATATAACCTGTGAAAACATGGATTCAAATTAACAAGCATTAGGGCAGATTTATATTTTTCCTTTATTTAAGAACGATAATGTTCAGTGGAAGTGATCGTGAGGGAATATCTGGATCCAGATGTAGTGGACAGTCACTGACACTGTATGGATCAATGGCAGACCCAACATTCCCTGCCTTTTTCTGAAAAACCTGGCTCCTTCAGCAACATCATCATTAGCAAAAGCCAAAAGAGAAACTTGCCGACCTACACTGGGTAAGTGCTAACTTGTCTCGGACTTCTCACTTTTCTATTTGGATCAAAAGTCTCTATTTTTAGAGATCCCCCTAATTAATTTAGAAAACTAAATTAAAGAGTAGTCCCCAGAAAAGCACCACTCAATAAATGTTTTATAGAAGTAAGAAGAGAGGAGGCCAAAAGCCTGTTCTTTCCCTAGTGCATGAGTGTTTATTAAGCAAAAAGAAATGTAACTTTCTAAATCTTTGTTTTGATAGTGTTATTTCCTTGCTTTGAAAAAATGATCAGGCCAGGCACAGTGGCTCACGCCTGTAATCCCAGCACTTTGGGAGGCCAAAGCAGGCAGATCATTCGAGGCCAGGAGTTCAAGACCAGCCTGGCCAACATGGTGAAACCCCATCTCTACTAAAATTCCAAAAATTAGCTGAGTACAGTGGTGCATGCCTGTAGTCCAAGCTACTTGGGAGGCTGAGGCAGGAGAATCGCTTGAACCCCCAGGAGGCGGAGGTTGCAGTGAGCCAGATCGCACCACTGCACTCCAGCCTGGGTGACAGAGCAAGACTCTGTCTCAAAAAAAATAAAAAAAATAAAAATAAAAATAAAAATGTGTCCCTAGCCCCAGTCATCCTCTTTCTCATGATCTTATTTCATTATTTTTACCACAATTGTTATTATCTTGATCTTATTTTTTTAATTAATTTATTTATTTGAGATGGGGACTTGCTCTGTTGCCCAGGCTGGAGTGCAGTGGCATGATCTCTGCTCACTGCAGCCTCTACCTCCTAGGCTCAAGGGATCCTCCCACCTCGGCCTCCCGAGTAGCTGGGACTACAAGCGTGTGCCACCACAGTGGGCTAGTTTTTGTTTTTTTGTTTGTTTTTTTTGTTTTTTTTTTAAATTTTTCATAGAGACGGGGTCTCTATGGGCAATTGCATTGCCCAGGCTAATCTCCAACTCCTGGGCTCAAGCAATCCTTCTGCCTTGGCCTCCCAAAGTGCTTGGATTGCAGGCGTGAGTCACCACGCACAGCCTGAATGATCTTGTTAATTTGTTTTCCAGTTTATTTTCTGTCTTTCTCCCTTCTACAATGAAGGTTCCAGAGCAGCAGGGACTTTGAGTGTCTTAATCATCACTGCATTATCAGCTCCTGAGACTGTTCCTGGCACTCCATAAACACTTGGTGATGAATAAATCATCCAACAGAAAGAAGGTAAACTCCAAATTCTTCCTTATTCTCACATGCAAGACCTTCTATGGGCTGAATCCAACTTCAGTTTTCCAGGCTTGCTAGTCCTCTCCTTTAATTTTTGATGCCAGCCACATTCACCTTGTCATTGACTCCTAAATAGGGGGACTTCTTCACCACCAAGGTTTTTTAGTGAGTGCTGATCTTCTTCCCTCTGCCCACCCAAATGCTGTCCCATGGCCTGTTGCGGTCTTTCCCTCTCTGTGAAGCCACACAAATTACTCTGTCCATGTGCACCTTGTTGTCTGCACCCCTTTGGTGTCTGGAGACCCTATGTGCCCAGCAATCAAGTATGATCTGCCTGCATTATCTTTCTCCCCTCATATTGCTGTATTTCATATTATAGATTTGTTATTTACATTTTCGTGTGTGTCTATTTTGTCATACTATATATACTAAGCGACTTTATTTTTTGCCTTTGCTTCTCAAATAAGTTGCACAAGGATTTTCATATAATAGACTTTTAAAAGACATTAATGGAATAACAGATAGAATTCATTAATTGACACTTAAAAGGTACAGTGATAAAAGCCTGAAGAGGAAGTTTCCTGTGAGCTGGAGAACATTAAGAGAGCAATGAAAGAGGAATTGTCTTATGATTGGTGTTGCCCTATAGACCAGGGAAAGAAAATAAATTTACTTTCAAGGGGCAAGTTGAAGAATAAACACTTCTCAAAAACAACTCCCTGTGCCATGAATGGAAAAGTAGCAAAATTAATTTCCTTGAAAAATCATGCTTGATTTTTAAATGGGATGATTTTGATATTTTAAAATATCACCAGACATATTGAATTTTTATGCATTTATTTATTGAGACAGAGTCTCACTCTGTCACCCAGGCTGGAGTGCAGTGTCACAATCTCAGCTCACTGCAACCTCTGCCTCCCAGGTTCAAGTGATTCTCCTTCCTCAGCCTTCCGAGTAGCTGGGATTACAGGCATCCGCCACCATGCCCAGCTAATTTTTGTATTTTCAGTAGAGATGGGGTTTCACCATGTGGGCCAGGCTGGTCTCAAACTCCTGACCTCAGGTGATCTGCCTGCCTCAGCCTCCCAAAGTGCTAGAATTACAGGCATGTGCCACCCCACCTGGCCAGACATATTTTAAAAGTCATACATTCCATGTTTGGTCTTCAAGACCTCCCAGTGTATAATACATGCAAAACAATGAACAGACACAGGATTGGCAAAGATTCACCTATGATCATCTCCCTCACTGCCTCACTGGGAAATGTATTTTATTACAGATAACAGTCTCAGAAACCAGTTTTCGCTTGGACAAATCATTAATAGGTACCTAACAAATAACTGATTGTTCTTCCTGGCATATTGCCTAATTTAATACTTGCCCCCACATTTTGTCCCTTTCTGCACAGCAAAATACAATTTCTAAATGTGTAAATGATACAAAGTCAGTACTTTTAATAAGATGAATAGAAAGAGTCTCATATGCTGACTTATAATCTCTTGGCTCATTTTCAAAAGTTGACGTGTATATCTCAACCTCACTGCAATGCACGAATGCATGCAAACTGTTCCCCTAGTTTAAAAAATCTTGGATTTTAAAAAATTGCTTGTTATACTAACTGCTTAATTTACTGAGTCTGATCAATGGCCCAGTTCAGGCCCACCACTCCCACACTTACTGGGGACAGCTGAGGCACAACCAGCCACACAATACTGAACTGAGCTGCTGCTGGGAGTCCAGGCTCAACCCTACAACAAGCTTGCAAACTTCACATGTAAGTATAGTCTGTATAGCAAGGAAACTCTGGCCAGAGATGACATTTGATCCCACAGCTCATCAGGTCTATGTACGATATTTCACACACCACCCAATAGATGTAATGACAAGATAATATTAACAACAACCACTTTCCTGGATCACTCCCCTCCCCGCAACACACCACTCCAATACAACGGCCACACATTGCATTAATACCCCAAACCTATTCTCAATTTGTTAAATATGGTGCAAGCTCACAGTTAGGAGGATGCAAATCTAGTTGAGCCAAAGAGTCCCTGGAGCTCTGGGAGCCTAGGTGGAGGGTCACCTCAGAGCTTTCCAGTACCCGCAGCTGTGGCTCAGGCAGCTGTGGCTCAGGCAGCTGCAGCCAGGAACTAGTGAGGTGGGACAGCCAATGAGGGAGGTAGAAGTCAGCTGGCCCAGCTTGGGGAGGTGTATCTCTCAGCATCTCAGCTTTGGGACTCTGCCACCACCTCTTCCTAGCCCAAGCTGCTGCCTAAACCAGGCATGTTGAAGGGTGAACAGTGGCTGCCACAAGGCCAAGGCCAAGGCCAAGAGATTGCTGACACTCTCACTCCCTTGCCTGAGCCCCTAGGCCTGTGACAAGCCACACTGTCCTCCAGAACCCATCTAGCTCTAGGCAAAATGTCTTAGGCTTCTGACTGAGGAGTCCACCAGGGCATGAGTAACAAAAGCCAGGATCTGGGCTTTCTAGAGGGCAGGGCCTCTTTCTTTCTAGTCCCCCAGCTTCTTCCTCTGCTTGAAGGTGACTGTTGCAAACAGACAGGTTGTTGCCCATAAGTTCTCAGCCAGTCTCCGGTAATTAGGTTTGAAAACATGAGGTAGAAGCTTCCCCTCACATTGATGTTGTCCCTGGGCTGGCTAGAGTCACCCTCTGGCAGGTGAACAGAAGCCAGCCCTTTTCTTGACTCCTGGCCAGTTGTGCCACACACCAAAACTCTTCAAAACCTACTCCCTCGACCTCTGCTCCAGGAAGGGCAGGACCCAGAGTGGAAGTGGGGAGCACCACTGTCTTTTCACACCCTTTGAGTTTCTTCTGGCCACCATTCTTTCCTTCATCCACACTCCCACTTGCCCTCCTGCACCCAGCTGGACTATAGACTTCAGAGTTCACAGGCAGGTTCACCCTGGGATCCTGCCTAGCAAGTCCAGGTCACGCTGATTATTGTAAGAGATTACACTAATCAGCGTGACCTAGAAGCTCCTGGGTGGATCCGAGTAACAGATTTCCTCCTGGCCCAAAGGCCGGGCTTTTTTTTTTGTCTTCTTCACAGCTTTCAGGTGAGTGCTGGATTTGCAGACAGTAACCAGGCCCTCAAACCTGTGGAGATACATTTTCCTGGTGCTGCATCCATTCGTCTCCTGGGGAGATAGAAGAGATGGCTTGTTCTGCTTCTTTTTTGTTTGCGTTTTGAGACGGAGTTTTGCTCTTGTTGCCCAGACTGGAGTACAATGGCACGATCTCGGCTCACTGCAACCTCCACCTCCCGGGTTCAAGCAATTCTCCTGCTTCAGCCTCCTGAGTAGCTGGGATTACAGGCATGTGCCGCCACACCCAGCTATTTTTTTGTATTTCTAGTAGAGATGGGGTTTCTCCATATTGGTCAGGGTGGTCCCCAACACCTGAACTCAGGTGATCCGCCTGCCTCGGCCTCCCAAAGTGATGGCTTACAGGCGTGAGCCACCGCACCCTGCCGGCTTGTTCTGCTTCTAAACAAGCTGCCAATCCACGGGAAGCCCGAAAAACCCTGCTCACAGCAGGGATGGAGAACAGAGGAGCAATGCTGGCTGTGGAACACCCCCCTGCAGGGGGCTGGGCCAGGGCTAGTGGGGTGAGTCTTGGATCAGGCCGTACTGCATGCTCACAGTGTGGTCCAACTCCTCCAGCCCTACAGGCGGCGGGATGCCCAGCTCCCCCAGGTACAGAGAGTCCTCCAGTTTTGAGAATGCCAGTCTGCTCTCGGGCTCCAGTCTGCAGTAGATCATGGCCAGGGGGAAGAAGGTTGGAGGGCAGTCTGTGGGGACAGACTTCTCCCAGAAAAGCATCATGCTGAGGCCAAAGTCCAGTGTTTGGGGAAGGAAATCGGGATCTGCATACACCTGCCCAATGGTCTCACAGAGAACGATCCCAAAAGAGAATACATCCACATTTCGTCATAGCTCTTTCCATTCAGCATCTCAGGTATCATCCAGTAGAGGTTTCCCACCACCATGTAGCACTTCTTGAAGTTGTTCTTGTGCAAAGTACATTTCTTGGTGGTGGCCATTCTGGAGGCAATGCCTTTGGCCAAGCTGACTTCCTGCTGCCAGGGGAATGGGTCCACACTTTGCAGAAGGTCCTTCAGCATGCCCCCCTCAATGTCCTCTCAGCAGGTTCAGCTTCTTGTCCTTGTACAGCACGCCAATGAACTTGAGCACATTGGGGTGGTCCAGGCTTCACGTCACTTTCACTTCAGTCAGAAAAGTCTTCTGGTTCTCCTCATCACATCGCATTAATTCCTTCATGACCAACACTTTGCCTGTGGCTTTGTGTGTCACTTTGATAGCCTGCCCAAAGAAGCCCTTCCCCAGGACCTCCCCGTGGATCAGGTCACAGGACCGGAAGTTCTGCTTTGAGTAAGTGCTGGAACAACAAAGGGATTCCCAGCAGCTGATGTCACGGCTGAGCAGCAGGGGCTCCTTTGGAGAGCTAGGGCTAGGGGACTTGGAGATGCTGTTACTGAGTCTTAGGGAGCATCTTCTCAGTGTCCCCTCCAGATTATCCTTGGTGTCCAGGGTGCTGAGGGCGTGAGGGTGTCCAGCATTCTGTGTGTGGGGAGAGAGCCAGGCATCCAGCCGCAGCTGGGCTGGGGACCGGGAGACAGGGTCATGTTCAATCAACAGCAGAAGTGTCTGGCTCATCTGGCTAATTGCATCCTCCAACTCCTCTACTTGGAGTGTGTGGGTGGGGGTTCCACTGATCTCCAGGATGTGGTCCCTGGGGTGGATGGCATTGCAGCTGTTGGGACTGATGTGCATCTGGTTGACCTCTTTTACTTGCACGGTGGTAACATAGTTGGAGCAGGCATTCTCCACGGACACGGAGAAGCTCCGCCTGCCCTCTGTGATGGCCAGCATGGACATGAGCATGACAGAGTAGGGCAGCTGGTCCTGAATGGACTCTGTGGAGAGTATCTCAAATATGGGTGCCAGCACCACCTCATTTGTGGCACTTTCCACAGTATAGGGTGACACGCAGCACCAGGGCGTATGCATCCCCATCCTCAATGGTCACCTTATAGCTCACACAGGCAAAGCATTCTGGATGGTACTTGAACTCCCTATTAGCAGCAGCAAATCTGCATGGGTCTGCAGCAACCTCAATTCTTCCTCCTCAGAAGAAAGAATTCGACTGAGGGGCATAAGAGAGAGTGAGAGACCAAGGCAAGTTTCAGAGCAGGAATGAAAGTTTATTAAAAAGCTTTAGAGCAGGAATGAAAGGAAGTAAAGCACACTTGGAAGAGGGCCAAGCAGGAGACTTCAGAGATCAAGTGTGCAGTTTGACCTTTGACTTGGGGTTTTACATGTTGGCATTCTTCTGGGGTCTGCATCTTGTCTCCCCTGATTCGTCCCTTGGGGTGGGCTGTCCGCATGCGCAGTGGGCTGCTAACACTTGGGAGGGGCTGCATGCACAGTGTGTTTACTGAAGTTGTGCACATGCTCACTTGAGGTGCTTTATGTGGTCCCCACAGCCCTGACACCTCCAGGCATCTTCACCTTGGTCCTGGCATTACCACTAGTTGAGTGACCTGGACAACTTCATTTTCTTCCCTAAGCCCCAGTTTCTTCATATGTAAAATGAGGAGATTGTACATTATCTCAAAAGTCTCTCCTGGCTCTAGCACCCACCAGTGCAGACATGGTCCCAGGAGCATAGAAACGGGGAGGAGGAAGCAGGGCCGCAGCAGCACCAATAAGCTCCCACCTCTGCCTAGGCGAGGGAGGACCTCAACCCCAGGCACGAATGGGCGGATTTTTAAATCTATGATTAATCTAGGATTCCTTTGAGTAAGACTTCAAAAAATAACTTTAATATTAGAAAAGGGTTTTGATTGTTTTCCTAATAAATGTGAAAGGAAAACATTAGATCATTTTTCATGGTTTGAGCTTTAATCTGATATTTAATTATGTTTCTGCTTTGCTACAATCAATGAAAGTATGTTGCTTTTGTTTTTGAAATCTTGACATCAACCCAGGATAAATGAATAAAATTTCAAAAAATTAATTTGCTAACACAAAAGGCTTTAGTTATTTTACTTTTAAACGTAAAGTTACAGAATAGCCACCATTACATAATTCGAGCTTTAATAAACTCTAATAAGAAACATATCCTTGTTTAAAATATTAGAACATAATGGCTCTATGCACATTGATTTTCTTCTTTTCTATAACTGCTATGCATTTTGATTCAAAATTAGTTTTTACAGGATTTCTTTTATAAATTATTATCTTGGAGCCTATAAGTAACAAATTTCTTTTCTCTGATCATTCCATAAGCCAAAATATTTCAAACCAGATGTACATGTGAGTTGTGTGTGTATTCTTTATCCACTGACATTTCAAAATTCTATTTAATTATATCTTCATATTTTAAAAATCAGATGATTCAGGGGACTGATTCGATAAGTTGTCTTACTTCCACTAGTGGAATACCATGCAACTGCAAATCCAAGGACTAAGAAGTTCTCTTAAGTTCCAATGTGGGAAGATGTCCAGGTAATATTGTTGAGTGAAAAATCCAAGGCACTGAACAATGTGTGTGTATATTTATATATATAGAACACCACCTTTTGTAAAGAAAAGGTGGAAAATAAGAATAAATATTCATAGGAGTAAAACTTCTTGAGGAATAATGTTTCGTGTATTTTGCCTTTTGAACCAAGTAAATCAAAGAACTATTCAAAAATAACAATAAGGGGGGGAGGAGCCAAGATGGCCGAATAGGAACAGCTCCGGTCTACAGCTCCCAGCGTGAGCGACGCAGAAGACGGTGATTTCTGCATTTCCATCTGAGGTACCGGGTTCATCTCACTAGGGAGTGCCAGACAGTGGGCGCAGGCGAGTGTGTGTGCGCACCGTGCGCGAGCCGAAGCAGGGCGAGGCATTGCCTCACCTGGGAAGCGCAAGGGGTCAGGGAGTTCCCTTTCCGAGTCAAAGAAAGGGGTGACGGACGCACCTGGAAAATCGGGTCACTCCCACCCGAATATTGCGCTTTTCAGACCGGCTTAAGAAACGGCGCACCACGAGACTATATCCCACACCTGGCTCGGAGGGTCCTACGCCCACGGAATCTCGCTGATTGCTAGCACAGCAGTCTGAGATCAAACTGCAAGGCGGCAACGAGGCTGGGGGAGGGGCGCCCGCCATTGCCCAGGCTTGCTTAGGTAAACAAAGCAGCCGGGAAGCTCGAACTGGGTGGAGCCCACCACAGCTCAAGGAGGCCTGCCTGCCTCTGTAGGCTCCACCTCTGGGGGCAGGGCACAGACAAACAAAAAGACAGCAGTAACCTCTGCAGACTTAAGTGTCCCTGTCTGACAGCTTTGAAGAGAGCAGTGGTTCTCCCAGCACGCAGCTGGAGATCTGAGAACGGGCAGACTGCCTCCTCAAGTGGGTCCCTGACTCCTGACCCCCGAGCAGCCTAACTGGGAGGCACCCCCCAGCAGGGGCACACTGACACCTCACACGGCAGGGTATTCCAACAGACCTGCAGCTGAGGGTCCTGTCTGTTAGAAGGAAAACTAACAACCAGAAAGGACATCTACACCGAAAACCCATCTGTACATCACCATCATCAAAGACCAAAAGTAGATAAAACCACAAAGATGGGGAAAAAACAGAACAGAAAAACTGGAAACTCTAAAACACAGAGCGCCTCTCCTCCTCCAAAGGAACGCAGTTCCTCACCAGCAACAGAACAAAGCTGGATGGAGAATGATTTTGACGAGCTGAGAGAAGAAGGCTTCAGACGATCAAATTACTCTGAGCTACGGGAGGACATTCAAACCAAAGGCAAAGAAGTTGAAAACTTTGAAAAAAATTTAGAAGAATGTATAACTAGAATAACCAATACAGAGAAGTGCTTAAAGGAGCTGATGGAGCTGAAAACCAAGGCTCGAGAACTACGTGAAGAATGCAGAAGCCTCAGGAGCCGATGCGATCAACTGGAAGAAAGGGTATCAGCAATGGAAGATGAAATGAATGAAATGAAGCGAGAAGGGAAGTTTAGAGAAAAAAGAATAAAAAGAAATGAGCAAAGCCTCCAAGAAATATGGGACTATGTGAAAAGACCAAATCTACGTCTGATTGGTGTACCTGAAAGTGATGTGGAGAATGGAACCAAGTTGGAAAACACTCTGCAGGATATTATCCAGGAGAACTTCCCCAATCTAGCAAGGCAGGCCAACGTTCAGATTCAGGAAATACAGAGAACGCCACAAAGATACTCCTCGAGAAGAGCAACTCCAAGACACATAATTGTCAGATTCACCAAAGTTGAAATGAAGGAAAAAATGTTAAGGGCAGCCAGAGAGAAAGGTCGGGTTACCCTCAAAGGAAAGCCCATCAGACTAACAGCGGATCTCTCGGCAGAAACCCTACAAGCCAGAAGAGAGTGGGGGCCAATATTCAACATTCTTAAAGAAAAGAATTTTCAACCCAGAATTTCATATCCAGCCAAACTAAGCTTCATAAGTGAAGGAGAAATAAAATACTTTATAGACAAGCAAATGTTGAGAGATTTTGTCACCACCAGGCCTGCCCTAAAAGAGCTCCTGAAGGAAGCGCTAAACATGGAAAGGAACAACCAGTACCAGCCGCTGCAAAATCATGCCAAAATGTAAAGACCATCGAGACTAGGAAGAAACTGCATCAACTAATGAGCAAAATCACCAGCTAACATCATAATGACAGGATCAAATTCACACATAACAATATTAACTTTAAATATAAATGGACTAAATTCTGCAATTAAAAGACACAGACTGGCAAGTTGGATAAAGAGTCAAGACCCATCAGTGTGCTGTATTCAGGAAACCCATCTCACGTGCAGAGACACACATAGGCTCAAAATAAAAGGATGGAGGAAGATCTACCAAGCCAATGGAAAACAAAAAAAGGCAGGGGTTGCAATCCTAGTCTCTGATAAAACAGACTTTAAACCAACAAAGATCAAAAGAGACAAAGAAGGCCATTACATAATGGTAAAGGGATCAATTCAACAAGAGGAGCTAACTATCCTAAATATTTATGCACCCAATACAGGAGCACCCAGATTCATAAAGCAAGTCCTCAGTGACCTACAAAGAGACTTAGACTCCCACACATTAATAATGGGAGACTTTAACACCCCACTGTCAACATTAGACAGATCAACGAGACAGAAAGTCAACAAGGATACCCAGGAATTGAACTCAGCTCTGCACCAAGCAGACCTAATAGACATCTACAGAACTCTCCACCCCAAATCAACAGAATATACATTTTTTTCAGCACCACACCACACCTATTCCAAAATTGACCACATAGTTGGAAGTAAAGCTCTCCTCAGCAAATGTAAAAGAACAGAAATTATAACAAACTATCTCTCAGACCACAGTGCAATCAAACTAGAACTCAGGATTAAGAATCTCACTCAAAGCCGCTCAACTACATGGAAACTGAACAACCTGCTCCTGAATGACTACTGGGTACATAACGAAATGAAGGCAGAAATAAAGATGTTCTTTGAAACCAACGAGAACAAAGACACCACATACCAGAATCTCTGGGACGCATTCAAAGCAGTGTGTAGAGGGAAATTTATAGCACTAAATGCCTACCAGAGAAAGCAGGAAAGATCCAAAATTGACACCCTAACATCACAATTAAAAGAACTAGAAAAGCAAGAGCAAACACATTCAAAAGCTAGCAGAAGGCAAGAAATAACTAAAATCAGAGCAGAACTGAAGGAAATAGAGACACAAAAAACCCTTCAAAAAATCAATGAATCCAGGAGCTGGTTTTTTGAAAGGATCAACAAAATTGATAGACCGCTAGCAAGACTAATAAAGAAAAAAAGAGAGAAGAATCAAATAGACACAATAAAAAATGATAAAGGGGATATCACCACCGATCCCACAGAAATACAAACTACCATCAGAGAATACTACAAACACCTCTACGCAAATAAACTAGAAAATCTGGAAGAAATGGATACATTCCTCGACACATACACTCTCCCAAGACTAAACCAGGAAGAAGTTGAATCTCTGAATCGACCAATAACAGGCTCTGAAATTGTGGCAATAATCAATAGTTTACCAACCAAAAAGAGTCCAGGACCAGATGGATTCACAGCCGAATTCTACCAGAGGTACAAGGAGGAACTGGTACCATTCCTTCTGAAACTATTCCAATCAATAGAAAAAGAGGGAATCCTCCCTAACTCATTTTATGAGACCAGCATCATTCTGATACCAAAGCCGGGCAGAGACACAACCAAAAAAGAGAATTTTAGACCAATATCCTTGATGAACATTGATGCAAAAATCCTCAATAAAATACTGGCAAACCGAATCCAGCAGCACATCAAAAAGCTTATCCACCATGATCAAGTGGGCTTCATCCCTGGGATGCAAGGCTGGTTCAATATACGCAAATCAATAAATGTAATCCAGCATATAAACAGAGCCAAAGACAAAAACCACATGATTATCTCAATAGATGCAGAAAAAGCCTTTGACAAAATTCAACAACCCTTCATGCTAAAAACTCTCAATAAATTAGGTATTGATGGGACGTATTTCAAAATAATAAGAGCTATCTATGACAAACCCACAGCCAATATCATACTGAATGGACAAAAACTGGAAGCATTCCCTTTGAAAACTGGCACAAGACAGGGATGCCCTCTCTCACCGCTCCTATTCAACATAGTGTTGGAAGTTCTGGCCAGGGCAATCAGGCAGGAGAAGGAAATAAAGGGTATTCAATTAGGAAAAGAGGAAGTCAAATTGTCCCTGTTTGCAGACGACATGATTGTTTATCTAGAAAACCCCATCGTCTCAGCCCAAAATCTCCTTAAGCTGATAAGCAACTTCAGCAAAGTCTCAGGATACAAAATCAATGTACAAAAATCACAAGCATTCTTATACACCAACAACAGACAAACAGAGAGCCAAATCATGAGTGAACTCCCATTCACAATTGCTTCAAAGAGAATAAAATACCTAGGAATCCAACTTACAAGGGATGTGAAGGACCTCTTCAAGGAGAACTACAAACCACTGCTCAAGGAAATAAAAGAGGAGACAAACAAATGGAAGAACATTCCATGCTCATGGGTAGGAAGAATCAATATCGTGAAAATGGCCATACTGCCCAAGGTAATTTACAGATTCAATGCCATCCCCATCAAGCTACCAATGACTTTCTTCACAGAATTGGAAAAAACTACTTTAAAGTTCATATGGAACCAAAAAAGAGCCCGCATTGCCAAGTCAATCCTAAGCCAAAAGAACAAAGCTGGAGGCATCACACTACCTGACTTCAAACTATACTACAAGGCTACAGTAACCAAAACAGCATGGTACTGGTACCAAAACAGAGATATAGATCAATGGAACAGAACAGAGCCCTCAGAAATAATGCCGCATATCTACAACTATCTGATCTTTGACAAACCTGAGAAAAACAAGCAATGGGGAAAGGATTCCCTGTTTAATAAATGGTGCTGGGAAAACTGGCTAGCCATATGTAGAAAGCTGAAACTGGATCCCTTCCTTACACCTTATACAAAAATCAATTCAAGATGGATTAAAGATTTAAACGTTAAACCTAAAACCATAAAAACCCTAGAAGAAAACCTAGGCATTACCATTCAGGACATAGGCGTGGGCAAGGACTTCATGTCCAAAACACCAAAAGCAATGGCAACAAAAGACAAAATTGACAAATGGGATCTAATTAAACTAAAGAGCTTCTGCACAGCAAAAGAAACTACCATCAGAGTGAACAGGCAACCTACAACATGGGAGAAAATTTTTGCAACCTACTCATCTGACAAAGGGCTAATATCCAGAATCTACAATGAACTCAAACAAATTTACAAGAAAAAAACAAACAACCCCATCAAAAAGTGGGCGAAGGACATGAACAGACACTTCTCAAAAGAAGACATTTATGCAGCCAAAAAACACATGAAGAAATGCTCATCATCACTGGCCATCAGAGAAATGCAAATCAAAACCACTATGAGATATCATCTCACACCAGTTAGAATGGCAATCATTAAAAAGTCAGGAAACAACAGGTGCTGGAGAGGATGCGGAGAAATAGGAACACTTTTACACTGTTGGTGGGACTGTAAACTAGTTCAACCATTGTGGAAGTCAGTGTGGCGATTCCTCAGGGATCTAGAACTAGAAATACCATTTGACCCAGCCATCCCATTACTGGGTATATACCCAAATGAGTATAAATCATGCTGCTATAAAGACACATGCACACGTATGTTTATTGCGGCACTATTCACAATAGCAAAGACTTGGAACCAACCCAAATGTCCAACAATGATAGACTGGATTAAGAAAATGTGGCACATATACACCATGGAATACTATGCAGCCATAAAAAATGATGAGTTCATATCCTTTGTAGGGACATGGATGAAATTGGAAACCATCATTCTCAGTAAACTATCGCAAGAACAAAAAACCAAACACCGCATATTCTCACTCATAGGTGGGAATTGAACAATGAGATCACATGGACACAGGAAGGGGAATATCACACTCTGGGGACTGTGGTGGGGTCGGGGGAGGGGGGAGGGATAGCATTGGGAGATATACCTAATGCTAGATGACACATTAGTGGGTGCAGCGCACCAGCATGGCACATGTATACATATGTAACTAACCTGCACAATGTGCACATGTACCCTAAAACTTAGAGTATAATAAAAAAAAAAAAAAAAAATAACAATAAAATGAGATAAAATCTACTAAAAATCAAGTGAAACAAGTTTTTGATCTGGTTAATAGAACATAAAATGATAATTAAAACATTAGCTAAAATTATGATTCAAATTCAAATTCAGGGATTTTTATTATGCTCACAAAGTTGTGCAACCGTCACACAAATTCCAGAACTTTTTCATCACCTCCAAAAGAAGCCCTGTGCTCATTAGCAATCACTCTCCATTCCCCTTTCCCCCAATCCACTATTTAATTTTTTGAAAAACAAGTTATAAAACACTCAAGCACAACATAAATTCCAAGCAAAACTCAAAACTGGTTTCTAAACAGCACTCATTATAGTAGCACCTGTGACCAATATCTCCAAGAAGTTGGGTTAGGGAAAGAAAACTGTCAAGGGAAGTGTAGGTGTGACTGCAGGGGTCAACTTTTGAGCTTTCCCAGAAGACTCTGGAGCAGGGGACAGCTGTCCAAATGAACTTTCTGGGGCACTCCCTGGTTCCTGCATCATGTCTTTCTAACAAACCCTTCCCTTCTATGCCCTCCTCTCTTAGTTTACTCAATTCCATGTGGAGATTTATCTTTGTCCATCTTTCTTTCTATATGAGCCAGCCAGACATTAGGCTCCATATTACCCTCCAATCATTCCAGCAAACCTTATAGCTACCAGAAAGTTTTTAGTAACTATCACAGCTTTTAAGAGAAGTCAGTGTTGGAAGTCACTTCAAGGTCATCTGGTCAGTTGGCTCATTTTTACATATTTTATATATGGGGAAAGCAAAACACAGAACATGGGCTCTACTTGGAGGCTCCATCAATATTTACAACACAGTGCCATTGGTCCTGTTTTAGAAAGACTCAAGATTCAAACAGGCTTTCTTAAGTACCTCTTTCCAAAGTCCTGTTGTTCAGGAGGAGAGTTGGGCTATCCCCTGAGCACAGTAAGTTTTTATTTTGTGTCTGGTTGCTCTCAATAATAGGAAGAGTAGTTGGGCATCAGTGATGTCAGATACAATAATTATGGCTGCTAACCCTTTGTGAACCTAAAAGAGTGCTTGGTAAGTCCTAAAGGGAACTAGAAAAACTCACCAAAACCCTGAATGACCAAGGAAGACTGTCCAAAGACTTTCAGTGGTGAAACGGAATGCAAGTTTCAATATGTGCTATTATTTTCAGTCAGCCTGAAGATGTCATGGATAAAATAGCAGACTATAAGTAACAACACCGGTGGCTATGTCTGTTGTCTCATTGATTTTCTGGTGGTTTTGTTGTGTAATAAATCAAGTCAAACGATTGAAAGTTATGTTTTTTGTGCATCTTCATATTTCAGATCAGGATAAACAACTATACTGTGATAAACTTTTGTACAAGGTTTAAATTTTCAATCAGGGTCCAGTCAGGAAAATGAAAATCAAATCAAGTACGTGAACAGAAAGAATTTAATCTAAGAAATTGGTTGAACAGGTATGGGAGTACTGAAGGGGCATAAAGGGCCACTGAGATAAGGTAGAAGCAGTAACTTCAAGAAGCAGCTACCACTCTTGGGCTGAAAGAACAAAGGGAAGAGTTTGGGGTTATCAGAGCCTAGGAGATCAGAGGAGAGGCCACATAGGAATGGGCTCCAGACTTCTGAAAAGGGGACACTGCTTGGCTGATGCTAGTGTATTTGAGGAGGTACAATGAGACTGGTTCTAGAGATATGAAAAACAAATCCTGGAAACGAACGAACTGCCACTGCCAGGCATAGAGACATCGCTGGGATGACACTGACAGGAACAAGCAGGCAGTAAAGAGCAGGCCCCTTCTGCCTCCTCCAGCCTCGAAGTCTCCCTGCATCCCTGGTTTTGGTTGAACCTACTAGGGAGCCAACTGGCAAAAGACTCTCAGCTCCAACATCCAAGAGGAGTGTGGAAGACTGGGATTGAGCTGAGATACAATAGCTTACTGATTGGCATACTTCCTAATTTAATAATAATCTATTTAAGTGCATGCTTCAGTATAAGAAAAATCCCCACATAGGAACAAATGTATGTGAATTTAAATAATAAAAACCTATCCACTTTTACAACGAGAAGTTACATAGTTTATGTCTGACTATCCTAGATTCATGATTTCAGGGCTTCTATCAATTAATTCTCAGTAACTGATGCCTTAAAAATTCTAAATCCGGGCCAGTGCAGTAGCTCACACCTGTAATCCCAGCACTTTGGAAGGTCTAGGTGGGTGGATTGCTTGAGGTCAGGAGATTGAGACCAGCCTGGCCAACATGGCAAAACCCTATCTCTACTGAAAATACAAAAATCAGCCAGGAGTCGTGGCAGGCACCTGTAATCCCAGCTACTTGGGAGGCTGAGGCAGGAGAATCGCTTGAACCCAGGAGGCAGAGGCTGCAGTGAGCCGAGATCATGCCACTGCACTCCAGCCTGGGCAACAGAGGGAGACTCCGTCTCAAAAAAAAAAAAAAAATTCTAAATCCAGTTTGGGATTAGGATCAACATCGATGAGATCTGTATTTACTGAATGCATACTTTAAAGTTGCATTCCTGGACTCTACCCAAGAGATGCCAGTAGCAAGTCACATCCCCCAGTTGTGACAACTGAAAAATATCTCCAGACCTTGCCAAATGTAACCTGAGGGTTAAAAGTAACCCTGGTTGAGAAACACTGGCTACCAGCACTTGAGCACAAATGTTGATTCACTGTTTTTTTAATAATGATAAAGAATAACGAGAAATGGGTCTCTTATTCTTAGCATCCCTAATTGGAATGGCCTCTCTGTAAACTCGACATAAAATTTCTAACTAGTTTTCACATTTCTGTTGGCTTCATTTTGGAAAATAAGATTTCTCATTTTTGGGGAGACTATTCCTATATTTGGACTGGAGACTTTTAATCTGTGCTTGCAACTGAACAGAAAGGATTCCTGAATCTGAGTGTGTCGTGCTGCATTCCCAACATCAAAGCTCCGACTACTGAGCTTTTTGTTTTGTTTTGTTTTGTTTTGTTTTGTTTTATGTTCCATACTATTTATCTTAGGCTTTTGTGGTCAAAAGCCAGAGTTCTAAGATATCGGAATTGTAAAAGCCCTCAAGTTGGAATTTAGAAAATGGTAGGTGAAAGAAAATTTCTCTTAACAGTCAGTTCTTACACTCATTAGTAAAGGAACTATTAAACACAAGTACTAAATAGGCAAGACATTTTTCTCAATTTTTTCCTCTATTTAGCCTATGAATATTTGAAATAGCTGTATCTAATGTTTGAAATGTTTCTTTCCCCCTTTTTCATATGCTTTCCAGAGAAAACCCAACAAAAATAAATACAGCATAATGAAAATGAACGCTTCCAAAGCACATTTGGTTAGGTGAACTAATTAGTCATGTTTCGCTTACATTTGCTTAAGAAAGTCATTTATTCCACCAGAGCTATCCCATACAATTCATGAATACAGTCAATATAAACAGTCATAAATAGTTCAATCAAGAGCATATCTGTTATCACTGATGTTGTCAAAACAGTTTCTGTCCAAAGAGATTTCATCTCTCTCCTCCAGTTCCTTTATCTACCTCCCTTGTAGTGCATAATACATGCTCGATTTGGAAAATTTACACAATAATTGAAATAGTAAAGAAGAAACAAATCTCATTACCTAGAGACAACATTTCAGTGTATTTCATTATGGTATATTTTCTCTCCAATATTTTTATCAATGTATTCATTCATCAAAAAAGCATAGCTGTGAATTGGGATCATACTTTTAAGTTTTGTAGCTGAATTATTATCTTTTTTTTTTTCTGAGATGGAGTCTCACTGTCGCCCAGGCTGGTGTGCAGTGGTGCAATCTCTGCTCACTGCAACCTCTGCATCCCAGGTTCAAGCGACTTTTCCGCCTCAGCCTCCTGAGTAGCTAGGATTACAGGCACGCACCACCATGCCCAGCTAATTTTTGTATTTTTAGTAGAGATGGGGTTTTACCATATTGACCAAGCTGGTCTTGAACTCCTGGCCTCAAATGATCCACTTGCCTCAGCCTCCCAAAGTGCTGAGATTACAGGCTTGAGCCACTGTGTCCAGCTTAATATTTTTTATTGAACATTATCTTGTGCATGTTTTCTCACAGGGCTAAATATTCTTCAGAAAGATATACTATTCTTAACTCATTTATGTTTGAGTAATATTTTGCTTGACTCAGTGTTTTTATAATTTTTCCTCTAAAAGTATTAGCATTCACAAAGTTGGGCTTCTTTGATGGTTTAATTCAGTGTTTCTGTGATTTTCAATTAAATCTAAATTTACTCTAAAAAATGTCTCTAATTTTCTGTTTCCTAGATTCTTATCTTTATTTTCTGCATTACAAGCAAAGCTGAGGGCCTG
This sequence comes from Homo sapiens, assembly GCF_000001405.40. Lineage (NCBI taxonomy): Eukaryota > Metazoa > Chordata > Mammalia > Primates > Hominidae > Homo > Homo sapiens. The sequence continues at coordinate 11,717,655 of NC_000023.11, forward strand.
GGATGGTGGCTCACGCCTGTAATCCCAGCACTTTGGGAGGTTGCGGGGGTCAGATCACCTGAGGTCACGAGTTCCAGACCAGTCTAGCCAACATGGTGAAACCACGTCTCTACTAAAAATACAAAAATTAGCTGGGCATGGTGGCATATGCCTGTAATCCCAGCTACTTAGGAGGTTGAGGCAGGAAAATTGCTTAAACGTGGGAGGTGGAGGTTGCAGTGAGCTGAGATCTCACTACTGCACTCCAGCCTGGGTGACAGAGTGAGACTCCATCTCAAAAAAAAAAAAAAAAAAAAAAAAAGCAAAGCTGAGATTTATAAATTTGTAAAGCACTCCTTGCTGTGTAAAGCAGTTATCACAGTGCTTGGGCACATAGATTTCAATGAAAGCTAGTCAATATCATTCTTAGGATTTTCACGATTATTCTGCTTGAAACTTCAGCTTTGAGAATAAAGCAAACTTCATCAAAGGAGTATGTAGACATAGTTAATTTTCACGTGTTACTCCCAGTCAGGGTTTCTCAACCTTTGCAGGACTGAAATTTGGAACTGGACAATTCTTTATTGGGGGAATGACCTGTACATGGTAGGATGTTGATCAATGTCACTGGTCTCTACTCATTAGAGTCTAGTAGCAGCCCCCAACCCCCAAAACAGTTGTCACAACGAAACTTATCTCCAGACATTGCCAACTGATCCCCAGGGGGGTAGAATTGCTCCATGTGGAGAACCTCTGCAATAGGTAAATCTGTCAGAACCCACAGAATGTTCCTTTATAAAGACCACCTGCCATCTCTAAGCCTTCAGCATGAGTGTTTTATTCTTAAATCTCCATATGGCATGAAGTTGCCTTTTCTCCTGAGAAGTCTCTTAAGCTTCTTCCTGTTGTTCTTGAGATACTAAAATGTGAATGGTGCCAGAACAAGTCACCAGAGACGTCTGAGCCAAAAAGATTTAACAAACAGACACACAGACAGATATTTGCCTAAAAGTCTGTGCATTTGGAAATTAAAATATCCTTCTATTCTCATCCCAAAACCGGGTAGGACTGCATGATATTTGAATGATAAATGAAAAAGTGACCCAAGAAGAACACATTACATCCTCTATCACCCTTAGCTTCTCCTTATTTGTGTAGTATAAAGACCATGGGTTACGGCATTATCAATAGCAATAGAAAATTAAGCAAAAAATTAGTTTTTCAAAAGGAAGTTACTAATATAACTGATATATCTGTACTACGTAAGGACTTTTTACTTCGTAGGAAATATGGTATATAATATCTGTCTATCCCTATAGCTTGTCCAAAGTTAGGATGATATAATATGTTTTTGCTTTCCTTCACGATTAGTTTAAAATCATATTGGAATTTAAAGGAGGATTTAGCAGAATATCAACTTCTGTGAGAAAATGATGAAAGGAAAAACAATTGGGTCTTTTGAATGAAACAGGTTGCTGCGGGTGGCTATAACAAGTAAACCACTTAAGTTCAATGGCTAAATTAAACAAGACAGGAGCTTAATTCTCACTTCCATAAAAAAACAATTTGAATATTTTCGGTCACTGGGCAGGCAGTTATCCTCCATGGAGTTCTGCTATCCCCTAATGCCTCAAGTCCTCTGCCTCAGGAAAAGAGAATAGAAAAGGTACCAGTGTCTTTGAAGACTTAAACTGAACTGACAAACCTCAACTCTATCCACACATCAGTGGTGAGAACTAGTCATGTGGTTACAACTGGAAGCAAAGGCAGCTGGAAAAGGTAATGCTGGGTGGGGCAGCTGCCTCACCATGACCACAGCACATGATCGAAAGGGCAGACAATTATCAGTGGACAGATGGCATCCTGCATCTTGCCATCATGAATGAACCTTTATAACTCAAAATAATTTGAAAAAAAGAAACTTAGCCATTGTTATGGATTGGATTTTGTCCCGCAACAAAATATGTTGAATTGCTAAGCTGCAGTACCTCAGAATGTGACCTTATTTGGAAACAGGGTGGTTGCAGATGTCACTAGTTAAGATGAAGTCGACTGGAGTAGGAAGGGCTCTTAATCCAATATGACTGATGTCCCTATAAAAAAGGGAGAGACACAGTGAGAAGAGAGCCATGTGATGACAGAGGCAGAGATTGGAGTGATGCCCTACAAGCCAAGGAATGCCAAGGACTGCCAGCAACACCAGAGGCTGAAAGAGTCAAGGAAGGGGTCTCCCCTAGGTGCTTCGGAAGGAGCATGGCCCTGCCAACACCTTCATCTCAGACTTCTGGCCTCTAAAACTGTGAGACAATAAATATCTGTTGCTTTAAAGCCACCCAGTCTGTAGTGTCTTGTTACAGCTGCGCTTAGAAACCAATACAGCAATCCAGTACCAACATGGAGGACAAAACCGTCACACCAACACTTCCCAGGCCCTGTGTCCTGCCTACCTTTGACTCTTACATATCTCTACTTTATATTTGCCAAAGGAAGCCTGGCTGATGGTGGGGCAATGGGGAGTGGGGCTGGTTGGACAAATACAGCCCTTTAGTCATGACTCCATCAGCCTCATTCAAACTCTCTCAGAGAGACAGTTACCTCTCAGTGTATGTGTCTTTCTCCATCCTCTGTTTCTTGAACTCCTCAAAAATGGCCCTCTGGATTTAGCCTCTTGGGGTTCTAAGAAGGCCTTTGGAAAAGGAGGAGTTATTATAAGAAGCAATAAACAATATTGGGGCAGAAATGTTCTTCTGTCTAGGCCCCCAGGCTGCTTTTAGGACACTTCCCTCTCGTCTTCCATGGCTCCTCTGACATCTCCCTCATGGACATCTCTGCTTCCTTCCGTGTGTTCCATGATTCCCCATGTTCTGACTGGCTAATGCACACTGTATTCTTCTATCCAGATTCCACTGGGAGCTAGTCTCACCAGCCTAGTGAGTTTCCACCACCGCATTGGGCAAAGCCTTTACACCAGGCCACCTCAGGGGTCTCCCCAAGCTATGGAAACTCCACTCTTTGTTCTTGGGCCACCCTACCCCCACCCAGGTGGCTACCTCATGCTAAGAACAGGCTGTCACAGATTCTCCTTCAAGGCACTGTGGATGGGGTGTGGCCCAATAGGAGGGAACTTTGCACTTTCCAGGTTAGTATGTCTGACAAGTCCAGCACAGACCCAACGTATGTTCTAGTAGTCTTTCCTCTATCTTAATTGCTTATTCTTGATAGATGTCATTTTATCTTTTGAGGTGGCATGGTTGCTCAACATGAGCATAGACACAAAGGCCGGGTGTGGTGGCTCACATCTGTAATCCCAGGGAGGATTTTGGGAGGCCGAGTTGGGTGGATCACCTGAGGTCAGGAGTTCCAGACCAGCCTGGCTAACGTTGCAAAACCTCATCTCTGCTAAAAATACAAAAATTAGCTGGGCATGGTGGCACGTGCCTGTAGTCCCAGCTACTTGGAAGGCTGAGGCAGGAGAATTACTCGAAACCGGGAGGCGCAGTAAGCTGACATCATGCCACTGCAGTCCAGCCTGGGGGATAGAGTGAGACCCTGTTTCAAACAAACAAACAAAAAAGACACGAAAGCAGAGCCTGGAGCATCCATGGTCTAGTTCAGAGGCTATGCCATGGGAATAATAATGGCTCATACTAATAGCTAACTCTTACAGAGGACTTTTTAAGAGGCAGACAGACAGTCTTCTAGATGCTTCACATAAGTTAACTCATTTAACACTCACAACAACCCTCTGGGGTGGACACCATTAATATGTCCCATTTTATGCCTAAGGAAACTGAGGCACAGAGATTCCAAGGAACTTGCCACATGTGTGTATTAACAAATAAATAAGAAGGTATAGGTTTAAAAAAAAGAAATTCCTTGAAAAACAAAGACATTTGAACTGAATTTGGTGAGACAGAGAGACACTGAGGTTTTTGAGACCAGAATGATTCAGCAGGAGCGAGATGGATTAGTGGCCCCTGAAACTAGGGGTAGTGGCTGATCCAAAAAGCTCCTGCAGAGATCCACATCCAGGGGAGAGGCTCTGAACTGGAGTGGTGGCAAAGGCAGTTGAAACAAGAAGCAGGTACTTTGGGAGGCCGAGGCGGGCAGATCACGAGGTCAGGAGATCGAGACCATCCTGGCTAACACGGTGAAACCCCGTCTCTACTAAAAATACAAAAAAATTTAGCCAGGCGTGGTGGCAGGCACCTGTAGTCCCAGCTACTCGGGAGGCTGAGGCAGGAGAATGGCATGAACCCAGGAGGTGGAGCTTGCAGTGAGCCGAGATCGCGCCACTGCACTCCAGCCTAGGCGACAGAGCAAGACTCCATCTCAAAAAAAAAAAAAAAAAAAGAAGAAGAAGCAGGTAGACAAAATTGCAACATCTTGTAGGACTTCCTGAGTAATGACAAGAGCTGTAACCATCAGGGTTCAATGAGGGAAAGAAAACTGCTAGGAGAGTGCGATGGATTGAATTGTTACCCCCCAAATTCGTATGTTGAAGCCCCAACCCCCAATGCGATGGTATTTGGATGTGGGATCTTTGGGAGGTGAGTAGGTTTAAATGAGGTCATGAGGGTGTGCGCCTCATGATAGGATGATTGTCCTTATAAGAAGGGGCACCAGAGAACTTGCACTCTCTGCCCTCTACCACGTGTGGACACAGTGAGAAGGTGGCTGTCCGAAAGCCAGGAAGAGGGCCCTCACCAGAACCTGACCCTGCTGGCACCCTGATCTTGGATTTCCAGCCTCCAGAACTGTGAGAAATAAATTTCTGTTGTTTAAGCTACCCAATTTGAGGTATCTTGCTATGGCAGCAGAAGTAGACAAAGAGAGAGGAATGGATAACGGATGCATTTATAGTGGATAAGGCTGATGCAATTGTGGGAGTTGGTGAAGCAATTTACAAAGATGAGGAATCTGAAAGGAAAGCTTGACACCGTTCATGACACTGATGCCCATCGCAACAGAGCCAGCTGTCTGCACACCTGGCCCAGGCCTTGGGGAAGCTGAGGGGGACATCAGAAGGAGCTGGCGGAGCTGTGGTGCAGGTGCTGGCCTCATGTCAGCAGATCTCATGTCAGCAGATCAGTGACAATGTGCAGAAGCCCTGCTCAAACCTTCAGAGTGTACAATATATGACTTCTGCTTCAATTCCAATTTCCAAGTTGCACACAAAATGTCCTGGGTGGCCAATATTGCCTGGAATCAAATGGCAAAGGGGATGCTGTGAAACCTAGGCTTAGCTGAGTTAAGTTAATACAGCACAAAGCCAGCAAGATAGTGGATGAGAAAAAGCAGACAAGTAAAGAGGACCCCAAGTTTTTGTGCATGCTTGACTAGAAAAATGGTGATGATTCTAGGAGATGTTGGAAGACGATGGTGAGCTTAGTTCTGCTGTAGTCTTTGGCATGTATGTAGAAACATCTAGCAGGCAACTGAAGACTTAAAGAGAGGACAAGACTGGAAATAAAGACATAGGAGTTTTTAACCAAGTGAGGTTTTGTACACTTCTCCATTCTCTATGCTGCTGAAGGAAATGATGCAGAAAGTGCATGGAGCCATCAAAAATTGGATTTTGTTCCTTTTAAGAGAAAATTTTATTCTTCATTTGATTCTTTCATTTAATGAAAGAATCACTTATTGAGCAACCACTTATTGAGCACATGTATAAGTTCGTCATAGTGGTTCTAAGATAGAAAATCTAGGGTCCTGCAAACAAAAATCACCTAAAAATGCCTCAGACCAGGCTGTTATAGGGTTTGTCCATGTTGTGGAAGCTGCTTTGAAGATTACGCTTGGAAAAGAAAGGAGAAGGCACTTAAGAGAATCAGTATGTGTGAGATATAGAAGTTTTTGCACTTACCCTTCACTTTATAAAGAGAGGTTAGTTTTCAGAATGGATGTACTGCTTTATTATTTACTTATTTATTTTTTTATTTTTGTAGAGATGGGAATTTGCCATGTTGCCCAGCCTGGTCTCGAACCCCTGGGCACAAGAGATCTGCCCCCCTCGGCCTCCCAAAGTGCTGGGACTACAGGTGTGACTGCCAGATGATGTAATGCTTTAAATCAGTGAATTAAGACAAGGGCTCCACAAGAAGATCATAAAAGAAAAAAGACCACTAGGACATGTCTTCCCTGACTTCCTCTTCTTAAAGAGCTACAGAAACTTCAACATTCAGGCTACCAGGTCAGCCTCGCCCACCTCACCTAAGCGGACCTAAGTCTGGCATCAGGTGGGTCTAGCATGGCTCTTGCTGCCTCTACACTTGGACCTCTTCACACGGAGGTCCTCAGTCCCTCCAGCATCTCCTCAAGTTATGTTCTAGTCATAGCACCCCATTAGGAGCTCTGCCTGAGGGCCATTCCATTTGAATGGGGCCTTGACAATCCTTTCTGACTTTCTCCCTGGGTGCTGAAATTGGAGAGAGAGCTTTCTCCACCCCTGACCACAAGTTTGAACCCCTGCCCAAGCAGTGGTGCCAAATGCCCTTGCACTCATTGGATCTTGTAATTTGCACAATCAGCCACCTGTTTATTCAGGCCTACAGAGAAGAAATCTCCTGAAATCAGTACCTTTATATCTGCGGTCATTAGATCACCTACATCAGAATCAAATGTAGGGTTGCTTTTAAAAAAAATGCATGTTCATTTTTGCTGACTCAGACTGTCTAACAGCGTGGCTTGAGAGTCTGCCTTTTTAGCAAGTATTCTAGGTGATTCTTTGTACATTACAGTTTGAGACCATTGATAAGATCAAGCATAGACTAACTCCAGGGGTGCTCCCACCTCCCCAAAAGCTATTGGGCTCCAGACTGTTTCCTTACCAAGCCTATTATTAGTTTGACATGATTTAGTTGATCTCTCTATTCACACTGTTCTCAAAGTGTTGTTTTAAAATTATGCGTAGGGTATCTTGGTAAGTAAATTTTGATGTACCATTAGGCCGTTATTGGAGTCTCCATCTGGTGGCCACAGTAGAGAATGGCATGTTTCACTGAAGAAATTATGGGCAAGTGTAAAACTGGGGAAATTAAAAAAAAGTTTCCTTGGTGTCTTAAGGGATTGGCAATCACAGTCTTTCTTTTTTATTTTATACGCTCTAAGTTTTTCTTCATATAGGCAGAACACTTTGACACACAGCTGTGGACTGTACTTTCACTTTCAAACAGAGACGATTTCAATTAGATGACCTAGCCCAGCAAGCGCTTTCTGCAAAGGGCCAGATAGTAAATATTTTAGGCTTTGTGGGCCATATGGTCTCTGTTGCAGTTGCTTGACTCTGCTTTTGTAGGATAAGGGTAGCCACAGACAATATGTACACAAATGGGCATGGTGTGTCCCTATAAATATTTATTAACACTGAAATTTAAATTTTGCATCTTTTTCACATGTCACAAAACATTATTTGTATTTTTCACTCATTTAAAAATTCAAAAACCATTCTCATCTTTGCAGGCCTTGCAAAAACAGGCAGCAGGTGGGAGATGTTTCGCAGTCCATAGTGTGCAGACACCTGGCCTAGCCTATATAAACCGCTTTCCTTCAGGAATATTGTGAAGGATACATAGTGGGTATTTGTGCTGAGTATCTCCTGTTTGCATTTCCATATACTCGAGAAGTGTGGGGCTGTGGGACTAGTGTACCTTCTGGTCTAGAAACTTTGAAGCCTGTAGAGCCTTGGCAAATGACCACAAAAGCTAATAGGCTGAGTAAAGGAGCCCTATAGAATACAGTTTGTTCTAAATATAGGGTTGCAGACAAAATTTACAAAGCATTTGAGGAAATCAAATACCATGAGCAATAACAAGGAACTATAGATAATAGAGTCTGATTTGACCATTAAAAGGAAGGAGTCAATAAATGAATTAAACAGTAGGGTAAACACAGCTCAGCAGAGAACTATGAATTTAGAGAAGGCTCTAAAGAACAGGCCAAACTATAGTGCAGAAGGCAAAAGACGTGGAAGTTGCTAAAGAGAAGTTAAAAAACAAGACAGATAAACGGTAAACTCCAACATACAATTAGTAGGAATTACAGCTAAAGGGATGGAGAGAGGTAATAATCCAAAGGCTAAAGCCCAAAATATGTCCAGGACATTTTCTTCTAGGCATGTGTAAACTCGATTTTAGTATTGTAGAGTGCATGAAAACGTGGACTTTGGAATCAAAGAGATTTTGGTTTGATCATGATTACGTCACTTAAAACCTGGGACCCCGAGTAAATAACTGAAGAGTTGGTTTTTTCATCTGTCAACCAACCTTACACAAGGAGATTGTGACAACAAATGCAGGAAAGACTTAGCACAGGGACTGACTCTTGTTAGCCACTATAATTACTGTAACTGAGAGGCACATAAGAGACCTCAGAGTGCAGCGCTGATCTTGGCACTAAAGATGATACCTCAGAACCTCTCCAATTCTTAAAGTGTTCCTCTCTCACACAATGGTCTTGAATAAATCATTTTTATTTGTCTTAACTCCTCTCTCTTTCTATCTTTTGGGTTTGATTTGTTTTCTTTGTATGTTCCCTGCCATCTCGCACTAAGTTCCCATCATGACCAGTTTCCCTAGTGAGAACTGTCACTGTATCAAGTGATATTTGAGGTATCCTATTGTAGTCATCAGGCTATATTTGGATCCTCCATTGCTACTTCGGTATCTGGCCTTTCATATATACATAGAGGTTTTTTTTATCATCTTGTCTTGAAGTTAGAGCCCCCTGAGATCTTTAAGAAATGAAAAGTCCATGTCATTTAGCCATTCCTGGGAGAGCAATTAAAAATAAAAATAAAGAGCAATAAAAACAAATTAAATTTCTTTGAACACCAAGTGGTTTCTCACTCTTAAGTGACTTTCTTATGTTTTGTTTTTATGGAGCCTGGGATAATGACAATCTATCTTGTCCTTGCGGATTTCAGCAGGAAAAGCACTTGACTCACAGGGAGAAATTGGCTGCTCTTACTGTGCGGTTGTTCCTGGATTAGCATCTCTACTTTGATCCTGTCTTCCCTGACTGCCTACATCCCACCCACAGTCTCTATGCCATAATATCTTAATATTAGCTGATAATGGGGACATGAGTTTGGGTAAAATTGAAACCAGTAAAATCCTTTGTTTATCATTGAGGATCGAACTAGTAATTAATGGCTTTGGTAGCCCTGAGCTGCAATTCTCCTTGGCCTGGTCTTTTTTTTATAAAAAAAAAAAAAAATACAACTTCTTATTTTAGAGACAGAGAGTACATGTGCAGGTTTATTACATTGGTATATTGGATGATGCTGAGGTTTAGGGTATGAATGATCCTGTCAACCAGGTACTGAGCATAGCACCCAATAGGTAGTTTTTCAACACATGACACCCTCCCTCCATTCCCCCTCTAGTAGTTCTCAGTGTTTGTTGCCATCTTTATGTCCATGAGTACCCAATGTTCAGCTTCCACTTGTAAGTGAGAACATGCAGTATTTGGTTTTCTGTTCCTGTGTTAATTCACTTAGGATGATGGCCTCCAGCTGTATCCATGTTGCTGCAAAGGACATGATTTCATTCCTTTTTATGGCTATGTAGTATTCCATGGTGCATATGTACCACATTTTCTTTATCCAGTCCATTGTTGATGGGCATCTAGGTTGATTCCATGTGTTTGCTATTGTGAATAGTGCTGTGGTGAATATGTGAGGGCATGTGTCTTCGAGTAGAACCATTTGTTTTCTTTTGGGTAGATACCTAGTAATGGGATTGCTGGGTCAAATGGTAGTTCTGCTTTAAGTTCTTTGAGAAATCTCCTGACTGCTTTCCACAGTGGCTGAACTAATTTACATTCCCACCAACAGTGTATAAATGCTCTCTTTTCTCTACAATCTCACCAGCATCTGTTGTTTTTTGACTTTTTAATAATAGCCATTCTGACTGGTGTGAGGTGGTATCCCACTGTGGTTTTCATTTGCATTTTCCTGATGATTAGTGACGTTGAGCATTTTTTGTATGTTTATTGGCCGCTTGCATGTCTTCTTTTGAGAAGTGTCTGTTCATGTCTGTTGCCCACCTTTTAGAGGGGTTATTTGTTTTCTGCCTATTGAATTATTTAAGTTCCTTATAGATTCTGAATATTAGATCTTTGTCGGATGCATAGTTAACCAAATATTTTCTCCCATTCTGTAGGTTGTCTGGTTACCCTGTTGACAGTTTCTTTTCCTGTGCAGAAGCTCTTTATTTTAATTAGATCCCACTTGTTAATTTTTGTTTTTGTTGAAATTGCTTCTGAGGATTCAGTTACAAATTATTTCCCAAGGTGGATGTCCAGAATGGTATTTCCCAGGTTTTCTTCTAGGATTCTTATAGTTTGAGGTCTTACATTTAAATCTGTAACCCATCTTGACTTAATTTTTGTATATGGAGAAAGGTATGGGTCCAGTTTTATTCTTTCACATATTGTTAGTTAGCTATCCCAGCATCATTTATGGAATATGGAGTCCTTTCCCCATTGCCTATTTTTGTCAAGTTTGCTGAAGATCAGATGGTTGTAGGTATGTGACTTTATTTCTGGGTTCTCTATTCTGTTCCATTGGTCTATGTGTCTGTTTTTGTACCAGTACCAGGCTGTTTTGGTTACTGTAGCCTTGTAGTATGGCTTGAAGTCGGGTAATGTGATGCCTCCAGCTTTGTTCTTTTTGCTTAGGATTGTTTTGGCTATTCAGGCTCTTTTTTTGGTTCCATATGAATTTTAGAATACTTTTTTCTAATTCTGTGAAAAATGACATTGGTAGTTTGATAGGGATAGCACTGAATATGTAGATTGCTTTGGGCAGTATTGGTCTGGTTTCTTTTATACTTCACCCTATACAGGAGGGTGAGACCTGGAAAACATACTGTCTTTGCTCTGTGCTTTGCAAATCAACCAGTATAGGCCCAGAGAGACAAACTCTCCAGCACCTTCCGTCTCCTCTCCTTTGCACTTCTGCTGCTTTTCCTCTCCTACCCTCGTCTCCAAAGACAGTGTATTTAGCTGTTGCATGAGTCAAGTGTATAATTTGGGATGTTGGAATATTGATTTAGTCTCATGACTCCCCTTTGACAGCTGTGGACTTTGGGGCCCACTGAAATGAAGTAGATTATAATAGCAAGTGTACTTGCTTCCTTTGGCAGCTGTAACAAATTACCACAAACTCAGTGGCTTAACACAACACAAATTTATTATTTTAGTTTCAGAGGTTGGAAGTCCAAAATAGGTCAGCAGGACTTTGTTCCTTCTGGAGGCTCTAGAGGATGACTTGTTTTCTTGCCCCTTCCAGATTCTAGAGGCTGCCTGAGTTCCTTGTTTCATGGCCCCGCCTTCCTCTAATCTGCTTTCATCCTTACATCTCCTTTGCCTCAGACTGTCCTGCTTCCATTTTATTAAAACCTTTATGATTACACTGGGCCTTGGTACCAAGATAATCCAGGATAACCCCCTCATTTCATGATCCTTAAATTAATCATGCTTTCAAACTCCCTTTTATATGTAGGGTAACATATTAAGAGTTTCTGGTGACTAGGATGTGGACATTTTGGGGGGCGATTATTCTGTCTAGCATGGAAGTATTGGCTGTACTTGTCGCTGATGACATGTCTTCTATCGATGTCCTGGGATATAAGTAAAACATTTTATTGCCATTTAACTTTTTCAAGTTTATGTCCTCTCCCCACCATTATGAATGTAGTTTCTTTGAGGGAAAAGACTATTCCTTAGAAGCCTTGTGTCCCCTCCAAGGTCAGAACTTCACACATGGTAGGTGCTTGGTAATTTGGACTCAATTTGATTTTCTCTAAGATCACATGACATACAGGATGATACAGGTGTAGATACCTGTTATTTTTTCTTCATAGAACATGCACAGAAACTTCAAAAGAATTTATAAGGGATAGTGCCAACAGCATATTTTTAAAATGCCTATTGTGGGTAAAGAACAATGTATAAGATAAATATTTAATATTTCTTTTTAAGCTGCTTGAAATCAGTAATTCTTCTTTATTTTCGTGTGTTTTCTCTATGTATTCTACATGTATTTTGGCTGGTCGATGCTAAGTCATGAGTCAGTCCCTTATATGTAGAAAGTTAACTTCTGTCTCCATATCCTAAAATTTAAATTATGTTTTATGGTGATGATGAGGTATGGCTAAAATGTAATATGATAATCAACATATGCAAACTGAGTGGATTCAATTTGTGAAGTTTCCATGTCATCAATACTACTCATTACCCCCTTAATCATTCTGAAGTAAATGGGGAAAAATTGAGTCTTAACAGTGATTGAAAATGGCCCCAAAGTTTGTGCATATGCAAAATGAATTTCTGAACAGACCACTAATGTTTGGAGCACCAGTGAGGGACCATCTTTATGCTTAAAGCACCACAATTACTCACTTCTATCATATTGAATGAACTACATGAAATATTTGAAAAACAAATGAGCACCTAAATAGATTCTTAGCTGCTCAGTGGATGGTATAAACTTGTGCTAAGCATATATTTCCTTTGAGAACTATTTTTGGTATATTAAAGATATTTAAGATGCTCCTGTTTATGTACAGAGATGCTTTCACTGACCCCTTTCACCAAGGGCTCATTGGAGGATAACTGGTGGTACTGATTCATCATTGTCTTCTTGCTCCTTCCTCCTTGTGACTAAATATATGATTTTTTTCAATGATGAGCTAGGATCCATAGGTAAAGAGTAAAGAGAAGTATACCTGGCCCTGACATGTCAAATATGGACCTTTAAATTCACTAACACCATAACAAACTGTAAAACAAAATATGTACAAGGGAATGAAAACAATGCTCAAATTCAGCTGTTAAGGTTATGTCAGTGTGTATGCATATGTGTATATTTATGTGTACATACACGTATCACAAACCAAAGCAAAAAGCAAACTTTTCGTCAAACTAAAAAACTTCTCTACAACAAAGGAAACAATCAACAGAATGAAAAGACAATCTACAGAATGGGAGAAAATATTTGCAAACTATACATCTGATAAGGGGTTAATATAAAAAAAAGGTAAGGAACTCAACACAATTCAACAGCAAGAAAACAAATAACCTGATTAAAACATGGACAAAGGACCTGAATAGACATTTCTCAAAAGAAGACATACAAATGACCAACAGGTGTATGAAAAAATGCTTAACATCACTAATCATTGCATAAATTAAAACCACAGTGGGATATCACTTCACATGTTAGAATGACTACTAACAAAAAAAATGATATAAAGTTGGAAAGGATATGGAAACTTTAAAGGGAACCCTTGCACACTGTTGGTGGTAATGTAATTGGCATAGTTATTACAGAAAATAGTATGAAAGTTCCTTTAAAAATTAAAAATAGAACTACCACATGATCCAACAATCCCACTTTGGGGTATACATCCAAAGGAAACAAAATTACTATATCCAAGAGATATCTGCACTCCCATATTTATTTCAGTATTATTCACAGTAGCTTATATGGAACCAACCTAAGTTTCCATCATTGGATGAATTGATAAAGAAAATATGGTCCAGGCCAGGCATGGTGGCTCACACGTGTAATCCCAGCACTTTGGGAGGCTGAAGCAGCCTCTGAGGTCACTTGAGGTCAGCCTGGCCAACAGAGTGAAACCCCATTTCTACAAAAATACAAAAATTAGCCGGGCGTGGTGGTGTGCACCTGTAGTCCCAGCTACTTGGGAGGCTGAGGCAGGAGGATTGCTTGAACCCAGGAGGCAGAGGTTGCAGTGAGTCCAGATTGCACTACTGCACTCAAGCCTGGGCAACAGAGTGACTCTGTCTCAAAAAACAAAAACAAACAAACAAAAAAAATGAGAAAGAAAATGTGGTTCAAATGCAGGATGGAAAACTATTTAGCCTTAAAAAAGAGGAGAAATCCTGTTATTCAAAACAACATAGATAAATCTGGAGGACATTATGTTAAGTGAAATAAGCCAGGCACAGAAAAACAAATACTGTCTGATCTCATTCATATGTGGAATCTAAAAAAGTTGAACTCATAAAAGTAGAGAGTAAAATGGTAGTTACCAGGGGCTGGGGAGATGGAGGGTTGGGAAGTTGTTGGTCAAAGGATAAAAAATTTCAGTTAGATAGGAGGAATAAGTTCAAGAGATCTATGGTACAGCATGGTGACTATGGTTAAAAAGAACATACTGTATTTTGAAAATCATTAGAAGAGTAGATTTTCAGTGTTCTCACTGATAAGTATGTGAGGCAATACATATGTGAATTAGCCCTATTGAGCCATTTCACAAAGTATACCTACTTCAAAACATGTGGTACACAAAAATATATACAATTTTTTTAATTTTAAAAATTAAACCTAATTTAAAAAGAAAAAAATCAATTAATCCACGGAGTTCTATCAATTAATGATGGTAAGGAATCCAACCAAAAATGATGACAATGGTGTTGAAACTCAAGGCAATACCATCTGTGTATCTTTGTGGATAAATAGGCTTGACGGTAGAGTTCTATTCCCATTGCTTCTGTGGTCCTCAGCTCTGGCTGTTTTGCAGGGTGCTGATGTCCAATCATGTAATCATTTATAATTCAACCTTGTCCTGAGGAACCCTTTCATTTTAGGATACCAGGTTAGGTTCCTGGGATGTATGTTACCATCTCCTAAATGGACTCAGCCAAAGGTCAATCAATGCCATTGATAGCCAAGAACATGTCACAGCTGTGTTTTCTTTTCCATTGAATTAAATTAGAGGAAATTTTGAATGATTCAGGGCCCTGCCTTCCTACAAATAGTTTTGACTTTTGAAGAAAATGTAAATTAAGGAAGCGTTTTCAGAGAGATTTCTTTGTTCCCACTTCTGAACCCCCTAGCTGCGTTCTATTCTGGTTCATCGTCCACATGATCTATTTAAAAGAGTTAACTGAATAAGTTACTTGAGGAAACTTGCAGAGAATACTCATACCATAATAGAAGACAAAATTTCTGAAGGTAGTGACTATAACTGTGACATCACAAGAGGTAGAGTTACTAGCAGGGTGTGGGTTCCTCTGCAGGTCCACTGAAACCGTTTCGTCCCCTCCATCAGGGCTGCATCTTCGCCTAGTAAGAGAAAGCGGTTATGGAAATCTGGACTGTTTTGATTTTTAATGTACCAATTAGAGGAATTACCTTCTTCTATAATTTATGAGTCAGAAATCGAAGCAACTTCATACATTTTTTAAAAGTTGTAAAATTCTTTTTTCTAACTACTTTCCATATTCTCTCATTAGACCTGCTTTTTTCTCTAAAACAAAATGATGTCTGGAAGACTAGCTGGCATGAGTAGATTCAAACATCTGTGTACCATCTGAAGCAAACTCCAGACCAATCATTTGAAGTGAATTGGGCAGAAGACTCACAAAGAAAGTGGGTTGTACAGAGCATGGAAGTCCCGGCAGAGGTTAGATGTTTTTGTTTTCTGTTCTCTCCTGTATCTCTTTTTCTCCACAGATTTCTCTGTTCTCTTCAGCCCCTCCTCCTTGCTCCTGTTTCTAGTTTTAGAACAGCATATTATAGTTTGGTGAAAATGAATACTTTATTCCACAAATGGCAGCTATTTTTAAAATGTTTTTTGTACAAAATTCTTACCTTATGAATTTGCCTCTCCTGTGCACACATTAGGGTACAATAGTTTAAACTAGGGTTTCTTAATCTTGGCACTGATGACACTTGGGGCTGGATGACTCTCGTGTGTGGAGGATTGTCCTGTGTACTGTAGAATGTTGAGCATTCCCTACTAGATGCCAGGAGCATCCCCAGCTCCACTGTGACAACCAAAAATGTCTCCAGATATTGCCAAATGTCCTGGGGACAGGGGCACAAAACAACCATCAGTTGAGAACCACTGATTTAGAAGAATGTGGATCTCTTATTTTCCCAGGGTTACAATGAGTATAATTAATGAAAAATATAAAATTTCTACTAAAAGTGTCATGCTGTAGCTGGATATTTTGATTCTTAAGTGGGACCTGTTTTCACATCATTTCAAGTGCCTTAACAGTCTGTCTAGCCTAATTAATATGTAGCCCTTATAATGTTAAGATATTGTCCTATAAAGTGCATGTCACTGTCAAGCTTGATGCTCATGCATGGTTGAGCCACAGCTGTAATCACTGTTTCTCTCATTGCTCACCCTGTATACCAACCTATGTGACAGTCGCAATTGCAACATCTAGACTTCCTCCCCTGCTCTTTGAAAGTAACCTCATCTTCTATTTTCCATTCTGTTTCAGTCTCAACTTTTTGTTTTGTTCTCTAGCCAATTTCTCCTTTTTCTCAGGCTTCCATCAAGAATCCCTGCTGTCTTGGGTTTAAGCAGCCCATTGTATGGAACAGTATCAAAGGCTTTCTGAAAATTGAGATTATCCATGTTGTATGAATTATCATTTTCCAATGCATCTGTAAGCAGCTCCAAAGTATACAAAGAAGACAGTGAAGTTAGATAGAGAGCATCTTTCTACATAAAGCCCCTCACTCTTTGTCTTCTTGAGGCCAAAACACCCATCGGAAAGGGAGAAAGGTGCTTGTTGAATATGTTTTGCATGCATTCCAAATATTTGTATGTTTGGCTTCATGTTGACAGCCACCTGGAAGGCTGATAAAATTTTTCTTCTGGATTATTTGGGAGTGTGTAGCCAGAGCTTCTGTGTCTTCACTGACTGTGGCTTATTCAGAGTTAATTAATATTTATTGAGTCCTTTAAAATATCTATTTGATCTTCATCAGCATCACATAAGGTATATGTTTTGTTCCCATTTTACAGATAAAAGAAATGGGTCTTGAAGACTTTGGTCACAAGATAAGTGGCAGACTCCAATTTGAACTTGGGAGTTCTGACTTCGACTCCAGTTTCCCTCCTCTACAGCATAGGGAAAGTACCCAGGGTCCTGTGCCCAAGACATGAGTTTTAATCCACATTAAGCAACTCCATCCTCACTACTCGAGATATAATCTTTGGACCAGCAACTTGAACAGCATCTATGTGCTTGTTAGAATTGCAGAGTCCTGACCCCCACCTAAGATCTACTAAATCAGAATCGGCACTTCAACAAGAACCCCAGATGATTCCTATGTGCACTAAATTTTGAGAAGTACTGCTGTTCAACTCCGTGAATATGGAAAGATAATGACCCAGTTGTGTCACTATACTGTGTCCCTTTGTAACACCACGTTCCCCAGCAGCTTAGCCTCTTCCTGATGCCCCTGCCTGCCTTCCTCTACTATGGTACTCTTATATCCTCCTATGGTACTCTCTAACATTCTATCTTATATTTTAGGCCAGAAAAGACCAAAAGTTTTTTACCTCCTTTGCCAACACAAAGTTCAATTCACAGTGGTTTCCTAGAGCATTGTGTTGAACAGGATTCTGAGGCTCTGTCTGGAGAGGCTGGTAAAAGTCTGATGTTTGCCATGGGTGTAGGAAGTGAACGAGCAAAGCATGTATGCCATGGATTTGCCATTCTTGTTCTGGACACTCCTTTTCTACTTCTCACTATCAATGCTTATGTATTTATTACCTCACTGTCTCAATGCCATGCTAAGTAACTGCACAGAAAATGTGACGAGCCAATTCCAGCTAATGGTTGATCAGTGACTATGATTTATTTATAATTCTCAAGTAACTGTGCATTTTGATAGGGCACTTTAATTCTTCGCAAAAATAAAATTAATGGTAGAATTTTTACTCATTGGGCATTTTGTCATTTTTCAATTCCATCCATTTAAATAAACTTAGGATCACAATATGCTGTTTGGGACCTCAGTTCCCCTACCTTCTTGTATATTGGCAACATTGGTGAGGAAAGGCATCCTATAAAAAAGATAATGGACCAGTTTGTGTCCATCGACACCACCAAAGAGAAAGGAGCAAGACCTGCTTAAGGACACCAGAAATGGAGGACTGTGGGGAACAACTGAGCCAGTTACAAAGACTGGCCCTACCAGGAGCAGTTCAGCAACTCAGACCCAGCCGCAAAGGGCACTGACAAACCACAGGAGACTGAACGATTGTAATTACTGATCACATTTGCTTAGAGTGTTACCATGTACAAAATGCTTTCTCATTTTTCTGTATTGATTGATCCTCTGAGTTATTTGGCTAAGCCTTACTTGTAATCATTGTTTTTTAGATTCCCCATATGCTTTCACTGGGGTTGGGGGCAGGATCACTGAATGTGATTCTTGGAAGGTGGGTTTTTATGAAAGAAACAAGATTTATTGAGAATCCTGAGTCTGGTCTAGGAAGTGAATGGGTAAACTATGTCCAAATAGTAGTAGGCATACAGGGTTCACGACGACTATAAAAGGCCAAGTAGTGTTTACACAGCCCTTTCCATCAGGAATGTGTGAGAATGTAGCTAAATGTGGATGGGATTGTGCCATCTGCCCCTTTAGTCAGGCAGTCAACAGACACCTGGGGACATGTACAGCTACAAGGAAACAGCACTGCACTAGACCAGAGGAACATAGATGACTAACACAATTTCTTCCCCTAGAAATTCACCATATGCCTTCATTCAGCTCCAGATTCTCTTCTTTCATTACCTGGATGTCATATGGTTCTCTTTTCCTTGCTAATCCACATTCAGGCTGATTATGAAAGTCTATGTAAAGACATTTGCTTTCTTTTGTTTGATTCATGAATGCTAGAGTTCTGTTTCTTGGCCTTTAGCTCATTAACATTCAGTTTCTAAAGTACAAGTGCTTTCTTTGCAAATTTATGTTTAATTACATGATGACTACATGAATGCATTCTCATTTGTAAGATAGTCACCCATACAGCTTCATTAATTCATCTTTGATATTCTTGCCTCCTGTACCCACTCTGAGGCTTCTCCACAGAGGTAATGACTGTTCTCAGTTATTCTGAACTGTTCAGCATCCCTCTAACAATGTCTGTTCGTATTTGCAACTCACCAAACACTTGGCTTGGCTCATTTTATCTATCCATCAATACCTTCTACAAAACGCTTTCCCTGACTGTGGTTAGAGAATGACAGCGCCTCTCTGGCATGAAAGAGCAGAGGACTGGGGGCAAGGGGCACTATCTCCAGTACCAACTGTTCCCTCAAAGATTCTCCTTTCCTATAGCCTTTAGTGAGCCTGTCATTTTCACCTCTGCAGATTCCCCTGAGCAGCTACAGGCCGGAGTTACAAGCTTACCCTGGTTGCAGAGTTCTGCCTTGCTGCAGTTGGGTTGTTTGACCATATTGTCACAGCTACGCTATTTTAGGGTAGGCTTTAGAAGGATGATAGTCAGATGACATGGAGCTAAGCTATACTAGGTGCCCACTTTCAGGAGATGGTTGACTAAATTCAAACCTGCTTTGACTAGTGTTTCTCTCCCTTCTTAATCTCCCCACCCCCTGCCCAAGTGAAACTTGGTTATGGTTCTCTAATGCCTTAGGTTTCCTTACCCTTGGGCATGCCTAGCTGCCCCTTTTCCCTTTTGTCTTAGAATATTTCCTTTCATTTTTTTCCTTATTTGAGAACTAACACACTGCTAGAACTTTTTCAGTGTTTGCAGAAAGGTGGTGTATGTCAAAAGATGCTGATGTCTAAAAGATGAAGATGGTAAAATTGCTAGATGGGACCCAAGGGCCAATATGGCATGCTGGTTCCTTCCACCAGTTTCAATGATGCTCCGGTCACTTGCAATGAGATGCAGTTGTAAGGTAATAGATGTGGGCTTGTCTGTAAGTAGATTGTGTCTATTTGTTTACTTTATAAAACTTTATAGAAATATATTCCACTGAGATGGGCTTGGATATTGTATTGGGCTGACTCATGATGCCAGCAGTTATAATGAGACCAGTAAATTTATTAAATTCCTGAGGCTAGACTGTTGCTGCCTTCTCTATGTTATACCATGTATTAGTTTCTTATTTGCTATAGCAAACTACCAAAAGTTTAGTGGCTTAAAATAATACACGTTTATTCTCTTGCAGTTCTGGAGCTCAAAAGTCTAATATGAGTTTTAATGGGATAAAATCAAGGCAGTTTTTTGCTCTGGTTCCTTCTTCCATCTTCAAAGTGCATCACTCCAATTTCTGCTGCTGTCATTCCATCTCCTTTGTTTATTGACTTTCTTGCCTCACTCTTATAAGGGTCCTTGTGATTACATTGGACTCATCCACTTTGGTATGCCCAAGTAGGGAGGTCAAGAGAAGGCTCTGACTGGACACTTGGGAGTAATAAAGATACGGAAAACAACTGAAGCCATATTGGATGATGGGACACTACATAGAGCAATGGTTCTTAATCTTTGAGGAAAACTGAATGAACCCTAATGATCTTTGCTTCAGAAAAATGCAAATTCAGACACAATTTCACATGCAATTTTAGCGGCTTAAGTATTCTCTAGGCATTCATGAATGCGAGGTTAAGAACTCTTGATGTATAGTTATCTAGGATAACTATTCAGTTGGATCCTTACCTCATAGCTCTCACCAAAATACATTCCAATGGCTCAAGGATTGGATCATTATCAAAGAAAACATGGAAGAGTTTAAAAAATCTTGTGTGTGATAGAGGCGTTTCTAAGCATAAGACAAAAATCTCTAACACATGAAAGGAAATATTAAAAAATTCAACCACACAGGAATGTGTGTGTGTCTGTGTGTGTTTGTATTCTGCATGGAAATAAAATCATAAACAAAATTAGAAGGGAAATAACAAAATGAGAAACACTTTGCAACTCATACCAAAGCCGAAGGGCTTTCTTAACAGTAAAACATTCTTAAATTGATAAGAAAAAGACCAACAGACTAACTGAATAAATGCGAAGAGCAAGTTCACAGAAATTGATACAAAAACTTTTTTGAATCTTGAAAAGATGCTCAATTTCATAAAATGCCAGTTTCTTTTTTTTTTTTCTTTTCTTTTTTTCCTTTTTGAGACAGGGTCTTGCTGTGTCACCCAGGCTGAAGTGCAGTGGCACCATTATGACTCACTGCAACCTCTGCCTCCGGGATTCAAGATTCTCATGCCTCAGCCACCCCAGCAGCTGGGATTACAGGTGCACACCACCATGCAAAGCTTTTTTTTTTTTTTTTTTTTTTTTTTTTGTATTTTTAGTAGAGACAGGATTTCGCCATGTTGGCCAGACTGGTATTGAACTCCTTGCCTCATGTGGTCCATCCATCTCTGCCTCCCAAAATGCTGGGATTACAGGCGTGAGCCACCATGCCTGGCCAAGAGAAATGCCATTTTCAAATATTAATTTGAAAAATATGAAGACAACTGAGCACAGTCTTAGTGATAGTAGAGGAAAAATTCCATACATATGCTGCTACTGGGAATGCAGTATGTACCACCTCTAGCCCAGTGTTCATCAAACTGAAATGTGCACACAGATTACCTGGGAATCTTGTTAAAATGCAAATTCTGGTTCAGCTGGTCGGGGGAGGGGCCTGAGATTTTGCATTTGTTTTTGAGATAGAGTCTCACTGTGTTGTCCAGTTTGGAGTGCAGTAGCATGATCACAGTTCACTGCAGCCTTGACCTCCTGAGCTCAAGTGATCCTCCCACCTCATCCTCCCTCGTAGCTGGAACCACAGGTGCATGCCACCACACCTGGTTTATATTTCTTGTAGAGATGGGTTTTTGCCATGTTGCCCAAGGTGTTCTCGAACTCCTGGGCTCAAACGATCTGCCCACCTCCCCTTGCCAAAGTGCTGGGATTACAAGCATAAGTCACCACACCTGGCCCGAGATTTTGCATTTCTAACAAACTCCCAGGTGAGGCCAGTACTGCTGGTCCACAGAACAGACCACACTCTGTGTTATAAGCTCTAGTAATTTGTAAATATTTAATAAATTTTTAAATAAAAGTCTCTCTTCAACCATCAATACCATTTCTATGAATTTTTCCTACTTTTATTCTCACATATGTGGGAAATGGTGTGTGTTCTAAGATATTTCTCATGAAATTGGGTGTAAAAACAAAAGATAGCAAGCTACGCCAATATCTGTCATCATAAGTGTGCTAGCACTTTCTTCTCCCTTCTTTGTTCCTACTCTATATCTACAATGGTTTCAATATTTTAGAAGACTAAAAACTACATTTATCAGACTGATGCAGCTAGGATTTGTGACATGATTTAGATTTCATCGATGAGCTGCATTTTCATGAAATGTAGTGATGAGACATTTTCCTGATGCTTTGGAGTCTGAAAAGGAAAATGAGGCAGAGATGAGCATTTGCAGCAGCTGGACTCCACATTCCAACATGTACTCACTAGCTTCATGAGCATGAGATTCAGCTGTGGGAGTGTCGTGACAGCATCAGTCACAGTTCTCTGACTTTGTAATCACAGCAGTTATGGTATGACTTTTGTCTTTTCAAAAATATACCAGAAAGCATGAGAATGATGTGACTTTTAAATCATTAGCCCATGGGCAATCCCCTAAATTGCTCCCAATGAGTTTCCAAGCACCTAATTTTCTGTGTTAAAACTCTTTCTACTTAAAATGCCTAGAGTGTTTACTGCACATAATCCTAAATAAAACAGTATTTGGCACCAAGATGGAAAACTAAAATTAGTTATCTAACCTGTTTGTGTTTGATGACAGTGATAACAACACCATACTAGTTTGTATTGTCCTACCATATAAATAACCCTATCCAGCTGAAATACTATTCAAGGGCAAAGGAAAAACAGAATGCTAAATGAAGAAAGAAATTTCACCAAGAAAAACCTCATGAGTAGTTGTGAAATCAAGGAATATAGTAGCTACATACATTGTTTCCTTGCCATTTTGTGTATATACCTTTATATAGTAACCAAATTTCATTTCTCCATTTTCTCCTTCACCTTTATTTTACATAAAGGTGTTACAAGTATAATTTAGTTTATACTAAATTAGTATAGTGTTTAGTTATAGTTTAGTCATTGTGTTACAAGACATAAAATTTCAATTGTGACTAATTTTAAAAAGTAATTAAAATCACTCAGAGTTTGATTCTGCAACTAATAGAATAGGTTCCCCTTTATGGAGAGAGGATGAATATATTTTCACTGTAGAAGGTAATATATAATATAAGGTGTGACCATATTGTTGCAATTTAAAGATAGGTGGAAGGATAGATATTTATGGTGAATAATCCAAATGGCTAGACAGTGTTGTTCAATCAGGCTTTGATATCCTTTTCCACTCTTCTTTCTGTTTTATTTAGGTTCTGCCATGAGTTTATCTTATACAACAAGAAAGTGACTCCAAGTTGAAAAGCATCCAGACTAAAAGTAAGACAAAGGCCATCTCTGTGATATTATGCAGGCTGCATACAAAGTCAGACAGGTATGAATGTATGTGGCTGTTGGTTTCCATCTTCCAGGGTCTACTCACCAGCCATTTGGTGGTGAGACAACGCCATTTGTGGCCATGGTGATAGCAACTTCTGAATCTCTGGATGACAGCTATGGTTGTATAACTTTGAAACCAGTAATTCGGGGGCAACCCCATTATTTCCACTTTTTCTTCCCTTTCGATTACTTCATCTCACCTAATTCCTTTCATTTACATACCAGAAAGCAAGTGAATTTCTACTTCCTGCATTAAACTCTAAGAGGGCTGGTTAAATAAATTATAATACATCCATATGTAGACACACTCTACATCTACATGCACACAAAAGATGTAGCTCTATATATACATATATGCAACAATCTACGTGATACATTATTAAACAGTAAAAGCAAGACTCAGTATGTATGTAGTATTATACAGTATCTTGTGTGTGTCTATGTGTGTGTATACATAAAATATCTCTGCAAGGATACACAAGAAATCCATAACAGAGATTCCCTTAAAAAGAGAAATGGGGTGTCTGAGGGTCAACAGAATACAAAGGAGACTCTTCACTTGACACCCTTTGTATCTTTGGAAGTTTTATCAACTGAGCATATTATACCAACAAAAAATGTTTATGAAACAAATTAAAAAGAACTTCTGATCTAGGGTGAGAGAAAAGAAGGCCTAGAAGAAAGCCCTAACTATTATCAGCATATAAAGGAAGGGCATGTACAAAGGAAACAGAGAGTGGCTCAAGAGCTTGTAGTAACAATGGGAAAGATAGGGAAACAGAGACAAAGGTAGTGGAGTGTTTCCAGAAGGGCGAGAGTTAGCGCCTGAGTAAATGCTGCCAGAGGGCCAAGAAAAGCAAGATAGAAAACCCAATTGTTACTTGGGTTAGCACCAAGGTCTTGGTGAAAGGAGTTTTAATGGAATGCATGCTTCACTCCTCTGAAGAATATGAGGAGGTTATTGGGTTGAAAGAGGAGAGACAGCATCCCTTTTTTAAAAAAGGTTATACTGCTTGCTCAAAGGTGCAGTTAGTTCAGATGGCCTTAAAGATTCAAATCAGTTTAGAGACCCCTATATTCTAGTGGGTTATCCTAATAAGCTGTTGTGATTTTTTTTAAAGCCCCTCTATTGCTTACTGCGTGAAATAAAGTCACTAGGTGAAATTTAGAACACATCTACTAACATAACTTTCTGGGAAATAGTTTCATTATCCAGCAGGATCTGGGCTTTTGTCTCCAAATTATAAAAATAGTATGAAAGGAATAGGATGTAAAGTCCTTAAAAGACTGGTGAGTACTAGTAGTTTGGAGGGTGACATGCACGGCTGTCTTTAGTTTTCATATGGAAAATGAGAGTCAAAGCAGTGACATGCTCTCAAGGCTGTAGGAAGGGTCATTAGGAGGACAAAGCCATGCCATGGGTTTTAGATTTATTTTATTTTAATTCTTATCCCTAAATCCATGAGAAATCCCACTATATTCATGTATCTTCTAGAATAATTTATTAAATAATTCAGTAACTTATTAGCCACACTTTTTGCCCCCTAGAACTTAAAATCTAGTATAAACAACATTGATATGATATAAACTGAATGTAAACAGCATATAATTTAAATTAGTATACAAGTTGAAGATACATGTATTTTATTCTAAAAGCTTTATCATCCTCACTTATGAAAGAACATGAAAAACAGAATATACAATTTTGCTGCTTTCATGCTCTTTTG
Source organism: Homo sapiens (assembly GCF_000001405.40). Lineage (NCBI taxonomy): Eukaryota > Metazoa > Chordata > Mammalia > Primates > Hominidae > Homo > Homo sapiens. Next base: position 11,742,701 of record NC_000023.11, read on the forward strand.
GGGATGTCTTTTGGTCTCACGTCTGTAAGAGACCTATTTGCAAAATAACCAGTACTCATTTAAAAACTGCCTGGAAAATGTTATTAAGCTAATAAAAGTGAATTAATATTTAGGTCTAGTTGAAATGATACAGTTTAAACAGTGAGAAAAGAATGCCTGGCTTGTCCCAAGCACTATTTTACCACATCAGTTTATTACAATCCTTTAAAATCTTTTGTTGTTGTTGTTGTTTTTGTTTTGTTTTTTGTTTTTGTTTTTGAGACAGAGTCTCGCTCTGTCGCCCAGGCTGGAGTGCAGTGGCGCGATCTTGGGTCACTGCAAGCTCCGCCTCCTGGGTTCATGCCATTCTCCTGCCTCAGCCTCCGGAGTAGCTGGGACTACAGGCGCCCACCACCACGCCTGGCTAATTTTTTGTATTTTTAGTAGAGATGGTGTTTCACCATGTTAGCCAGGATCGTCTTGATCTCCTGACCTCGTGATCCGCCCGCCTCGGCCTCCCAAAGTGCTAGGATTACAGGCATGAGCCACTGCGCCTGGACTAAAATTGTTTTTTAAACAATATTGGATGAAAATTTCAAAAGTTTTCCAAAAAAGTAAGTTTGATAGCACAAATCCATCTGGTCAGAGACATTGTCTTTATAGGGAATCTAGTAGCTTTCTGTTTATAAAATTAATCCAGTATTATTTGTATTTTTTCCTTTGGGATATAAACAAGGAAAAAAATGGCACATGAGATTAAATACAGAGAACTACATAGTTATCACATCTAATCTATCAATCTCAATGAGCAGGTCCAAAGGATGTTAGGTATGTTTATAAGACAAGAGACTTAGGTTAGCCACAATCCAAGGATTTAGCAAACACAGTGAACTGATGTGACATGTTTGACCATATTTTCTCATTGTTAGCTGTGGTCAAAAATGTCATGCCGGGCATTAAGCAACTTTTGAACCTCCCTTCGATGTCTAGACTTTAGCCAAAGTGGACTTTGTTTTCATCTTCTAAACCTTTGCACATGCTTTTTCCATTTGCTCCACGATCAACTTTTCCTCTCTGATCTCTTCTTATCTTTCAGCACAATTTCTCTGGAGGAGGAATATCTGTGCTCCAGATATTCTCTGGCCTTCAGCCATGAAGTTGCTCACCCCTGCTATGTCCTCCTATAGCACTCTGTACTTCCTTTTTCATTACATTTTTTTCTTCATTAAGTTTGTAAATTCATCTGTCAATTCAACTAGTCTTGGCTTCATAGGGCTAGGGACTGTACTAATGTGCTGCCATCTCATATCTCCTCCAGTGTCTAGTGTCTAATAAATACTTTCTGGATAAATGAATACTCTAAATGACCATACTGCATAATTCTCATTCCTATTCTTGGTGTTTCTCAGTCACTGTGTTTCTCCTCCTGGTGCACACACATCTTTGAAAATGCAGAATTTACATTATAGATTAACTGCAACTTATATAAGTTTTATATAAACTTGTAACATTTTATATAAACTTTTGTAAACTTATCTCCTTGGTGTAAAAGTACTGCTGGATAGAAAAGGTGCAGGTCTCTTTAGGACTCTCAAGTTCTGAACTGCACCCACTGTTACTGAAGCACCAGGGTTTGGACTAGGTGCTGCTGCTCGTCACACAGAAAGCCACAATGAGTACTGTCAAGGAAGAAGGCTTTAATTGCGTGCTGCAGCCAAGGAAATGAAAACTCAGTCTCACATCCGTCTCCCTGAGTCTCAAATCCATCTCCCTGACCAGCTAAAACTAGGGGTTTATAATAGTAGTGAAGAAATGTAACAATGTGTGAGAAAACAGGAGCTGGGAGGGGCAAGAAAGCAACCATCATGAATGAGGGGTCCAGCCTCTAATTGTCTGGATGTGCTGATCTTGTGAGTTTTAGTTCTTTGACACTTTTATTTATTTATTTATTTATTTTGAGAGGCCTGAAGGTCTTTGCTTCCTGAGGAAGGAGCTCCCATAACACAAATGTAAGTTTCAAGTTTTAAGACCAAAAGGGTCAAATTTTTTTTTTTTCTTGAGAGAATGAGTCTCATTCTGTCACCCAGGCTGGAGGGCAGTGGTGTGATCTCAGCTCACTGCAGCCTCTGCCTTCCGAGTTCAAGTGATTCTCCTGCCTCAGCCACCCGAGTAGCTGGAATTATAGGCATGCCACCACACCCAGATAGATTTTGTATTTTTGGTAGAGACAGGGTTTCACCATGTTGGCCAGGCTGGTCTTGAACTCCTGGCCTCAAGTGATCCACCTGCCTCAGCCTCCCAAAGTGCTGGGATTACAGGCATAAGCCACTGCACCTGTATTCCAAGCCAGGTCATTTGGTTCCTTGCTCCATGTAATGTGTGCATGTGTGTGTGTGTGTGTGTGTGTGTGTGCACGTGCGTGCATGCTCATACATGTGAAAATGCACATCTCGATTTTTTTTCTGTCAATTGATTAATGTATCCATATCTAACTCAGGATTGTTGGAAAGATTAAAGGATAATATACTATAAGGTACTTAGCACAGTGTTCAGTATGTATAATTGTTTCCTATCATCATCATTGTTGTCATCATCCACCACTACTTTATTCTGCTCCTCAGGTCCCTTCTGAACTTGGTCAAATGTAAACTCCAAAAGTAGAAATGAACACTCCTTTCAGAACTTTCCTTTTCTGCAGCAGTGTCTGGGCAGGCAGACTAACGAAAATGTATAAAGATACAGGTAAACTTTCATAGTATATTACAAAAATGAACACATAAAAGTTTATGGCAGTAAAACCGATCCAATAGTCCCATAGATAATTTTTTGGATAAAGAGAAATTGACCCTTCTGGGGGCCACTTTTTCTTTTTAATGAGTGCTTTTTGTGTCTAAAAATTTGCTATCTTGAAAGTCATGAAGACATTCTTTCATGCTTTTGTTTAGATGTTTTATTGTTTTAACCTTGCATACATAGATCTACAATCCATCTGAAATTGATTTTTACATATGGTTGAAGTAGAAGATCAAGATTCCTTTTTTATATGGACATGCAATTGATCCAGCACCATTTATTAAAGAGATCATCTTTGCCTCACTGCACTGAAGCAACCCCCTTCTCACAATTCAAGTGGCATGTGTGGGTCTGTTACTGGACTCTATTCCAGCAGTCCCCAATCTTTGTGGTACCAGGGACTGGTTTTGTGGAAGTCAAGGGGGGCATGGTTTTGGAATGAAACAGTTCCACCTCAGATCATCAGGCATTAGTTAGAGTCTCATAAGGGCTGCACAGCCTAGATTCCTTGCATGTGCAGTTCACAATAGGGTTTGTGCTCCTATGAGAATCTAATGCCAATGCTGGTCTGACAGGAGGAGGAACTCAGATGGTAATGCTGGCTCGACTGCAGCTCACCTCCTGCTGTGCAGACTGGCTTCTGCCAGGCCACAAACTGGTACCAGTCTGCAGCCCAGGGCCTGGGGACCTCTGCTCTGTTCTGTTCAGTTCATCTATTTGTCTTTTCTTACATCCGTACCACAGCATCTTAAATACTGCAGTTTTATAAGAAGCCACAATATCTGATGATAAAAGTCCTCTAGGTTTGTTCTGCTTTTTCAAAATTTTGGTGGCTGTTTCTGGCCCTTTTCATTTCCATACAAATTTTAGAATCTGCTTTTCAATTTTCAAAAAACTTCTAGGATTGCATTGTATTTATGAATCTATAGATCAATTTAGGGAGAGCTAGCATCTTTATAATATTAAGCTTCTTGATCTATAAACATGATGTATTCCTCCATTTACTTAGGTCTTTTTTAATTTCTCTTAATAATTATGTGTTTTTCACATCTTCTACTAGATTCATTCTAGGTATTTGACCTTTTTGATACTGTTGTAAATGCTATTCCAAATTTCATTTTCTACTTGCTTATTGCTAGCATACAGAAACACAACTGACTTTGTATACAGCAACCTTACAAAGTATCTTTATAGCTTATCTACAGATAGAGTTTTGGGACTTTTTTGTGACATAGACAATTGTGTCATCTGAGAATAATGATAGCTTTATTTCTTCATTTTCAATCTCTATGCCTTTAATTCCTTTTATCTGCCTTATTGTTTTGACTAAGATCTCAATATTGCATAGAATTGAGGTAAAATGAGCATCCTGTCTTAGTCCCCATCTCAGGGGAAAAGCTTGCCATAATTCATGCTAAGTGCAATGTTCTGTAATGATTTTTTTATCCCTAGATTTAAAATATTCATTACATGAGTAGTTTACTTCATTTGAGAATCCATCTCTTTCTTATCAAAAAGGTAACCTTGAGTTCCTTTAAATTATTTAATTTAACAACATTCAGTAGTACTTGATAAATTTCTGGCATATGATTTTCACCTTGAATATTAATGTAACATATACCAATATTTTTTAAGGAGTGTACCTCTGTTTTGCTGCTTGGATCTCGCCTATTTGCATGCGCGTGCACGTGTGTGTGTGTGTTTAAATAAAAGGAAATAAAATATATAGACTTGGGTTTATGCTAAAGCTATTCAGGTCACTTATTTATTTATTTATTTATTTATTTATTTAGTGGCTCACTCTAGCACCCAGGCTGGAGTGCAGTGGCACAACCTCGGCTCACTGCAATATCTGCGTCCTGAATTCAAGTGATTCTTGTGCCTCAGCCTCCCGAGTAGCTGGGATTACAGGCACACGCCACCCATGCCTGGCTAATTTTCATATATATATATATATATATATTTTTTTTTTTTTTTTAGTAGAGACAGGGTTTCACCATGTTGGCCAGGCTAGTCTTTAACTCCTGACCTCAGGTGATCCACCCACCTTGGCCTCCCAAAGTGCTAGGATTACAGGCATGAACCACGGCACCCAGCCCACATTTTAAATTTAAACTAAAATGAGATTGGGATGATGTTTGAAGCCTGAAGAACCACTGATTCATTTTTTTTCATTCAACAAACAATTTTGAAGCAATTAGGATGCACCAAGAACGAGTCTCTGGGGACTTTGAAGGCTGAATATTTGCTAATTGTTTTATTTAACAAGCTTTTTTTTTTCCTCAAGAAATTATGATGTACCCAGAACTGTACAAGTCCCTGGAGATATGGAGGGGATCTCAAGGAGTTCCTATTGCACAGGGAGAAAATGAGACATAAACAGATTTATCCCACAGTATGATAAACACATAATAGAAGGATGCATGTGGAGATACGCATAGGGGCCCCCAGCTCACCTTTGGCCAGGGGCAGTTGGCATCTGTGAAGACTTTGCACAGGAGACGATGCCTGAGTTGAAGCATAAAAGATAAATATGAACTAACTAGGCAAAGAGGAATACAGGTAGAAATATTGCATCAAAGCAAATGGCCAAAAGTAAACAAACAAAACAGCATTTGTTCATTCAACAAATATTTATTGAGTGCTTCCTATGTCACAGACATAGCATTTGGCATAAGGTTCTGATAAATAAAAATAGACATAGTCCCTGCTCTCCTGAGTAGCTTTCAGAAGTAGGGTAAGAGATATTTATAAAATCTTATTTGAGACCTTTTTTCCAAGTATTCATTAACCTCCAAACACATTCTTATAGTCTGAATATTATTACATTACTAAAACAAAAATCAGTGTCTAATACATAGCTATAATTTCAGAGGCAATTTTCCAACAATTTTAGTGGGAAGTCTCAGAAATTCATTTACAGTTTGATTTTTCCATCTTGGACTACAGTTTCTCTTTTTTTGAGACGAGGTCTCACTCTGTCGCCGAGGCTTAGCTGCAGTGGTATGATCATAGCTCACTGCAACCTTGAACTCCTGGACTCAAGTGATCCTTCCCCCTCAGCCTACAGAGTGGCTTGGACTAGAGGCATGTGCCACCAGGCCTGGCTAATTTTTTAAATTTTTATTTGTTAGAGATGGAGGTATCACTATGTTGCCCAGGCTGGTCCTGAACTCCTGGCCTCTAGTGATCCTCCAATCTCTGTCACTCAAAGTTCTGGGATTACAGGCATGAGCCACTGTGCCTGGCAACTTAGACTACAGTTTCTGAATTAAACTGTTTTATAAGTGATGGTTAGGTTTACCCTCCAGCACTCAAAGCCTATTTAACCCATAATATACATGAGGTATTAATAGTTCTATTTCAAATACACTGAATCACTTATTATGTCATATCTATGAAAAAATGCTAGGCTTTGGGGATACATGTTTGCAAAAGATGACACAGTCCTGGGTCTCATCGAAGTTACAATTTAGTAGAAGAGACAAATAATTAAACAACCACACAAATGAATGTGTGATGATGATCTGAGACGATGGCTACAAAATGAAGGGACCGGTGGAGACATAATGAAGCACCACAGCCTATCCTTTGGGTCTGGAAAGACCAACGTGGCAACCAGGCAAAGGAGCAGAGGAAGAACATTCTGGATAAGGTGTTAAAGGAACTGGGACAAGATCAGTGTGGGTGGTGTAGGGCAAGAGAGGAAGACAGTGGCATGAGAAAGGCCATGTCAAGACTATACTTTGCCTAGTGAGCCATGCCATTTCTTTCTAATAGCAAAGAGAAGTCCCTGGGAGACTAAAAGCAGTGCAGTTAGTATCATGATAGATTTACATATTACAATGGTTCATCCTACCCACACTGTGAAAAAAAGATGCTACAGAGTCCATGTGACAAAAAGATGCTACAGAGTCCAGTTGGATACAAGGTATCCAGTTAGAAGGTTTCCGCACTGATGCAGGAGAGGTGACAGTGGCTCACACCAGAGTGGCAGTAGTAGAGATGTAATAAAAGATTAATGAGCTAGAAAGCTACTTATGTGATAGGACCTGGTTAGGGATTACCGAGAGGGTTGAGAGAAAGCGGTTGTCTAGAATGACTACACATTTTCAGGGCTACTTAGGGAGTAGAACTGATTGAATGTTAGGGGTGAGGGAGAAAAATGAATAGGCAGTATCCAGATAGATATACAGCTTGAACAATAGGATGGATGGTGATATAGCCACTAACATCAACTGAGACACAGCAGGAGGCTTAGGAAGAAAGGTGATGAGTTGCATTTTGGACTTGTTGCATTTAGATACATTGGGTATTCCCTAGATATGAGGCTAGCATATGATTACAGGATAGCACTCTGATACTTGAAGACTAGAGAAGAGACGTAGGTATGGGGAGTCATCATTTTGCAGGTTACACATGCCCCATCAGCGGGGTTGAGATGGGACTGTGGGGAAGCACGACTGTTAAGAAAATAAGGTTGCAGGTCTCATTACCTCTTGCATTAATTAATGCAGAGTCCAATTAATGAAAGTCCAAATTAACAAAAGAGTGCAACCTCTTTTCAGTAACATGTTTATACAGTTCTCAGTAATTTATACCTTGTCCATGCAATCTCCCTAGGTTTAACTGCTGGCTTTCCTCCAGGAAAGCAAAGTGACTGCGAATCAGATCCACTAGTCACCATTTTACTCCAATACAGTGAGATCATGTACTGAGTGAAGAAAAGCAGAATTATTTTCACACTTCAGCCTCTTTTGCAATCTTACTGTTCCTGTCTGAGAACTGGTCTTTCACCATTCTTTCTACTACTGCGACATACCAACGTGTATGGAACAGTACACCCAAGCCAGGCTCATTGTTTACCACTTTCAGGAAACTATTTGCAAACCTGAGATGGGATTAGAACACTCATTATAGCTAACATTTATTTTTTTCATTATTAAACTTTATTGGATATCAACAAAACGAAAAATTAGATTTGGTACAAATCTTGAGAAACTTTTATTTCAAGCCTTGTTAAAAACATGTCTAAAATAATTTGGTTCACTTTCCTGCTTTCCTGAAAACCACTACATAAAATATTGGCTACACCTTGAGGTATTCAGAAGGTTCTATTCATTAGAACTCTTGGTTGCAAGTGACAGAAACCTACCTGAACAATAAACTGCTTTCTTTCCACTTGAGTTGCTTTCCCCCTGTGTCCAAGTAGCAAGAACATGGAATAATTCTCATTGGCCTTGTATCGCACCAAGGTGCCTTTTTGCCCAATCACCTTGGTGAGGAGATGAGATATTGCCTTGGATCACGCCTGGGCCATCTGCCCAACTTGTGGTCAGAAGAAAAGATCTGCTACCAGAATAAAGAAGATGGCAAATCTAACAGGACAGACTAAATATAGTCACTACAACACAATTCACACGATGACGATGAGAATCCAGTACTTTGGGTAGCATGAAAAAAAGAAGTGACAATACCTCAGAGTCATCACTTTGAATGATGATTGTCATTGGAGACAATCATCTTAATAAGATTGGGGTGAGATAAAAAAAGTCACTGTATATTCTTAGAATTTTTAAGGTTTTAAAGTCATCTTTGTAGTAAATTATTAATCTCTGGAAACTAAAATATGAAAATCATTTTCAGTTACCTTTTGATCTAAAAATTACCATTTTTAGTTTAGGTTTTACTACATATAATCCAAGTAGAATGAAGGATAATTTAGGTCAATAATTTTTAATTTGATAATTGAGCTAATATTTTCATGATCCATTAGTCATGGACTCATATGGTAATTTCCTCATGAGATTCTGTTTTAAAAAACAATGTCAGCCAGGTGAGGTGGCAAGTGCCTGTAGTCCCTGCTACTCAGGAGGCTGAAGTGGGAGGATGGCTTGAGGCCAGGAGTTTGAGGCTGTAGTGCACTATGATTGTATCTGTGAATAGCCACTGCACTGCAGCCTAGGCAACATAGCAACACTTGTCTCTAAAAGAGCAAACAAACAAAAACTGCCCCCCCAAACAAAACAAAAAACAATGTCAGTATGATATCTTGTGAACATTAATTACAGATTTGAGTAAAGAGGAAGCTGTATCTAGCCATGGTTCCTGGGAGAACTGAAAGCTAATAATAAATACTCAATGTAGCCTGATTCTTTTTACCACTCTTTCTTCAAAAACTTAACAAAAATTAATTACAAGGGTGACAAAGCCGCTTTTCAAATATGATAAAAACAGAGAATACTGTTTTTAAGAGTCACTCACTGAAATATGACCAAGAAACTAATAATTTCCAGAATATATTTCAACAGCAAAATTTGCAATTTATGTGTATTTTGTTCCCCTGTCATGGTTCAACAACAGTTCATAATGTACAATTAATAGTAATTTTATTGTTCATAATACATCATCATTTTTATATGAAATTAGTCAAGGACAGTTGTTTTACTCAGAAACATCATGTGAGTCTTAAGTAAAGCAAATTTCAGGTGAGTAAGACATTCAATCTTCCTTTTAAAATTCTTCTGCCAAATTTCAAATAGGCTTTAATGTTTCAGAGGTCTTGGCATTTGAAGGTTGTCATCTAGTTAACATTTTTTAAACCCGACTTGATATTTTGAACCTTTTTGAAAATGATTTTGTGTAAATTTCTCTGGAATTTCAACTGTAAGGATAGTCTTCTAATCTGGCTTTTGTAGCTGATATGACTCAATCTCATGAAGACTAAAATGATTATATGACTGCAAGTTCAGTACCCTTTTTAATGCAAATAATATTCTCTGTGTTTGTGCTAATTTGATATGTCACAGGTGCAGAAAGCATTGATTACATAGCTGTACAAAGACAGAGATATTTGAAACCTCCTTAGAGTTTTATAAGCCTTTTTAAAAGCTTGTAAAACTTGGGATATTAACAAATGGAGAAAGTGGGACATGGATATTAGATAGAACTAGATTGGAAAACACCTTGCCATTCTGACGTTTATTCATGTGCTACCTTGGGTAAGCCCCTTAACATTTCTGAGCCTTAGTTTTCTTGTTTTTAAGTGCAGATAATAATTATCTAGTTTAGAGGATTGTTTAAGGGCTAAAGAATATGACATGTGGAAAAGTTGGCATGTAGCCACTCAATAAATAGCTGCTGTTATTATTTGGTTCTGTTAAATGGAATAAACCTCAGCTTTGAATGTTTAATCTTGAATAAGAAGGTTGAGGACCTAAAGTTACTTTTTAAGCTTGTACCAGGGCCAAATCTTATGCCCAAGGTGGCTTTACTCAAACTTGCCAATAGATGTAAATAATCATTCTCACCATCTTCAAAAGTATCCACTGACCCTAAGTACAGTGTCACAAAAGTGCAAACTGACTACATTCTACAGCTCTGAATTCATCAGAACCCAATTATATCCTGAATGTTGGCCATTAAGGTTGTTGATCATACAACAGGAAAGCCTGACAAGTACCTGCCTCAGTTTACACCTGAAACAGAACACTGGGCTTCATCTGTACAGCAAGAATTTCAATTTTTGAATTCACAGATGCTGGAATCCCACTCTGATATTTCAATTCAATGAGTCAAAGTTGCAGCTGTAAAAAGCTCCTCAGGTCACCCAAATTCTGTTTTTTAATGTGTTTGTCTGTTACCATACTGTTCACAGTTTTTCCATGTCAGTAAATATCTGTCTACAACATAACTTTAAATGGTTTCATAATATAGGCATGCTGCTGGACTTTGTTTCAAACTTGCAAGATAGACATCATGTATGTTAATACTCTTGCTATTTATAAAGTGACAGTGACTTGAGTCCTGAATCTTACAGCCCAAGCCCAGCCACATCGTTTTGTGGAAAGGTGTGCTTACCAGCATCATTGGCTTTGGTGTCAGCCTGAACTCACGCCCCATCTTTGGACAAGTCAGTTAGCAATGCAGGTCCCTGTTTCTACCTCTGTTAAACGAGGGTGATCATAATACCACCTCCTAAGGTTTCGAGAATGACTGGATCTGAATATGTCAAGTGCTTAGCAGAATGCCTATCACATAGAAAACACTCAATAAACCTTAATGATTGAGGAAAAACTAGGCAGCCTCTGACATCCAGGAGCTGGCCCGGCATGAACAGCTGGGCCTGGCTATTCTCATATTGATCATAAATAGTGTCATAGAATATCAGGTGAAACCACTTAGGGACCATGATGGATCATGACAAGAACAAGACCACTCCAACCATGCCTGAACACAGGCAAAACACAACTACTGTCCAAACCACAAAATCCAAAACAGTCCCTTCTCCTGGCTAATATGAGTGACAGCCACTTCTTTACCAATCACAGCTTCAACTGCAATCTGGTCTTTCCTCCTCCTAGGTAAGATGTAATCAAATACCCAATCCTAAAATCACCTCTTCATGACATCATCAAATGCAGAGGAAAACCTTACTTCCTTAACTCCTTCACAAGGAGAAGGGCTTCAAGCCACCAAATCATGGAACACAAACTCAAGTCTTCCAATAAGCCTTTTCTAACTCCCTCACTGAGGCTCCCCACAACTTCCCAAGGCGCGCCTTCTCCCTGGCTGAAGTAAACAATATACAACTTGTTCAACGCAAGTTCAACAAGTGTGTTCCTAGTGGTCTTTGGCTGGAGGGCACTGATGGCAGTATTCTGGAACGCTTTCTTCATAATATAACCACAATGTAGGTAGCTTGGTTTTTCCCTTGGAACTACATCCCTATAACATCTGAAGAATTACGAGTGGAAACCAAGAAGCAGTGAAAGTCAACTCCACTTGACCTGAGAAGCACCAACAAGGATTAAGGATTAAGAAGCATTGCAACTTTTGTAAAAGGATCACTATAACTTTTATCAGAATATTCATTAACCACAAAATTATTCTTAGGATGTAGGTCTGCATATCACCTAAGACCAAAAGAAGAAAAAAAAATCCAATTGTAAGGTCATCCAGTTCTAAGGTCAAAGTTGTAAGATCATAGATTGTTCTTAACTTTATAAATGGGTTGTTCCAGAAATTCATTTAAAGTTTGTTTCTAACCTAAAAGAGACATTCTAGTTGAAACCGTATCATAAATGGTAACTAGGTTTACCCTTCATTCCCAAAGCCTACTGAATACTGAATACATGTGAAACAATATTTCAAATGCAACATCAATTATGTCTACATGTCCATGGAAAAATGCATTCTCACCATCAGAGGTCTGTCTCATCAGTATCACCAAAATTAGCAATAGACAACATACCAGATGCCAATAACCTAACTCTACAACTGCAGGAGGGGCGTGATCAGGATGCTTTTGCTGCATGGAGGTTTATTATGTCACAGAGCAAGAAGTTTGGCGTTAGGCATCAGGATTAGTTAATTTAGTGCGTCAGGGGCTCAACAGCTCCCCAGTGACCCAGGTGAGCGAGTGCTAGCCTTGGGCTCTCATCCTCAGAGCCTCAGTGACGATGGCCAGCTCCGTGGTGCCAAGGTGGCTACAGCACTGACACCCTCTCCAACGCCGCATTCTGATGCAGATGATAACACCCAGTGAGGAAGAGGAGACTTTATGCCAGATGTATTTCTTTTGGGGGGAGGCAGGTGGAAAATATTTTCCAGAAGTACTCACAGTTCCCCATTTTAACTCGCTATGAGAATTTCTCATTGGCCAGGCGTGTATCACATGACCATACTTAAACCAGTCACTGTAAGAGGAAGGGGATTGCCGGGATTGGTTTAGACCAGTAGTTCTCAGCCCCGCCTGCACAATGGAATCGCCTGGGAACTTTGGAAACAAAATTCCAACTCCTGGCAACAGTATTTTAACAAGTTTTCAAAGTTCCCCAGCTGTTCCAAATGTATACCCAGAGGTGAGTCCTACCGTATTAGCCCGATCAAGTGTCACTCCAGCCCTGGTGAGAGGTCTGCTCTAACAATGTGGGATGGCAAACACCTGAACAAAATTGGGCCTCTGCCAGCGGGGCGGCGGGCGACGCAACTAACTGGATCCCGCACTGCACTCACCTTGCTAAGAGAAGCAATTCCTGTAGGTGACCTATAATGAGAAATCAAAAAGATTTGTTATAAGATTTAATGGTTATCTTAATCCCGACAAAAACAAGACCATTCTATAATCATGCCCGAATACAGACGAAACTACTGTCCAAACCTCAAAAACTGGAAAATGAGGAAAACACCTAAGTTGCAATTCAAGAGTGCCTTCCTCTCTGGAGCTTTTTCAGATACTCTCCCTCCTCCTAGAGAGAAGTAAGCTCTTCTGTCTCCTCTATTCCACACCAGCTTTATCAGGGTATGCACATAAAGCTTGAACTTGATTGCTTGCTGCTCCGCCCTCCTGAAATGTGCCCTCTGGGAGGACAGGGGTAATGTATGTATTCTACTTTGTGTGTCTAGCAACCAGCACACAGGAGGTCCAATAAATATTTGCTGAATGAATGAATGAATGAATGGGGGACACGGAGAAACAGATAAGAAATGCCTAATGTCAAGAGCAAATATTTACCCAGCCCTTATATGTCAGGCACTACACAAAGCCATGTACACTGAATTGACTCATTGACTCCTAAAAAACCCTATGAAGTAGGAGCCACTATTTCCTTCATTTTAAACATGAACAAAGTGCATTACAAAGAGACTAACCAGTTGTCCATGGTCACAAGCTAGAAAGTGACAAGCATGGGACTGGGTCCTGGAGAGTGGTTTGCAGAGCTGGCCATGTTCTTAACCTTTACACCCGAGAGGAAAAATGATGTCCTGCATTAAGGGTGGAGCCCTCTCTAGTGGATCCTAATCTGGAGGAGGACTGTAAGGGGTGCTGCCATTGGCAGGCTTTTTAACTTTTAGGTTCCTGAAGGCTTTTGCATTCTTGGACTTTTTAGAGGGACGGGGAAAGAGGAATTCCTCAATGACATAAGAAGGGGTGGAAATGCGGAGAAACAAAGGAAAGCATCTAAAATCCTATCCCTGAAAGGGTAGAGCCTGCAGCAGAACTCTCTCCAATCATGGGCAGGAAAAATAAAAAGGTGAATACTTCAGTTACGGTTTACACAGGACGTGCAATTACATGTGCTTCCAAGCCGCCCCTGCCATTTGTGGGGAACACCACCATCTACTGTTCTCATCTCTGATACACCACAACCTGGAGAGGAATCATGGTTCCAGTTCTAGTTTCTGCACCGTATTACCCCAAAGGCCATTTGACCATCTTCCCCCAACCTTTAACTCCTCTGTATAGCCTTATTCTGGCGGATGCAGCTATTACTCACCCAATTCCTTGGGCCAGAAAACCTGGAAGTCTCTCAAGATTCCTCCTTCCCTCTCCTTCACATCCAATTGGCCACTGAGTTTTGTGGGTTCTATTTCCTAAATCAATCTGTTCATTCATTCCATATTATGTGCCACGAATACGCCGTGATGAATTGGATAAGACCCCTACCCCCAGCTTCAAAGAGCTTACTGTCTTAATGAGGTCATTTTGCAAATGAACAACCCATTCTATAGCACAGTGGTACATGCAAGAAAGGGGTTAAGCAGAGTCCTGGGAGGGAACACCTCAGGGCTTTATGATTCATCTTGGGAAGCCTGAGGGCTTTTCTGTTGGCATGCCCACGCTGAAATGTGAAGGATGTATACCAGGAACCTGGTGAAGGAAGCGTGCAGAGGGGAAGCAAATGCAACTTTCTGGAGGCTAGAACAGAGAAGGGGAAGTTCACCAGGTCCGCAGAGATTAGCCTGGAAGCTGGTCTCCAGCCCGGTCCTAATCCAGTAATTACACTGCCCAACGGCTTTCCAAAACTCAAAAGAAAAAGCCCAGCACTGTCCTTCCTGTCCCTGGAAGTTTGTCCTTCAAGTCTCCCATCACTTGTCATTCGCTCATCAAGTATTTACTTAACATCCACTCTGTGCAGGTACCATATTGATAGCGGCCTCAAGGGTGCTTCTATTTAGGGAATTTTTAGTCTATTGGAGCAGATAGACCGTGGGGGGCATTCCGGGGATGCTGGGGGCTGTCAGGCCACGCTAGAAGCTGACACTGAAGACGTCAGCTACTCTTTAAGGACCCATCTGCCTCGCTGCCCACTGCTCAACCCGTCACTGGGGGCTCCAGGCCTGCCACCGGCTTGTCCTCTGAAGGGATAAGCAAGTGTTCTATTCACAGCCCGGAGTGCCCTTCTGCCCTCGCCCGAGGCCACTGCCCGCCTGGGGCCAGCTCCAGCGCTGCGTTCTCCAAGCGTGGCCACACTCATCGGCGCGCTGCTCTGCCAAGGGGGCTGACGCGGCGCGCACGGCCAGGGAGCTCTTGGGGGCAGACGCCGTCCAGCCTCCCGGCCGCCGGGTGCCTACTCCAGACCGGCTCTCTCTCTCCCTAGGCGCCTCCCACGCCCGGGCCGGAGAGCGGGCGCTCGGGGCGACGGACGACCCTGCGCGCACGTGGGCGCAGCCTGGAGGCCGCGGGGACCCTCTCCCATGGGGGCGACGGGAGACGTCCTGCCGGTAGACCTTGGCCAGGGGGTCGCGCTCCCCGCCCGCACCCCTCCCGGAGCCCCGGCGGGGACGTGCGGGGACGCGCCCGGGCGGGAGCGCGCGCGCCAGGCGCCTCCGAGGTCCCGGCAGCGGCTCGGGGCGGGCGGAGGAGGGGCCGAGGGCGGGGCGGCCGCAGCCTCCGCCATTCCCGGCCCCCCCCGGCCACGGCGCACCGCCTCCCCGCCCCCGCCCGCCCTCCCCCACCGCGCGCGCTCCGCCCGCCCCGGAGCCTCGCCCTCCGCCACGATGAGCAAATGAGCGCGAGCGAGGGCATGAAATTTAAATTCCACTCAGGGGAGAAAGTGCTGTGCTTCGAGCCTGACCCCACCAAGGCGCGAGTGCTGTACGATGCCAAGGTGCCGCCGCGGAGGGACAGGGAGGAGGCGCGGGCTGGGGGACCCGGGACCGGGGGCGGGGGCGGGGGCGGACGGCCGCGCGGAGCTGAGGGACCGGCCGGGCTCCTCGGCCTGCGAGGAGCGGTGCGGCCGGCAGGGGGCGCTCACAGGGCGCTACGCCCGGGAGTCGGGGCGGGGTCTGGGATGCTTCCACTTCCTTCCGTCAGGCCGGGCGGCGCACGCGCGGTTGGGAGCCTCGCCCATGCTTTGTCGCGTTACCGGGGCTACCGTTTGCGCCCCCGACTGCAACGGTGGCCGCTGAGGGAGGAGGCTTCTCGAATACGGTTTCTGTCTTCGCGTTAAATGTCTCCTTCTGTGCGGCCTGGTGCCGGGTGGGCTCCTGTGGGACGCCCTGGCCGTCCGATCCAGGTTCTAATTCATAGTTACACGGCGCTGGCCGCTGACTTGCGACGTTGTGTCCCTGGGACCCTAGTCCAGTTTAGGCCCCATCCCGCCTGTAGGCCGTGAACCCCATCCCGAGGGCAAGGTTGGCCCAGTGTTTTCGTACCCCAGGGCCTTGCAGCATTTACGTTTTCAAACTCTGAAGGATTTACGTGGGTCTGACCATAGTTGATGGGAATCGCGCCCCGGGCCGGTCCACCTAAGTCTCCGGGAGCTGAGCCACATCTTGCAGCTCCTCAGATTTGGGTGGCGGGCAGGAGTTGGCACCAGGTCTCCCAGATCCCCAAGGAAAGCACCCAGGTGCTTTCATTTCAGAGACCTGGGTTCCTAGGGCCACCTGGGCGAAGCCTTAGGCGGCAGGGACAGGGGCAGTCCCAGGTGTGTCTTTGGCGATGTCTGGACAGCTCTGTCCATTAGAGATGCTAAAGGACATCCCTAAAGGGATGAGCATATTCTGCCTTCAGTTCCCTCCCCTGCTGCTCCTGTCTTTTAACCGCGTCTGCTATCCCTCTTTCTCCTCGCCCTCCAGCCTCCTCGGGGCGGAGGGGGGGGGGCACGCCCCATCATTAGTTTTAGTTGTTCCCTCTAGGGACACAACAGGGAGGGATTCCAGAGTCTCCAGCTAGCCATCCTGGCACTGGACATAGGGGAGCCCAGGAGACTACAACTCCCAGAGCTCTCAGGGCTGCAGCTTTCATCTAGCCTGGAGTCTCTCCTTAGTGACAAATCGGCTGGCCAATGGCTTCAGAAGCCTCACACTGTCTCACGCTCAGAGACCAATCACGGGGTGGTTGGACGGATGTTTCCTATTTTGAAGGCGTCCACTTGGGGGAAAAAAATGAAAGGAAAAATATTTCAACCCGGCTGTCGGTCTAAAAGAGGAGAGAATGCTTTCTTTAAAAAAGGGTCTGTGAATTAGTTTTCCTGATCTAACTTCTAATTTTCTGTATGTTCTGCCATTTGTGGGAAATATTTCTTCGTTTCAGATTGTTGATGTTATTGTTGGGAAAGACGAAAAAGGCAGAAAGATCCCAGAATATCTGATCCATTTTAATGGTTGGAACAGAAGGTGAGTGAACTTGTTAAACCAGACTGAAAATTGATTGTCTTTGCTGCATAGAAACATTGCAGACTTAAGTTTCAGAAACACTTGTAGAGAAGTTTGTTTCATTTCCTGCTTTTACTTTGTAGCATTGCAAACTTCTTTAAGTTTTTGAAACACTTGTAGAGAAGTTTGTTTCATTTCCTGTCTTTACTTTGTAGCGTTGCAAACTTCTTTAAGTTTTAGAAACACTTGTAGAGAAGTTTGATTCATTTCCTGTTTTTACTTTGTTACCAGAACTTGCCTATTGTGACGAATAGTTACTTTTAAGTCGATTGTATTTGGATTCTGTCTGGGTGATTCTGGAAACCCCAGTTGTTTCTGTGTCTGAATGAGTTACTTTTTCAGTTTATTTGCCTCCTCTTTGTGATTTTAAAATATTTAAATCGTTTTCTAAAAATGTAATTCTGGGGCATTTCTATTGCTTTGAGGTACTTTTAGTCGTTGTTTCATATCAAACTAAAGTACTGAATTTTCCTTTTTTGTTCAATTAGCTGGGATAGATGGGCAGCAGAAGATCATGTGCTTCGTGATACCGATGAAAATCGTAGATTACAGCGTAAATTGGCAAGAAAAGCTGTAGCTCGCCTGTAAGAATACAAAAATCAAGATATAAATGTTATCCAATGTGTTTTCTCTTAGTGTTTTAGATTTTTATGATATAAAAGTAATACAATGACAAATATCATTTATTAAATAATTTTAAATATTTAAAGTGTGTAAGGGGAAGAGTGTTCCTATGGTATTCTAAATAACAGTGTTTTCAGAGTGGTTATTGTATAATTTTCTGAAATGGAAATTACCATTTATGTTCTAAAGTTTAATAATTTTTCAAATGTATTTCATTGTTTATTATATCTTGTTTTGATCTCAAGACTCACGAGTTCAATGTCAAAACTTATTTCAGTTGTTTGCTACTCTTTTTCAGGAGGAGCACAGGAAGAAAGAAGAAGCGCTGCAGGTTGCCTGGTGTGGACTCTGTCTTAAAAGGCCTCCCCACTGAAGAAAAAGATGAAAATGATGAAAACTGTGAGTAGCTTCACTTCATTTCTTTTGGCTGAAAGAACTTCCACCTAGACTGAGAGAAGGATTCACTGAAATTCTAGACAGGGAAACACTTCAAGCTCATTATGTATAATATTTGCCCCATTTATTTTTGACAATTAAAGTAGCAGTCAATATAAGTCAGTAAATCAGTAATAGAACGTTAGCAGAGTCATGCTTGTGACTACTGCCCTCTCGGCCAGCATCTTTGTACAAACCCCTCATGGGTGTGTTCTCATGGGATCTGTTCTCTTTTTGGCACCTCCCAGGCCTTGGTCCCATTTATGAATGCAACAGGAAACTGTAGGATCCTAACTGACAATACACTTTCCGATCATTAGCTAGTGTGATTTTTGCATCCATTGAAATTGGTTGTCAAAATAAATTTCTATTGTGAAAGATACAGTATTTGTGTTTGGCATTTAAAAATACATGGAATTGCAGTTTATTATTTCCAGTAGCACCCACACTACACGTGAAGATCTGTAGACATAAGGGTTGGTGAAGTATAAAATGCGAGTTTACCGGATGCTTTTGTTTCACCTAGCATTAAGCAGTTCCTCTGACTGTAGTGAAAACAAGGATGAAGAAATAAGTGAAGAAAGTGATATTGAAGAAAAGACTGAAGTGGTATAAAGTTTTTATTGTAAAAACTTTCTCTTTGTTATATATTTTAGTGGTAAAAATTCACAGTGAAATACTCCAGTTGTGAATTGTTTTCTAAAGATACATCTTTTAAACCAATAATGTAAATTTTTATTTGACATTTAAAGAAAAACAACCCTTATTTATAGTCGCCGTATGAGTCTCTCAGTGGCTCTTTATGCCCCTAAAATGTTTCCACAAATTATAGTTATCTTTCTTTCCAGTCAAATTATTTGTTTTATAATGATTAATTTTTTAATGGAGCCTACAGACTGTGATGTCTTCTGCCTGCATCCAAAGTTAATATAAATCCGAGTGGTAAACTGAAATGGGAAAGAAATGAAATACATATTTGCATTGTGTTTAGTGCCCCCAAACAAGTTAACTTTTGGCCTTTAACATACTTTTAATTAGAACACGTGGCATACTATGATTGTTGAGGATTAGCTGGGTTTGTTTCATAGCAGGCCTTCCTTGGATATTGACTCTTCTACTGTTTTAAATAGTTAAAAATGGAATTTTGATATTGCAGAAAGAAGAACCAGAGCTTCAAACAAGAAGGGAAATGGAAGAAAGAACAATAACTATAGAAATCCCTGAAGTTCTGAAGAAGCAGCTGGAGGATGATTGTTACTACATTAACAGGAGGAAACGGGTATGTAGGGAGAATGTATAAAACATTAATTTGTTTGGCATTTTCATTTTGCCATAGTTTGCAATCATAGACGTAAGCAATAGCGAATCTTGGTGGAACGAAATTTATATTTTTCAGCTTTGTATTGAGTCAGGTTTTAAAGTTCTCTGCCAGTGGTGCTGTGCAGCTGATAAAAATTGAAACTCACACAGCTCTGGCTGCCCATTAGGGTTGTGTTGGGAGCTTTCCAGAATGCTGCTGCTTGTGCTTCAGCCCAGAAATTAAGAATTAATTGATCTGTGGTGGAGTCCAACTGCAGGTATACTTGAAGAAGTTCCCCAGGTTGTTCTCACAGATCACTGAGATTAAGAATCACTGCTTACATCTATTCAAAAAAGTAATATTGTAATCTACATAAGGTTATGATCAGTAGAGAAAAAAAGATCAAAGAGATTGCGAACATATTTAAGAAGTTCTATTCAAACAGAATTGGCTTTGGTTTATTTTTGAGTTAAAAAATGATACAGACATGACCAGTGTTTCTTGGAATATGTGGTTTGTTACATTAGGATGCATACATCAGATGTCTATGTTTTTGTTAACAGTTAGTGAAACTTCCATGCCAGACCAACATCATAACGATTTTGGAATCCTATGTGAAGCATTTTGCTATCAATGCAGCCTTTTCAGCCAATGAGAGGCCTCGTCACCATCACGTTATGCCACATGCCAACATGAACGTGCATTATATCCCAGCAGAAAAGAAGTGAGTACTGGCATGTTTGGTGTTTTGTGGTTCTCTCTGTATTAGAGAGGTGGCTTCCATTTAGAACAGGTGACACTTGTCTCTATTCCGTTATTTTGAATTCATTTAATATTTAATAATTTATTGATAATTCATTGAATCATCTAATATTAAAACCTTGTCACTTTTGTGAAATCTTCAGTACTTCAATAACTATTTACACATCTTACATGGATGCATTGAAAGTGCACTGCCTCAGCACTGAGACAGTTTTTTCAGTGATACTGTTTAGGGCGAGAACTTTCCTTGAGAAGCACCAGAATGGGCAGTGAGGATTTCTCAAAGCTTGTTTACAAACAGGTTTTCATTCCAGTCAGAGAAAGCTTCCTTGTATCCTGCCTGGTACACATGACCCAGCTAGATGAGAGGCAGAAAGGTGGAGTGTTGGAGTTAAAGCAAGGGTTAGGGATTCACTAGGGTCAACCCGTTTCAGCTTGCAGTGATAGGGGTGTGTCCACCTGTCCACTTTTGCAGCACAGGCTGCTGGACACCTCGTGTGGCCTCAAACATATTTATTTGTGTTTAATGGGGTAAGTTAAAGTGACTGCTGTATTTTCTGCACTTTATGTTTTCCTATGTAATCTTGACAGTAGCTACAAATCCATTTCATTTTGTGTGTATGTAGGTGTAGTATATAATGATTAGATTTAAAACTGCCCTATTAAAAATCGGCAACTTCATTGTGAACATTTGGAAAGTACCTCTTACTTGTGTCTCTAATCTCTTCTTTTTAATCCTCCCAGTGTTGACCTTTGTAAGGAGATGGTGGATGGATTAAGAATAACCTTTGATTACACTCTCCCGTTGGTTTTACTCTATCCATATGAACAAGCTCAGTATAAAAAGGTGACTTCGTCTAAATTTTTTCTTCCAATTAAGGAAAGTGCCACAAGCACTAACAGGTAAGTTATATAGCCTGCACTTTCACCCTCACATGTCAGCAGTACAATGATCAGATCCTTGTTTTGAAGAGTTCAATCTGATGGTGTGGGCCAACATGTTTGGAGGAGGGAAGGAAATGAAAAGTGTGTGTCCTGGTGGTTTTCTTTTTTCCTGGGTAAGCTAAGTCATCATTCACTTTCATATGGCTCTGGCAGATTTTACCAAGTGAAGACCCCAGCATAGAGAACTTAGGTGGGATGATGAGCAGCTCTCCCATTTTGGGGAAGACGGTAGTGGGTGGGGTGAAGAGAGCACAGGCCGGGGAGGGTGGAAGGGGCAGGTTTGAATTGAGTCCCCTCACTGGCTGTTTGTGTTAGTTGCAGAGGTTTCTTAGGAGCCTCCTTCTTTTGCAGGTGTGGGATGGACGGAAGGCAGGCCTAGCTAGTAGTATTAAATGGGAATGTTCACACAGGGCCTGCAAACTTTGGCCTTCAGTAAAAGTTACTTCTCTTCTTGCTCTGCGATGTCACCACTTTTCCTCCCTCAGTTACCGAGCATGCTCTGTTCTTTTTTGAGGGGGCAGGGAGGGGGATCCTGCAACCTAAAGTCTTTCCCTTAATCTCTATAAGGTATTGTGCTCGCTCCCTCTTCCCTCTCTTCCTGAGAGAGTGGTCTGTTCTCATGATTTCCACTCATCTGTCTCCTCTGTTAACCACTTATTATCTGCCTTCATCTACTGCTGTGCTGCAAAACTTTGCCTGCACGTGAACTGATAACCTCCCACTTGCAGTGTGCTGCCCTTTTTCTCGGCCACCTTGCCCTGCCCTCCCTTTCTCCCTCTGCTTCATGGCTGTCAGCTCCCCAGCTTCTCTTTCCGCCTGGCCGCCATCTCCTCTCAGCCATCCTTCCTTTGGTAGCTTCTCTCTCTCCTTTCCCTTTCCCCATGTCAGTTTCACCCCAGGTGAGAGGCCTGCAGGACTCACTGGGGACCTATGTCAAAGTCCCCAGGGCCTACTTCAAACCTTGAGACTCCTCCGGGGTGGGTTGTGTGTTTTCACACAGCAACCCCAATGCTTTTCTTAGTCCTGCCAGTAGTTACGTTTCAACGAGGTGGTAGGGTATTCTTGTTCTCTAGACCAGCGTTTCTCAGCCTCGGCCCTATTGATGTTTTGAATCAGATCTTTCTTTGTTGTGGGGCTGCCTGTGCAATATAGGATGTTTAGCAGAATTAGTGGCCTTCACCCACTAGATGCGGATAACACCTCTTTCCTCAGTTGCAGCAACCAAAATTGTCTCCAGACATTGCCATCTGTTCCCTGTCAGGGCAACATTGCTCCCACTTGAGACCCACTGCTCTAAGACACATATAACAGGGGCATCACAATCTTTAATGCCAGCGTGCCTTGCAGAGTTATGGAGAGGGTCCAAGTGACTTCGGTACATATTTACGACCCTCCTGGAGTAGAGAGAGCATTTCGTGTCTTCAGAAGCACTCCATGTTCTGGAAAGGCCCTTTGAGCCATGTGTGACATCCTCCATCTTCCCTAGGAGCCAGGAGGAACTCTCTCCCAGTCCGCCTTTGTTGAATCCATCCACGCCACAGTCCACAGAGAGTCAGCCGACCACCGGTGAACCAGCCACCCCCAAAAGGCGCAAAGCTGAGCCAGAAGCATTGCAGTCTCTGAGGCGGTCCACGCGCCACAGTGCCAACTGTGACAGGCTTTCTGAGAGCAGCGCTTCACCTCAGCCCAAGCGCCGGCAGCAGGACACATCCGCCAGCATGCCCAAGCTCTTCCTGCACCTGGAAAAGAGTAGGTTCATTCTCGGGTGCCCCAGGCCGGGGAGAGCCAGCGTGTACTTTGTGTTTAGTCAGTGCCAGGCATGGTGCTGAGGTTACATGTGTGTGTGTACAGTGCGTGTGATTCCCATGTCCAAAGTGCTGTCATGCTGCCTGCTTTCTGGAGCTGTAGAAAGTTGAAACACCTGGCGCAGATTGCAGCGCAGCTGTGTTGGAGGCAGGACTGGGCTGTTTCCTCAGCCTTTCTTTTTTGCCATCACTCTACCACTTGTGAGCAAATTGAGTTATCAGAATTCTATGTATTGTGTAGCTAGGCCTAATGAAGCATTCAAAATGAGCAATGCTAATGGGTTGTTTAGCTTTTTGTTTTCTTTGTACTCTGTCTCTGTAGTCTCTCCATTCTAAAGTTTAATTTGGAAAGGTCTGTCCTGAATTATCAAAGTAAGAATACTCAGATTTCCATAAGCTCTTCTCACCTCCTCTTAGCCCAACTCAAACTCCATCAGATCTTCTCACCTTGATTTTGAGCTGGAATGTTTCAATGAGCAAAATAAATTAGACAAAAGTTTACTTTCTTTTTTTCCAAAATACACACAGGTTGATTTGCTGTAATATAAAACTTAGAAGTAAACCACTGCTAATTAATCATTTTAAACTTTCAAAAACTGCTAAAACAGGTGCCATGAATCAGGTACAATTACTGTAGAAACTAACATTAGCTATTATACACTAACCAGGCATTTTTCCCAAATTAATTACAATCTGGTTGTTTAGCCTATGCTAATTAAGCCCTCTTAGTAGTAGTATTCACTTTACATTGAAGACCTCATTCACAAATACAGGGTGCTCTGTGCTTATATCCTTCCACCCTTGACTGCCAAAAATGTGTGAAATGGAAAGTTGATGGCAGCAGGGCCGACGATGTCACCTGGTGCCTCGCGGGCTCAGTGAGTTAGGAAGTCAGCAGCAGGGGAGGCAGCTTGCATGCCTGTCCCCCGGCACACTGTGTGGAGGTGGAAACAGAGCTACGCCAGCAGGCGCCAAGCACCCAACTCCAGAGATGGAAGCCTGGTGGCCTTCCTTTCACAGAGCTCAGCTGCTCGCAGGCTGTGAAATCTAAGACACCCCTCATAAATATCAAAAACACCTCCAAAGCTAACGTCAGGGTAAAACTACTTGGAGTCGAATCCCCATGCCCCAGTAGGTGTATCTTGTGTATGACCTGTGCCCTGTTCTTCCCTCAGCCTCGCCTGCTGTGCTGACTCCTTCAGGGGTCCTTCTAAGCATCATCCTGTTGGAACTCCCAAAAGTCATCCCAGTGCCATTCTGTGTTCAGGTGCCCATTTCCTTGTGTACATCCTGTCCCTGCCACATCCATAAGCTCCTGAGAGAAAGGTCTGACTTGTTGATTGTGTCACCCCATCACAGCTCAGTGTTGGTGGCATAGTTCCAGGTGCGTGAAAGTATTTGCTGATTCTTTGAAGATTGGGAAGGCTCAGAAGGGCAGAGTTGAAGAAGGCATACCTTTAAGAGAAGCCCTTTGAATAATCAAGTGCTAAAACAAAATCAGGTGCTTTTTTAAAACAGCTTGATTGAGATATAATCCACATACCTTAAAATTCACACATTTAAAGTTTTTAGTGTCTCCAGACACAGTGGTTCATGCCTGTGAGACTGGGGCAGGAGGATCACTTGAGGCCAGGAGTTCAAGATCAGCCTGGGCAATATAGTGAAACCCCATCTCTTAAAGAAAAAGTTAGCCAGGTGTGATGATGTGCACCTATAGTCCCAGCTACTTGGGAGGCTGCAGCTGTGGCTGTGGCTGAAGCTGGCGGATCGCTTGAGGCCCAGAGTCTAAGACTGCAGTGAGCTCTCATTGGGCCACTGCAGTCGAGCCTGGGCGACACAAAGAGACCACCCTGTCTGATAGATAACTAACAAAATAGTTTTAGTTGGGCAAAATTAAAGAGTTGGGCAACCATCACTGAAATCAGTTTCAGACATTTTCACCACTCCAAAAAAGAAACCCCACATCGACTAGCAGTTACTCATTTGCTTCTCCCTATGTCCCCTGACAACCACTAATCTATTTGTCTCTATAGATTTGCCAGTTTGGGGCATTTCATATAAATGGAATCATCTGTATGTAAGTGGTTAATAAGGATTGGTTGATTGAAGATTGAAAAGGGTCAGCTGGGAAAATTTTTAAAAAGACTGTTTTTAAAAAGGTGCTACAAAATAAAGTGCTATCTTTTTCTGTTTCTCTTTGTACTTTTTATTTTTTATTTGTATTTATTGATGTGAAATTCACATATAAAATTAACCATTGTAAAGTGAATAATTCAGTGGCACTTAACAGCTTCATTGACACATCCACATATACAGTTCAATCCAGTAGTTTTTAGTGTATTCACAGAGTTGTGCGACCATCTGCACAGTCAATTCCAGAACATTTTCAGCACCCCCCCACGAGAAACCCCATACCCAGTAGCAATCACTCCCCACTTCCCCTTCTGCAAGCTCCTGGCAACCACTAAGCTGCTTTCGGTCTCTCTGGATTTGCCTACCCTGGGTATTTCATATAAATGGAAACATAGTATGTGGCCCTTTGTGATTGGCTCCATTCACTAAGCATAGTCTTTTAAGGTTCATCCACATTGTAGCATATGTCAGTGCTTTATTCCTTATTTTTTTAACCAAATAAAATTCAGGTGCTATCTGTTAGGAAAGTCTTATCGTTAAAGGTTGGTAATTTCTGAGAACCAAGTTTAGATTTATGTTCTGCAGTTTTTAACAGTCTTGAGGCAGTCTTTAATTCAGTTGCTGTGTGAATAATTTCATCTTTTTCTTTGGAAGAGACACCTGTGCATAGCAGATCATCTTCACCTATTCCTCTGACTCCTAGCAAGGAAGGGAGTGCTGTGTTTGCTGGCTTTGAAGGGAGAAGAACTAATGAAATAAACGAGGTAAAGAATGTTTGATGTTTGTTCCCAATGGTTCCTTTATTTGTGATTACTTCAATTCTATAGGTGGAAGTCAAGGTTCTTAAAGCATCATGTTGCTGCTATTACTGTAAACATTATCAAAATTGTACGTAATTTTATGCTTAACACTGTGGGTTTTGGTTTCTAAAGTGAGAAAATTGTTAGGATTCCAGCCCTACACTGACAATCATCTTTTAAATAAGTGCAATTATTGAAATACCAGTATTTTTACTTTATAGAACAGATGTCAATTTCCACAGAGGGCCAGAGGGTAAATACTTTCGGCTTTGTGGGCCATATGGTGTCTGTCAAGGCTACTTAACTCCAAAAGTAGCCACAGATAGTATGTAAATAAAATGAGTGTGCTATATTCCAATAAAACTTGATTTATGGACACTGAAATTTGACTAGCATTTAATTTTCATGTGTTTGAAAATTTTTTTTGTTTTTCAATCATTTAAAAATATAACATCCACTCTTAGCTTGTGGGCAATATAGAAACAGGCAGTAGTTGGGCGGGATGTGACCAGCAGGCTGTAGTTTGCTGACTCCTACTTTAAATCCCTGATTCCCCTCCATCATTAACAGTAATACCAATAGCCGTCCCTTCAGGGATGGGCTCTAGGCCACCACTGTGCCAGACACTTGAACCAAATACTTTGAATTCTCGAGATCAGCCTTGCCACCAGATTTCCACTTGATAGATGGGAAAACTTTTCATTTTAAAACTATTTTTAAGGCCCATTAGGTGATCTGTAGGTGGTGAGTTTGTCAGGGATTCTGAAGACGTCTCAGTTTATCAGCATATTCTGTGAACGTCTCCTAGGAGGTGAGATTTCCTCTTTTTTTAAGGTGAGTAGGAGTTGCACAAGGGAAAATGGCTTTGCTAGGCAAAGAACATTTTTTTCTTTTTTTGACACAGGGTCTCACTCTCATGCTGTCACCCAGGCTGCAGTGCAGTGGCAGGATGTTAGCTCACTGCAGCCTCTGCCTCCTGGGCTCAGGCGATCCTCCCACCTCAGCCTCCTGAGTAGCTGGAACTACAGGCTCATGCCACCATGGCCTGGCTAATTTTTGCATTTTTTTGTAGAGACTAAGTTTTGCCATGTTGCCCAGCCTGGTCACCAACTCCTGAGCTCAAGTGATCCTCCCGCCTCTGCCTCCCAAAGTGCTGGGGTTACAGGCATGAGCCACTGTGCCCAGCCTAGGCAAAGAGCACTTGATGATGGGAAGAGAAGTCACAAAACTTTCTTCCAGACGATAACTGTCTTCAGTAGTGTGTACCCTAAGGTCTCTTGAGAGACTGCTCAACTCTGCTGTTCCAGCAGGAAAGCCCTAAACAAAGGGACGTGGCTCTGCCATAAACAAAGGGGTGTGGCTCTGTGTGCTGCCCCCTTAATTCATTCATGGACACTGAGAATTTAATGTCATGTGATTTTCACATATCACAAAATATTATTCGTATGATTTTTTTTCCCCAACCATTTTGAACATATGAGCATGGGGCTGGATTTGGCCTAGGGGCTACAGTTGGCTGACCCCATAGAGAATCTAGAAAGCCTAATTTGTGTTATGATGATTGTTGAGGGTAGGTTAGGAAATCCCTAGTTCAAGCAGTCCCTGACATGCCCATTTTTCAGATAAGAATGCACTACGAATTTTATTATTGAGGGGAAATCGTGAATTTAAGGGGCATCTGAGTTGTCAAGTAAGGGCTATTCCCACTCCGGTCTGCAGTGCGAATGCGCCATCTAGTGGTTATAGGTACAGCTGCAACTTATAGTTTGAAAGTGCTTTCTGGGAAATGGTTGGGGTTCAGGCGGCTCTCACAAGGACTCATGAGACCTTCGTGGATTCCCACCTTCTTACGTACGTCTACCACCGTGTTTTTTGACCAGGGCTCTTTCTCTCAGTTCCAATCGCTGCTCCACAGTACTAGGGGCTGGTCTGGGCCAGCACATGCCAGTAAAGGTCCATCAATGATTCCCATGCATACCCCACTGGGAATCCCCCGACTAGAAACCTACCATTTTTCCCCGGAAAATGTGTCTTCATAAATAGAAGATTATAAACTGCCTTGAAACACAGAATTGAGTGAGTGAGATAGAGCCAGATGACCTGCTTTTGTACGTGCCAAGTGCTGTTCATGCCTCTGAGATTGCAAAGTCCTGTATGTTTCCTTTGAGTCACTTTCAGAATGGTTCCAAAGCTTCAGCTGTGTGCACTGGGCAGGTGCTGGGGATGCTGTAAAGATGCTGGAACGATCCCTTCCCTCAGTGCTCCACAGTGCAGAAGTGGGGCGCTGGGGGTGGAGACCTAGGCGAGAGTCTAGGCCTGTCTAGGCAGGGGCCAAAGTGAAGCTAGGCCTTTGTTCTGGATCCTTCAGGGCCACCTTGGTGCTTATTAGCTTCTGGCAGTTCCATGTTGTTAAACTGACTATATCAGTGTTTCTGAGTTTGTGGGGGCATCTTTCTTTCTGCTTTGTCTGCTGGTGGACTTCCTCCAGTCTGACTGTTTCCATATTGAATATGACGTCCCAAAAGCCAAAGTAGCAGCTCAGTAGAGTAGGCTCTGGTTCTATAATTTGCTGAAGTACTTTTACGGAAATTCATCAGAGAGTTTTGAAATGCAACTCTCCCTTTAACAAAAGCCCCAGGTCCACCCACAGTTCTGAAATTCAGAATGAAGACAAATCAGTTATCAGGTTTGAAGTCTATTTCAGTTGATTCAAGGGGTTAAAAGATTCAAATTCGTTTCCATAATGAATCTAACAGCAAGAAATTAAGGAATCTTGAAACAACAGTAATATTATTCAGAACATCTATGGATTACTTTTTAATGCTTCATTCTCTCTCTAGTGCAGCAGGATTTTCTTTTTTCTGGGTGGAGGGGAAGGGGGCCAGAGTTTCACTCTTGTTGCCCAGGCTGGAGTGCAGTGGCACAACCTTGGTTCACTGTAACCTCTGCCTCCTTGGTTCAGGTGATTCTCCTGCCTCAGCCTCCCAAGTAGCTGGGATTACAGGCGTCCACCACCACACCTGGCTAATTTTTTGTATTTTTAGTAGAGATGGGGTTTCAACATGTTGGCCAGGCTGGTCTCAAGCTCCCGACCGCAGTTGATCCACACACCTCGGCCTCCCAAAGTGCTGGGATTACAGGTGTGAGCCACCGCGCCTGGCCATGCAGCAGAATTTTCAATAAAGAGAAAGGACTAAAGAACCTAAACAGTTACAGTTATTTATAGAGAATAACTGTTGCGAGTTAAGAAATTAAAGACTTTCTTGATCTATTTTAAGTGTTTTTGCCTTTCATCTTTGTTTTTTGTAAGCTTGTGTTTATTTTGATCCAATCACTTATTTTTTCCCCTCTACGTACAATTTACTGTCATAATTGTTAGGTGGTTGGAAGTGTCTCCATTAAGAATAACAAAAGCATTCAATTCGTGCTTTTTCCAGGTCCTCTCCTGGAAGCTTGTGCCTGACAATTACCCCCCAGGTGACCAGCCGCCTCCACCCTCTTACATTTATGGGGCACAACATTTGCTGCGATTGTTTGGTAAGAATCCTGGTTCCTGCCTTCTTTCCATTTTTCATTTTGTATTCTCTTGTTAGCTTTCTGTACACCTTGTGGTTTGGGCTATAATTATCTAACTAAGAAATTTGGGGATCCAAGAAAAATTAAAAGTAATCTATCAAAGAAAAGGCATTGAATGAATCTTAAATTTCATAAAAATTATGTTTGTAATATTTGTACTGCTACTCTGTCTTTGTTCAGTAAGAGTTTGGGGATTTGTTTGATAATGTGGATGTTAATTTCAGTTCCAGTAGAGATAAGGAGGGGCCCAGACCTTCCCTGAGTGAATCCTATGCATTGTCAGATTCTGCTAATTGTAAATGGTTTTGCCTTTATTTTTAATGCAGTGAAACTTCCAGAAATCCTTGGAAAGATGTCCTTTTCTGAGAAGAATCTGAAGGCTTTATTGAAGCACTTTGATCTCTTTTTGAGGTATTTTTATTATTTTGTCAAAACTTACACCTGTTGCCATATATGTGGCTTTTCTGAACTTCTCTTTAGCACATGGGGAAGTCAGCTCTGTGATATTTTAAATAGTAGAAGTATTACCTAAGCATGGTTGGTTCTAACCGTAATGGGAATTAGGAGTGGGTTTTTTTGGTATTTCTTTTTTCCATAATTTCTCTGGTTTCTGAGTTAGGGGCATTCATTGTACAGAGGTGAAGTTTTTTTGTCTCACTAGAAGAATTTAATTTAAAAAAACCTTATAAATAGAAAATAAATTTTCTAAAGTAGAAGTGATTGAGATTGATGATAATTTAGTTTTACATTTTTTTATTCAACAGTACCTCAAGTAGTGGACTTTCCTTTGTTGCATGTACATAAACTAACTTAAATAGTAGCATTTATAGGTTGGATTTCGGTGTTTACTTTAGAATTAAGAGAAAAGACCCCTTGTCTGTGTTGTCATGTATGAATTCAGACCAAGGTATTGTTTCCTGCAGCTGACAAAGCCAGTCATTTTTTTATCTAATAGGATCATTTGATCTGAGGCTCTGCTGTGTCCTCTCCCTTCCAGATGATGTCTATGGACCACTTTCTCTCCTTGGCCTTCAAGGCTAGTTGTCCCCCTGCCTCACCCAGCTCATCCTAGCTACCTGACTTTGTTTCTTCCTTCTCTTTAAGGAGTATCTCTTCCTTGTATCCAGGCCCCACCCTGACTTATCAAGTAGGATTTACCACAGAGTGGAGAGTATCCCAGCCAGGGAAATCGTCTTGTGGTTTTAAGAGATCCTTTCATGTAGGCATTTTGAATAAAGTGTCCATGAGTGGAATTAGACTTCACAACATTTTCTTGGAAACAAGTTTCCAAAAGACCCTCTTCCCTCCCAGCCTCTTCCTCAACAAAACCCACAACTCTGTTTGGCATAAAATTTTGTAAACTGAAATCAAATAGTGCCAAGAAAATATGAAGAGTCAGTTGCAGGATAGCATAGGAAATCCTGCTAATTTTGATGCATGCCTAATACAAAATAGAAATTAGAATTTTAGGAAGTAACTTAGGAGGACTTACTAATAAACCTAGTAAGAGGTTTTAAAAACGTATTCGAAGATATCAACCAGAATCAATGGACTCAATAATGATCATAAAAAGAGTACACTCATAGAAGAAAAAGAGTTAGCTATCCAATGAGTTTTGACTCAATTTATACTGAAGAAGGTTTGCACATTTTTAGGAATTTGGGCAGGTGGGAGTCACTGGGAAGCAAGCATAAGGCAAATGTGCTTATTAGTGAATATTGCACATGTGAGAATGTCTTAGCCCTCCATGGCAAAATCAGTTGAAGTTTGAGTCAAGATATCATATGTATATTGAAGATTCTTGAATGACCAGCACATTTTTAACATCCGTCTTCATACATATGAGTCTTTCCTGTGTCTTGGTACTGTTAGCTAGAACTGTAACATGTTTTGGCATGGCAAATTAGGACACCAAATGCCATTACTAGTTGTTCTGTTCAATTTTTGTATGACTTTGCTCATATAAATGATGTACATTTCTGAAGTGAGATTTATTGTTTATAATCGTTTTTTATTTTTTATTTTGTTTATTTATTTATTTTTGAGACGGAGTCTTGCTCTGTCGCCTGGGCTGGAGTGCAGTGGCGTGATCTCGGCTCACTGCAAGCTCTGCCTCCCAGGTTCATGCCATTCTCCTGCCTCAGCCTCCCGAGTAGCTGGGACTACAGGCACCCGCCACCACGCCCAGCTAATTTTTTGTGTTTTTAGTAGAGACGGGGTTTCACTGTGTTAGCCAGGATGTTCTCGATCTCCTGACCTCGTGACCACCTGCCTCGGCCTCCCAAAGTGCTGGGATTACAGGCGTGAACCACAGTGCCCAGCCTATAATCTGTTGTTTTTAATAGTTTGTTTGAACAACAGAAAAATGTAGAAACATTCATGGGCTTTTTTTTTTCCGCCCCCAACAGAAGTGTTTATATAACCAGACTGCCACCTAGTGGAGTGTAGGTTCTGTTTCCATTTGTACACCTGATGATGGTGAAGGCATTCAGATAAGTAGTAATTCACATAGAAGCTGGATAAGTGCAGTGAAAATAATCAGTATAGAGAGATCAAAATTATAGTCATTTTTTTCTTCCTAATACCAAAAAACAGTTGAAATGTTAGTAGGTTGAAAGTCAATATTTTGCTTGATGGTATTTAGTCCTTAGTATGGTGCTCATTGGGGCTATTTTTTTTTTCCAGGTTTTTAGCAGAATACCACGATGACTTCTTCCCAGAGTCGGCTTATGTCGCTGCCTGTGAGGCACATTACAGCACCAAGAACCCCCGGGCAATTTATTAAAATGTTGTTGGTTCTGTAAGAGCAACTGCTCTGTCTAGTTTGGCGCTCTGGGTTCCAGGTGAATAACTAACAAGGTGGTGGGTCTTTACCCACAGCGCAAACACAATGCCCACCTTGGGGCTCTGTTGTTTGAGTTGCCCACATACTGCAGTTATTCTGTTAGGAATGATTCCCTGGGTGCCTGAAAGTGCTCTGACACGACACTTGTTACTTTGCAGGCCATCTGTGATGGCAAGGAAAAAGCAACTATGTTCACAGTGAAATATTCGTGGAATAGGTTAGGCCATTTCAGTAGACATTGCAGTTAGTTAGCAAGAACCACATTGTCTCTTTATTTGTTAGCATTAAACAAATTTTTTTTTGCAAATTGGTTTTATTTTTTTGATGAAGCCGAGCAACTCTGTCCAAAAAGGTTTAGTTTGTACTCGGAAACCACAAAGTAGTCTCAAAGTATTTTAGAGGGAATCGATATTGATGGCAAAAGAAAATTTGCAGCTATGCATTTGCTTCTAACGGTTCCCTCTCTGTGAAACATTATTTTTGGTGATCTAAAGAAAGCATTGCCTTTCTTATTTGAGATTTTACAGCTATACTTTGTTGTGTAATGTTATGGTTCCCTTTCTGTAAAATGTTATTTTTGGTGATCTAAATAAAGCCTGTCTTGTTTGAAAGAACCAGGAGAGAGAGTTTTCACTCTGGCCTTGTCCTCTTTAATGCAGGGTAACAGTGGGGTAACCTTTTGACTCATAACTTTAGGTTTCATTTTGTTTTTCCTTTGTGCCTTTTTTTGTTAAATCCCTCTTTGGTTTTGCCTCACTTGGCAGCAGGACCAGACAGTGGTTCCTAGAAGTTCCTGCAGTTCTGTGCTGTCTTGTTGCTGCATTGTGGTCTCATCTGGGGCTAACACCAGCTTATCCTCCTCCTCCCTCATTACCAACTGACAGTCTCTGCAGTCACTCCTCTAATCCTTATTTTAGTCGCACATGCCTCCCCTATCTTCAGATGTTTTAGAAAGTTCTAACTTCGTAGAAATGGTATCAGTACCATACCAGCATTGAATATAGCACCTGCCTTGTAACTCAACTCAGCAGACCTTAACTTCCAAAGATCACTGGTTGTGAACAAGGGCCACAAAGATTTTTTAAAAATCTGTAGATGGTTTCATCAAAGTGACTTATGCATACACTGACCAATGAGAATTAATACTGTGCACTTAGTTGCTAAGTTAGACGTGGGTTTTGGTGTCTCATCCGGAGTAGTACTCAGGTTCCTGGTAGCTTTTATCTCCATTTGGTTTATGCAATGCTTGTTTGAATCTGGCGCACCTGCAGTGTGCTCTGAATTGCTTAAAAAGCTGAATCAGTAATTACTTATGGCCAGGAAAAGGAAAAAGATTTTCCTTTGTAAGACTCAACTTGTTTAAATGTCTCCAATGAAGTGAGCACAGACATTTATATAGGCACATACCTTGAGTTTACAGTTAATTCATTTTCTAATAATGAACAATTATTTTCTTCCCCTGAAGGCATTTCTTAAATATAACTTCAAAAGTTGATGATGTGGCCGGGCGCAGTGGCTCACGCCTGTAATCCCAGCACTTTGGGAGGCTGAGACAGGCGGATCATGAGGTCAGGAGATCGAGATCATCCTGGCTAACATGGTGAAACCTCGTCTTTACTGAAAATACAAAATAATTAGCCGGGCGTGGTGGCGGGCGCCTGTAGTCCCAGCTACTCGGGAGGCTGAGGCAGGAGAATGGTGTGAACCCAGGAGGTGGAGCTTGCAGTGAGCTGAGATGGCGCCACTGCACTCCAGCCTGGGCAACAGAGCGAGACTCCGTCTCAAAAAAAGAAATAAAAACAGTTGATGCTGTGCAGCTTTGGTTGATTTAAGTACTAATTTTTCATCAAAACATCTAACCCTCTATTGTTTATTACTAATAATTCAAAATATTCCTCAGATAAAAATATTTAAATGTCTATATAATCCTTATACAAATTACAAATTATCTTCCTTTTGTTAATTTTTAAATTGTTACTTTCTTAAACTGCCAAACCTTACAGTTGTTAAGTCTTATATTCATTGTCAATGTTTTCCTTTTAGTAGTAATTTAAAGGCATGTTGAAAACAATATTTCAATAATTTCTGTATCAGACCCTTGTACTAGATCTTTGACAAAAACTTGTGAGAACAAAAAAACCATTTCTGAGCAGAAATGGAATATATAAATCATTCCAGGGTATGACGTACACTAAAGAAGCCAAAGAAAACTTATCAATTTATAAAAGTTGCTGTCTCTCATTAGATATTGTCAACTCAAAAATTTGAACAAGTATAATGACCCTGTTTTGCAGTTAAAAAGATAGTTCAATAGCCTTTGCCCTTTAAGATTTGGCTTGTCAACAGTTAAGTTTTTCTGAGCAGTTATTGACTACTTATTCTGCTGCCAGAAACTACTAGGTATTGGAAACGGGAAGAAATAAGGCATGGTCCTTGTTGGAATACAGTTAAGATAATTTTTACAGGCACTGACCATCATTTTTACTAAATCAAGTTTGGTATTAAGGAAGTGTGTTACTTTAATCAGTTCATAATATACAAAAGTGTAATGTAACCCATAAAGGTCAGCATTTTCCAAAATTAACCCTTCCATTGTCCCAAAAATAAAGTATGCTTCTATTAACTGGTTTTCAGTGCAGAGGGTTTGATCATTGAATGTTTTCATCAGTTATGAAATCTGGCCAAGATGGTGTTAAGGAACTTGATATACACTTGGGTAAAGGGGTTTCAATAGATTAAGTTGAAAGCAATAACTTGGAAATCATGTTTATACTCCAAAGAAGCAAGAAACTCCTCAATAAACTAGTTAAATCTTTTGAACTGGATGACTTTAGTGTGTATTTGTTTTTATGTTATTCTGGTCAAAAGACCAAGTGCTTCTCTGGAATCCACCTTCTAAACTCAACATGAGTTTATCGATGGCTATTTCTTGCCTTCAGCCTTCCCTCCGGTGTAAATTATGGGATATCTAACCAATGAGCAGAATACAAGTCCCCAGCAAATTGTCTCAGGGCCTGGGATGTACCTAGCCAGCACCACTCCCTTTGCATGGTGACAGGCACAGCAACTGGGAGGCTATCCCACATCATATCCAGAATGGACATGTTGCCAACATGCATCATACGTGGAAAATACATGTGTTAGATCTTTCATCACACAGTGAGGAATGCAATTACTAGAAATGGGTGAATAAGCAAGAGTTCACATGTAGTTGAACAGTTGGGTTGCTGGAAATCAGGAGACCTTTCCTACAGGATGATGCTTCTCCTGCTTTGATGGGCAGTCTTGCTAGAATGTGGGTTCTGAGTCAGCCGGCCTGAACTGCTAGTGAGCTCCCAGTCATGCTGAGGCTGCTGGCCCTCAGTCTGCACACTGAGCAGGCAGGTTCTGAGATATTGTTTGAGGGGATAGGATGTACGAAATCGGGTAGGAAGCAGGATTCAGACATAGTCAGTCCTTTCTGCAATACTTTATGTTCTTCCTTTTGTTCTCAGGATAGCTACATAAGGAAGGTATTATGTCTTACATAAATCAAGGAATTAGAATTCAGATTAGTTAGAAGCAAGAGAGAATTCAAACAGATCTGTTTTGATTCTAAAGCTATTTCACTGCAACTTTTTCCAAGCCAAGGCAAGACAATAGGCAAGCTTTATGGGTCAGAGGGTAGAGGAAAGAAGTAGGGAAACATTTGGAATCATTTTTCTGCAGTCTCTCCACTTTCTCCATCTTCTTCACCCTTCCCACGTGTTCCCAGGATTCTTACTGTTTTAAACTGCCATCTGCTTGGCCATTTGCTTGATTCTGGTATTAAAGGAAGAGGCAGTTGTTAGTTTAAGGCTTTATCGTTTAGGTAGCTAGATCTAAACTGGATTTATTTTTTGTAATTCTGAAATATGAGGGCTGATTGCAAAAGAAGAAATCTATTAAGTTCATCCAAGATTCAATGACAACATCTTTCACTGACCACACTTTCAAGAGTTTTAGAGATGTTTGGCTTCCTAGAGGATTTAACAAAATATCTTAGTTTTGGCATCCAAATCCTTTGTTGCATGGGGTTGTAATGAGAACTGTAAAATAGAATATGTGCTAAATGGACACAGTGATCATAGCTGCATTCAGAGAATACTGGGAAATAGATCTCTAGCTTAGCAGAAGTAACTCAAGTCACTACGAGGAAGTAATTTCAAGGTACTAGTGTGCTCATAGTGACTGATTTCTATGGATTAACACAATCTATCTAAATTGACACAATAGTGGAATCTTGTATTTTTATCATTAAACTATTTCACTTTTTATTAGTCTCACTGATGTTAACAGTTATCATCTATTCTGAATGTCACTGAATTTATTAATTAACCTGATTTCCAAGGTAAAAGTTAATTAGTACTTAGGTAAAGTGATTATAGTTCTAGGGAGATGCCTCACTCACTGATAAGGTGACATCTGAGCAAAAACCTGAGTTTAAGGGAGTGTGACATGCAGATAGCTGGAGGAGGAGCATTCAGGCAGAGGGAACAGCCAGGGCCAAGACCCTGAGGCAGGAGTGTTCTTGGCATTGCTGGAGGAAAAGCAAGGAGGCTGGTGTGGCTGGAGCAGAGTGAGGAGGTCAGAGAGGTAAAGGGTCAGGAGCTGAGGGTCAGATCATATGGGGCCATATAGACCGTGTTAAGGGTCTGCATGTTATCCTGGAGGCAATGATTGCCAATGGCAATAGTTGGCATCATTAAGTTTTTATTTTCTGAGTCTCACTCAGCTGCACTGTGGAGGATGGATTAGAAAGAGGTGAGAGGAAGGCTGGTCTAGGTGGTTCATGAGCCTGTAATCCCAGCACTTTGGGAGGCCAAAGTGGGAGGATCACTTGAGCTCAGGAGTTCGAGACCAGCCTGGGCAACATAGCAAGCCCTCATCTCTACACACACACACACACACACACAAATAATAATAATTAGCCTGGCGTAGTGGTGTACACCTGTAGTCCCAGCTACTCAGGAGGCTGAGGTGGGAGGATTGCTTGAGCTGGGGAGATGAAGGCTGCAGTGAGCTATAATCATGCCACTGCACTTCAGCCTGGGTGACTGAGTAAGACCCTATCTCAAAAAAAAAAAAAAAAAAAAAAAAAGAGGTGAGAGGAAAGTAGGACAGTTGGGAGATAGTGGCCTCCACAAAATTATTGAAATTGGGATGAGGAGAGGAGACAGAATGTTTTGAGACTTATATGAGATGGAAGTTGTACCTCAGGAGGAAGAACTGGGTGGGAAATATAGTCTGTGAAGTCACCAGAACATAGGTGGTAAATTCTGAGATTGGCTAAGGTCACCGGGGAAGATAGTATGGACTGAGTAGAACATGGGATTTCTTCTTTCCTTCTTTCCTTCCCTCCTTCCTTCCTTCTTCCTTCCTTCCTTCCTTCCCTCCTTCCTTCCTTCCCCTCTGTCTCTCTCTCTCTTTCTTTCTGACAGTCTTGCTCTGTCACCCAGGCTGGAGAGCCGTGGCGTGACACTGCAGCCATCATCTCCCCAGCTCAAGTGATCCTCCCACCTCAGCCTCCTGAGTAGCTGGGACTACACCTGTGCACCACAACATCAGGCTAATTTCTTTTTAAAATTTTTTGTGGAGATGAGGGCTTGCTATGTTGTCCAGGTTGGCCTCGAACTGAGTTCAAGTGATTTTCCTGCCTCAGCTTCCCGAGTAGCTGGTATTACAGGCCTGCCACCATGCCTGGCTAATTTTTGTATTTTAGTAGAGATGGGGGTTTCACCATGTTGGCCAGGCTGGTCTCGAACTCCTGACCTCAAGTGATCCGCCTGCCTTGGCCTCCCAACATGCTGAGATTACAGGTGTGAGCCACCGTGCTAGGCCAGAACATGGGATTTCTTATCAGCAACCCCAGATGCAAAAGACAGGGCTGACAAATATCTTTAAAGTGCTGATTACAAACAACTTTGGACTTAGACTTTATTCCCCAAAAAACCAAGTCAAGAGCCAGAGTCTCTTCCAGCACTTTGGGCTCTCAGGGACCCTTCAGTGTGTTCCTGGCCACCTTTCCAAGCACTAGCTTCAAAACACGCCAGTCACAACAGCCTTCAAACTCTGGTGGCCTCTCAAGTGTGGTGTATTCAACACCATGGACCCCAATGGGACAGAAGAAAGCACACCCAGGTGCAGGTGGCCCTTAACACTAGGTCTTGAGGGCTGAGTTTCTATATCATGTCTGGGCTTGCTGCTGTATAACTCTGTGGCAGATTCTTTACTTGGCTTGCGGCAAGGAGACCTGTCCACAGCAAAAAGCATGAAAAAGACAAAAAAGCTATGTACTCATATGGGAGTCTAAATGTGGCAGGGAGTAAGAATTAATTCTCTCTGCTGTGCCCTCCTCCAGTTTCCAAAGCCTTTTGGTTGACCAAGCAGGGCCCAAAGGCTGCTGGCCTGGACAGCCACCTCATGGGCTTGCTCATGTGTTGAAATGCAGGAGATCATTTCCAGCTGGTTTTTGGGAGGAGGGGCTTTTGGGGAGGCCAGTGCAGAAGAGAGGGAGGAGGAGGATGGAGAGGAGGAGCTGTCTGCTGCCATGAAGGGCTCGAGTCCCTAGCAATAGAAGCCTGAGGGCCTAAAACCAAGCAATTGTTTCCTAAGGGACTTCCTGCACCTCTGGGCAAAGGCAGAAGGCCAGATGCTGGGGAGACCTCACAAGAGTACTTGTAGACTTGAACAGAGCTGTCTGGGGCCCAGATGACAGAGGGGACACAAGCTTCACACTTCTCTGACTCCATGAGAACTAAAGCTTGGGGCCATCTGGAGGTAGCCCAAGGTGCATGCAGCACTGATACTCTCGCCACGGCCCTATCATCATGTGGAGGGAGGCAAGTCTCTTTCAGGGAGCTTTCAAATCAGCTCTTCACTATCCTCCTACTTACTCCCTTTCTGCTCCCTCACCTCCTCCTCCTCTTCCAAGGATCTCCTAAGGCAGTTAGGGAGGAAGAACTTGGCAGACTGCATGGTGACCACAGCTAGCCAACTGGTTTGTGATGACTCCCAGATAAACAGAGGGACCTGTTTTAAGGGTTTGGTTCCTGTTAGGGCAGGTTTGTAGGAAGATAAGCGTCTTTTTCACTTATGCTCAGATTACAACACTTTCAACACTTTGGAGTCCATATTAATTTTCTACTGCTGCTGTAACAGATAATCACAAATTTAGTGACTTGAGACAACACACATTTATTAGCATACAGTTCTGGGCATCAGAAATATAATACAGGTCTCATTAGGTGAAGATCAAAGTGTCAGAGGGCTGTGTTTCTTCTGGAGGCCCTAGGGGAGACTATGTTTCCTTGCCATTTCAAGCTTCTCGAGGCTTCCTGCATTCCTTGGCTAGTAGCTTCTTTCTCCATCTTCAAAGCCAGCAAGTTTTGGCTGAGTCCTTCTCACGCTGCCATTTCTTTGATTCTCTGACCACAGCCAGGAAAGCATCTCTGCTGATGAAGACTCCTATGATTAAATTGGGCCCATGCAGATAATGTCCTCATCTCTAGGTCCTTAGTCTTAATCACATCTGCAAAGTTCTTTTTGCCATGTGAGGTAACATATTCACAGATCCTGGGGATTTGGATGTGGGTGTTTTTGGTGGCTGTTATTCTGCCTATCACAGAGTCCTGGCCTGTGAGGCCAGGAAACATTTGCATTACTCAGATGTTCCAACAATCCATGGTGTTGGCTTTGGAGCAGAGGTAGAATGACCGTGGAGCTGGTGAAGCTGAAACTTCAGGGCTCCTCATTTGCTTGTGTGCACCTATTCCAAGCCCTCAGTTTTGTAGGCATAATTGTGTGCTTTATTTCTCAAAGAGGGCCACCACGATTACAGAAACTTGAGGCCCCACAAAACCTGAAGGGGGTCCTGTTCTGGAATGTGTGTGTGATGAGACAAATGGAGTGCCCCCAGGAGGCCCTTGGGGGGCAAGGTGTGGTGTGGTCTCGCCCACGATGAGCCCGTGCTTCTGGCTGTTAAGTGAGATACCAAAAGGAAGAGTTTGGAGAAGCATCTGGGGAGGAGGTTAAGCTGTGGCTCAAGGGGGTGGCAGAGATTTCTGAGGAGGAAAGGAAAAGAAAAGTAAAGAAGGATTTGTTTCAGAAAAAAGAGAAGTATTGAAAACGGGGCAGGGGCATTTTTGCTGGGTGATGTGCTTTGTGAGCCTGCCCTTCATTGCTGCTCAAATGTCAGACATTCGCTTAATGCTTGAGGAGCTGGATTTGTGCTTTTGAGCTTCTGTGGAAATGGGTTGCCAGGCTGAAACAGGCCTCCAGGCAGGCAGAGAAAGAGCAAGGACACTCTGAGAGTCAGGAACATCAGGTTCATGTGCTCTTTCATTCATCAAAAAGGATCCCAGAGAAGCCAGAAACAAGGGCCTCATATTGTATGATTCCACTTACATGAAATGTTCAGAATAGGCAAATCCATGGGGCTAGAAAGTAGATTAGTGGTTGTCAGAGGATAGGGAGAGGAGGGAATTGAGACTAACTGCTAATAGATATGAGCTTTTTTTGGGGGGTGATGGATATTTTTGGAATCAGTAGTGATCATTATACCACTCTGAATATACTAAAAACCACCGAATTGTCAGCATTTAAAGGGTAAATTTTATGGTATGTGAATGATATGGTTTGGATTTGTGTCCTTGCCTAATCTCATGTTGAACTGTAATCCCCAATGTTGGAGGCGGGGCCTGATGGGAGGTAATTGGATCATGGGGGTCATCCTTCATGAATGGTTTAGAACCACTCTCCTGGTGCTGATCTTGTGATAGTGAGTGAGTTATCGTAAGATCTGGTTGTTTAAAAGTGTGTAGCACCTCCCACCTCTCTCTCTTGCTCCTGCTCCTACCATGTAAGAAGCCTGCTCCCCCTTTGCCTTCTGCCATGATTGAAAGCTTCCTGAGGCCTCTCCAGAAACAGAAGGTGTTATGCTTCCTGTACAGACTACAGAACCATGAGCCAAATAAACTTCTTTTCTTTATAAATTACAGTTTCAGGTATTTCTTTATAGCAATGTGAGAATAGATTAAAACAGGGAATTATATCTCACTTTTTAGAAAGGGGTCTCTAAAAATTGGCTGTGCCTAAAACTCAAGGAAAATACACTATGAAAACCCATTTTTGAGAGCTGAAAGGCTACTTATTCCAATACTCCAGTGAGGCTTCTTTCAAGCATCACTGCTTAAAACAGGCCAAGGTTCCTCTTGTCATTCCTCTGAGTTCATACCTCCTCTGAAGGTCAGAAAACCTGTGCCTTTATACAGCTTCCTTTGTAAGCAAATATGGGGTTGACAGATCTTCAAACTTTTTGGCTTTCTGATTCTCCTGCTTAGCAAGATAGGGCATAAGGAATAAGTATATACTGATACTGTGATATAAGCAAAAAAGGTTAATTCACAGAGGTTAGTGACAGCAAGAATAAAATGAATTGTTAAGACTAAAGCAAACCAGAGCCAGTTAATCTTTACAAGTCTTCCATGTTTTGGAATTTCTTTGCAACATCAATCTTCATCCTTCCAGAGGATCATGAAAATCATAGGTAGTAAAGTGCTTGACTATGTTTTTCTATTGATTTGTACTTTTCCCACTTAGATTTACAACTCTCAGTGGGATGATTTAATAAGCCATTTTGGAGATATGGCTTGGCACAAGGTAAATTACACCAGCCTGCAGGCTCTATTTACTGCTCAATCTTCACTATTGTAAAGGTGACTTTTGAGACAATTTCAGGTCACCAGCCTCTATTAGTCGTCCATTAGTATCCAGAAAATAATTTTGGGTGAGATGATTTGTGAGCTGCATAGAAACACACCTATTAGTGTCAGAGGATAAAGGCTGTTTAAACGTGCTTGGGCAGTATACAAAACAAAGTCTGAAAACCGAAAACACTCTATTGGAGGGAAAACCTAGTAAGATTTTCTTCTGATATATGATATTTCATCTTGTCTTTTATATTCTGTAGCATGTGAAATATAACCAATCAGGGACTCTTAGTTAATTTGGTGGTCCACAAGAAGCCATGGTGTGATAGATGGATTTAAAAATGTTTCTAAATCTTTACACACCTAACACCACCACCACCACTACTCCCTTTCCTAACCTGTGAAATGTGAGTTTGAAGTTCCTCTAATAAAGAAGTGGGGTCTATTTTCTTTGCTCTTGAAAAGGGCAAAGAAAAGTCTGGTCTTATAACTTGCTTTAGCCAAGGCAATATGGCAGAAGTCACTCCCTTCCATTCTTTCC
Source organism: Homo sapiens (assembly GCF_000001405.40). NCBI lineage: Eukaryota > Metazoa > Chordata > Mammalia > Primates > Hominidae > Homo > Homo sapiens. Next base: position 11,785,409 of record NC_000023.11, read on the forward strand.
CTTGGAAACTTGCTGAGATGTGAACAAATCCCAGTTAACCTGCAGACGATAAGAGCCACATGGCCTGTTATTCTTATTACCACTGCCAACAATCAGCCGACTGGCCAACATGTGAAAAAAAAAAATCTTAGACTGGCCAACCCCCAGCCTACCTGCCAGCTCTCAACAGATGCATATACAAGCCAGCCAAGATTAGCTAAGTCTAGCCCAAGTTAGCAGACCCATCCAGGTGACCCATGTACTGTTGATCAATAATAAATGCTTATTGTTTTAAGCCACTGAATTTTGGGATGCTTTGCTATACAGCAATAGCTAATGTCACAACGTGCCTTTTGTGGTGCAAATGTTTTACTCCCTCTCTGTGGAACAGTTTAAACTTCGTTGCCTTGGCTGAAATCACTGAAACCCTGGCATGTTCAGAAGCCATCAGATGCTCAAGGGAACATATACCTACCCTTGCTACTGCTCAAATAACAAGGAAGAAAGTAGATGGAGACAGCAACACATCTTTGGGATCCTGTAGCTAGCATGAAGTCTGGTGGGGGCAGGTGGGGGGCAGTTGGTAAGAAATTTAGAATTTGCAGAAAACTAGAAAGGAGAATATAAAATACATTTTCACTATAAAGTTAAAAAAACTGTTATTATTTTGTAATATTTGTTTCAACCACTATTTGTAAGACAAAAAAAAAATTATATTTGGCTAAAGTTCCCTTTAACCATTACCTGGGTCTCAAGCCCCTGCCTTTCTTCCACAGGCAAAAATAGCCTGAGTGTGGTATAGTGTGGACTCACATTGTACAATGAAACTTTTTGCTCTTTTACTCATCATAGTTTTGACATACATATATATATGACATACATCCATATGTATATATACATACATGTATAACATATGCATAAATATGTAAATATGTGTTTTACTTATATACATGTTTAGCTTAATACTTTCAACTGCTGTATGACAGTCTATCACATGGATGTAATAGCCTGTATTAATTCCTTTACCATTGTTGAATATTCAGATTGCTTCCAAATTCCCCTTTTACTCATACATAGTGCTGAAATAAATAGCACTTGTATATAATTCCTTGTATTCAAATGCCAGTCTTTCTCTAGGTCACACACCCAGAATTCTGGATGGTGGGACACATACTTTTTTGCATTTTCTAGAGTCTAAATTTATCCCACCAGACAGGAACCTGGCTTTATAAGATTTCCTTGATGGTAAGTTTCAGAGTCGTTGTCTTATGGGACAAATTTATAACACAAGAAGCTAAAATAAAAGAAAAGCTAGATGGAAACTTGAAATCTCTTTGAAATGTTCTCCAAATGGACAAACATATCACATTAGATCATTTCTGAGAAGTCTCAGATTCATTATTCAATAAGGCAAACCAGTTCTTTTGTTTTGTTTTGATTTTCTCAATGGAGAAGTCAAGTTTAAAATCTTGTATTTTACCGTGCCAAGACATGGTATGGTAAACATACCATGGTATGATCATGGTCAAGTTCAAACAACTTTCCCTCTGTAAACAGAACATTACTCTTGTTGCTTAAGTAGTAAGTAGCTAAGTGCTCTTAGATTTTTACACAACCCCGTCAAAAGTGAATTAGCACACAAGAAGCCTGCCGTCATAATAAATGTTCTTCTCAACAAATTGTGTGTACCCTTTGTCTTCTGGGCTCAGTGCAAACCAGCTGATCATAACAGGATGGTGTCAACATCACCCTATTCTTTCGGTTTGTAACCATATCTGAGAGCTGCCTGAGGTTTTCTTGGTTTATGTCAGTTTACATTATAGATATTTTATAATGGAGACGCTCTTAGTTTTAAATTCTTACAACTGGTGATAAGAATTGCTGTTTTGTAGAAGTAATACTATATCATGCACTTTGTATAGAAAAATGAGGAGAAATAAAACTATGGGAAAGCGACATCTTTGTCCTCAAAACTCCCAAGCCAGCCCGATGACAAAATGTTGATTAGTCCAAGTAATAAAATAATTATATTAATGAAGTGAAATCCTGCTGGCTTCCAGAAATCACTCTGAAAGGAACCTCTAACGCTAGTTTTTTAGTTCTTTCCTTTAAGATTTGGGCAATCAAGACTCTGGTTTTTGAAATATCCTGCATGTTTTGTACACGTGAGGGGAATTTTATAAAGAGATTTCAGGTGCTGTCAGTTTTTCGGCGATTATCGGGCAGCTCCAAATTCATCGCTTTCTGCTGTGCTGAAAACTCCTTTGCTCTCTTGCTTCCTGTTGTGTTTTGCCAGCAGGGGGCACTGGAGAGGGACAACTGGACGGGAGAGAGGGGTTCATCTCGATTGGCTTGCTGCTTCGTCAGGATGCAGGGGCGCTTCACTCTGGCTGCAGCGGCTGGTGGCAGCCTCCAACTTCTTTCCGCACTTCCAGAAGCATCCTCCTGGGGCCGGTCGGTCACACCGGCAACAGCTGGGAGGCGCCCCTTCCTCAGCGGCCTGAGCTTAGCCTAGCGTCTCCTCCTCTAAACCCCTGCTCCCAGCAGCAGCCGGGTAGCCCTCCCTCCTCCGCAGGTATCAACATCTATAAACATTTTTAAAGTCCTTGATACATTTGCCAAATTGCTTTCCAGACGAATTATCGTGATTTACACTCTCACTGGTTATGTGCGAAAATGCTTCCAGAAACCCCCTCCCATACGATTGTTGCTAATTAACTAATCATTGTCTTTGGTTGATTTTTATATTTAACTCTTGAATTCAGTGGTTCTCAAATGCTAGCTCCAAGACATGCTGCATCAGAATTATGGGGGAATATAGAGTCCCAGAGCTTACCTCTGGAGATTCTGATTCTGTTGAAGCTTTCTGAAATTAATTGCATAACTTTTCATGTTTTTATATTCAAACTTCTGAGTTTTTGACTTGGAATTATCCAGGCCCTGAAAGTTTGAACCAAATCTACTTCAAAATCATCAGGGCCCACAGTTCTGGCATTTGAATACAAGTTTCATGGCTTGCCCAGTTTCCTCATCTGAAAACTCCATGAACTCTCTTATGGGATTTTTCAGATTGTTTACTACTTGCTGACTTTTTTTTTTTTTTTTTAAATAAAAAAGGGACTTAAAGGAGAATGTCGAACCTGAACCTCAATTGGGGTAACTGCACCGGATCGCTATAGCAAAGGGAAGACCTTGTTTCTGTATTTGTGCTCCCTCTCACCCCTGGCTAGAGCCTCTTACTCTAATTAATACTTTCACCAAAACCTAGAGCCTTGGTTCCTATGTTCAAAAGCTTTTAGAATGGCATATTCTATAGTTTTCCTTATGTCAAGGAGTGGGCCTGAGATATTTCCTGAAAAGAGAGTCTTTGTGAGTACTGATAGACCATGATGGAAGTTGTGAGTACTGATAGACCATGATGGAAGTTTTACTTTGCCTCTGTTTGCCCTCTAAGGTTTATGACACTTTGGTTTTTTAATATAAAATATAAAATGTGGAAGCGGGATGCCTATGGATTCTGAGTATCCAGAATCAGTGTTTGTTTAGTGGTATCTAATTAGGAATGCTATCCATGAGGATGTCAGTGGCCCAGGAGAAAAAGATACAGTAGCTCCAGCTCTTTATTACCTTGGTGAAGGTTGTCACAGTGATGTGGGGAGGCCAAATTTTAGAACGTGAAGGAAAAGTGACCCCAGCCTCTATCACTTAGCAAATTACGACCTGTGGGCCAAATCAGGCCTCCTGCCTGCTTTTCTAAAGTTTTATGGAAACACAGCCACACCCTTTCATTTAAATAGTGTCTGTAACTGCTTTCAAGTTATAATGGCAGAAGTTGAGTGGTTGCTACAGAGACTGCATGGCCTACAAAGCTAAAAATATTCATTATTTGATCCTTTACAGATAATGTTTGCTAAGCCTGATCTAGATTTTCAAATATATTACAGCTGTGCCTGCTTAGTTATTTCTTGCAGTTTCAAAGGATTTTTTTCAGCAGCTGCTATTTTAACATTCATAATTCATTTAATGGACATTTTCCTCATCCCTTTCTATTGATTATATTTGGCAAAGCTATTCTCTTTATATATATATGTATTTTTTTTTTCAAGAAACTTGCACTCTTGGGCTTGTAAATAATGCTATGGTTTTCTATTTTCTAATATATTTGTTTTGATGCTTTAATTATTTCCTTCATCCTACTTATAGACTTAAAAAATCCTTGTCTAAATATATTAAGGTAATTATTATTATTTTTGACCCAACTAACTCCCATTTCTTTTAAAATTATAGGAAACTAATATTTTCCAAATATAAAAACAAACTAAAAACAAAAAGACACAGACACATCAAAGCACAGATAAAAGGGGGAAAAAATCATCCAACATCATGATGCCATAGCTCGTCACCATAACTATTTTGGAGTTTTTCCTTCTAGTCTCTTTTTTAAAAAAAAATTAAGTTTTTTAATAGTAAAGAAACACAATAACATAAAATTAACCATTGCAATCATTTTTTAAGTGTACAGTTCAGTAGTGTTAAGTACATTCACATTGTCGTGCAACAGATCTCTAGAACTTTTTCATCTACCAAAATTGAAACTCTGAACCTATTAAACAAGTCCTCACTTCCCTTTTCCCCCAGCCTCTGGCAACCACCATTGTATTTTCATCTCTATTAATTTGATGACTCCAGGTACCTCATATAAGGGGAATCATACAGTATTTTTCTTTCTGTGACTGCCTTATTTCACTTAGCATAATGTCCTGAAGGTTTATGTTGTTGTAGCATGTGTCAGAATTTCTTTTTATTAAAGCTGAATAATAATCCATTGTATGGATAGACCACATTTTGTTTCTGTTGGTAGACACTAGGGTTGCATCCACCTCTTGGCTATTGTGAATTATGCTGCTGTGAACATGGGTGTGCAAATATCTCTTTGAGATCTTGCTTTCAATTCTTTTGGATATAGAAGTAAAAGTGGGATTGCTGGATAATATGGCAATTCTGTTTTCATTTTTTGAGAAACATCCATGCCGTTTCTGGTAGGCACTGTACCATTTTGTCTCCTTTATGAGGCACAAGTGTTTCAGTGGTTAGTTCAACTCATCATTTTCTTTAAATAAAATTTAAATAAATGTTGCCTAACTGAACCCCCTTTTCTATGCCCCATGGAAAATGCAATCCCCTGCTCGAAATGTCTGTCTTGAAGACTTTTATTGTCATGTTTGCATCAATTTCTTCTCTTATTGTTTTCCTCTATTTTCTCTTTTTTCTGGGAGTATTTCTCAATTTTTATTCTTATATTACTAGTCAATTGTAAATCACCTGCCACCAGCTAACTTAAATTTAACAATGTTTTTTATTTCCTTGAAGTCTCTTTCTCCTGACCTGCTTGCTTTTTAGTAAGACAAATAGATTGAGAAAAGAAATGCTTTCTTAAAAAATGAGATTCTGAAAACCCTGACCACTTAGCTCGTGGATTAAAAAAAATCTTTTTCTCAGCATTTAGATGAGATTTTGTATCTTATTGCTGTTGCCAGATAACTTTGCTTTTTCTTTGAGTCTCCATGTCTTACATGCAGTTTATGAGAGACATTTTTCATCCAATCTGCTCACACTGCCATCTGAACAGAATGATGTTTCTTGCTTTTAAGATATAAAAGAAGACGATAGAGTTGTCTTGTTTTAGAACTATTTTAAAATATCCTAAAGAAAGTTTGAAATACTAAATGGAACATCAAAACTTTGAGTTCATTTATTGCTGCATAATGACAGTTTGGTGGTTTAAAATGATGATTTATTCTCCCCACCCTGTTGGTTGCCTAGGCTGAGCTAGGCAGTTCTTCTCCTCCACACTGTTGGTTGTGGCCACTCCTGGGGTTGCATTCAGCTGGGAGCTTATCTGCAGCCAGGATCTCCAAGATGGCTTCACTCAAAGACTGGTACCACAGCTGGTGTATCTGGGACTGGCTGAGCCTCTCTTTCCAGCAGAGGAGACAAACTCTCCACATGGTGATTCAGGGCTCCAAGAGGGAAAGCAGAAGCTGACAGGCCTCTTCTACCATATTGTGCTGCCAAAGCAAGTCACAAGACCACCTTATATTCAAGGGAAGGGAAAATAAACTCCAGGTCTTGATGGCAAAGGCAGACTACTTGGCAGCCATATTTGCAGGGAATATACCAAAACTTAATATAAATTCCTTTAATTTTCTCCAGGAAAATCAGATATTGAAATTTTACATATGTTATTTATTGTGCCATAGTGATAGTGAGGGTAAATAATGAAATGTCTAGTGTATTAGTCAGCAGATATTTTCTGTCAAGGGCCAGGTAGTAAATATTTTAGGCTTTGTGGGCCATAAAGTCTCTGTTGCAACCACTCAACCTCTGCCATTGTAGTGTAATAGCAGCCAGAGGTAATACATAAATGAATGGGCGTGGCTATGTTCTAATATAACTTTATTTACAAAAACAAACAAAAAAACAACAGAAAAACAGGTGGCAGGCAGGATTTGTCCTGTGGATTTTATTTTTCTGACCTCTGGTCTAAATAAATAGTGTTTTTCCTGCATTCTAAATAGATTTAAAATGAATTATGAGGCCAGGAGCAGTGGCTGATACCTGTAATCCCAACACTTTGGGAGGCCAAGGTAGGTGGATCGCCTGGGCAACATGGAGAGACCCTGTCTCTACAAAAAAAAATCCAAAAATTAGCCAGTTATGGTGATGCACGCCTGTGGTCCCAGCTGCTTGGAAGGCTGAGGTGGGAGGATTGCTTGAGCCTGGGAGGCAGAGGTTGCAGTGAGCTGAGATTGTGCCACTGTACTCCAGCCTGGGTGACAGAGTGAGACCCTGTCTCAAAAAATAAAAATAAAAAATAAAGTAAAATGAATTATGTAGGAATGAAATCTCTGATTCTAATAATACCCACATAAAGTATCTGAAACTAACTGAAGTTAATACAAAAATGATCACATAGTGAGCTTGTATTTGTTATTTTCGTATCATCTGCATCATCCCCTACTAATAGCATCAAGCACCATGTATTGAATCTGTTTATTACTTGAGGGTACACATGGAGGCACAACATTTTTCCTTACTTAATTACCATTGCTTTTTAGATTCCATAAAATCATTTAATGTCCTGGGAAAAAGGATATTTGATAACGTGAAATGCTATTTGGTAAGCAAAAGACAAACAGTGGGATAGTTGCTATTTGCAGAACACATTTACTAGCTTTATGTTCCCATGACACCAAATATTTGAGTTCTTGGGTTCTGAATAATGAATCAAAAGGAAAGTTATGACTTCAAAACCCTCTTGACCACTTTTTAGTAGTTAGTACTTTTTTTAACTTCTGCACTTTTCAGCAAACTCTTAACATCTCTTATTTCATTGGTGATACTTTGGTGCTTTATGAGGTCACATTTTATTTTTTCCTTGCAAATGAGACACCAGCATAGAAATACTTCTCATCTTGCTGCCCTCTGGGCTTTGTTTTTCTCTAATGTTGAATGACAGATACTAACAGTCTGTAAGAGCTAGTGTGAAAATGCTGCCTTTTGTGGTTGTGTCGTCATATTTTCCAGCCTGCCACCCGGGCCAGGCTGTCACCACGCACCTGCAGAGTGAAGGAGTTTCAGGCACGGTTCCAGGCCTCTGCTTCCTGAGATGGTGCAGCAGAGGTTTGGAGGGAGGTGCGTGGCCCAGTGTGCTCCCCGGGGGAAATTGTGAGAAAAACCCACGTCTCTCTGGAGAGTTGCTTTTACAAAGTACCTATTTGGTAAGTGTGAAGGGACTTGATTAACTTCTCTTGTGTATCCTTGTCCATATAGCTCATGTGTTAAAATAGCTCTGGGCATTCAGTGTTCATTGCTTCACACAGACAACATGTGAACTGCTTTAGACTGAAAATTTATACATCACTAGAATAGCAGTTGTTGCCTGAGCTCCTCCTACTCCTGCCATAGAAGTTATCTCAGCTCCTCTGCCTGACATGAGTCTGTTGAGGCTCAGAAAGCAATACCCCAAGACTCATGCTTTGACATGCAGAGAGGCGTCAGAATCAAGGTCCCTCTTACCTTGTCTTGTCTCCCCCTGCCTCCCTCTTGTCCCCCAAGCTCTGGGAGGGACTGTCTCTGGAATTTCCTTATCTCACTAAGAAAGCATCTTTCCAAAAGAAATGTAATTGTCTTAAACCGCCTCCCTAGGGATCTCATCAAATATCTAGGAAAGATCAACCATCTATGAAGATAAAAAACTGGGAGTTAGCACCAGACCCAGACAGACTTTTCATCTATTCTTCTGAGGGCAGCTCAGAAAGATGACCTGGAAGACTCCATCTGCATAATAAGACAACCTTTCTTCCTGTGCACCTCCACCTCTCACCTTTCTTAGTGTCTGTTTCTCACCTCCACCGTCCATTTATTCTCCCTAATGGTTTACTGCCCCCGAAAATAATTGTCTAAATTCCCCGATGATATGTAATCATGTTTCTTGATCCCAAATGTCTCAAAATGGTGTCACTTATGACAAATGGCTCAGCCTACAGTGAAATTGCTGACCCCTCAGAGTGATAAGCATATGTATAGAAGATGTCACCTGCTGTGGCCAGGCACTGCTGAGACCTGACAAGCGAGTGAAGCCAAAAGGTGGCTGAGATCATGGCCATGGAGGGCCATAAAAACCACAAAGAAACTGACCACGGTCAAGATGCCAGCAGAAGCTCTGCACGTGGCAACTCTGAGGCCTCTGTTCCATCGGCAGGGGCTGTAGGAAGGTCTGCTGGGAGAAGAGCAGTGACAGTGACACCCGCTCCAACCCCGACCTAGGAAAAAATAACAGGACCTGCTGGATTGTCAGTCAGCATGCTGGCCTCCTAAGATAATCAAGCTGTGACCCTCCTCTCTCTCTTACTAGTGCCCTTGTGTGTTGAATATATTTGCATGATTGTAGGCATGTGAAAGCCTCACAATAAACCATGGATTCATCAGCATTTAATTGGCCACCTACTCAGTGTGAAGCCTCCTGGCCTCAGTTAGCACAACGAGGCTGATTTGAACCTGATAGGAGAGCCATCTCTCCGTCCCCTATGAAAAAGAGCATATGGGCTTCTGCGCTGCTGTCGGTCAGAGGGTAATCATTCTCCTGTGGTTCCCCCATGCTATGCGCGTTACAGTAAACTATTGCATGCCTTTTCCTTTATTAATTTGCCTTTTGTCAGCTGATTTTCAGTGAACCTTTAGAGGGCGAAGGGGAAGTTTTCTCTGTACCCCTATAAGTCTCTCCAGGAAATGGCTCAAAAATAAAATAAAAAGGAATAGAATCTATTCCTAACCCTTCTAAATGGATGTTTCCTTTGTATTAACCTTTCATTTTGTGATGTGTTCCTCCACTCCTGAGCACTCAGCCTGAGCACTGGCTCCTCCCCTCTGACTTGATAGGACCAGGCTTCTAGAACCCAGCCTGGAGCCTACATATCTGAGAGGGGCAATTTTTCTTTTATGCTTCTCTTAAGGAAAATCAATCCAAAGCGATGCACACAGACCTTATTCTGTTTCATCGACCAGCTAGCTGATTGGCACTGTTTTGTACATATGAAGTTACCAGGCACTGGGTTTGTTTCTCTAAGTTTCCTTTCAGAATTGTCTCCTTTGGTTCTTGTCCTAGTTCCTTTTCCACCATCTGTTGAAATATCTTCTTTACAGATACCGAAATTGAGACACTAAATATGCTTGTCTGGCTGATGGCTAATGTTGGTGATTCAGGTTTGAGAGGGCAGGCAAGGATCAACTGTGAAACAGAACACCCCTTTTCCTATATTTTCTAAAAGGCATAGAGTAGTTTGAAAATGCCAGTAATAGTTTGTTGAAGACTTAGAAATGGCGATTATTTTATTTCTGTTTCCTAGATTACTGTGTAGGTTACCAGCTAGTAAGGATCCAGGCCTTGGCAGGTGGAAAATGAACTGTTTAGGAGGTGCCGTTCACTTCTCAACCTACTTGCCTTTGTAGAAGCATCGATATGCTTTCCATGGACACTTCACAGTATGTATTTTTGAAAAATTCTTCTAAGAGACTGTTCATACTTTTATTTTTTATTTTTATTTATTATTTTTGAGACAGAGTCTCTGTCACCCAAGCTGGAGTGCAGTGGCGCCATCTCGGCTCACTGCAACCTCCGCTGCCCGGGTTCAAGCAATTCTCTGCCTCGGCCTCCTGAGTAGCTGGGATTCCAGGCACCTGCCACCATGCCCGGCTAATTTTTGTATTTTTAGTAGAGACGGGGTTTCACCATCTGGCCAGGCTGGTCTTGAACTCCTGACCTTGTGATCCACCCACCTTGGCCTCCCAAAGTGCTGGAATTACAGGTGTGAGTGACCACGCCCAGCAACTTGAAATGAATTATTTTATCTTTAAGGTCTCATTGTAAGTGATTGTCTTAAGGATACTGTTTTCCTGAGGATACTTTTCTGTTTCCCAGATTTTCTACACCTAAGTAAACCAAATCTACCACCTATTCCTGTGATGTACTGCAAAATTGGCTTGCTATCAGTATATGCAGACAGAATGATTTTGCGAACAACATTTTCAGTGAGTTGTGTACTTTGATCAAGTCAAGCAAACAGCATCTGAGCATATTGTAGTCAACTTAAAATATGAAATTATTTAAGACAGCATTATACAAATAATACCTGGAAATTAGTGGCAATCACACTCTTTTTGCTGGGGACTTGCTAGAATCACGGCTTGGCCTTCAGTCAGCTTGAGTACGTGTTTTCAGATCCTGTTGTTCCTAATGGGCTTCATCATGGTCAGTTTGATAAATAATCCATGCCTCGGCTGCTCTAACTGAAGTATTGTTACTCATAGTTAGCTGTTCTGTAGCCAATTTGTTAGGATGGAGTCTGCTCTAAGTTGCATTAAATTAAATGACTTAACTTGGGGATTGCTATGTGACTCTGTAATACTCATTTTGTGTTGGTAGAACAAGGAGATCCTCTGCACATTGATTCCAAATCCACAATGTAAAGCAAACACAAATTATATATTCAAGTACCTCTGGAACAAAGAAAGAAGAGAAAATTCATCTGGCCAATGAAATATACTTTATGTTTAATACAGAAAAGGATGGTGTAATGATTTTCAGCTGAAATGAAAAATATAAATTCATTGTTTTAAAAAATTGGCTTAAATCTATTAAAGTAAAATGTTTATTTCAGAACTATATTATGAGAAATGTTGAACATATACGAAACTTGACCCAGTAGAGAATATTGAGCCCCTAGGTATAATCACCAGCTTCAAGAATTATTGACTCATGGCCAATCTTGTTTCATCTTTCTTTTTCTATACTTTTACTGACTTCTCATCCTCTTCTCATATTATTTTGAAGTAAATTCCAGATAGTATTACATATAAAATTGCCTTTAAAAATAGAAGCATTTTTTAAAACTTGGACAAAATAAAGTATAAATAAAATATAAGGTAACAGCAGCTATGATGTCAACATAATTCAAGAAAATGGAGGAAAGTCTGGCATTTAAAATGTCAACTTTATGACCCAAAAAACCCCAAACTATTACAAAATAATGAACTAGGTGTAAATTAAGAGCCAGATTAAAATGTTTTAATTGTTCAATAAATATTTATTTTGTAAATAAATAAAGTATATATTATTAGTCCATTCTCACACTGCTATAAAGATACTACCTGAGATTGGTTAATTTATACAGAGAGGAGGTTTGATTGACTCATGGTTCCACATGACTGGGGAGGCCTCAGGAAACTTACAGTCATGGTGGAAGGCAAAGGGGAAGCAGGTACCTTCTTCACAAGGCAGCAGGAGAGAGAGAGAAGTGTCACACTTTAAAACCATCAGCTCTTGTGGGAACTCAGTATCATGAGAACAACACGGGGGAAACAGTTCCCATGATCCAGTCACCTCCTACCGGGTCCCTCCGTTGACACGTGGGGATTACAATTCGAGATGATATTTGGATGGGGAAACAGAGCCAAACCATAGCAACAAGTGTGAAACAGTTCCTCAAAAAGTTCAACCTAGCGTTATCATATGACCTGGCAATTCCACTCCTATGAAGACACGTGTCCACACAAAAACTTATGCACAAGTGTTCACAGCAGCGTTTTTCGTAATAGCCAAGTAGCGGAAATGACATGAACCCATCAGCTGATGAATGGATGAACATATGTGGTCAATCCATACAATGGAATAGCATTTGGTCATAAAAAGAAAGGAAGTACTGACACATGCTACAACATGGATAAACCATGAACACACTGTGCTATGTGAAAGGAGCCAGTCCCAAAAGACCGTAAATATTATCTGATACCATTTATATGAAATATCCAGAATAATCAAATACATAGAGGCAGAGGCAGCAGGTAGATTACTAGTTGCCTAGGGTTCGTGGGTGGAGGGGCAGCCAGAGGGTAATGGAGGTCTGAGGAGGAACTGCCAATGGGTACAGAGTTTCTTTTTGGGGGTGATGAAATTGCTCGAGAATTTGATAGTGGTGATAGTTGCACAACTTTGTGAATACACTAAAAACTGCCGGCTGGGCACGATGCCTCATGCCTGTAATCCCAGCCCTTTGGGAGTCCGAGGCAGGTGGACCACCTGAGGTCAGGAGTTTAAGACCAGCCTGGCCAACATGGTGAAACCCCGTCTCAACTAAAAATACAAAAAATTAGCCAGGCGTGGTGGTAGGCACCTGTAATCCCAACTACTCCAGAAGCTGAGGCAGGAGAATCGCTTGAACCTGGGAGGCGGAGTTTGCAGTGAGCTGAGATCACGCCATTGCATTCCAGCCTGGGCAACAAGAGCAAAACTCTGTCTCAATAAATCAACCAATCAACAAATCAATAAAAAACTGCCCAACTGTATACTTTCAAGGAGAGAATTTTGTAATATTTCAATCATATCTCAAATTTTAAAAATGCTATGGAAATATGAGTATCTAATCACACTGAAGAAAAATACATAGATCTACTTTGCCACTAAAAGCTTGTGGGGTTAGGGCAAGCATGATCATTATTAATGAAAAATGGTGAAGTGTTTTTAAAATGTCAATTATAAAATTAACACAAGGGAGGTATGACTTTTTTTTTTTTTTTTAAACAGTCTCGCCCTGTCACCCAGGCGGGAATACACTGGTGCAATCTCAGCTCACTGTAACCTCTGCCTCCCAGGTTCAAGTGATTCTCCTGCCTCAGCCTACTGAGTAGCTGGGATTACAGGCATGCATCATGATGCCTGGTTAAGTTTTGTATTTTTAGTAGGGATGGGGTTTTGCCATGTTGGCCAGGCTGGTCTTGAACTCCTGGCCTCAAGCAATCTGCCTGCCTCGGCCTCCCAAAGTGCTGGGATTACAGGCACGAGCCACTGTGCCCGGCCTTGAAAATTTATTTGATGTCTTCTGCCCAAGTCACATTTTAGTTACTGAGGCTGAATCATTTTTTAATACCAACTTTCAAAAATGCACCTTGTATTTAGCTGCCTTCTTGAACACTGGGTATCAGGTATTACATAACCTTTTCTATATTTGCCAGGATACTTACTGCATGCCTTAGTCACGTTGGGTACTCAGTAAGCATTTATTAACTGCATGGATAAATGAATGAGGAAACATAGAAACATTTTTACTATAATATTTTCTTAAGATATTATATGTGTAGAATTATTCTTTCCCTTACAACGAATGATTACAGAATGTTGTATTTTGTTTTTGTATGCTTTAAAGTTTCTCCCTTACTTCTATTCATATGCTTAGTCATGTTTTTCAAAATTTAGTTGTTTGGATTAGGATTGAAATAATGTTTAAATGTTACAATTATTGAAATGTCCTTTAGTCTCTTTCAATCTGTAGGTTTTCTTTCTCTCTCTCTCTCATTTATCCCTTGCAATTTTTTTTAATCAAGAAATTAGTTCTTTGTCTTATAAAACTGCTCACAGTCTGGACTTGCATTTACATGGTATTGCACTCACATGGAAGCTGCATTTACATGGTATTGGTTAACATGTTCCTTTGTCCCCTCGAGTTCTTGTATATTAGTATGTAGAACCAGAGACTTAATCAGATTCAAGTTCAATTTTTTTCACAGGACTACTTCATAGCTGTTGTTGTTACTTCCATCAGTGGCACTTCATGCCTGGTTGTCTCTCTTGTTGTGATGTCAGTGGCCATTGATGATTATAGTGTAGATCAATTAATTCATTGAGGGTTGATAAATGGTGTTCGCAGTAGCCAGCCTTGAAGAGGCCCCCAGTGCTCCCTGGCTCCTGGGATTCACGGCTTCATGTAATGTCCTCCTGCACTGTTTCAGGGTTGGTCTGCATGACCAATAGAACATAACAGAAATGCTGTTATATCACTTGTGAGGATAGGTCATAAAAGGCAGCATAGCTTCTACTCCTCTCTCTCTTGGCCACTTGCTCTGGGCAAAGCCAGCAGCCAAGCCATGAGGACTACATGGAGAAGAACTGAGGCCTCCTGCCAGTAGCTGTATGAGTGAGGTTGGAAGTCAAACCTTCAGGTAGCTGCAGCCCCAGCTGGCATCTTGATTGCAGCTCCTGAACCATCCTGAGCCGAAACTCCTAGCTCAGCCACTGCTGAATTCTTGACCCATGGAAAGTGTGTTGTTTTAAGCTTCTATGTTTGGGGGTAATTTGTTATTCAGTAATGATAATTAATTTAGTGTTACTCTACCTCATTCATTCAATCTTCATTTACCAGCTAGAATACTTCTATAAAGAGAAACTTTCTTTTAACAATTATTTGATTACCCTGTAGTACAGTTAGTATAGGAAATAATGCTTACTCTTTCAATGATTAAATTATAATCATACTATATATGCTTTTGTACACACATATATATACACATAATAGATGGATAGAAAAATTTAAACATTTTAAAGCATTAAAAATACTTTTATAGGTTATCCTGAATATATATTGTCTGTTATGTAATATTCCACTAAGCTTATTTAACTATTCTTCTTTGTTGGAAATTTGACTTGTTTCCAGTGTTACTGCTAATAGCCAAGCAATTGAAAATATTTTTACATAAGGCTTTTTTTTTTTTTTTTTTTACTTTAAGATTATTTCCTTAGATCAGATTCCTAAAATTTACTGAATCCAAAGCTATGGGCATTTTTCTAAATTATGTTCCAAAAAGAAAAAACTCAATTTCTACTGGCACAGCCATGCCTGTGTGGCCATTTCACTTTATCCCTTGTTAGGGCTGTGTGATATTTATGCTTTACAAACATCTGTAAAGTGCCAACTGTGTGCCAGGCACTGCTCATAAAACACAACCAGAAAATTCAACTTTTGTTTTTAGTCTGATCTGATAGTACCCCACAAATTTTGTTTATATCTACTTTTTAAGTATCTCTTGAGACATCATCAAGAGTATTACCCTCTGAATCAGGCAGGAATTTTTGTCTGCTCACTGCTGCCAGCCTTGCAGTCTGCTTCTTCAAACCTTCTCTTTCCATCCCTTTCCCATTTCACGTCTTTTATTTCTCATAGGCTGGAAACCCAGATAACCACCCTTGTTAGGACCATGAATTAAATGAGGCGACTTTGATCCACCTACTGCCACTACCCATTCTCGTAAATGGAAGTGTAAATCTTTTTTTAGGCCATATTTTATTTAGCTTGATTTATTATTTCTCATAAGAATAGCTTTCCCTGAAAGTCCTGGAGGGAAAAGAACCTTGTAAAGAAGCAACAAGATGTTTTCCAAGAAATTATCGTTTGTAGCGGAGACTGTCATTCTCTAAACCAAAGAGACATGGACTAGTTTCTCTTTTAGCAACTTTTAGGGTGATAAATTGAGAACAGAGATTAGATTTCCTTTACAATCAGTGTCTTGTAGATTACATCTCTAAAGGAACCAGTGGTTAGTTCCGGACCGAATCACCAAGCAGATTAACTTCTTTTGAAGGGCTCCTATTTGGGCAGTCTCAAGTTCATTTTAGATAATAACTATCCCCCCTCCCAGCTCCTGCAGTCTAAGGGTAAGGTAGAAAATTTGGAAAGTCAGAAAAGTAGGAAGGAAAAATTAGCCATTGCCTATAGACCTACCACCCAGCAATGATCACTACCAATATATAGCTTACAGCTGTCACGCAGGTGGTTCCTTTGACTGTCTCTGGGTCACCCATTAGGATTTTAGATAAATTATATGTTACAAAGTATAGGGAAAGAGTATTAGGGAAAGGGTGGACTTATGAGTTCAGGATCGACTTGAGAAGCACGGGCACCTCATAATTCCAGGGTTCCACAGAAAGGAGCGCTAAAGTCAGGGCTTTTCGCTGTGAATGTGTTGGACGCCCTGCCCTTTGTGAGCTTTCATTTTATGATATAGCATGACAGAAGCCGAGTCGAGGGTTAGGTCATTGGAAGGTTGGCACTGGAAGCCTAAGTTTGTGTGCCAGACGTTCGCAGGACCTGCCCAGAAAGGTCAGCTACCCAAGACCCAAGATTACATACAAGTCTATGTTATATACATTATTGTTCTATTCTTTATTTATTCTGATTTTTCGTATATTATATACATGCATAATATATAAAAATGTCTTTCTGTCTATGCACACACAAATATGCACACATATTCCCCACAGTTTCTAAAGTGGATTCTAGTTCACTTTGAGACACAGAGTTCTTTATATTACATTCATACCTTTAAAGCATCATGTCAGTTCTGTTTTTAGTATGCTCTTAACATGGAGTGGTTTTGCTAATGTTATATTCTTTTTAATTAAAACAGCACATAATCATATTTTATTTTAATGGACAAATACTAATTATGTACATATCTATGGGGTACAATGTGATGTTATGTATATGCATATATTGTGGAATGATTAAATCCAGCTAACATATCCATCACCTCACATACTTATTTTGTGGTGAGAACTTTAAAAATCTACTCTTTTAGCGATTTTGAAATATATAATACATTATTATTAACTATAGTCACCGTGCTGTACAGTAGATTACTAAAACCTATTCCTCCTGTCTAACTGAAATTATGTATCCTTTCACCAACCTCTCCCCATTTCCTTGCCTACTTAACCCCATCTCAGCTCCTGGAAATTTCCATTCTACTCTCTACTTTTATGAGCTTGACTTATCTAGATTCCATACATAAGGAACATCTTGTGGTGTCTTTCTGTGTCTGGCTTATTTCACGTAGCATAATGTCTTCCAGGTTCATCCATGTTGTTGCAAATGGCAGAATACCCTTCTTTTTGCATTATGGAAAACAATATGGAGGTTCCTCAAAAAACTAAAAATAGAAGTAGCATATGATCCAGTAATCCCACTTCTGGGTATATATCCAAAGGGAATGAAATTTGTATGTCAGAGAGATATCTGTACATTGGACCACTCTTCACAATAGCCAAGATATGGAAGCAACCTAAGTGTCCAAATAATCATATTTGAATGTAAAAGTTTGTGTGTGTTTTTAAAAGATAAACATCATCCAATTTATGAAAACTAGATTTATTTCCATCTTTCTTGGGACAGATCTTTTATGTCAACCAAGCCATGTGTTCTGTCAATGCTATTTCTATCATCAGGTCTTGCTACTTCTCAGTTCTTGGAGATACAGATGACAAAGGATGAGGCCCAGGCTGTGGCTGTTTCATGTACCTCAGTTTATTTCAGTCAAAATTGGGATTTTTCTGTACAGAAGCAGGAGGTAATTATAAGACCATTGCGTGAGTTCTGTTTAATTCCTAGTATGGAGAGAACAAAGCAGAGCTGAATGACTTGGCAGGAAGTTTTAGAAGTTTCAAGTCCAAGCCAGGGAGCAAATGTTGGCTAAGTGCCCCCTAAAATGTTTGTCCATGCCACCTGGCTGGGGGTTTGTGTGAAAAGGAGGGGAGAGGAGAGACCTCTATTAGTTTAGCACCTGCTGGGCCAGGATATCACGTGCATGCTCACTTAAGCCTCCCAGCAAGTCCTGGAGGAATCTGTGTCCCTGTTGAGTAGACCAGGAGGCAGAGACACAGAGATAAATCACATGCAGCTATGTTAAAAGCAGGAATCTGAACCCAGATCTGTGCTGTCTCCAAACTCCACATATTTCCTGCTATTAGAACCGATGATGCCTTCATGGGCTGAAAGTACTTTTGCCTCCATGGGTCCATCCTTCACCAAAAATACTAATAATTATATTTTATGGCTGTTATGGCATAAAGACAAATGTAAGCAGAGCTGGATTCATTATTATGTACACATTATTATTCTTTTTTTCTGACTGGAAAAGATTAAAATTTTAAGAGAGTAAATTTTCATGGGTCTTTAAACATATTCTGGGCTCTGGCCCTGGGCTGATTATCCAAGCCTGATTGGAGAAGTTGGCCCTGTCCACTGTAAGATTCTTTTTCTTTCAATTTATTGGTTTTCTAGGAGAAGGGAAAGTTAAGGGAAGCCAGAGCTTTGGGGTTGAGAGAAATGAAATGAGTCACAGAAGCAAAGTATATCTAGCACTAAGCAGAGTTTTAAAGTCATTGTGATCAGTCATTTTAAAAATCTTTCTTTTGTGTTAGAACTCATTGTAGTAAAAAGATGAATTCTTATATGCAATGCCAAAATATAAACTTGGTCAAAGTGGTCAAATTGGGCAGGTACTGCAACTCCCATTCCTAACATCTCAACTCCCATCCTGAGTGGCCCTTGAGGGACGTTCACTGACCCTTAAGGCTCATTGAAACAATCTGAAACTTCACCTCTTTCCCAGGGGAATTCAGTGAGACCCAGAGAGGCTGAGTTGCTCCCAGTTACACAGTGGATCAATTATCATGCTGAGACCCAGGCCCAGGTATCTGGATTTCTGGGTTAGGGATGTTTCCACTAGCTTCCTCCCCCGCTTACGCCTTCTTGGGTTCAAAATAACACAGCCAAATCCCCTTTTGAAACCTCTAAACATGATTCAACTTTAAAACATGTGAAAATACAATAGGTTAACAATCTTCCCTCCATCTGCAGAGGACTTTTTAACCTTTGGTTCCCTTAGCATGTTAGTTTGGGACCAAATAGCTGTGTTCAGTCAAGTGTAGGGACCTCAGCCACTATAATGTCCCTGTTCTTTGGAGGGTGCTGCTAGGGTTTCCTAGTGACCTATGTATCATGATCCTAGGTGCAAGAGATCTCCAACACATTCATGTGCAGTGAGGTCTCATGGACACAAGGGAGAAGTTGGCCCCATGTCTGCTGCCAACTCTTCTGGCATTTAAGGGCTATGGCCATCTCGCTGGTTTCCCTAAGGATCATGTGTGTGATGGCTTGGATAGCCATCGAAGCAAGGGCACTAGCTGGTTGTAATATGGAGTCACAGATAGGAGCACAATCCCTTGAATGATAGGTTTTGCTTGACAAGCTTGCTACACATAGTAGCCGATCAATTAATAGTGAAAATGAATGAAACAATGAACGGTGAAGATACACGCCTGGAGAAGTTTTTGGTTTCTCTGTGACATCTCCTTTGGGCCTGTGGCTCAGGCCATCAGGTCCTCCTCATCCTCAGTCTGATGGGTAGAGTTGTCCCTGTGATATTTGGTCCCAGAGATCCTGGGGTGTAATAAAATGCTGGAGAGGAAAAATACCTCATCTGGGGAAGGGCAGATAGCTCTAGGATGTGAGCACAGCCTCACACAAATCCCTCCATGTCTCCCTGCTGTCAGTGCCAGTTCTGCTCTGGGCTTCACTCTCTTTTGCATCTGGAAGTGTCTAAGGAGAAAGTGAGATGTGAGCTTCAGAAAATACAGACAGTCCCCACTCTGCTATGTGGCCTTGGGCAACCTATGTAATCTCGCTAAGCTTTAGCTTCCCCATCACTGGAAAACAATGATGCCTGTCTCACATCATTGCTTGAAGGTCAATTGTGATAATATCTGAGAAAGCACTGAGAACTCTCTTCTGGATATATGTCTCAGGGAAGTTCTCACACAGACAGATAAGGAATATTTTCGAGGCTGTTTTTCATGGCATTTTTAGGAGTAGAGTGTTGGAAACACTACCACTTGTGACAATGGGGATGGGGGTGGTATATTAGTAAACTGCTGTGTCTTTTAGCAATTAGAAGGCGCATACTCGATTTGCACACAGCAATGAAGCAATTATTTTACTTCAAAACAATGCTGAGTGAAAAATGCCAAAATGGTGTGAGTCTAGAGCCCAATACCATGTGTGTAACACATGTACACATGCATGTACACAAACACACCCCCACATGCTACCCAAAGCCACATACAAATAAAAGGATATACGTCATATACGTTAGAATGGTGGAATGGGGAAAGGAAATAGAAAAGTAGAACAAAATAAGGCCGAGAAGAGTCCAATGATGAATATGTGCCATAAACTGGGGAGTTTGAATAATCAAATGCAAATAGATCTATTTGTATCTTAGATCCAAAAATGCAATGGCTCAATAGTGAGTCAGTCACACAGTAGACCTAGTCCTACCTAACTCTAGAGCAGAGTTTCTTGATCTCAGCACTATTGATATTTTGAACCGGATCATTCTTTGTCCTGGGGGCTGGCCTGTGCATTGTATGATATTTAGCAGAATCCCTGTCCTCTAGATGCCAATAACATCACTTCCCCAGTTGTGTCAATCCAAGACATCTCCAGACATTGCCAAATGTCCCTAAGGGTACAGACTAACTCGTGATCGAGAACCACTGACTTAGTGGCAATAACAAAACTGAGGATGGGTTACCAAAAGAATCATCTTCCTGCTGTGTAGTGGGTGAAGGGTTGTAGGTCAAAAACATGTATTTACTATGACAAAGGTATGTTCACACAGAGAAACAAGAAAATAAATAGGAATGACAGAGTACTGACAACAATCAGACCTCTATACCACTAGCAAACCAGAGTTCCTCATCGAGGGCACTTGCCATTGGAAGACACAAGCATATTTCATTTGTAAAGAAGTTGAGGCCGGGTGCAGTGGCTCATACCTGTAATCCCAGCATTTTGGGAGGCCGAGGCGGGTGGATCGCTTGAGGCCAGGAGTTTGAGACCAGCCTGGCCAAAAGGGAGAAACCCTGTCTCTACTAAAAATACAAAAATTAGCTGGGTGTGATGGTGTGTGCTTCTAGTCCTAGCTACTTGGGAGGCTAAGGCAGAAGAATCACTTGAACCTGGGAGGCAGAGTTGCAGTAAGCCGAGATTGTGCCACTGCACTCCAGCCTCAGTGACTGAGGGAGTAAGACTCCGTCTCAAAAAGAAAAAAAAAAAGTTGAGAAAAAACACTTCATCATTATTAAGATGTATATGTGTATGTACATATGCATATATATGTGTATATACTATCATTCATTCATTATTTATCTTGAATATTTTTGTTTCCTCCCCTGTTGATTCTAGGTAGAGTGAAATATTATACTTTTCTTTCTGAGTCATTTTCGAAACGGATAGTAGTACATAATTCGGCAGAGTGAAAGAATATTCTTTGGAAGAAATTTGGGAATTTTCATATAGTGAGTGTTTAATAAATATGGACTAGGCGATATCTTCCTCAATTTTGTCTGCTCTGTGGCATATATTTTAATGCATTCTTTTGTACTTTGTATACTGTCACTTATAATTTATGTCCCTTTGGAAAGGTAGGTCTTGGGTTTAAATATATTATTAGCATCCCGTGAACACATCTGTTTTGTAAACATTCCATCAATTCTGTTTCCATGGCATGTTTATGGTCAAATTGGACAACCTCGGAAGAGGTAAGAGTAAGGGGAATAAGGATGTTACAGGTTTCTAAAACTCTGGTTGGTGTTAATTGAAAATGAACTTTCATTCCCCTTGTCATTTTGATGTATCTCTGAATTTTTGTAAACAGATTTTCTTTTAAGCTTCAGAGATTACAAGCTATGCAATATTCCACCCCAGCTGCTGTAATTGATTAGACAGATTTTCCATTTTAACAGTGTACTGGCTAGGGTGAAAAATAATGGATTATAGTTCCAGGCTTCTAAATCGTACTTCAGTCTGCTGCATTTCAGCTTGGGACAAAAGAGTTTCTTCAGATTGTCTTAAGTTTATCTTTGAGATCAGTGTTTTCAAGTGCGGTGCATACTTAATTTTGCAGAAATTATTTTTTAAAATAAATTTAAGTCTATAAAGATGTGCTACTTGTGTTTGGCTATAAGCTAAGGTTGGTTCCTACACTTGGATAGATGGATAGAAGACCAAAACAAGGCCACTTTATTTTTAGATAGTAAGTTAGCTCAGGGTCAGGAAATGTATCTGAAAGAAGATGCTTCTCTCAGATAATAGAAAAGATTGTCATCTTCCTAATTCAGCCCTTTATTTATGAAAATCTATTACTATCTCCTAAGTTTGAGTGTGTCTGTGTTGAACTGTAGCATTTCAAAGAAACTTTTCATTCATATATATACCTCAAAACAGCAAGCTGAGAAAAAATGATTTCAGTGCATCAAAATTCCAGTGTGACCTGCCTTCCCAAAGTTTTATGTGAGGTAGGATTTTTTCAACTACATTTACAAATATGAAGAACTGATTTATAAATTTGGCATAATATAAACTTGCTAATCTTTTAGTTTTTTAAACTATTCTCAACTGTCTAGCTTTCTCATCAATGTATTACTACTTATTAAACATAATTTCTCTACCTCTGTTGGGAGCAAGTGCATCCACAGTAAGATGCCCTCAATAGTTGGGGCCTGGTGCAGTGGCTCTCATCTGTAATCCTAGCACTTTGGGAGGCTGAGGTGGGCTGATAGTTTGAGGCCAGGAGTGTGAGGACCAGCCTGGGCAACATAGCAAGATCCCAGCTCTACAAAATTTTTAAAAATTAGCAGGGCATGGTGGTGTGCGCTGGTAGTCCCAACTACTTGGGAGGCTGAGGTAGGAGGATCACCTGAGGGTAGGAGTTCAAGGCTGCAGTGAGCTATGATCGCACCACTGCAATCTAGCTTGAGTGACAGAGTGAGACCCCATCTCAAAAAATGAAAGAAAGAAAGGACAGTGAGAAGAAGGAAGGGCTTGCCTGTTTGGGTGATGAGCTGGTACGTGGATCCGGGGCTGGAATCTGTAGGGTGGAAAAAGGAGTGCTGAGTTGGGTGGTCTATTACATCCAAGCTGCGGAGGAAGCAGCTGAACGTCACACAGCAAGGCCAAAGGATTGAAGGTGGACAAGGCAGAGCTTCAAGACTTTACAGTTCAGAGCCCAGTAATAATCAGATTGGAGGTTTGGGACAAGGCAGAATGGAGGAACCATTGTAAGAATGGCTCCTTCCATATTCTCAAATTATCCTCCAATTCTAGTTCACAGACATATGCCACAGTTCTAGGGAGAGGAGACTGAACATGTGATACCGAGAGCCCCTGTGTGCTGTGGAAAGACTGGTTAAGATTGCCTGACCCCTCAGGCAATCACTGCAGATGCTAGGGGGGCAGCAGAACCAATCTCATTTTCAGAGGGGTACCCGGCCACTTGGACACAGAGCCCCACAGCTGACTACGGAGAGCTGCACAGCTGTGGCGATAGAACACAGGTGTGAGATGCCATGGGGGGCAGTGAAATTACCTGGATGAGTATAAGTCTCCTGAAAGGGGTAGCAGAGCAGTAAAGAATGCTGTTTGCTCTTCCACACGTGACCTTGAACCTCTATACTCTCTGTGCTAGTGGAACCCATAGAGACAGCATGAACTATTAACTTATTATTATATCCTGTCTTTTTTATAGAAAGTATTAGTAACACAGTGTTAGAACAGTTGCAGTAATTTCTTAAGGTATTGCTTTATTTGGAGCCTTTGAAAAAAACTAACTTATATTTTAAAATCTTGACTGTCCTGTAAAGATTTTGGAATGGGTAAAACGTGGAAGCAACAGTGTATGTACCCATGGTCTCAATCAAGATATAGAACATTTCTGTCTTCCCAGAAAGTTCCCTCTTGTCCCTTTCCCATCAAATTCTACCCCTGACTCCTCCACCACCAACTCCAGCTACAACCAGTTTGCTTTTGTCACTATAGACGCTTTGTTTGTTCTAGAAATGTGTATAAATAGAGCCATGCAATATGTGCTATTTCATGCCTGCCTTTGTTCCCTGAACGTGCTGATTTGAGATTCATTCATGTTGTTGCAACTATCAGTGGTTTGTTCCTATTTGTTGATGAGTAGTATAACATTGTAGGAATATACTACAATTTGGTTATCCACTCCCTTGCTGATGGAAGTTTGGGTGTTTCCTGTTTTTGGCTACTATGAATGAAGTTCTTATGAACATTTACATACAAGTCTTTGTGTAGACAGACATTTTTATTTCCACTGGAAATGAAATATCTAGGAGTGGAAACACTTAAGAGTAAGAATATGGAAACTTTATAAGAAAGCGTCAAACTCTTTTCCAAATATATTTCACCATTTTACACCCCTCCACACACCAGCAATATATGAGAATTCCAGTTGCTCCATACCCTAGCTAACATTTGTTAATGCTAATCTTTTTGTTTCAACTATTTTATTGGGTTTATAATAATATCTTGTGGCTTTAATTTGCATTTTCTGATGACTAATGCTGCTGAGTATCTTTTCATGTTCTTATTGGCCATCTATAATCTTTTGTGAAGTGTATTTTCAAGTCTCATTTAAAAAATTAAATAATTTGTCTCATTTTATTATGGATTTGTAGTCATTCTCTTCTCATCTGGATTCATGTACTTTGTCATGGATTATGTATTGTAAATATTATCAGAGTCTGTGGCTTGCCTTTTCATTTTCTTAATGGTATGTTTTGGTGAGCAGAAGTCTTTAATTTTGATTAGAGTTCAATTTATCATTTTTTATTTTATGGTTAATGCTTTTGGGGTTGTGTCTTAAAGAATCTTTGCCTACTCCAGGGTCAAGATTATATTTTTCTACGATTTCCTCAATACATTTTATCATTTTTGCTTTTATGTTTATGCCTCTGATCCGGTGAAGGCATTTGTTATTTACTACTTATATCCAAATTTGTCAAGGACAAGAAAAACACTTTATGTAATAAAACAGCTTTTTGTGAAAATAATGGCATGCAAAACATATGTCCTAAAAATAAGATATTTATAGTTTCCTATTAAATTGCAATCATGTATTAGTAGGCAAGTGATTTAGAAAATCAGCAGCCTTTCATTCATTCTGTTGGAAGAGCTTGCTAATTAATGTAAAACTTGCTTTGTAATAATATGGGAAAGATAATCTAGCTGAATTCAGTTTCGCTAACAAAAGAATGTGCAGGTTTTCACATGCATTTCTTTTACACAGATGCATTTCACAATTTGAAATAATTTCTTATCAATGGCATATTGTCTCTAGAAATAGTTATGGCTTTGGAAATCTCTTTCCTCAGCTTCTATACAGAACAACTCATCAGCCCTTTTCTTGAATGAGTGGCACATGGCAAACCCTCCAAGAGGTGCTGAGGCTGGTCTTCATCAGTAGCAAGGCCAGCTGTTACGGATGATCTCTCTCTCTCTCTCTCTCTCTCTCTCTCTCTCTCTCTCTCTCTGTATCCAAGCAGTAACTCCAGAAAAGTTCAGTTCACAAATGGAAATGTATGAAGCACCTCTGATGTACCAAGAGGTGGTACACATAATCATGGGAGGCCACAGATACTTCTCGACCATTAAATGTAATTTTCCTATTAATTTTTACCTACATGAAATATGTGCATAATAACTATCAGTTAGGGTTCTCCAGAGAAACAGAATCAATAGGATATATACGTATGTATCTATCTATATATCTAAATATGTGTGTGTACAGAGACAGATTTATTTTAAGGCATTGGCTCATGTGATTGTGGGGCCTGACAAGTTTAAAATCTGTAGGGCAAGCTGGCAAGCCGGCAACTCAGGCAGGATTTTTATGTTACAGCCTTGAGAAAGGATTGCTTCTTCTCCAGGAAACCTCAGGTTTTGCTCTTAAGACCTTCAATGGATTGGATGAGGCCCACCCACATTATGGAGAGTGATCTTTACTTAAAGACAACTGATGGTAGATGTTAATCACGTCTACAAAATACCTTCACAGCAATACTTAGACTAGAGTTCGACCAAGCTACCAACCATAGCCTAGACAACTTGAAACATAAAATTTAACCATCACAATAACATATAGGGGATACTTGACTCTTAGGTCATTTGGAACTAAAATCTTTTATAGTAAAGTCCAATTTTTCAAAAGCAAGTCAAATGATCGCAAATCTTGCGATAGGGAACTGCATGCATTCACAATTTTGTAAATGAAAATATTTATTCTTGCTTACTTGAAGGTAAACGATGCCTACCATAGGTATAAAGTTGTTGCTTAGTTTCTATAGAAATGATAAAGGGGGAGTGGGATCTTTTCTCTCAGATCCTGGCAGCAAATATGCCCAGTAGAGGGTAATCCAAGCCTTATCTTTCCTCCTGGAAGTAAACCTGAAGTATCCGATGAAGGAGCAGACTTCAGTATCCTGTGAGCTCGTTCTCCAGTACCGCAGGCTCAAATTTGTAATACAATATTGCTCTTTGGTTGTCTAAAGTATATCTCGACATTAACATACCTAGAAGAGAATTATTGAAGTTTCTCTTTAAGATCCTTCCACTCAAGTTTTTCTTATTTTGGTAGCAGGACTACCAACCACCTGGTTGCTCAGGCAAATATCCAGGCATTATCCCCAATTCCTTTCTTCCCTCCCAGTAGCTACTATCCATCACCAAGTCCTGTTAATGTTTCCTCTAGAACATATTCTCATCAATCCACTTCATCTCCACTAATACCACCCTGGTCTTGGCCACTGTCCCATGTCACCTGAACCACTGAAATACTTTCCTAATTCTTTCTCCCGCTTCTGTTTTTGCCTCCACAATCTATTCTCCAGTTGTCTGTTATTTTAATATACAGAGAGCTGTGACTTTCCTATATAGGAAGGCTAAGAAAAGACTACAGGGACCACTCAAGTCTCTAGAGCTAGAGGAGAATGTGATGAGTATCTTTAGAACCCACTAAATTCAAAACGTAATTGTTTAGACTTGGGGAGGGGTTCCAGGCTTCCATTAGTGGACTCAGGAATGGGATTACATAGAGTTGAGCTGTGAGACCAGCCCATTTGGAGAGTGTTATTGCGTTGGCCATAAAGAGAGTTCAGTTTTCGCTTCAGGGTTGTGTATAAGAATCTCTTAGGGGCTGAGGCACGGGCCTCTTTTCAGGGAACTGGAAGACAAGCCCAAATATCACCTGGGGATGTAACACAACATTCCTGGAGGATGCCATACTGGTTGAATTGAAAACATCAAGATGCTCAGTACTTAGTTCAACAGTTATGTTTCCTTTTAATCTAAAGAAAAGTTGTAATTTAGAAAAAAAATAAAATAACCAAAACTATAGCATTAATATTTTGTGTTTAAGAATACTATATACATATTTGGTATTTTAGACGTTTACTACGTTTTAGAGAATTTGGCTTATTAAGATAACTTTATCAGCTTTGTGATACCATTCAAAATGTGTATTTGACTTATTGATTTAAACTTATGATTTTAGCTTGAAATCTTATGACGTTTATCCGTAATATTAGAAAATTCAGGAAACTTAAGTTTACCAATATATTTACAAATTTAATCTATTAGATTTATAAATAGTACATGAGTACATGGGAAGGTTTATTACTCACACAATTGAAGCCCATAAAAAAGGAATAGAATAAATAGAATATATTAAAATTTTAAATATTGCTTAACATACTAGAGAGAGTCTAATCAACTGCATTGGCAATGGGAACAAACATTAATTAAAGATCCCCCAAGAGTGATTATTAAAACTTGGTAGATTTGTACATACAATAATATCATTAGTGAGTTGAATTTAAAAGCTTGAGAAGGACTAGTTTCTGATTTGGAAATTTTAATAAATTAGTTTTTTAACATCAAAGGTAATTTTAAATATTTTCATGTGCAAAAACTGACATATGAGAAAAAGCAAATCTACTCATCAATATTTAATGTTGAAACTTCCTATTTTTGAGTAGTCAGAAGCTACCCAAAGATTATGATTTAGCTCTTGACATATGTATGTGAACAAGAAGGCTCACTAAAATGCCTCATGACACATCAGAGTCCGTTGGAAGGATAAATACCTATGGCAATTGAGGAAGTAGATTTCTAGAAGTTTAGTTACTTCTTCTAATCAGCAGATGCTAAGAAATATTAAGCTTGAGTCTTGCGGTATTTTGCCAACTATCACAAGTTGTTTTCTTTTTTTTAATAATGAGAAAATAATAACTTGTTTAATCTACCTAGTAACCTATGAAGTAGGCATTATTATTCTCCCTGTTGTCTAGATGAGGAAGGAAAGGTACAGGGTGCTTACAGGACTTGCTACAGTACACAACAAGGAAAGAGTCCTACTGAGATTCACCGCCGGAGGTCCAAAGTATAAGATCTTAACTGTCCGGATGAAGATTTTTCAGTGTATAGAATATGAAGCAAAAATACCGAGGTAGCCAATTAATGATCTTAACACTTGGAAACCTCTCCTGGGCCTTTGGGTCTTTGAAGCCCAGTCCTCCTAGTTCTCAGCCTAACCTTTCTGTTCTCTTTCTTCTAATTCTCTTCCATTCTTCCATTCTCCCTCTACATGAGAAGGTTATGTCTTTGATCTGAGTCTCCCCACCTATTGGCTGGTAAACTCTTCCTTTTTCAGCAGTATCAGTGTTTATTTCATTTACCATTTTCATTTGTTGTCTCATCTCTAGTTGTGGCTTTTGCCTCTATATAATAATAATTCCAGGATTCAGGAAGACATTTGTGAACCAAAAGTATTCCTAAAATCAAAGATAATCCCTTGTTTCCTTCCAGAAGCTATTCTAGCTAGTTTTAAAGGCCTATTCCTGGACCTTTTGGCAGTTGTCAAAAAGGGAAGGGCTTGTGCTTTTTTTTTTTTTTTTTAATTATACTTTAAGTTTTAGGGTACATGTGCACATTGTGCAGGTTAGTTACATATGTATACATGTGCCATGCTGGTGCACTGCACCCACTAACTCGTCATCTAGCATTAGGTATGTCTCCCGATGCTATCCCTCCCCCCTCCCCCCACCCCACAACAGTCCCCAGAGTGTGATATTCCCCTTCCTGTGTCCATGTGATCTCATTGTTCAATTCCCACCTATGAGTGAGAATATGCGTTGTTTGGTTTTTTGTTCTTGCGATAGCTTACTGAGAATGATGATTTCCAAATGGAGTTTGCATTAGGTTTACCAGCAAGCACACTTGTCTTTGTCTGTTCTCTCCTGCCTTATGTGATGGTTTAAAATATGTCCGCAAATTCTTTGACATGTTATTTAAAAAGTGGGGCTTAATTCCTCTCCCCTTGACTGTGGTCCTTACTTAGTGATTTGCTTCTAATAAAAAAAATAAGGTATAAGTGATAATATGTGACTTCTGAGACTATATCATAAAAGCTGCCTTGTTGCTCACTCTTGGATTCACTCTGGAGGAAGTCAGCCACCATGTCATAAGGACAGCCCTATGAAGAGGTCCATGTGGCAAGGAACTGAGGTCTCCTGTCAAGAGCCAGCATCAACTTGTCTACCACATGGTCCATCTTGGAAACAGATCCTTCACCCCAGTCAAGCCTCCAGATGACTATAGCCCCAAAAATATCGTGACTGAAATCTCATGAGACCCTGAGCCAGAACCGCTCAGTGAAGTTGTTCTCAAGTTCTTTACCTACAGAAACTGTGAGATAATACATGTTTACTGTTTTAAGCTGCTAAATTTCAAGGTAGTTTGTTATATAGCAATAGAAAACCTAGTACACCTTCCTTGGTTGAACCCCAATCTAGGCATCTCCACATCCTCACTTACTCCTAAATAACTCCTCCTCACACCAATTCACTCAGGACACCTAAGAGCATATCTTGGTTTTCCTATTATTTTTGAACATTTCATATTTAAGGTAATGTTTGTACGACAAATTTTTTAATGTAGTGCCCTGGATTGATTATTATATCATTAATGTTAAATTTCTTTCTGACATTAAAGCTTTAAACAATGAAGCATGTTATTGGAAACACCTTTCATTTCAGAGAGAAATTCCTGTAATTTTGGGATAATTTTAATGTATTGTATACATTCTGCATTCTCCTTCTTGACATTAAGAGCTTACTGACATGATTTCCTTCTGATAAAGCTCCTTGGCTATGAAGGAGACACATCCGCTTACTTTGTGGTCTTTGGTTAAGAAAAATGAGCAGATAGGTTATTGGTTAAGAAAAATGAGCAGATAGGTTATAGAACTACTGATCTTCTAAATTTTAGAAGACCTTCTGAAATTAATTTTCTTTTAAGACAGAGTCTCACTATGTCACCCAGGCTGGAGTGCTGTGGCATGATCTTGGTTCACTGCAACCTTTGCCTCCCAGGTTCCAGTGATTCTGCTGCTTCAGCCTCCCAAGTAGCTGGGATTACAGGCATGCACCACTATGCCCGGCTAACTTTTGTATTTTTAGTAGAGACAGGGTTTCACCATGTTGGCCAGGCTGGTCTAGAACTCCTGGCCTCAAGCAGTCTGCCCACCTCAGCCTCCCAAAGTGCTGGGATTACAGGCATGAGCCACTGCACATGGCCCATGATCTTCTAAAATTTAGATCAGTAGTTCTCAACCCTGGCTATACATTAAAATCACCCAAGGAGCTTCGCCAAACAAAGTAAACAGAATCTCTGTTGGGGTATGGGGTAGGAATCTACATACTGTGTTTTTAAAGGCTTCCATGTACCTTCATTAGACACCAAGGTTGGGACCACTGTTTTGGATCAACCTAGAATAGAATTCATTCCTTCAGTACCAGCTCCAAAGTAAGCACAGCGCTGGTGGTTCTGCAACTATTTAGCTATTTTATCTTAGTAAAGTCACTTCATCTGCCTGGACATTCATTTTTTAGTCTAGAGCAGTGGTTCTAAACCTTGGCTGTGGTACTAGGGAGCTTTAAAAACACTGATTCCTGAATCCCAGTCCCAGAGGTTCTTATGAAACTGTTTGGGGGCATTCCTGGGCATCAAGATTTTAAAAGCTGCCCCCACCACTACTGTGGTGATTCTAAACGTGCAGTCAAGATTAAGAACTAAGAAATGAATCATTGCTAGGATCCTTTCCAGCTCTGTTTATATTTTGAATAACTGTGATTAGAGTTGACACAATCCATGATATTAAAACATTTTACAGTCATGGGGAGAAAGAATGATCAAACTACACAGCTTGACTCTGGACATAGATGTAGCATTATTTGCAAGTTACGTGAAGCTATTCAATAAATAGAAGGGTTGGAACTAGAGAGGGTTAATCCTAAGCACTTTTAAAGTTTTAGTCAAGTTGGAAAGTCGGGGAGGACTGCAGAACAACTGAGAAGAGTAACTCTTCTGACATGAGGTTTCATGGATTGTGCATTGTATTAGTCTGTTCTCACACTGCTAATAAATACATACCCGAGACTGGGTAATTTATTAAGGAGAGAGGTTTAATGGACTCATAGTTACACATGGCTGGGGAGGCCTCACAATTATGGCAGAAGGCAAACGAGGAGCAAAGTCACATCTTACATGGATGGTGGCAATAGAGAACATGTGCAGGGGAACTCCCCTTTATAAAACCATCAGATCTCATAAGACTTATTCACTATCATGAGAACAGCATGGAAAAGACCTGCCCCCATGATTCAATTACCTCCCACCGGGTCCCTCCCATGACATGTGGGAATTGTGGGAGCTGCAACTCAAGATGAGATTTGGGTGGGGACACAGTCAAACCACATCATGCATGAATGTGGACTGAAGGCTAACTCATTCAATTTTTCTGAAACTAGATGATGTTAACTATATTTTTTTCCATGGCTACCCCTGTCCTGACCTTGTTGTTTTGATGTTGTACCACTGCAACAGATAGAATGCATATCATCTTTTATTTTCTTCCTTAAATGATGTGATGGAGGAATAGTTGTGCTTTCATTTCTAGAATTAGGAATGGAAACAATTCTATGGTTGCTTCACAAAATTTCTACTGCAAGCTGGTTTGAAATCAGTGATTTCAATAAGAAGTGCTTGTGGTGGGTGGTTTAGGAGACCTCCCAGTTTGGAGGGATTAATGTAGTGACTATAAAGTCCCTCCTGTGTGTGCACAAGTATTTCATAGGGTCTGAGGCCTGGGCCTCTTTCCATAGAATTCTGAGACAAGCCCAAACACCACTTGGGGAGATGACCCAACATTCTTGAGGACACCATAACTGCTGGAATAAAAACATTAAAATGCTCAATGCTTAAGGAAACAGTTACATTTTCTGTGAAAATAAACAAAGACCAGCCAAATGAGAAAGGCAAATGCTATTAATTGAGAGCTTGCTATAGCAAGACAGTCAGCCATCATCACTGCATTTGGCAACCATTGCTGACCACTCTGATGGGTCAGGACTGCACCAAGGAATTAATGACTGAGGAAAATCTAAAAATGTTCAGAAAAGAATGGATGGCTGGAAAAATGCAACAGATGTTATTGTGCTAGCCCAACATTTATTACGCTGAGATTTAGCATACATTTCTCATATTTGCCTCCATCAACCACCACTCTTATGTTTGCAAAAAATTATAGAATAATATGCTAATATAAAACATTTGGAAAATAGACAATATTTACTCACTATCCCCTTAATATATAGTCACATCTTACTATATTTTCTTCATCTGTTTGAAAACTATGTACAATAGGTTTAGAATAGATAGATAGAATAGATAGGCCAGAATAATGACCCCTCAAAGATACCCATGTCCTAATCCCTGGAACCTGGGAATATGTTAGGTGACATGATAAATTCAGAATTAAGGTTGCAGATGCCATGAAAGTTGCTTATCAGCTGACCTCAAATAGATAAATTATCCTGGATTATCTAGGTGGGCCCAATGTAATCATAAACATCCTTAAAAGTGGAAGAGGGAGGCAGAACAAGACTCAGAGGGACATGTGACTATGGAAGGAGGTCAGAGTGATGCAATGTAAGGACTCTGCTGGCTTTTGGGGCTTTGAAGATGGAGGAAAAGGTCATCAGCCAAGAAATGCTGGTGTCCTGTAGAGGTTGAAGAAGTTAAGGACCTAGATCCTTCCCTAGAGCCTCCAGAAAGGAATGCAGCCCTGCTGACACCTTGATTTTAGCCCAGTGAGATATGTTGGACTTCTAACTGCCAGAATTGTAAGATAATAAATTTGTGTTGCTTTAAGCAGGTAAGTCTGAGAAAATTTGGTAAGAGCAGCAATAGAACACTAATACACCTTGTTTTTTTCATTTTTATAGTTCCATCATTCTTAAACATTTTTTTATCTTGCTATAGTTTTTGTAATTATTTGAAGGGCCATATATTATGCTACGGAGCTGAAGTGCTGGTATTTCCTTAATCACACCCTGTAAATGAACATTAGATGTGTGAATATCTTTCTGCATTTTCTTTTTTCCATAAGTTTGATTATTTCCTAAGGATATTCTGCCAGAAATTAAATTTGGGCTTTGAGTTCCTTCCTTCCATTTTTTCTATATTTAACTTAAAAAAAATCTCTTAAATCCACTTGGGCTGGGTGCGGTGACTCATGCCTGTAATCCCAGCACTTTGGGAGGCCGAGGTAGGCAGATCACGAGGTCAGGAGTTCAAGACCAGCCTGGCCAACATGGTGAAACCCCGTCTCTACTAAAAATACAAAAATTAGCTGGGTGTGGTGGCACGTGCCTGTAGTCCCAGCTACTCAGGAGGCTGAGGCAGGAGAATTGCTTGAACCCAGGAGGCGGAGGTTGCAGATCATGCCACTGCACTCCAGCCCAGGTGACAGAGCAAGACTCTGTCTCAAAAAAAAAAATAAATAAATAAATAAAAAGTCCGCTTGGAATTTACCTTGATATATGATGTAGGGGAAATACTTTATTCTTAATCTGTTTCTTCAACTGCATATGCTAAATAATTTTTTTCTTTTCTGTTGTTTGATAAATGCTTTCTTTATTAAATATTCAGTTTTATACAAAGGAAACTCATTTTCTGGGCTACTGATTCTTTCATTTTAACTGATTTCTGTCTGTTCTTAAGCCAGTATTGTACTGTTTGAAATCTTGTTGCCTATAATATATATAAATTCCTTTGGGGACTAGTCTTCTTCCTCTGTCTTATTCCCTTTTCTGTTGCCATAACAGAGTACGAAAGGCTGGGTAATTTATAAAGGATAATATTTTATTTCTTACAGTTCTGGAGGCTGGGATTCCCAAGGTTGAGGTGGTGAATCTGGTGAGGGCTTTCTTATTGGTGGGGACTCTTTGCAGAGTCTGGAGGTGGTACAGGGCATCACATAGCAAAGGGGCCCATGAGAGATGGCCAAACTGGTTTTTATCACACCTCCTCTTGTGATAACTAACCCTCATGTCCCAAAGGTCCTGCCTCTCAACATTGTTGCATTAGGGATCAAGTTTTCAACACATTAACTTTTGGGGGACAAATTCAAACTGTAGCACCCTCATTTGTTTAATTTCTTAAATTGTTTTTTATATGAATTTTAAATAATTATTTCCAGCTCCTAGAAAAATCCCATTGAGAGTGAGTCTCTAGTGTCCAGTGCCTTGACAAATACCTTTAAAACCTTAGTCTGACTGTAAAAGGCCCCAGTCATGTGACTGTACTTTTCCTATTCCCATTTTTCAAAGACTTCAATTATATCTAGGGCACTTCTTTGCTACCTTCCCTGTAGATCATTTTCCATTTTATGAGTCTTTTCTTATTTCTTTCCCAGCCCAGATTGCACTTATAACAGTGATTTGTCTCACAGGCTTTTCATCAGTAACTTGGCATATGTAGAGTGTGAGTGTTGGAATCATACAGTCCTGGGTTGGAGTCCCAGCTCTGTTTCTTACTAGCTGTGTGGCCTTGAATGAGTCACTCATAATCCTTGAGGGTCAGTTTCCTCCTTAAAATTAGGTCAACAGCATCTTCCTTGCAGGGTTGTCAACTGGATTATAGCTAATACAGGCAAAGAATCAAGCAATTGGACAGTTGTTTTGTGTCTTTTGAATCTAATAATAAAAAAGCTTGTATTTCATATGTATGTTTTTAAAATTTCATTTTCTAGTGATTCATCTTTGTTGTATTTGTAAAAGTCTTGTTTTGCAGTGGACTGGACATTCTTTAAAAATTGGTTCTTCACCGCAGTTTGAGAAACATTATTCTAAGCAGGGGTTGACAACCTGTAGCCTTTGCACTGGTTACCTATTTTTGTAAATGTTTAATTGCAACACAGCTACACCCACTCACTTATGTATTGTTGTTGTCCCTCCATATCTTTGGGTTCTGCATCCATGGATTCAACTTAAGAAGATATGTGAAAAAAGAAAATAATAAAAAATAACAGCACAATAAAAATATAAAAGTAAAAAATAATACAAGTAAAATACAGTGTAACACCTATTTATATACCATTTGCATTGTATTAGGTATTATAAGTTAATCTAGAGATGATTTAAAGTATACAAGAGGACATAAGTTATATGAAAATATCATGCTATTTTATATTAGGGACTTGAGCATCCATGGATTTGGGTATCCATGGGGGTTCTGGAACCAATCCCCCAAGGGTACCTGAGGGATGAAAGTATCTATGACTGCTTTTTTTTTTTTTAAACAAGGGCAGAACTGAGTCAATGTGACAGAGACTGCATGGCCCACAAAACCTAAAATATTTGCTATGTTACCCTTTACAAGAAAAGTTGGCCAATCACTGCTCTATTCTGTGTTTCATAGTTCCCCAGCTGAATTGAGTTCCACTTGTCCTCAATAATGACTTCCTTGATAACATACCTTCTCTTGCCTTCTTTCCTTTCCTTGTCTTGTTTTCTCATCTGCCGTTGTTTCTTAGATCTTTTCCCATAGAAACTACCTGTACTCACATTATTGACCCACAGTTGACTTCTAGGGGTATCCAACCACTGTGGTTTGAATGTGTCCCCTAAAGTTTGTATGATAGAAACTTGATTCCCAATGCAAAGGTATTAGGTAAGGCCTATTGGGAGTTGTTTGGGTCATGGGGCACCACCCTCAGGAATGCATTAATGCCATTATTGTGGGAGTTGGCTTATTAACATAGTAGTGGGACTCCTTATTGTGGTAGAGGGCTCCTTACAAACGGATGACTTTGGCCCCCTCTTTCTCTCTCTCTTACCCTTTCTTTACTTATCTGCCAAGTGATGATGCAGCATGAAGGCCCTCGTCAAATGCTGGTCCCTTGATCTTGGACTTTGCAGCCTTCAGAACTGTGAGAATAAATTTCTATTTATTATAAATTACCCAGTCTCAGGTATTCTGTTGTAACAGCACAAAATGGACTAAGATGCAAACCTATACGTGCATCATGTCTTTGTCTGTCCTGGTCTTGCCCCTACCATTCACTAGAAGTGACCCTAGAACGTGTCAGCTTCAGAACTTCAGTTAAGCTACCAGCCCCTATCCCCCACCCCATCTTTACTGCAGCACCATATGAAAATTCAACTTTGTGGGCATGAATTTTTCTAATTTGTTGCATCTATCTTACCAAACACCACCTCAGCACCAGGGGTGGTAGAGGAGAGAATGAAGATGGGACAGAGGAAAGAAAATTCCATCTTGCCCTACATTTGATGCTTGTTTCTTAATACAGCTTGTAAAGCTTATAGCCGATCCCAAGGTGTCAATGTATCTGAGTCGTGGCTGATTGTTTTTCACTGACCTCTGGACCTTTTCAGCCTCATAGGACATGGCCAAGTCATTGCCCACCCCAACCTTATTGCTGCTGCT
Source organism: Homo sapiens (assembly GCF_000001405.40). Taxonomy (NCBI): domain Eukaryota; kingdom Metazoa; phylum Chordata; class Mammalia; order Primates; family Hominidae; genus Homo; species Homo sapiens. The sequence continues at coordinate 11,822,260 of NC_000023.11, forward strand.
TTCATATGTTTCTGTCTACTACTTCTAATTACTTAGGTCACTTCAGGCTTTAAATCTGTCTTCTAAAGTGTAACACAGCCATAATTAGGCCATATGTTAATTAGCAGGATGACACCCTGTGCCTTGTCACTCGTGCGGGATGTGGATCATCCCAGAAAGTGCCATAGAAAGGGGAGTTCAGTGAGAAGAGGAAGTCTAAGGAGGCTGGAAGTGACTCTTTGCTCAGCAAAAACTGCCTTAGAGAGCAGGAGAAAATGGCAGTGTGCAAGATGGGGAAAGGATGGGGTCACACAAAGAAAAAGAGCTAGAGTTGACCTCTTTTCCACTCTGGGAATGAGATGTAAGCCAGGAGGCAAGCCTGAGGCTGAGACTCCACCAGGGATGGCAGAATCTCCTGAAGGATTGGAGGTGGTGGCCAGGGCAGAGGCCAAGGTCTTGACAGAGGCCACTGACGAGGTGAGTGTCAGGCATGCCCCCATCTCTATTGCCTGGAAATTTGTGGGGAGGCCAATCAAAAATCAAGGCTACTCTCTACTTCTATGGATACTGTCAGTGCCCTTTAGGAAATCTAAAATCTAAAAGAGTTGGGTCTGATTGGTTGGGACTGTTTCTATGTGCCATTTACTAATTTATTTCTGGTTCTTCCTTTAGTTAATAGTTTTCTATTAACTAAACTTGTTTTCTGATGTTCTTGGCATAGGAAAGTTGAAAAGGAGACTGGCTACGTCCCGACTATTTCCAGTTTCAGATATTGTCACCTTCATCACTCAGGAGACAATTTCCAGGAAACTAATTACTGAGGGAATTCATGATTGGGTGGGATGACATGTGAATTATAAAGATATTAACTTCAGTTTGCTGTCAACCCATGATGTGATAGAAACCTGTTCTGTCATCACCTAACTAACGGATGCAAGAGACTAAAGGCATTCAATTTAAGTTACATATTTGCTTGGATTTTAGAAAAAGGCGTTTGTCACAGGAACTCTCAAAGCATGCCAAAGGGGACATTTGAGGGCTAAGTTTATGATAATATAATAATAATAATTATTATTATTATTACCATTTATTGCTAATATTTGTTGAGTTCCTACTATATTCGAAAACTTTACAGGCATTACTTCTAACACTCCTTACAATTCAAGGAAAGTATCATTATCCCATTTAACCTGAGGCTCACAGACATTGGATCATATTCAAAGATCACACTGCCAGCTGAGACAAAACTGAAATCTATATTTCTTTTCTTTTCCTATTTAAATTCTAAAATTGGAGCTCATGTGACTTTACTGGGGTCAGCAAACTTTTTCTGTAAAAGACCAGATAGTAGATATTTTCAGCTTTGCCAGCCATACGGTGTGTGTTGCAGCTACTCCACTCTGCTGTTGTAGCACGGAGGCAGCCATAGACAATTCGTAAATAAATGAATGTGGCTATATTCCAATAAAGCTTTATTTGCAGACACTAAAATCAGAATTGAATATAATTTGCACATGTCATGAATTATTATTGTTCCTTGGGTTTCTTTTCAATCACATAAAAATGGTAACATTGTTCTGTTCACAAGCCATATAAAAACGGGCGGCAACCCAGGTTTGACCCACAGGTAATAGTTTGCTCATCCTTGCACTGTACAAAACTGCCTTTCTAACAACTTATGAAAATAATGAAGTGAAAGCAGCTGAGCTACATATTTTACCTAAGGGAGCCAAGCCAAATATGGGGAAGCTGATGGGACCATAGTTCTTATTCTGGCTCTACCATCAAATTAAATTTATAGGTTTAGGTATGTCTTAAAAACTTTCCCAGATGAGATTCCTAACAGCTCCACTATTCTTTCGTCTTAATCATAGTATGCCTGTACCAAATGATTTCCATAAAATCACAATCTGAATATAAGGTGACAAATTTGGTGGCGCCATCAGCAATATGGGGAAGACTTGGGAAAGAGTAGGTGTGTGGGTAACATCAAGAGTTTAGCCTTGAACAAGTTAAGTTTGGGGCACATAATAGACGTAAGTGGGGACAGTTGGATATAGAAATCTGGAATTCGGAGAGATAGCAGGACTAGATATTGAAATATCGGAGCCATTAGCATGTAGACTGAATCTGAGTACATCATGGCATCTTTTAGGGCAGGATTTCATAACCTTGGCCATTGACCTTTGGGGTGGAGTAATTCTTCATTGTAGGGATTGTCCTGTACATTGTGGGATGTTGAGAAGCATCCCTAGTCTCTACCCACTAAATGTTAATAGCATACTCCCCTCAGTTGTGACAACCCAAAATATCTCCAGACATTGCCAGACATCCCCTGGGGTGAAAGTCATCCTTGGTTGACAATCACTATTTTAGGCTGAGAATGGTCCTTCATGACTCCAACTTTGGAAATCAGAAAGAGGAGGAGAAAATGGGAAAAGAGACAAAGAAGGAGTAGTCAGTAAGTAGAAAAATTCATATGCTGGGTCCCAAATGTCTAGACTAGACTTGGTTTAACATTTGTTGAAAGCCAGAGGTGGAGTGTGGACAAGAGGTAATGCTCCAGAGATCAGGGCTGAGCCACAGTGAGCTCCACAATATTTTGTTGATGGGATTTCCAGTGGTGGTTAAAGGGATGGGGTAAACCAGGCTCTAAATGCATGGAGCCTGAGGGTGATGCAATGGACAGAGTGGTGTTTTCTAGTAGAGAATGGTTAAAAAAAAAAAAAAGTGGTTAAAAATAGCACTGGGAAACCAAAGATAGATACCTTTACATGTTTCTTCTTCTTTCTCATTTTATTTTTAGAAATAACTCTCAAAGGATAAAACTGTTATGGTCTGGGTGCAGGAGAAAAACAAGAACAGAAATAGAGTTTCTGTGGTTTTGAGGAAAAGCAAAAGTACTTGAGAGATGTGGTTTTTGGCATCCTGAGCTGCAGGATGTGTCTTCTTTGTGTGTGTGTGTGTGTGTGTGTGTGTGTGTGTGTGTGTGTGTGTGTGGTCTCTTCACTCATCTCGTGCCTAATTGTAGTAAAAAAAAAATAGTGAACGGCTTGTGTGAACTCTCTCTATACATTTAAAAATTGAAGAGCTATGGCTTGATAAAGGCTCAACACAAAGGTTAAAAAATTGAATCCCTCATATTGAAATTAATGTCATTAAACAAGTATGCCTCTTAGTCACATGATAATAAAATACCAAAAGAAAGGGAAATGTCTGCTTTTTTTCCTTTTAAGTCTTCTCACTTCAAAATGAGGATAATAAACTTACCTTATGAGGTTATGTAGGAGTGATTATCAGTGTTTAATACTTAGTTGGACTTCTGTAAATGTTTAAAAATAATAACAATATGTATCCTGATAGTGGTGGTTACACAAATTTAAACAGGTAATAAAATTTCATAGAACTATATATACCGCACCCCCCCACCAAAAGAACACAGAAAAGGAGTGAAATCCAAACAAGATTATTAGTTGAGTTAATACTATTGTACCAACGTCAATTTCCTCATTTTGACAATGTGCTACAGTTATGTAAGATGTTCTCATTTAGGAAAGCTGGGTGAAGGGTACACAGAGCTCTGTATTATTTTTGCAAGTTCTTGTGAGTCTTAAACTATTTCAAATAAAAGCTAAGACTATTGTGTAGCTCAGGATCATTTTGTTTTATTGTCACCTTTACCTCATGGATTCATTTTTGGTTTTTAATAGAGACGTGTACCATAAGTAAGCCAGATTATTAGCTTTTATTTATAAAAGACAAAATAATATCTGATCAATATATGTTTAAGCTAATGCAGTAGATTATAATCCAGATCATGAACCTAAATTGCTCTTAATAAGCATGTAGTCACAAAGTTCAATTATAGGTGAAAATCTGAAATTAAACAGGACTGCCATTTAGTTTTTAGTTTTAGCATATTTTATTTTTGGATAGTCCAGGACTCATCTAAGTTTGCCAAAGATTGAAATAGTCACACAACACATTCTTAAAGTCCCTGAGAAGTAGAAAGTAGAGGTGGCTTGCCTACTTTTTAAGGTGAGAATTTCTATTTCAGCAGACTTTGGGGAGGGCAAGCATCTTCTGTCTTGCTGATATGCCTAAGATGTGATCTATTTATATTACAAACCATATGCAGAGCCTGGCAAGCCTCTCTGCAAATGAGCTCATTCGCTCTGCCCTAAAGGAGGAGGATAGGAGGGGGCGAAAAGACATTAGGGACCTTTAACAATCATTACACCTCTTGATGCTGATTGAACAGGAAGGATAAACAAAATCTATGATTTCTGACAGGAAGCATAAATAATAAATACCTGTCAAGGGGAACTACATATTCTCTTTAGTCATTTTTATAGGTCATCAAAGTCAAGTTCCTAAAGACTTGAGTACTTTTTAATAGGTTTCTCTTTTTGGCATGTTGTACAAATTACAAGTACAGATAATTTCAGATTTATCTTGCCAATGGGCCTCCTTCGAAGTGTGATAAATTCTATCTAGAGCTTCACTCAAATCAACTAGTATTAATAGAACATTTATCCAGTGTTAAATAATTAGATCTGTCTGTAAGGAAATAAAGAAGAGCAGTTGCTGACCTCAAAAGGTTCCCAGACAAAGAGGAATGAGACTAGAAAACAAAGTGTATTACAAAATGCAAGCACCGTGAGAGAGGTACATACAAGGCTCAGAGAAAGGTATGAGGAGGAGGTGTCATGAACTGTTTTGGACAGTGTGTGGCAAACTGGGCCTGCAAGAAGGGTGAATTTCTGGGGCATGCTGAGTTTGCCACAAGAATTTAAAATTTTTGTGTTTTATTTAGATGGAAATTATATATATATATATATATATATAAAATATATATGTTCTGTATATAACATATATAAAAGGTGTATTTTATATATAATATATGTAAATTATATATAATATACATTTTATAAATTATACCTTTTATACCTAAATGATACCATATATAAATTACATATATTATATCATATATATGGTATAATTCTTTTTTCCCCAGTCATCTGGATGAGTGTGGGTGTGTATCTTATTGAATACTCACGGCCATGTGATCTTCATGCATCTGTGCACTGTTCAAATGGGTGACTTAGTTTAGTTTAGTTCAAATGAGTAATTTGCTTTAGTTTGAATGGGTGGAAGTAGATAAGAAAACCGAGTCATTTCATAGCAAAGGGTAGTTGGGGACATGGGACTGAAAGAATCTGGACTTGAGCATCACTGGCATATTCGGAGTTCCAGTGGTTGTTTTGCATAGATGTCATCTTTATTTGTACCAAGTAGCAAGACTTCTAAGAAGATATGTAGTAGTCCATATTTAATGAAGAATTTGTCTGTTCGTACTTCCAATCACAACTGGATAAGATAGCCATTTAGCGCCTGAATAATGCCCTGGTGCTTACCCTGCGTTTAAGGGAATCAAAAAGCTGTGCCTGTGACGGATTCATTCCCATTTCTCCATATTCTTGCCATGAGCAAGGTAGTAGAAATTTTAAAACTTTAATGAAAATGCCAAAAGAGCTACAGATGCATGGACAGCGTATCAACAATGTATCAATCAAATTTATACTTAGTTGCTAGTAAAAAAATTATAAGAGAGTGGCTTAATTTATAGCTTTATTAAGTCCAGAGTGGGTAGTCCAGGGTTGTTCTGATGGCAACATGATATAAACAGGGACCAATGCTCCTTTGGCTTTCTGCTTTGTCATCTTTTGGGTATGACCCTAATCTTCCTGTTCTCAATATGGCTGTCTGCACTCAAGCCATCATATTTTTATTCTCAAACATGAAGAAGGGATAGAGCACAGTAAAGAAGACATATGCCAACTGTGTTATCCCCATTAAAATTGCCTTCCTGGAAGTCACCATTTGTGATTATTATAACCTAAAATTGTCCAGGAGTATCTAAAATGTTCCTAGTTGTAAGGAAGGCTAGAAATCTTGCTTGTAGCTTGTTACATTGTCCCTTCAAATAATCTCAGGTTTCAACTAGTACAAAAAAGAGAAAATTAACATTTAGTAGACAGCTAGTAGCCTCTGCAACATTGTATCATATATCACTGATCCAACTTCAGCAACTGCCCGCACCAGACTTTTTGATATATGAGAAAAGGAAACCTTTATTTGTTGAAGGTCCTGCTATTTAGGTATCTGCTATTTGCAGCTAACCATATTCCTAATTGAAACAATATGTAAACACTTAATTGGTGTTTAACTTTTAGAACTTTTAGAATGGGCTTATTGACCAGGCATCACAAATTCAAATATATTCAGAACTATACAGGCACTGTGAGTGAGTGAGAGAGTGGTTTGGAAGGGGGTGGGCCTGTCAAACTGGCAAGTGTGTGCCCCATCGAAAGTGGGCAAATGCTGCTGCTGCTGAACTGAGAGAGGTGCCTTCCTACAGGATTGCTAGCCCACTGTTCCGAGACAGCAAATTTCAAGAGAACCAGAAAGCTGGATCTTTATGCATGTTGCAAGGTCGCAGTTTTTTTTCACACCACAGAATGGATATGAAGAAAAGAATCTCATTATTTAGTCTGCAATTATGGCCTGCTCCCAATCTCTTCTGCTGCTGGTTCAAGGAAAAACACAACAAAACACCAGCAACACCTAAAAGTCAATCTTGTTTAACTGTTAGTCCACTGACAATTTTGGAAATGTCGATGGTGCAGATCTAATCTGAGAGCGAGCAGGCTCAAGCTCCATGAAGAGCTGATGTCTCAGTTGGAATCTGAAGGCAGGAAAGAGCCAACGTCCCAACTTGAAGGCAGCCAGGCAGGAGTTCTGTCTTACTGGGAGGAGGGTCAGCCTTTTTGTTCTACTCAGATCCTCAACTGATAGGCTGAGGCTCACCCACATTATGCAGGACAATCTGCTTTATTCAGTCTACCAATTTAAATGTTAATCTCATCCAGAAATACCCTCCTACAAATACCCAAAATAATGTTTGACCAAACATTTGGGTACCCCATGGCCCAGTCAAGTTGACACATAAAATTAACCATCACAGTGGGCTTTCAACTATCATAGTATATATAATATACTGGCAGAGATAAACTGATTGATTACCTATTGTCAGGCTATTATAGAAATCTATGAGGCTGGATCCTTGAAGTGTGGCCTTTGGAAAGCTTAAGAGAAATATAAAGTAAACTAGGAAAATCTTTTCTCAAGAAAATAAATAGTTTAACTAACTGTTGGATACTATGCTCACTATCTGGGTGACGGGATCATTTGTATCCCAAACCTCACCATCATGATATACACCCATGTAACAAACCTGCACATGTACCCCCTGAATCTAAAATGAAAGTTGAAGTTATTTTTAAAAAAGAATAACCACTAGTTTGGAAGGATTAGTGTCCTGCTTCATAAGTCTATTTTTGAAGATCAGAAGATGAATATTTCCTTAGATTCTGTCTCTGAATTTCCTCTGTAATAAATTCTGGTCTCTCTCCAGACAGGTGGATAACTGAGCATTCTAGGGTGAAGGTCATGTCACTGAGAAAGCAAAAGAATAAAGCACAATAGAAATATTAAGAAAATAGGACCTTTGTTACACATGAAATCTCAGTTTAAAATACAGGGAAACTCGTTCAATTTATAAATTTCTGTTTAAATCAAACAAAACTATATCGTCTTTCACTTAGGGACCAACAGTTTGTGACCCTTGCTGGACAAATTGCAGACAAGTTTTGTTACAGAATCAGGTTGGTGAGGACTGGGAAAAAGAGTTGGAGGAGAAGGGGAGAACATTACTGCTTTCCCTTATAAAGTGGAGAACCAAGAGACATTGCCTATGGTGCACAGAACATAAAATAGAAAAATAGAAGCATGTTTTAGAACGCTTAAGAATGCTGTCAGTGACAGCATTGACTAATGGAGGTCTTGATCTGGAGATATAACTATAATATATGTCTAAATATAAGTGGACCCTGAATATGAGTCAAACCATCATTTTCCTAAATGAGAAAGTTGGAAACAACTTTTCTTTTTTCAACTTGAATATACAACATTTAAAGAAAGAGTTGAAATAGCCAATGTCTACCTATGATATTTTAACTTTTAGTTATATATGTATGTTTTAAACCACATGTTATGTAAACTACACTGTTATACAAAATTGCTCTTTTTCACTCTCATATTTCATGATTTTTTTTCAAATGGCGACACATGCACATTGGCATTCATTTCTCCTTCATCTGGAGCCACTTGAAAACATAGTGCCATATTTGCTTCCACTAAGTTGTTTGACTACAGCACTTTTTGAATCTGAGTTTGATGTTGCCATTAGAAATTTTATCCTAATTTACATCTACTCATTAATTCGTAGTAAGCTCCACAACATAAGTATTTAATGTATTTTAATAAAGTAATTTTTTAAAAAAGCTTGTATGCAGTGGCATCCAGAACTGCTGTTTGAAGCCATTTCTCCAGAAATATTGACTCAATCTGTGTTAAATTTATTTACCCTCCCCCGTCATGTCAGATACCCTTTATAAACATCCAAATCTAGCTTTGATTGAGGTCATTTCAGGTTACTGTGTCTTCCCCAAATAGTAATTTGTCGTTTGAAATTAAGTAATTGAGAGACTGCTTATAATATGAAGGTCTTAATAAGGACTTTATTTTTTATGGGATAATTTTGAGCAAAAGTCTTGCCTTATATTTGGCTACATACGGACTTTTGGGAAGGGCTACTGGAAACTTGAGGGTAAAGGAAGTAGGTTAATTCTTCATCTCTAGTACCAGAAAAGTAAAAGAAATATCTTATTTTGATAAACCAAGAAATTGTCACATAAAGCACATACTATCTAGTGATACTGAGACAACTACTAGATGATCAAAAACCGGTGGTAGTTTCAGTTAGTGGCTTGTGGGGAGCCAGATTGGGACAGGGTAAGACTGAGTCAATAAATTGTTCTTCATTATAAAAGCACCTGAACTATGATATCTTATAATGAAAAAAAATTAAAACTTAAAGCGGAATATTACAGTCCAAATGAGAAATGAAGGACTGTGTCATTGGTAATGAGGATGGAAGGCAGAGGTTGGTTTTAGAGCTGCCTGAGGGTAGAGTTGATGGGATTTCATGCCTGGATTATGGCGGTTCGTGGAAAGGTAAGAATGCAAGATTACTTCTGTCTAGTCTCCCAGCTTTGGTGACTGGGTAAATATGATGCTGAGTTGGAAATGCATGAACAGGGGAGTGAACAACAATTAAATCCATTGTGAGCACATAAACTCTTAGTATCTGTGACCTAGTTAAGCAAAGATGAGTCTGGGGCTCTTAGGAGAGACACACATTTAGAGTTCATCAGCATATGAGTATAGATATAGCCATGGGACTGGATAGATTACCCAGCAAAGATGTTTCATGTAAGATAACAAGGGTAGGGATCGGGCTTTGGGAAAACCATCATTATTAGAAGGGAGAGAAGAGAATCCATTGAGAGAAAATGGGCCGGAGATAAATGAGGTCAATACCAAGAAGGGGAAAGTATCAAGGAAAAGAGTAGTAGCTGTTTTAGATATTGAAGGAATACCAAGAGAAATAAGGATGGGGAAGTATCCAGTTGATTTGGCAAAGTATTTTTTATTTTCTAAACAAGGCCATGAACTCCTTAAAAGATAGATCTTTCTGTCTGCAAACAGTTTAAAAGAACCTCTTGGGAAAATTATGACTTATGAGTGTTTAGTTGAAATAAACTGAATATCCTTCAAGAGGAAAATGACCTGGGCACAAACTAATGAATGTGCTTTTTGGCTCAGCTTGCCCATAGCCCTGCACAGTGGTAGCCTCACCAGCACCTAAACTGAGCCCCTGTTTTTGTCCTCCAGGAACTCAAGGTCACTCTGAGCCCTGCTTGCTTTCCTCCCTGGTTCTGTTACGTTATTGCTGATCCCTACCTCATTTTCTTCCAATGCCCATCTGTCTTGCAGGAGCTTCACATTTACTGGTGGTATACTCTGTTTAACAGATACCGGATTTGCCTCCAGACACTACTCTTTCTGATTCCCATGGATATATCTAATGGGCAATAACTATGGGGAGACAGACATCTCAATGCAAGGAAGACTCTCAGACAAAGTGATTCAAGGAGGTATTGAAAGAGTTAATCAAAGAGGCACCAAATTTCCATTCTCTGAGCATCATCCAGCACAGACGAGATGACCTTTCAGCAGTTGTGCTGCAGAGGAAATAATTCATCTATCAGAATTCATCCATTGGATGACCTTTAAAATACCTTTCTGTCCTAAGAGTCAATGGTCTCTTGATATCAAACAGAGCATAGAAATCAGGGAACCTCGGGGTTGGAAGGGGCTTGAAGAGGTCATTTGATTCACTTTCTACCAAATAAATATGTCCCTTCTACTACCTTATTAAAGAGGAGCATCCCCAACTCCTTTTTTAAACTAATAAACTTTAGTTTTTAGAACCATTTTAGGTTCACAGCAAAGTTGGGTGGAAAGTACAGAGTTCTCAAATATCCCCTGTCCCACTGCACACAGGCACAGACTCCTTCATTATTAGCATCCATCACCAGAGTGGTACATTCGTTACAATCAACCTACATGGACACATCATCACCCAGAATCCATAGCTTGCTTTAGAGTTCACTCTTGGTGTTGTACACTCCATGGGTTTTGATAAATATATAATGACATATATCCACTATTGTAGTATCACACAGAATAGGTTCACAGCCCTAAAAATCTTCTGTGTTCTGCCTATTCATCCTTTTCTCCCTACTAACCCATGATAACCCCTAATACTTTTACTGTGTCCATAGCTTTGCCTTTAACAGAATGTCATATAGTTAGAATAATACAGTATGTAGACTTTTCAGATTGGCTTCTTTCACTGAGTAACATGCATTTAAATTTCCTCCTTGTCTTTTCATGGCTTGATAGCTCATTACTTTTTAGTGCTGAATAATATTTCACTGGATGTACCACAGTTTCTTTATCCATTCATCTACTGAAGGACACCTTGGTTGCTTCCAGGTTTTGACAATTATGAATAAAGCTGCTATAAACTATAAACATCTGTGTGCAGGTTTTGTGTGGACATAAGTTTTCAATTCATCTAGATAAATACCAAAGAGTATGATTTCTGGATCATATGATAAGAGTATGTTTACTTTTGTAAGAAATTGCCAAACTGTCTGCCACAGTGGCTGAACCATTTTTCATTCCGACCAGTAAGGAATGAGAGTTCCTGTTGCTCCCCCATCGTCACCAGTATTTGATTTTGGATATTGGCCACTCTTGGCTTCTTTTTGAATGCCCCCCAAAATGATAATTCACCATGTCAGAAATTCAGGATACTTTTAGTGGCTGGGAAAAGTAGAGCTTTACAGGAGAGTAAGCTGAAATAAAGAATGTTTGCAGCCTCTCCACCTGGACACAGACAAGGTTCGGTGTGGGTTTTGGGCAGTGCACCCTCCTGCAGCAGAGAGCTCACCGAATATCTATTTCCTTCCCTGCATTTTGCAGCCTCTCTTATAGTTGGGTTGGAGCATGTGATTGAGCTCTGGCCAATGGGAATATGAGCAGAAGTGAAGCCTCACTGCAGATCGGGCTCACTTAAGAGCCTATGAGCTTCTTCTTTTTTCTATTTCTTATGTTCAGAGACCTTGGAGTACTCTGTGATCCAGATGAAACAGCTGTGACAGATATATGAGCTTGAGCCCCAGAAAGACTGTGTGGAACAAAGATCCCTCTGAACTGGGACATGCATCTTGAGTAAGAAATAATCTTTGTTATGTTAAGCCACTGAGATTCTAGGGTTGTTACCTCCACATAGCCTAGCCTTATCTGACTAGTACGCCTCTCTTTCCTGACCCTTAAGTTCTCTCTTGGCTCTTAGTCCTTTTCTCTCCATCCAGTTATAACTCCCTTGTGTGTCTGTGCTACACTTTAACTTCAGACCACTTAAGTTATATTTGGCAACCTGACCCATCTCAACAAGCAATCTATCCATGTCAATAAGGTTTTCCAAGGACCCAGTTCATTTCGGGGGGCTGATCTTTGTCTTTGGACTCTGTGGGAATCTATATGTTTATTTGTCTGTCCAGTCCTTCCGTTGGTTCTCCAATTATTTCTCAGAGTCTCACTGATACCAGCTGGTTCCAGTCTTGATCTCCCTTGATGACAGTACCCCTCACGTGACAATTACCACATAATACCACACCGTCTGTTTTTAGAAGAGTCTAAATGATGTCTTGGTTTTTTCTTTAGGTGAGCTTAATGTGCCCCATGAAAATTATCTTGTATTTATTTGGTCAACCTCCATTCTCTGGAGTTGTGAAAATATCTTCTTCCATGTGATAGACTTGCAGGTAGCTGAAGATGGAAAGCTGTCATATTCCTTCAAATTTATTATCTAGGGTGTCTGTTTTTATCCAGATGAATATATATGTATATAAAACAAAAGTGAAACCTTCTTAATAATAAGAAAGTAGAATGATGGAAGGATAGGTATTTTAGTACATCAATATAGTTATAACTAATATTACACATTTAACACAAGAGGAATGAACTTATTTAAAAAACCATAACACATGCATAGGCTGAATGATTATACCTATTATCCATCTGCTTTTTATACTTTTAGTTTTTTTGGTAAGATTTCACTTGGGGTTGAAACTTGGCAAAGCCTTAGTCTGACAGCAATTTATAAAATGTAAAATGTGAGAAAAGGAGAAAAGGATCTGTCATATTTTTTTAATTATAAAAGCTCAAGGCAAGGAATAGCTCCTTTATCTTCTTTTCCCTTTTATGAATTTGGGAAGTCACAAAAAAGGAAGGGTTGGGAGAATATAACCTTAGCACCTATCAGCTTTTTAAAAAACTTGCTCTATGAGTTAAAATGAGAGAAGTAACCACTGACCACTGACTTCATTACAGAAGTCAAAGAGGCCACTGTGATTTTAAAAGTACACTCAGAAGAGCCCATTCTGCCATGATATTTTCCTAGTGTCTCTTGTCTTCTAAAGCCAGAAAGACTACATATTTCTTTATAAGTTTGGAGGAGCTCTGGGAGCCTGTTACTGTCATATTGTTCCATTTAGCTCAAACGCATTTTTCTACCTAATCTTATCACTATCAGGCTTTCTCTCCCTCCTCCATCTCCTTCTTTCTTATCAAAGCATCCAGATAGCACGAAGGCAGCAGGACTAAGAGAACAGGTATGTACATAAATAGAGAGGATGAGAAATAAGCACGTACAACGTGGCATCATAGGAAGTGGAATGGGAGGTAGGGCGTTGGGATGAGCAACATTGAGCAGGGGTACTATAGGGTCAAGTGGCCTGAGTAAGAAGCCAGTTTGGCTTAGCCAGGTGACTACTTTCTCTCCTTCCTGCCTTCCCTCTTCTTTTTCCCTGATTTCTTTCCTTGCCTCCTGCCCAGTTACTTCATTTCCTCTCTTCCCTTTCAACCATTTTGTCCTTTGGCTGTTTTCCCCAGTTTTTATTAGTCTTCTTTCTGGTAACTCCTGCCCTCTTCCCAGTATTATCACTTGACATGCTGTGCAGGAAAACGTTAACAGAGTGGGCCTGACACTGGTATTTTTAAAAGGCCCCCTTTCAACTTTGCATTTGAAATATTCTCTAAGCTATCATAGGTTGTTTTGCCCATGTGGGGCACTAAACACCTGTTTCCTTCTGGGAATTTACTATTATAGTAGATGTGGCAGGTCGTTGTGCCTACATTATGATAGAAACTTTGGACTCTGAGTCTCAAGCAAGCCTCAGTGGAAAGAAACAGTATACATGTATTACTAGATATCATTGCGAGAGGAGGGAACACAGTCCTTTCTGGTGTGAGGGAGGGAACATAGGAAACCTGTGCATGGATTCCTTCAGACTCGTCCTGACATATCTTTTCCTCTTGGTGATTGCTGTAATAAGCTATAACCATGAATACAACTACTTACGGGGCCTGTGAGTCCTTCTAGAAATTGCTAAATGTGTGGGTGGTGTTGGGACCTCTGCAACACATACCAAAGCTAATGTTTTGCCTGGCCCATTTTTGTTAGCTTCAAAGTGGTATTTAAAAGGCAGATAAAGGACTACTGAGATTTTTCCTTGTGAAAATTATTATTATTTCCCATTGGAAAGAGACTTATTTTAAAATTAGAGGTGAGGGTGAATGGCAACTACTATGTACCAGACACTGTGCTAAGTGCTTTATATGCATGTGTCATTTAAACAACTCTGTGAGGTAGTAATTATCACTCCTACTCTGAATGTGAGGAAGTTGACTCACCAAAAATTACAAAGATGGGAGCTAGAGGAGGCAGGGCTTCAGAGGTTTAGTTCAGTTTAACAAATATTTACTGAACAACTAGTATATACTAGGCAACATGCTATATACAAGAGAAAATGATAAATGAAACATAGAACAAGCTACAGAGTTGTTTAGGGAGGAAACAGACAGATAAACCCAATTGTTATGCTCTGATGAAAACTATGCCTGGGGTGCTATAGGATTTGAATCTAAATCTTTCTGATGGCAAATGTATGCTTTTTCTTCTTAGTGTTCATTATTGCTATACCCTGCCTTTCAAAGGAAATGCACATGAGGAAATTTAAAAGTTCTATTTCATTATTCTTATTAGGTTTTGAAAGCTAAGAGAAGTATATGTTCATGATAAAAAGGTCTGACAGTTCAAAAAAGTGCAAAGTGAAAAGTCAAAATCTACGTCCTTTTTCAACAGTTTCCTCCATTCTATTCCCTCATTGGAGCCACTTTTCTGTTTTCTTATTGTCCTACTCATTGCCTAATACTGTAAAATATCAAGTAAAAAGATATGAGCCCCAAAATATCTAAATTTAATCCTTAAAATAACAAATCACTTTCCTCATAGCCTTTCTGGGCAGAGTTTAAGCATTCTGAGGGGCCATGGCCATGTGGGACTGAATTTGCATTTCTGACTATGAATTATATTACTGACTATGAATTATATTTTAGTTTATATTTCAGTTCATTTTTAAACTGAAAAAGAATTGTATTTCAGTACATTTCTTTTTCATTAAAAAATACTAGTTGTCAATTCTTTAAGATAGGAGTCTTAAATATTTATGTTGATGTTGAATTTTGAGAAAATTTTTTTGGAATGTCCTTATATTCAGTTTTTCCAAAAGCTGAGATGATACATTTCTTCTACCTTTGATCCAAAAAAGCTTAGGTTCCTAAGGATGTGGTAAAAGAATCATGCAACAAAAATAGATTCATGTTCAACTACTGCAAAAATACGTAATAGTGGATAGAAATGATACATTTTTATCAAGAATAATAGAGGGCATGATTCATGTTAGGACTGGAGGGAATCTTAGAGCTCACCCAGTGTGTCCCCTCGTTCTGCATGTCAGACTCTTCAAACTGCTAATCATGAAAAGCAGAAGTGAATAGTAACTTACAATGAGAATGGAGTTCGTTTGTTTTTAAATTCTAGAGGCTATTTTTGTTTGCCCCTGGATGAGTTTTCTTGTGTATGTTTAAGGAATTTGTAGCAGTACAAGCTGAGTAATTAATAAGTAGAAAATCCACTATAGTAGATCTGATTTAGGAGAATCGCTCAGTCTCACCAACCTTATTCCTATGAATTTAAAGCAAATATGTTCACTTCAAATTAAATCATTAAGAATCTAGCACAGATTCTTGACCTATATTCTAAGGTACTCTAAATTCCATGGGGAATAAGACCCCCAACATGAAAAATTAGAAAGCAATATCAGAGCTCAAATATGACACACAGACAAAAGATGCTATAAGGATATTCACATATTTTTATAAGTTGAAGACACTTTTTTTTACATTTGGCACCTTGTCTAGATTGATACCACAAGTGTTCTTTTCTAATAAAGTTAATGCACACATCAGAACACACCACAAAGATCTGCTACATATTTACAAGGCACCAACCCTTTCTCATCTTTAATGTGAATTATGCAAATCAATGAAAAGCATATCAAGATCTCCCCACCCACAAAAAAACTGTAATATAAATATATACTTCGGTTCAGTACAATTCATGAATAGATGGCCTGGGAATAGCAAAATAATCCAGATAGCTCTTACAGTATCGAAACTGTAACCATTTAATAGCTGCCTTCAGGATTGGTGTATTGTGCAAAAGTTATTATTCTGGGGGTAGGAATCAAAATGGCAAAAACAAACCATATAAAATGAAGAAGATATTTTCATTGTTTGTAAAATAAATATTTTACATTAAATTTACCCAAAGGTTTTCTTTTTGTATTTTTAGTGAACGTATAGAGTTGTGTAACTATCATTTCAGTCTTAGTTTAGAATTTTTCCATTACCCCCAAAATTTCCCTTGAGCCCATTTGTAGTCAATCCCCACCACTATGCTCCCCACTTCTGCTGCCACGAGGCCCAGGTAACCACTGATCTGCTTTCTATATCTACATATTTGTCTTTTGAAATTTCATATACATAGAATCGTACAATATGTAGTATTTTGTATCTGGTTTCTTTTATTTAATGTCATGCTTTTGAGGTTCATCCATCTTGTAGCATGTATCAGTAGTTTCTTTTTCTTGCTGAATAATATTCCATTGTATGGATACACTACATTTTGTTTATGGAATCACCAGTTGATAGATATTTAGGTTATTTAATTTTTTACTATTATAAATAATGCTGCCATAGACATTCATATACAAGTGTTTATGTGGATATATGTTTTCATTTCTCTTGGGTAGATTCCTGGAAGTAGAATTGCTGGCTTGTATATTCAGTTTAAGTTTAAATTTTAAGGAAACTGACAAATTGTTTTTACAAAGTAGCTGTATCATTTTACATCCCCATCGGTAGTATATAAGGGTTCTAGTTTCTCCAAATCCTCACCATATTTAGTTTGTGTTTAAATTTTAAGGAAACTGCCAAATTGTTTTTACAAAATAGCTGTACCATTTTACATCCCCATCAGTAGTATATAAGGGTTCTAGTTTCTCCAAATCCTTACCAACACTTGTTATTGTTTCTTTTTTACTGTAGCCATTCTAGTGTGTGTGTCATGGTATCTTATTGTGGTTTTTATTTGCGTTTCCTTAATGACTAATGGCATCCTTTCATATACTTATTAGTTATTTGTATGTCTTTTTTGGTGAAGTGCCTATTTAAGTCTTTTACCCATTTTTAAAATTGTGTTGTTTGCCTTTTTATTACTGAGTTGCAAGAGTTCTTTACATATTCTATATAAAAGCCCTTTATTAGATATATGATTTGTAATATTTTATTCTTTTCTGTGGTTTGTGTTTTAATTTTTTAATTGTGTCTTTGAAGTGAAAAATATTTTAATTTCAATAAAGTCCAATTTATAAGTTGAAGGTCATGAAGAGTTTTTTCTGTTTTCTTCTAAAAATTGTTTTATAGGTTTAGTTCTTACATTTAGGTCTAGGATATACTCTGAGTTAATTTTCATGTGTGGTATGTGGTAAGCCGCTAAGTTCCTTTTCTTTCTTTCTTTCTTTTTTCTTGTTTTGCAAATTGATTCTCAATTTTCCTGGCACCGTATGTTGTAAAGGCTGTTTTTTCTGTTTGTTTGTTTGTTTTTCTCATTGAATTGTCTCAGTGCCTTTGTTGAATGTAACTTGAACATAATTGAAAGGGTTTATTTCTGGTCTCTCAATTCTGTTCTATTGGTCTATATACCTATCATATGCCAATCTCATATTCTTTAGATTACAGTGGTTTTACAGTAAGTTTTGAAATTGGATATGTAAGTCCTCTAACTTTGTTTCTCCTTTTTCAAAAATATTTTAACGCTGCATTTCCATATAAATTTTAGAATCAGTTTGTCAATTTCTATAAAACAGTGTGATGAGATTTTAATAGGGATTATATTGAATCTGTAGATCAGTTTGGGGAGAAATGCCATTTTAACAGTACTGAGTGTGTCAATTTATGAATATGGAATGCTTCCCTATTTGGTTAGATTTTTCCCCAATTCTCTCAGCAATGTTTTGTAGTTTTCAGTGTACAAATATTACACTTCTTTTGTTAAATGTATTCCCAAGTTTTTATTCTTTTATATAATATTGTGGATGAATTTTTTTAATTTCATTTTTATTCATTGATAGTACATAGGAATACAATTAATTTTTTCATGATCTTGTATTTTGTAAACTTGCTAGGCTGGTATGTTAGTTGTAGTAGGTTTTGTGTAAACTTTAGGAATTTTTAACATGTGGAATCATATAACCTCAAAATAATTGCATGTCTTCTTTTCTAATCTCTCTGTATGTGAATATGTGTTTAGTCTCATTGCACCAACTAGAACCTGCAGTACAATTTTGAATAGAAATGGCAAGGATGTTCATCCTTGTTTTGTTCTTAATATTATGTTAAAACTTTCAGTCTCTAAGTATGATGGTAGCTATAAGTGATTTTGTGCCCTTTCTCAGGTAAGGAAGTTCCTTTATATTTTTATTTTTTATTTTTTATTTTTTTTTAATTTTATTATTATTATACTTTAAGTTTTAGGGTACATGTGCACAATGTGCAGGTTAGATACATATGTATACATGTGCCTTGCTGGTGTGCTGCACCCATTAACTCGTCATTTAGCATTACGTATATCTCCTAAAGCTATCCCGCCCCCCTCCCCCCACCCTACAACCGTCCCCAGAGTGTGATGTTCCATTTCCTGTGTCCATGTGTTCTCATTGTTCAATTCCCACCTGTGAATGAGAATATGCGGTGTTTGGTTTTTTGTTCTTGCGATAGTTTACTGAGAATGATGATTTCCAATTTCATCCATGTCCCTACAAAGGACATGAGCTCATCATTTTTTTTATGGCTGCATAGTATTCCATGGTGTATATGTGCCACATTTTCTTAATCCAGTCTATCATTGTTGGACATTTGGGTTGGTTCCAAGTCTTTGCTATTGTGAATAGTGCCACAATAAACATACGTGTGCATGTGTCTTTATAGCAGCATGATTTATAGTCCTTTGGGTATATACCCACTAATGGGATGGCTGGGTCAAATGGCATTTCTAGTTCTAGGTCCCTGAGGAATCGCCACACTGACTTCCACAATGGTTGAACTAGTTTACAGTCCCACCAACAGTGTAAAAGTGTTCCTGTTTCTCCACATCCTCTCCAGCACCTGTTGTTTCCTGACTTTTTAATGATTGCCGTTCTAACTGGTGTGAGATGGTATCTCATTGTGGTTTTGATTTGCATTTCTCTGATGGCCAGTGATGGTGAGCATTTTTTCATGTGTTTTTTGGCTGCATAAATGTCTTCTTTTGAGACGTGTCTGTTCATATCCTTCGCCCACTTTTTGATGGGGTTGTTTGTTTTTTGCTTGTAAATGTGTTTGAGTTCATTGTAGATTCCGGATATTAGCCCTTTGTCACATGAGTAGGTTGCGAAAATTTTCTCCCATGTTGTAGGTTGCCTGTTCACTCTGATGGTAGTTTCTTTTGCTGTGCAGAAGCTCTTTAGTTTAATTAGATCCCATTTGTCAATTTTGGCTTTTGTTGCCATTGCTTTTGGTGTTTTAGACATGAAGTCCTTGCCCATGCCTATGTCCTGAATGGTACTGCCTAGGTTTTCTTCTAGGGTTTTTATGGTTTTAGGTCTAACGTTTAAGTCTTTAATCCATCTTGAATTCATTTTTGTATAAGGTGTAAGGAGGGGATCCAGTTTTAGCTTTCTCCATATGGCTAGCCAGTTTTCCCAGCACCATTTATTAAATAGGGAATCCTTTCCCCATTGCTTGTTTTTCTCAGGTTTGTCAAAGATCAGATAGTTGTAGATATGTGGCGTTATTTCTGAGGGCTGTGTTCTGTTCCATTGATCTATATCTCTGTTTTGGTACCAGTACCATGCTGTTTTGGTTACTGTAGCCTTGTAGTATAGTTTGAAGTCAGGTAGCGTGATGCCTCCAGCTTTGTTCTTTTGGCTTAGGATTGACTTGGCGATGCGGGCTCTATTTTGGTTCCATATGAACTTTAAAGTAGTTTTTTCCAATTCTGTGACGAAAGTCATTGGTAGCTTGATGGGGATGGCATTGAATCTATAAATTACCTTGGGCAGTATGGCCATTTTCACGATATTGATTCTTCCTACCCATGAGCATGGAATGTTCTTCCATTTCTTTGTATCCTCTTTTATTTCATTGAGCAGTGGTTTGTAGTTCTCCTTGAAGAGGTCCTTCACGTCCCTTGTAAGTTGGATTCCTAGGTATTTTATTCTCTTTGAAGCAATTGTGAATGGGAGTTCACTCATGATTTGGCTCTCTGTTTGTCTGTTATTGGTGTATAAGAATGCTTGTGATTTTTGTACCTTGATTTTGTATCCTGAGACTTTGCTGAAGTTGCTTATCAGCTTAAGGAGATTTTGGGCTGAGACGATGGGGTTTTCTAGATATACAATCATGTCATCTGCAAACAGGGACAATTTGACTTCCTCTTTTCCTAATTGAATACCCTTTATTTCCTTCTCCTGCCTAATTGCCCTGGCCAGAACTTCCAACACTATGTTGAATAGGAGTGGTGAGAGAGGGCATCCCTGTCTTGTGCCAGTTTTCATAGGGAATGCTTCCAGTTTTTGCCCATTCAGTATGATATTGGCTGTGGGTTTGTCATAGATAGCTCTTATTATTTTGAGATACATCCCATCAATACCTAATTTATTGAGGCCTTTGACGAAATTCAACAACGCTTCATGCTATATTTTTATTTTACTGAGAATTTTTGTCATGAATAGGTGGTAGATTTTGCTAAATACTTCTCTTATCTACTGAGATGATCACATGGTTTTTTGTCCTTTATTCTATTATTATGGTGCATGAAATTAGTTGATTTCCAACATGTTATATATACTTTCTATTCCTAAGCTATATTCCATTTGGCTATCTTGTATAATCCTTTTTACAAGTTGCTGAATTTGGTTTGATTACATTTTGTTAAGTATTCTTGCATCTATGTTCATGAGGAATATTGGTTTGTAATTTTTTGTGTATATGGTATTTTGGCCGCTTCTCTGTAGTCTGGAAGAGTTTGTGAAGGTTTAATGCTATTTTTTTCTTTAATGTAGAATTTTTGGCTCTAGTATATCTCCTTTTCCTACTCCCTCTTTTCTTTACTATTAGTGTCACATATATTGTAACTCTATATGATATAAATCCTACAAAATAGTGTTATACTTTTTCTTATGTTCTTTAAAGAAGTTTAAAGAAGAAATAAGAAAAAATATTTATAGTCTTTGATGCTTATCCATGTATTTAGCATTTCCTTCCTTCTTTCCTTTCTTTTCTTTCCTTTTTCTTTTTCTTTTTCTTTTGCTCTGTCACTCAGGCTGGAGCACACTGGTATGAGTATAGTTCGCTGTAACCTTGACCTCCTGGGTTCCAGTGATCCTCCTGCCTTAGCCTCCCAAGTAGCTGGGACTACAGGCATGTATGACCACATCCAACTTATTTTTTATTTTTTTGTGGGTCTTGCTGTGTTCACCAGGCTGATGTTGAACTGCTGGACTCAGGTAATTCTTCTGCCTTGGCCTTCAAAAGCACTTGGGATTTCAGGCACGAGCCACTGTACCTGGCCTTTTAACATTTCTTATGCTCTTCATTTCATCCTGTGGATTTCATTTACTATCTTATGTCAGTTCGTTTTAGCCAGAAGGATTTTCTTTAACATTCTTTTGTAAGGCAGATCTGATAGTTATGAATTCTTTTTTTTTTTTTTTTTTTTTTGAGACAGTGTCATGTCTCACTCTGTTGCCCAGGCTGGAGTACAATGGTGTGATCTCAGCTCACTACAACCTCTGCCTCCCAAGTTGAAGAGATTCTCGTGCCTCAGCCTCCCGAGTAGCTGGGACTACAGGCATGCGCCATCACACCCAGCTATTTTTTTTTTTTTTTGTATTTTTACTGGAGACGAGTTTTCACTATGTTAGCTAAGCTGGCCTCAAACCCCTGACCTCAAGTGATCCACCTGCCTCAGCCTCCCCAAGTGCTGGGATGACAGGTGTGAGCCATTGCACCCGGCCTGATAGTTATGAATTCTTTACGTGCTTGCTTATTTCTTTATTTCACCCTTATTTTTGGAGGATTTTTTTTTCTGAATATAGGATTTGTGGTTGACATTTTATTTTATCTTTTTCCAGCTCTTCGGATATATCAGTCCACTTTGGGATGGTTAATTTTATGTGACACCTTGACTGGACCATGAGGTGCCCACACTTTTAGTCAAACATTTACTCTGGATGTATCTCCTATTGTTTCTGTGTCTCTGAAGAACCCTAACATGCACTATTTTGTGGCCTCCATTGTTTTTGATGAGAAATTAGCTGCTAATCATATTATTTTTTTCTTTATATGTAGTGGTTAGGTTTTCTTTTGCTGCTTTCAAGATTTTCTGTTTGCCTTTTTGTCATGTTGTGAATTTCTTTGTGTTTATCTTACTTGGAGTTTGTTGAGTTATTGCACTTATAAATTAATGTTTTAATCAAATTTATGAAGTTTTTATTTATTATTTTTGTGAATACATTTGTTCCTTTCTCTCTTTGATGATTCTGTTATGCACATATTTTTACATTTGATGTTGTCCCACAAATTTCTGTGCACTCCGTTTATTATTCTTCAATCTTTTTTACCCTCTGTTCTTCAGATAGGACCATTTCTATTGATTTAAATTTAGATGTTCTGGTTTGTCTGCCAGCTTAAATCTACTGTTGTGCCCGTCCGATGAAATTTCTGTTTAATTTCTTACACTTTTCAATGTCAGAATTTCCATCTGGATATAATGATTATCTCTTTATTGAAACTCTTCATTCATTGAGTTATTGATATCATACTTTAATTGTTTCAGTATGGTTTGAACGTATTCATAATAGCTGCCTTAAAGTTTTTTGCTAAATCTGGCTTCTGGAGACACTCAGAGACAGTTTCTATTGACTATTTTTCCCCTCATTATAGGTCCCTCTTTCATTCTTTCAAACCCCAAGTAAAATAAACAGAAAGAAATAAACATGTGACAGAAAGGTGAACAGGAAATCTTGAAAGCAGCAAAAGAAAATCTAATAGAAGATGAATCTCTGAATAGACCAATAACAGGATCTGAACTTATGGCAATAATTAATAGCTTACCAACCAAAAAGAGTCCAGGACCAGATGGATTCACAGCCGAATTCTACCAGAGGTACAAAGAGGAACTGGTACCATTCCTTCTGAAACTATTCCAATCAATAGAAAAAGAGGGAATCCTCCCTAACTCATTTTATGAGGCCAGCATCATCCTGATACCAAAGCCGGGCAGAGACACAACCAAAAAAGAGAATTTTAGACCAATATCCTTGATGAACATTGATGCAAAAATCCTCAATAAAATACTGGCAAACCGAATCCAGCAGCACATCAAAAAGCTTATCCACAATGATCAAGTGGGCTTCATCCCTGGGATGCAAGGCTGGTTCAACATACACAAATCAATAAATGTAATCCAGCATATAAACAGAACCAAAGACAAAAACCACATGATTATCTCAATAGATGCACAAAAGGCCTTTGACAAAATTCAACAACCCTTCACGCTAAAAACTCTCAATAAATTAGGTATTGATGGGACGTATCTCAAAATAATAAGAGCTATCTATGACAAACCCACAGCCAATATCATACTGAATGGGCAAAAACTGGAAGCATTCCCTATGAAAACTGGCACAAGACAGGGATGCCCTCTCTCACCACTCCTATTCAACATAGTGTTGGAAGTTCTGGCCAGGGCAATTAGGCAGGAGAAGGAAATAAAGGGTATTCAATTAGGAAAAGAGGAAGTCAAATTGTCCCTGTTTGCAGATGACATGATTGTATATCTAGAAAACCCCACTGTCTCAGCCCAAAATCTCCTTAAGCTGATAAGCAACTTCAGCAAAGTCTCAGGATACAAAATCAAGGTACAAAAATCACAAGCATTCTTATACACCAATAACAGACAAACAGAGAGCCAAATCATGAGTGAACTCCCATTCACAATTGCTTCAAAGAGAATAAAATACCTAGGAATCCAACTTACAAGGGACGTGAAGGACCTCTTCAAGGAGAACTACAAACCACTGCTCAATGAAGTAAAAGAGGATACAAAGAAATGGAAGAACATTCCATGCCCATGGGTAGGAAGAATCAATATCGTGAAAATGGCCATACTGCCCAAGGTAATTTATAGATTCAATGCCATCCCCATCAAGCTACCAATGACTTTCTTCACAGAATTGGAAAAAACTACTTTAAAGTTCATATGGAACCAAAATAGAGCCCGCATCGCCAAGTCAATCCTAAGCCAAAAGAACAAAGCTGGAGGCATCACGCTACCTGACTTCAAACTATACTACAAGGCTACAGTAACCAAAACAGCATGGTACTGGTACCAAAACAGAGATATAGATCAATGGAACAGAACACAGCCCTCAGAAATAACGCCACATATCTACAACTATCTGATCTTTGGCAAACCTGAGAAAAACAAGCAATGGGGAAAGGATTCCCTATTTAATAAATGGTGCTGGGAAAACTGGCTAGCCATATGGAGAAAGCTAAAACTGGATCCCTTCCTTACACCTTATACAAAAATGAATTCAAGATGGATTAAAGACTTAAACGTTAGACCTAAAACCATAAAAACCCTAGAAGAAAACCTAGGCAGTACCATTCAGGACATAGGCATGGGCAAGGACTTCATGTCTAAAACACCAAAAGCAATGGCAACAAAAGCCAAAATTGACAAATGGGATCTAATTAAACTAAAGAGCTTCTGCACAGCAAAAGAAACTACCATCAGAGTGAACAGGCAACCTACAACATGGGAGAAAATTTTCGCAACCTACTCATGTGACAAAGGGCTAATATCCAGAATGTACAATGAACTCAAACAAATTTACAAGCAAAAAACAAACAACCCCATCAAAAAGTGGGCGAAGGATATGAACAGACACGTCTCAAAAGAAGACATTTATGCAGCCAAAAAACACATGAAAAAATGCTCACCATCACTGGCCATCAGAGAAATGCAAATCAAAACCACAATGAGATACCATCTCACACCAGTTAGAATGGCAATCATTAAAAAGTCAGGAAACAACAGGTGCTGGAGAGGATGTGGAGAAATAGGAACACTTTTACACTGTTGGTGGGACTGTAAACTAGTTCAACCATTGTGGAAGTCAGTGTGGCGATTCCTCAGGGATCTAGAACTAGAAATGCCATTTGACCCAGCCATCCCATTAGTGGGTATATACCCAAAGGACTATAAATCATGCTGCTATAAAGACACATGCACACGTATGTTTATTGCGGCAGTATTCACAATAGCAAAGACTTGGAACCAACCCAAATGTCCAACAATGAAAGACTGGATTAAGAAAATGTGGCACATATATACCATGGAATACTATGTAGCCATAAAAAATGATGAGCTAATGTCCTTTGTAGGGACATGGATGAAATTGGAAATCATCATTCTCAGTAAACTATCGCAAGAACAAAAAACCAAACACCGCATGTTCTCACTCATAGGTGGAAATTGAACAATGAGAACACATGGACACAGGAAGGGGAACATCACACTCTGGGGACTGTTGTGGGGTCGGGGGAGGGGGGAGGGTTAGCGTTAGGAGATATACCTAATGCTAAATGACGAGTTAATGGGTGCAGCACACCAGCATGGCACATGTAGACATATGTAACTAACCTGCACATTGTGCACATGTACCCTAAAACTTAAAGTATAATAATAATAAAAAAAATAAAAAATAAATAAAAAAAAGAAAAATAATATGATTAGGAGAAAGAAAGAACAAATACGTCCTTTGTTTTTTGGAATACTGTACATTTTAGACAATATATTATAGCCACTCTGAATTCTTATTTTTTTCCCTAGAGAGTTTCTGTGTTTGCTGATTGTTCTCTTTTGATTTGTTTTGTTTAGTAACTTGCCTGCAGTTAATTTGTGGAATTGCCCTACCTAATGCTTTACTCTGAGATTTGTGGCTGTTGATGTCTCTGCTGTTTTTCCCCTCATTTTAACTTTTTTAAAACTTGGCTTTCTAAGTGTTACTCCTTTGCCTGCATAACTTAACATTCAGCAAAGATTGGTCAGAAAGTTGTGCTTAAATCTTTTTAGTCAGTAGGGTTTCTACTGTCTGCTGATAAATCTGTTTGTGGGCTAGGGAATATATTCAGTCCATTTTTAAGTCTTCCCCAGCCTGTGTTTTTTTTTTTTTCATTAGGTCCTCTTGTATCTCCTTTGCACATACATGCAGACTCTTTCATCCAGGGATATGTGGGTGGTTTGGGCCCACTTCAGTCTCTGCTGTGCATGTGCAGACTCTTCAGTCAATTTGGGATATGTAGGGTGCTCATCAAGCCCCCTGTGGATGATCCACTTCTAGGAACTCCCTGTTAAATCCCCTCCTAACCTACCAGTCCATTGCTTGCTGCAAACAAAACAGAAACTTCAGGCTCCCAGAGCCACTGGTCTTTCATATTCCCCTGTAATTGAGGTCACCATTTCAACTGACTATATTCAATATGTTCTATAGCTGACATCATACTCAATTGTGAAAGACCGAAAGCTTTTCTTCTAAGATCAGGAAGAAGAGAAGGATGCCTGCTTTCACTACTTCTACTTAATATAGTACTGGGAGTCCTAGTCCGAGCAATAAAGCAAGAAAAAGGGATAAGGTATATCCAAATTGGAA
The DNA here is from genome assembly GCF_000001405.40 of Homo sapiens. NCBI lineage: Eukaryota > Metazoa > Chordata > Mammalia > Primates > Hominidae > Homo > Homo sapiens. The sequence goes on from NC_000023.11 coordinate 11,849,001, forward strand.
GACAAGAAGGAAAATTATCTCTGTTCACTGGTGACATGATCTTACATGTAGAAAACCCTAAAGATTCTATGAGAAAGCTGGTAGAACTAATACATGGAGTCAGCGAAGTTGCAGAGTACAAAATCAACATGCAAAAATCAGTTGTATTCCTGTATAACAATGATCAACCTGAAAAGGAAATTTAGAAAATAATTTCATTTACAATAGCATCAAAAAGAATAAAATACTTAGGAATAAAAGGAGGTGTAAGACTTATACACTGAAAACTACAAAACATTGCTGAAAGAAATTAAAGAAGATACAAATAAATGGGAGATTTAATATCATTAAGATGTCAATACTACCCAAAGCTATATCCAGATTTAATCCAAGCCCTATCAAAATCCCAATAGCATTTTTTGAAAAAATAGAAAAGTTCATCGTAAAATTCATGTAGAACCTCAAGGGAGCCCAAATAACCAAAACAGTCTTGAAAAAGAAAAAAGTTGGGGGCCTCATACTTTTAGGTTTCAAAACTTATCACAAAGCTACAGTAATCAAAACAGTGTGGTACTGTCATAAAGACAGACATGTGGACCTGTGGAATAGAATAGAGAGCCCAAAAATAAACACTCACATAACATGGTCAAATGATTTTTAATGAGAGTGCCAAGACAATTCAATGTGGGAAAGGACAGGTTTTTTTTTTTTTTTCCAACAAGTGGTATAAAAAAGAGATATCCACATGCAGAACAATGAACTTGGACCTTTATCTTATATCACATATAAAAATTAACTCAAAGTAGATCAAAAGCCTAAACATATGTGCTAAAACTATAAAACTCTTTGAAGCAAACATAGGAGAAAAACTTCATGACTTTGGATTTGGCAATGATTTCTTGAATATGACACCAAAAGCATAGGCAACAAAATAAAAATAGATAAACCGGATTATGTCAAAATTTAAAACATCTGTGCATCAAAGGACACAATCAACAGAATGGAAAGCCAACCTATGGAATGGGAGAAAATATTTTCAAATCATATATCTGATAAGGGGCTAATATATTCAGACTATATGAAGAACCTCTACAGCTCAACAACAAACCAAATAACCTGACTAAAAAATGGGCAAGGGATTTGAATAGACAATTCTCCAAAGAAGACATACAAATGACCAACCAGCATATGAAAAGTTGTTCATCATCACTAATTATTAGAGCAATGCAAATGAAAATCACAATAAGATACTACTTACCTATTAGGGTGGTCACTATTAAAAACAAAGAAACAAACAAAAAACAGAAAATAACAAGTGTTAGCTTTTAGCGAGGATGTGGAGAAGTTGGAATTCTTTTGCACTGTTAGTGGGAATGTAAAATATTGCAACAACTATAGGAAAAGAGTATGATAGTTCCTCAAAAAGTTAAAAATAGAATCACCATAATGTCTAGCAAATCTACTTCGGGGTTTATACACAAAAGCATTGAAAGCAGGATCTTGGAAAGATATTTGCAGATATATGTTCATAGCAGTATTATTCACAAGAGCCAAAAGGTGGAAGCAACTGAAGTGTCCATTGCCATGTGAACAGATAAACAAGATATGGTGTATACATACAGTGGATTATTATTCAGTCTTAAAAAGAAAGGAAATCCTGAAACATGATACAACATGGATAAACTTTCAGAATGTTATGCTAAGTATAATAAGCCAGCCAGTCACAAAAAGACAAGTATTGTATGATTCTATACAGGTAAGTACTTACAGTAGTCAAATTCATAGAGACAGAAAGTGAAATGGTGGTTGCCAAGTGCTGGGGAAAACAAAGAACGGGCTGTAACTCTTGTTTAATGGATATAGAATTTTAGTTCTGCAAGATAAAAAGAGTTCTGGAGACTGGTTCCACAATGATATGAATGTACTTAACACTACTGAACTGTACTCTTACACATGGTTAAGATGGTACATTTTATGTTGTGTATATTTTACCACAATTTTTAAAAATTAGTAAAAGACAACCAAGTGAGCCTCCTCTGGTGGACATAGTGAAGCTATTGATGTTCATGACTTACCCTGCCCCGGTTGAACTACTGCATGAACAGAACTGGCACAGGTGGGGTGGAAAGGTGCTAGAGGGAGCAGGCCCAGGTAAGAATGCCACAGATTTAAGCTCTTCCTACCTGAAGATCAGTCGTTTTCATGAATAAATGTTTCTCTGTTTGTTGTATGCTCATGGTCAAGTTTCAGATTGCTGAAATGGTTGTTGTTTTTTTAAACAGATTTGTCCAGTTTCATGGGGAGAGGATTTTTGATTTCCTCATCCCAGAAATGAATCTGTCTCCAATGATTTTCAATTTTAGAGTCATAGACCCTTCTCCATTGACAGATTACTGGAAGAGTAAACAAAAGGAATAAAATGAGAGCTCTGGCTGTGCTTGGTTGCCCCCTGACTTTTATGTCACATGTTCCACGGCCCCTGAATGAGTTCAGGGGAACCCAACTAAGGTTCCTTAAGACACAGTAGAAACAGCACCTTTACTAGGTATCCAAATAGTATCCCATTTTAATAAGTAAGTAGTTGACACTTGGCTTTATCATGACATTATGTCTCATTGTGTGGGCAGGATGTTTTTATGGTAGAGAATAAGTAAATATGGTTATTTCAGAAGAAGAAATTAATCATTCCTTTCCCTGTTCATTTCTTTGATTCCTTTCAGATTAATGCTAACTATCTTCCTCAAAAAAAGCAGCCTACATTTCTTTCTATAAGGTTTCTAAGACAAAGACCTAAGAAATGAATTTTTAATTTTTCAACACTTCTATTGGATTTTAACAAAAGATCTTGGGAAGTACTTGACTTTAGCTTTGGTATGATGACAGTAGAAATTTTTGAGAATGGTTAAACTCATACCTTGGGATGTGAATTATATGCAGTTTACCTGAAGTAACTTAGGTGTAAATATTATACAAAAAAAAAAAAAAAAACCTCTAAGAGATAGACAGTGGGGTTCTACCATCAACTTCTAATTCTTTATCATAAAGTTAATAAAATCTTTTCATCTGGCATGATTAAGAAAAGAGTCTTTGTTTTGGTCCAGTGGCAAAACTTACTTTCTCACTGGATGTTAGCTGACAATAAGAGTTCAGCCCATTAGGCTAAAAAATGGAAGGTGGCTTTGGTGGGGATTGAGGTATTCCTATGTAGCCACTTTATGCTTACTAACATCTGGGCCACACAATCTTCTATTTAGGAACTACTTATGTATCATTAGGAGGGAGCAGCAGGCTTTCTGAGTAATATGGGCCACACTTCACTTTCTCAGGGTTTATGGTAATGGAATATACTTTGTCCAGGAGGCTGAGGTAGGAGAATTGCCTGAGCCTTGGAGCTGGAGGCTGCAGAGAGCCATAATCATGCCACTGCACTCCAGCCTGGGTGACAGAGTGAGACCCTGTCTCCAAAAAAAAAAAAAAAAAAAGAAAAAGAAAAAAAAGAATATACTTCGTTATGATTTCAGCCTTTGCAAATTTATTGAGACTTGATGTGTCACCCAGTCTATATGCTATCCTGTAGAATTCTCTGTGTGTACTTTAAAAGAATTCTTACTATGCAGGGGTTACAATCCTAGTTTCTGAGAAAACAGACTTTAAACCAACAAAGATCCAAAAAGACAAAAAAGGGAATTACATAATGGTAAAGCATTCAATTCAACAAGAAGACCTAAAAATCCTAAATATATAAGCATCCAACACAGGGGCACCCAGATTCATAAAGCAAGCTCTTAGAGACCTTCAAAGAGACTTAGACTCCTACACAATAATAGAGGGGGACTTTAACACCCCACTGAGAATATTAGGTCATTGAGACAGAAAATTAACAAATATGTTCAGGACCTGGACTCAGCACTGGTTCAAATGGACCTGCTAGATATCTACAGAACTCTGTACCCTCAAACAGAAGAATATACATTCTCTTCATCGCCTTGTGGTACTTATTCTAAAATTGATCACATAATCAGAAGTAAAACACTCCTTAGCAAATGCAAAAGTACTGAAATCATAACAGTCTCTCAGACCACAGTGCAATCAAATTTGAAATCAAGACTAAGAAACTCAAAACCATACATTTACATGGAAATTGAATAACCTGCTCCTGAATGACATTGGGGTAAATAATGAAATTAAGGCAGAAATCAAGAAGTTCTTTGAAACTAATGAGAAAAAAGATACAACATACCAGAATCTCTGGGACACAGCTAAGGCAGTGTTAAGAGGGAAATTTATAGCACTAAATGCCCACATCAAAAAGTTAGAAAGATCTCAAATTAATAACCTAACATCACAACTAAAAGAACTACAGAACCAAGAGTAAACAAATCCCAAAGCTAGCAGAAAACAAGAAATAATTAAAATCAGAGCTGAACTAAAGAAAAAACCCTTCAAAAGATCAATGAATCCAGGAGCCATTTTTTTAAAAAAAATTAAAAATATATATTGCTAACTAGACAAATGAAGAAAAGAGAGAAGATTCAAATAAACAGAATAAGAAATGACAAGGGGGATATTACCACTTACCCAACAGAAATTCAAACAACCATCAGGGAATATTATGAACACCTCTATGCACATAAACTAGAAAAATTAGAAAAAATGGACACATACCTGGACACTTACACCCTCCCAATAAAGAAACAGGAAGAAATTGAATCCCTGAACAGACCAAAAATGAGTTCTGAAATTGAAGTAGTAATAAATAGCCTACCAACCAAAAAAAGCCCAGGACCAGACAAATTCACAGCTGAATTCCACCAGATGTACGAATAAGAGCTGGTACTGTTCCTACTGAAACTATTCCAAACAATTGAGGAGGAGGAGGGACTCCTTTCTAACTCATTCTATGAGGCCAGCATCATCCTGATACCCAAACCTGGCAGAGATACAACAGAAAAACAAAATTTCAGGCCAGTATTCTTGATGAACATTGTATTAGTTCATTGGCATGCTGCTATGAAGAAATACCTGAGACCAGGTAATTTATAAAGGAAATAGATTTAATCGACTCACAGTTCCACATGGCTGAGGAGGCCTCAGGAAACTTACAATCATGGCAGAAGGCACCTCTTCACAGGGCAGCAGGGGAGAGAATGAGTGCCTAGTGAAGGGGGAAGCCCCTTATAAAACAATCAGATCTTGTGAGAACTAACTCCCTATCATGAGAAAGAAATGGAGGAACTGCCCCCATGATTCATTTATCTCTACCTGGTCCCTCCCTCAACACAAGGGGATTATGGGAACTACAATTCAAAATGAGATTTGGGTGGGGACACAGCCAAACCATAACATTCTGCCCCAGGCCCCTCCCAAATCTCATGTCCTCGCAATTCAAAACACAGTCATGCCCTTCCAACAGTCTTCCAAAGTCTTAACTCATTCCAGCATTAACTCAAAAGTCCAAGTCCAAAGTCTCATCTGAGACAAGGCAAGTCCCTTCTGCCTATGAGCCTGTAAAACCAAAGGCAAGTTAGTTATTAGTAATACTTCCTAGATACAATGGGGGTATAGGCATTGGGTAAAATACACCCATTCCAAATGGGAGAAATTGGCCAAAACAAAGGGGCTACAAGCCCCTGCAAGTCTGAAATCTAATGGGGCAGTCATTAAACCTTAAAGTTCCAAAATGATCTCCTTTGACTCCATATCTCACATCCAGGTCATGCTGATGTAAATGTGGGCTCCCATGGCATGGGGCAGCTCCACCCCCGTGGCTTTGCAGGGTACAGCTCCCTTCCTGGCTGTTTTCACAGGCTGGAGTTGAGTGTCTGAAGCTTTTCCAGGTGCATGGTGCAAGCTGTTGGTGGATCTAACATGCTGGGGTCTACAGGACGATGGCCTTCTTCTCACAGCTCCACCAGGCAATGCCCCAGTGGGGACTCTGTGTGGGGGCTCTGACCCCACACTTCCCTTCCACACTGCCCTAGCAGAGGTTCTCCATGAGGGCTCCACCCCTGCAGCATACTTCTGCTTGGACAACCGGGCATTTCCATATATCCTCTGAAATCTAGGTAGAGGTACTTACAACTTAATTCTTGATTTCTGTGCACCCACAGGCCCAACACCATGTATAAGATACTAAGGCTTGGTGCTTGCACCTTCTGAAGTAATGGCCTGAGCTGTATGTTGGCTCCTTTTAGCCATGGCTGGAGCTGAAGCAGGTGGGATGCAGGGCACCATGTCCTGAGGCTGCATAGAGCAGGGAGGCCCTGGGCCTGGCCCAGGAAACCATTTTTCCCTCCTAGGCCTCTGGGCCTGTGATGGGAGGGGCTGCCACAAAGGTCTCTGACATGACCTGGAGACATTTCCCCCATTGTCTTGGTGATTAACATTTGGCTCCTCATTATTAATACAAATTTCTGTAGTCAGCTTGAATTTCTCCCCAGAAAATGGATTTTTCTTTTTATATTGCATTGTTAGTCTGCAAATTTTCCAAACTTTTATGCTCTGCTACCTCTAGAACACCTTGCCACTTAGAAATTTCTTCCACCAGATACCCTAAATCATCTCTCGCAAGTTCAAAATTCCACAGATCTCTAGGGCAGGGGCAAAATGCCATTAGTATCTTTGAATAGCAAGAGTGACCTTTATTTCAGTTCCCAACAGGTTCCTCATCTCCATCTGAGACCACTTCAACCTGAACTTCATTGTCCACATCACTATCAGCATTTTGGTCAAAGGCATTCAACAAGTATCTAGGAAGTTCCAAACTTTTCCACATCTTCCTGTCTTCTGAGCCCTTCAAGTTTCTAGGATGTTCCAAACTTTCCCACATTTTCCTGTCTTCTTCTGAGCCCTCCAAATGGTTCCAACCTCTGCCTGTTACCCAGTTCCAAAGTCACTTCCACATTTTTGGATTTCTTTACAGCAGCACCCCACTCTCTGCAGTACCAATTAACTGTATTAGTCTGTTCGTATGTTGCTATGAAGAAATACCTGAGACTGGACAATTTATAAAGGAATTAGGTTTAATTGACTTACAATTCCACACAGCTGGGAAGGCCTTAGGAAACTTATAGAGGAGGGCACCTCTTCACAGGGTGGCAGGGGAGATAATGAGTGCCCAGTGAAAGGGGAAGCCGCTTATAAAACCATCAGATCTCATGAGAACTAATTATCATAAGAACAGAATGGGGGAAACCACCCCCATGATTCAATTATCTCCAACTGATCCCTCCCACAACATGTGGGGATTATGGGAACTACAATTCAAGATGAGATTTAGGTAGGGACACAGACAAACTGTATCAAACATTGATGCAAAAATCCTCAACAAAATACTGGAAAACTGAAACCAGCAGCACAGCAAAAAGTTTATCCACCACAATTAAGTAGGCTTCATTCCCGGGATGCAAGGTTGGTTCAACATATGCAAATCAAAAATGTGATTCATCATATAAACAGGAATAAAGACAAAAATCACACGATTATCTCAATAGATACAGAAAAGGCTTTTGATAAAATTCAACATCCATTAATGTTAAAAAAACTCTCAATAAGCTAGATATTGAAGGAGTGTACTTCAAAATAATAAGAGCCATAAATGACAAACCCATAGCCAGTATCATATTGAATAGGTAAAAGCTGGAAGAATTCCCCTTGAAAATTGGCACAAGACAAAGATGCCCTCTCTCACCACTCCTATTCAGCATAGTATTGAAAGTTCTGGTCTGGACAATCAGGCAAGAGAAAGAAATAAAAGGCATCCAAATAGGAAGAGAGGAAGTTAAATTATCCTTGTTTGCAGATGATGTAATTCTATATCTAGAAAACCCCACAGTCTCAGCCCGAAAGTTTCTTAAGCTGATAAACCACTTCGGGAAAGTCTCAGGATACAAAATCAATGTGCAAAAATCACTAGCAATCCTAGACACCAACAACAGTCAAGCCAAGAGCCAAATCAGGAATTAACTCCCATTCACAAATACCACAAAAATAATAAAATGCCTAGGAATACAGCTAACTAGTGAGGTGAAAGATCTCTACAAGGAGAGCTACAAATGACCGCTCAGAGAAATCAGAGATGACACAAACAAATGGAAAAACATGACATGCTCATGGATAGGAAGAATCAATATTTTTTAAATGGCCATACTGTCCAAAGCCATTTATAGATTCAATGCTATTCCTATTAAACTACCATTAACATTCTTCAGAGAACTAAAGAAAAGTATTTTAAAATTCATATAGAACCAAAAAGGAGCCCGAATAGCCAAGGAAATCCTAAGCAAAAAGAACAAAGCTGGAAGCATCATGCTACCTGATGTCAAACTGTACTACAGAGCTACAGTAACCAAAACATCATGATCCTGGTACAAAGAAAAAAAAGAACTATAGACAAATGGAACATAATAGAGAACCTAGAAATAAGAATGCACACCTACAACTATCTGATCTTTGACAAACCTGACAAAAATGGGGAAAAGATTCCCTATTCAATGAATGGCGCTGGGAGAACTACCTAGCCGCGTGCAGAAGATTGAAACTGAACCTCTTCCTTACACTATGTACAAAAATTAACTTGACATGGATTAAAGACTTAAATGGAAAACTGAAAGCTATAAAAACCCTGGAAGACAACCTATTGCCTGGAAGGCAATACCATTCAGGACATAGGCACAGGCAAAGATTTCATGACAATGCTAAAAGCAATCGCAACAAAAGCAAAAATTGACCAATGGGATCTCATTAAACTAAAGAGCTTCTGCACAGTAAAAGAAACTATCATCAAACAGACAACCTATAGAATAGGAGAAAATTTTTGCAAACTATGCATTTGACGAAGGTTTAATATCCAGTATCTATAAGAAATTTAAACAAATTTACAAAACAAAGACAGCCCTATAAAAAGTGGGCAAAGTACATGAACATATCCTTTTTAAAAGAAGACATACATGTAGCCAACAATCATATGTAAAAAAGCCCAACATCACTGAGCATTAGAGAAATGCAAATCAAAACCACAATGAGATACCATCTCACACCAGTAAGAATGACTATTATTAAAAAGCCAAAAAATAACAGATGCTGGCAAGGTGGTGGAGAAAAAGGAAGGCTTATGCACTGTTGGTGAGTGTAAATTAGTTCAGCCGTTGTGGAAGACAGTGTGGTGATTGCTCAAAGACCTAAAGACAGAAATACCATTCAACCCAGTAATCTCATTACTGGATATATACCCAAAAGAATATAAATTATTCTATTATAAAGACATATGTACGTGTATGCTCATTGCAGCACTATTCACAATAGCAAAGACATGGAATCAACCTAAGAGCCCATTAATGATAGACTGGATAAAGAAAATGTGGTGCATATACACCATGGAATAGTATGCAGCTATAAAAAAGAATGAGATCATGTCCTTTGCAGGGACATGGATGGAGCTGAAGGCCATTATCCTTAGCAAACTAACACAGGAACAGAAAACCAAAGACCACGTGTTCTCACTTATAAATGGGAGCTAAATGATGAGAACACATGGACACAGAGGGGAACAACACACACTGGGGTCTTTCAGAGGGCAGAGGGTGGGAGGAGGGAGAGGATCAGGAAAAATAACTACTGGGTACTAAGATTAATGTCTAGGTGATGAAATAATCTGTACAACAAACCCCCATGACACAATTTTAGTTATATAACAAACCTACACTTGTACCCCTGAACTTAAAAGTTAAGAAATAAGAATGCTTATTATAGTCATCCTGTTTTACCCACAGAAATTTAAAATAAAAGAAAAAAATAAAAATTAAAACTTAAAAGAATGCTTACTATGAAAACTCTCAAAGAAGTAAAGAAGTTGATTCTACCTAAAAAATATCCTGTGAAATGCACTTTCAGTCAGTTCATAATGTCCTGTGTAAATGAGGCTTCTTCCTCTTCTCCTGACTAAGGTAAATTTAATAAGAAGATGTGTTTATAATGTAAATTAATAAGAAAGCAAATATTATACTTGCAGAAATCCTTAAAAATCTAGCTGTCAAATAATTTATTTTTTCCTATCCTTGGTTCTAATAAACAGCTGAAGGAGTGAAAATATTATTTGCTTCCTCACCATGTTCTTCAACATTTGCGTACATAATATAGGCTTATTAAGGCCATTCCTATGCATAAACTGAACTATTTGACATTTATTTAATTAAAAAATTATTCATTTTCTGCACATGGGAAGAACTACACTTGCAGAGAAGGACAAAATTGCCCAGGATATAAATTTTTATTCTCTGCAATAAAGGTGAGATAATAGCTAAAAGCAGGGAGCAAAGAAGCAAAGCACAGCATTATGCAATATTTTGAGACTTTATTACACAGTGTTCAAAGGAATTTCAGGTTTTCAAATGATAAAGTTTTGTAAAATATATTTACCTTTGTTCTTTCAAACTTAGAATTGATCATTTTTTGAGTTAGAATCTTGAGATAAGGTGGACATTTTCTAGGATAATTTTTAAAAATGTCAGAACAATAGAATTGCTTCATTTTGCATAAAGTAAGGAAGGCCATTTTCCAAGACTTTGTATTCCTGCCTTTTCATGTTTTAGAAGCTTTAGAAGCTAAGTAGTTTGCTTTGCTGTGCAATTTATAACTATTTTAGAAATAACATTGAAGCTCAAAGTCAGGAAGGAATTACTGAAATGGTTTTCTCCACATATTTTAAGAATTTTGCTTTTTGGGTTATTTCTACCATCCTGCTTCTGTTTTTTGTTTGTTTGTTTGTTTGTTTGTTTTCAGTTACATTAAGTGGTTTCCCTAAGGTTTAAAAGCTAATCCAACACTAAGATTGTACTTATAATTCTTGTCCCCACTGCCCTGTCAACCCCTAGCTGCTGCTGCCACTTCAAATAAAATGCTCATTGCTATTTCCTGATGTTTCCACTCTGCCCATGCCCTTTTCTTTCTTTTCAGTATCTTCCTTTTGTTGTGTGCACTTGTCCTACCCTTTATACTGGAGGATCCAGACTGTCACTTCTACTAACTTTGTTTAATTTTTGCCTTGCATGTGGCAAACTCCCAAGAATTATTCACTTAAATGAGTCAAATTACCAATTAAATGCAACAAGGATACTCCTTGGGACAATATAAAATTAAGATGCATTTGCTGGAGCAGCTCAAATATACAGTAATAGGCATATATTTAGAAAAGAATCACTTATCAAGATATTGTTTTCTCTTTAAGAATGGGTTGCTGTGGTTCTTGGCTGTCTATTTTATTTTAAGCAAACTTGTTACACTTGGTTACTATGTCTCAGGCTAATCACCTTTTTGATTGACATGCAAGAAGCCGAACTGCCTGATTGAGGATCATCTATGGGATCTTGGCCTGAAGTTAGCTGCTTTCAGGGTTTAACTGGACTGTGTGATTGAAGACACTCTGACTCAGGTGGTGTTTGCAATCTTGATTTATCCCTTGCTAAGCAGAATTTTGATGCTACAGAATGTATCCTGATTATCATCAAAGTTCCCTTTGCTTAGATATACTTAGTTTTTCTCTGAAAAGGAATTGGCAACTTAGAGCCAGTTGGCACCTGACTAACTATTAGTATTGTGTTCTCCCTCTGGGTGTCAGCTCCCCACAGGATGTGTGCCAATCACACTTTAATGATATTTAAAATAGGTGAATTGTCTTGGAGAAAAATGTTTCTGCCTGGGAAACATCTAATGAGGTTCTTAAAATCTGATATAAATGAACTCATGAAAGAAATAAACATTTTGTAAGTCAGTTTGGGTTTTTCCTAAACCAAGTTAGTAATAGATGTTCTTTCATTGCTGAAAGTGAGGTGGGATGAGTTTTAAGGGCTTTCTGTAAATCTCACATTCCTTATTATCCTGGGAGATGAAGTTTGATTAATCTTCATTTACCACTAATTGTTCTTTTATTGAAAAGTTTACAAGGTTCTCTATTCACATAAGAGCAGAATCAATTTGAAGATTTTCCTTTTAATCGAGACTCTTGAATTCAGTTGAAATTATTTCAAAAAGTATTTAATTAAAAAATTTAAATAAAGAAGTTAGTCTCTGTCATGTGACTCATAAAATTTTGAGGTATTTAATAATTTTATTTCTTTTTAGTAATTATGGTTATGTTTGATACAAAGATGAACAAGAGGCATATGCTCTAATATGAAATTGACACTGAGGTCTGAGATAAGTGATAGCTGAGAAAAAGGAAATAGATAGCTGAAGAGGTATTATTAGGACCTTATACTCAAATCTCTCAAGAAAGAGTCATTTGTTGGGTCAATTTGCTATGTGGCTCATTGTACTATGTGTATTCCTCCATGACTTCAGCAGTGATGATATATTCCTTATCAGGTCTGTGATTTTTTTTCTTTTTTTTTTCCCTTGAATGTTAGGATCAATAGTACTTTGGGTTTGATAGTTCCTGCTTATCTCATAAAATTAAAAGAAAATCAGCACAAACACAAAAAACAAAATATGAAATAAAGAAGGTCATTTAGCTTAACTTTTACTCCTGGATAGATAGTAAGCACCAGGTCAGAATTTGTCTTTCACTAATTTATCCATTTGCCTATTCAATTTATGGTTTGCATGGTATTATGGCAATACTAATTAGAAATAGGTACAATCCTACCTGAGGTCTACTATAGAGATAAAACTTACAACAACTAAAGCAAAAGAAAGTGCTAAATACTCCAAGTTCTCATCTCCAAGTAGGTAAAGTCCCATAGAGGTTCTAAGGTGAGAGAGGACCTTTCTACTAGGGATGGGGTTGAGAGCATGGTGAGGATAAGAGTTATGAGTTCAACCTTAGTGTTTGTATTAGTCTGTTCTTGCATTGCTATAAAGAAATACCCGAGACTGGGTAATTTATAAAGAAAAGAGGTTTAGTTGGCTTATGGTTCCATAGGCTGTACAGGAAGCATGAGGTCAGCATCTGCTTGGCTTCTGGGGAGGCCTCAGGAAACTTCAATTATGGCAGAAGGCAAAGGAGAAGCAGGTACGTCTTACATGGCTGGAGCAGGAGCAAGGGGTTGGGGGAGGTGCCACACACTTTTAAATGACCAGATCTCACAAGAACCCACTCACTATCACATGAACAGCACCAAGGGGGAAATTCACCCCCATGATCCAATCCACCTCCCACCAGGCCCCACCTCCAACATTGGGGGTTATAATTTGACATGAGATTTTGGTGGAACACAGATTCAAACCTTATCAGTGTTGGGATGGCTTTTCAAATGGCCCTTAAAAAGTAGGTAGGATATTGAAAAGAAGGTTTCAGGTGGAAATGTAGTAGAGGGAGGAAACAGCAAGACTGAAAGCATTTTGGTGGTCTTTGGGGCTCATATGGGTACCAAAGGGGTATTTAGGCTAATGTAAAGTGGCAAAAAAGAAGTTCTAGAAAGTAAAGTTTACACATGGATTAGGCAGAGATTGGGGAAAATTTGGATGCCAGGCTCAAAATTTATTGTGTAAGCATAAACACTTGAATTTCTATACAGAAGTGGTATAGGAGTGTTGGCTCTGATAATGTGCCTTACAGACCTCCTACAGTTGTGTCAGGGCTCCAGCTCCTACAGTCTATAATCCCTTGTAGATGATGCACCATAAAGGTTGCTCCCTAGCAATGACTGAGCATGATGGGGATACTAACATGCACTGTCCCAGGAGACAGACCCCTTCCTTGGCTGAGCTTGGCTCAGGAACTCCCTGACAGTTTTGCTGAACCTTCCTTAGACATTAAGGAAGTCTAGGACTCTTTCATCCAAGTCATACTGAGTCTGTCAGTTCTCTTAGCTTGCTGAGCTTTGTCCGTATTTTTCTTTACACAGGCATTTTTGCTAATAAATAGATAAATAAATAAATAATCTACATTTGATCTCATCTTGATGTCTATAACTTTGTGGACTAGGACTAACTAAGGTGTTTAAGGGTAGCAACCTGATTGGAGGTGTGTGGTTAGGGAACTTGGTTTTTTTTTTTTTTTTTTTTTTGATGCATCTCTCTCTCTTTTTTTTTATTATACTTTAAGTTTTAGGGTACATGTGCACAACGTGCAGGTTTGTTACATATGTACAACGTGCAGGTTTGTTACATATGTATACATGTGACATGTTGGTGTGCTGCACCCATTAACTCTTCATTTAACATTAGGTATATCTCCTAATGCTATCCCTCCCCTCTCCCCCCACCCCACAACAGGCCTCAGTGTGTGATGTTCCCCTTCCTGTGTCCATGTGTTCTCATTGTTCAGTTCCCATCTATGAGTGAGAACATGCAGTGTTTGGTTTTTTGTCCTTGAGATAGTTTGCTGAGAATGATGGTTTCCAGCTTCATCCATGTCCCTACAAAGGACATGAACTCATCATTTTTTATGGCTGCATAGTATTCCATGGTGTATATGTGCCACATTTTTTTGAAGCTATGTTTGTACAACAAGTCTGCTGCTTTTATTTACATTGCATGAATTTTTTTAGGAGACTTTGGTGGGAACTGAAGAAGATTATGGAGGTCTACAGCACCCCCTAGGCTACCCTGGATGTTGGTAGTAGAAAGTAATTTACATTCTTTCCCTTATTAAAAGAATGATGACACATATTATTTTATAATGCAATCATAAACTACAACCAAAGTCATAAATATTATGTATGAAAAAAACAGATTAACACTAGTTAATTCAATATAAGTTAAAAATAATGAATAATAATAATTTCTGCCCCTAGTTCAGTGCTTCTGAGGTAAAAAGAATTGATGTCTTAAATGCTTGATGAATATAGCTTAGAAATGTTTTTCTCCATTATTTGTTTCCCTCAGTATCCTTTCAATACATTTTATCTGGAATTTTGGCATGGCCATACAATGTCTTAGCTTACAGTGCTCCTTCTTTGAATAATTTGTGAAAGGACTCTTTTGACAGTCAGAAATGACTTTGACTCGATTTAATACTAATAAAGATATATGTTGAAGCTTGTATGTTGTTTGCCTGTTACTCAGATTTGTGTTATGCTTTCTCTTGCATTGAAATACTTCTATGTTTAGGGCCTTGCCATTGGTTGGCTTGGATATCATGGTAATGTCACAACTTTAGGCTGTGACTTTGCTGCAGGTGCTATTAGAAGGAGATAATAGGCTGCCAGGCAGAGGAGGGGAAGACTGGATTCCCACAAATGCTGTGGACTTGGCAAGTCACACACATTGCATGGATCTATGAAAATAACATCTACGGGAATAACTGAAATGAATAAATAAAGACTGCTCGGAAAGTTAACAAGAGTGAAGGGATGAGGGAGCAAGCAGAGAGGATCCTGGGTGTGGACTGAGGGCAGTTTAAGGGCATTGCATTGGCAGCACTAAAGGAGTGGTTAGACATGTGGGAGGGATGAGGTCAGAGGAAGCCACCTAGGGGATGCCTGAGCCCACAAGACTAAGCCAAGACCAAACATTGCAAGCAGAAGGGAAGAAGAAAATAACCAGTGCTTTTGATTTGCATGCACAATTGTACAGTAGGAGCTTTTGATATCCTTTGGGAAAAGTGTATATTTCTTCCTGAATGACTGAGGGGTTATTTAGCAAACTGAAAAGTGATCATGCCTCTTGACTTTATATGCAAAGCTATCCTGTCATTCTTTTGTTGCTTTGTGAATATTCTGGTGAATTGACGTCCTGTTTATCCATCAAGACTTCTACTCATCTGCTTTCCCACTAAGAACAAAGATGCCTTCCAAAATTGAAAAAAAATTTAATGGACACTTTCCATTGACCTTATGGCTCTTTGATTTTGTTGGCATTCTTGACTATTCTGTTTATAGTAAAATATGTTTCCCTCTCTAGTAAAATGGATTTTTTTTTCTAGTAAATGTTCTTGTGCAGAAAAATGTGAAAAAGCCCTACACTATAATTCATTGTTAGCAATAGTTTCATAAAATTGACCATTATTTAAATTGAGGGTGGTAGAGGTAGAAAAGGACATCCATTTGTGATGTTTCCAGGAAAATTTTTGCATTGAGTAAAACTGAGTGAATTATGCTGTTCTTTAAAAATGTGTAACACATTTTATACAAAGAAGATAGTCAAACCAGGTATCATTTTTCTTGTAGGTGAATGAAAAAGAGACCAAGTGAAAAAATAAGTTGATTTAGTGACCTGAATGTATCCCATAGAGTGGAAAATAAAATACAGGATCCCAAACCTTGCCCTTCCATGTCATCATCATCTTTGAAATATACAGGTAAGTGGTTATATTCATTTTGAGAGTTGACCTAGTGGCTGTGAAATAGAAAGTGGCCAAGACAACAGTGCCAGTCTGACCAAAAGATTATTTTAGTATTGTTGCAAATATAATTAGGATGGTATTGTTTTCTTCTTCATGAACATGAAAATATGTTACCTTGTGTTTTTTTAAAAGCTCATCTAGAGCTGTATGTGACATATAAAGATGTACCACACAGAACTAAATCTCCACAGCAAAGACAACTATAACAATAGCAATAGTGGTAGCTACAGCTTACAAAGTACTCATTCTATGCTGAGCCTAGTGCTAAAGTGCATTCCATAGATTTTTCTAATCAACCCTTATAGCAGGATTAATTAGAGGTAAGTATTTTCACCATTTTATGAATATGGAAACCGAGGCATAGGGAGGCTAAGACATTTGCTGAGGTTCATATGTCTAATATGACTAGTCCAGGTTTGTTTGTCTCTCTCCAAAGTTAGTACTCTTAACTAGGGCAGAATATGTTACTGGCAAACTGAGTGGTGGTCAGGATAAACCAGAACTTTCACACACTTTGTTTTTCTAAATGGATATCCAACTGTAGAGTGAGCTGAATCAAAATCAACTGACTCATACAAGTCTTTGACATGTAACTATTATATGGCCAGGTCTCTTATGATGTCTTATGTTCATTAATACTTTCTGTGGGGACAAGAATTTGCAAGTAGGTACAGTTATGTCTAAAACTCAAATTTCAAGAAATTGAGTTTTAAAGGTCTAATTGGCTTTTATTAGCAATTCATGAATTGGACAGTACCCAGTTTACAAAACAGAAAGGAACTCCCATTAGCTGAGCAGAGAGGGTGGGCTTTTTAGGCAGAAAAAGCTGAAGAAAGCAGAAACAAGGAACGAAAAGCAGATTGGTCCTTTCTGTTACTTTCCTTATAGGGAATCCTGTTGGCTTCATGGGATTTGGCTATCCTCTCTCTTCTGATTTCTTAAAAAGGTCAGATCTTACAAGTAAACAGTATAGGTTTCAGTTTGGTGACGTGTAACCTTAGCAAGAGTGACTCCATTTTGGGTTGGTCTACTGGGGCCTCATGCAGGAGTTCAGCCCAAATCAAAGGCCTTCCACAAATTTTATTTAACAGTTTCCAGGCTAATAGCTCAGGTAATAAAGGGCCAAGAACATTGGGTTTAGGCAATAGTAGGAGAAACAAGGTGAAGAAGCAGAGTCCTCCATTCTAGGGATCTGGAAATCCACAGATGGCCACTGAAGATACAGAGTAGACAAATTCTGTGAGCTACAGTGATGGTCTTCAAGCTTACTTGTTCACATATCACCTCGGTAAGAGAAAAACAAAAAACAAATAGTAAGAATGTCAGTATAGATGTGTGTCTGTATATGTATATAGATCATTACAAATAATATATACATATACAACTAGATTAATATATTAAGAGATCTTAAAATAGGTTTTTAAACATGCATTAAGTTTAGTAAAATTTCTAAAGTAATGGACTGAAGGTTGTCTTGTGTTTTTAATATTACTGAAAAATATTATAGTGGTTTGTTTTCTTGGTCTGGATGTTTAATTTTTAAAATATTTTTCAAACTGTGGTGACTTCATGCTACTATTAGCCAATTTTTAAGTGGGGAAATATACTTTTGTGGTAATATTAATAGTTAACAGTAATGGATGTTAATCCATATTTCAGATAGTCTCCTTAATTTCAATTTTTGGCTGATTTCTCTTTGGATCTGATTGTATTAGTATTTTTCAAATTGCATATCACAACAGCCTATTGAGGGATTACAATATTAATAATAATTATTTAATAAAATAGAGAAAATATCAGAGTATATTATTAAGTATTGTTCTGAAAAGCTCTCATTTCAATTATATAACTGTATCTCTATAGCTGTATATATTTACATGTCCATATATGCATATCTGAATACTGAATCATGATATGAAATCTGGTGATCAAACACTTTTGAAAGTGTTGAATTAGATAATTATTGTATTTACCCAAAACCTATAGCTTTTGAAGGGCTTATAGTAGAAGCAGAAATGTAAAGTCTACTATTTTCTTGCTTTCCTTTTGTACTTCCATTATTAACTCTGTTTCTAATGCTTGATTCCTTTGCACAGAGCTTTTTAAGCCAATTGTATTCACTTAGTTACAGCTAGATAATATAATCTGTGAATTCACTTAACAAGGCATATATCAGCTGCAACAGAATGAACGTATTGCGGGTGCTCTGACAGACCCCTTGATAACTCTTTCACCTTGGGAAATTTCCAGTACCATACCTGATTCATAACCTTCAGACATCCTGACTGAGAGAGGGTGCCAGTGGCAATCTTTATATGACCTAATTAGCAAAGCTTAATTTCTTTCTATTTTTTTAGACAAAAAATACATTTAAATAAAAATGCTGATATTTTCAGCCTGCACCCCAATGGGTCATTTTCAGTCATGCCCTGTGGAGCGTGTCCCCTGTTTGTAGGAGACATTGACTCATAGGCATGCTGGCCAGGGGTTGCAGCTACCCCTGTGTTCTGTTGTGACCTCATCTCACACCAGTCTTGTGCTTATTCGCCTGCTCTAGTCTAACCACGCTGAATGCACCAAATAAGTGCCTGCCTCAGCACATTTCCACGTTTCCAAGATCCCCATGAGGTCGGTTCCTTGTCATCATGTAGGACTTATCCCAAAAGACAACCTCTTGGAGAGGACTTCCCTACTCACTGCATTTTATGTAGCCCATTTCTCTCTTTCCGCAGCCCCTACTCTTTGTTCCATTATGCTCTTATTTATTTTATTTTTTTCACAGAAGTTACTACTATCTATTTAATGCTCCTTCACTCTACTTCAGACTCCCTTAGAACAGGACCCTGGTCTCCACTATTCACTTCCCTATCTGCAGTACATTGTCAAGGCTGAAAAGATTCGATGAATGACTCAGCACTTCTCCTGTTCTTCTGTTTCACTTGGGCCAGTCCCTTTGGGTCTCCTCTCCTCATTTGTTTCCAAAAGTGGTTCTTCCTCATGATATCATTTGGCAGAGATACTGTGTTAGGAAGGATGGGGTGATGGAAGGTGAGCCAAATGCTATGAGAACTCCCTAGAAGAAAGGCTCATGACCCAGGGGTTGAGGATGGAGGCTGGTCCTGGAAATCCTTATGGCTCACATCTGGTTATAAGATGATCAGGCCACCTATGCATTTGGGAACACAAACCTAAAAATGCTGATGTAGTAGGCTATTAACTCTACAAAATGTTGGGTCCTGTAGGCAATTTCCATGATTAGAAATTTGATTTCCAACTGGAGATGTATTCTTGAGACACAATTAGTAGAGGCTGCTAAGTTTTATCCCTGTAGATAAAATCCTACAGTCTGAACTTGGAACCAACCATATCAACTGTAGCAGAATCCCCTATCATGCCTTATGTCTTAGATGAATAAAGGAATGAATAAATAAATAACCATAGCAAATAATGAAAGCTGGGTCTGGCCGGTCTCTGACATTATTCATCTATGCAGTTTGCATCAGGGTTTGGTAAACCATGACCCACAGGCCAATTCCAGGCCACCACCACTTTTCATAAATGAAGTTCTGTTGGAACACAGAAATGCTCACTCATTGCTGTAGTGCCTTATGCACTATAACAGCAGAGCTGAATGGCTGTGAGAGACTATATGGCCCACAAAACCTAAAACATTTGCTATCTGGCCCTTTACAGGAAAACTTTGCTGACCCTTAGGCTAGAGAATGTCACTTAACTTCTATGGGCATTGATTTTTTTTTGTTTCTAAAATGAGTTGGACTTAATGGTGTCTGAGATCCTTTTCAGAGCTCACATTTGGTTTCCCTGGAATCTAAGACTCTATGTCCATAAAGAAATTCAAGGTGATACTAACTTAATGTTGTACTCATCATCTTCTCAGAAAACATATGATTTCAAGAAGTTATGTACTCATTAAATGGACATAAAGGTTTACCACATATATCTCTAAGACATACGGCATATTCCAGATTGAGTTCATTTCTGTGGTTTGATATTTAAGTGCTTGAAGCAATAGATTCATTATGTGGCTTAGTACCTTCCCAGTGCTTTCCCCAGGGGCTTTGCTAATTGTAAAGTAACTCAGAACTCTAGATAAATGGGTTCACTTACAATCTATAATGCTTTAAGCATGGATCTGGCATATATTTCAAAATAACTAAGGGAGTAAATTTCAAATGTCTCACCATGAAAAAGGATAGATAAGTGATGTGATGAATATGTTAATTAGCTTGATTTAATCATACCACATTATATACATATATCACAACATCATATTGTACCCCTTAAGTTTGTACAATTATGATTTGTCCATTGAAAATAATAGTAATGTTAAAAGAAATGAAAATAATGTTAAATATAACATTAAAATCACGGTTGAATTTCTTTGACTTGCTGTGAGGTCATTTTTGAGCCAGATAAGAAAATTGTTTGTCAATACACATCACAGGAGAAAAACTCTGGTTTAGGAAGAAAACTCTGTCTTGATTAAGTTAGAATCAATTGTATTATATCTTGATTGATTTTCTTGTTTTGGTTTAAATTATAAGTGCTTAAGTAAATAAACCCCTCATGGTTACCTTTCAAAGATCATTTGATCTGCAAAAATTTTGTTCAGGTCACAAAATTTCCATTGGATATTTCTTTCCATATGTGTCATACTTTCCCTGTTACTATTGACTGCACCCCATATCATGGGCCACTGAATATGAACATTACCATCAAATCATATAGTCCAGGGTTTCTGACAAACTGCACAAAAAGAAGTAGAATACATTGAATTTTGATCTGAGGATAAGTAGTAAGTTGCAATTCAGGCATTCTGTCTTTCCATTCATTAAACATTTATTGACCCTCTACTGTGTGGCAGTCCTGTGTCAGGAGCTAGATCTGTTTTATGTTAACTTTCATAGATTGCAAATCTATGGAAATTTAGAGATTTCACACCATGATCCCACTTGATGATTACCCCAAATTCGGGAAATTATCAAACCAAAGTTTTTACCCACCCCTCACGTTTGTGTGGGCCCTTGCTGGAAGAATATTAAAGTGGTGGGGTAAAGAGGTGAGCCCAGCCTGGCAACGCCTGGAGATGCTCCATCCTCCCCAAGGTGAGCTTCTTTATATGGGATGTTGATGTGGATGGGGGATGACCAGGAACCTTATGAACCTAAGGGCAGTGAAAAGGGCAGTGACATGGCGCTAGGGCAGGACAACCTCTGCATGCAAGAGGCCTGATTCATAATTCTTATACTGTGCTGCCTCCCAGACAAAAGCAGGAGACTGGGTTTTCAGCCCGGGGTGAGAGGGGCCCTTTTGGGTCTTCATAGTGCCCAGATACCCACTCCCAACCAAACTGCAAGAGCTGTGTCTCCGTTGGGATATAGAATGGGAGGACCAGGGAGGGGTCTATGAAACGTGAAAATTCTTTGCAAATCATCCATCACTCTTCAATTGTGACCCAACAGTAATAAAAATAGCATCTTGGACCGGCAGTAGGTAACTTTTTTTGCCTTTGGACAAGAAACTCTCTGAGCCATAATGTACTAGTGTGTGAAATAAGGGAATTGGACTAGATTAACTTGGAGGTCTTACTCAATTCTTACTTGCTATGGTTTTTGAACTTACATTGGCCTCCCAAATTAACTCTGCTTATATGAAGCTCATGCTCCACAGATCTCACGATAGCAGATGCAGCTGTGGCAGTGTCTGTTTGTATTCCCTAGGTACTCACCATCTCTGGGGCCTGTGCTGCAAGCACCTATGGCTTTGCCAGAGGCTGTGGTCTGGTTGCTGAGACATGCTTGGCTGGAAATGCAGAAGCATTAAAATCTTCAGGAACGATCCTCCATTAATGCCAAATATGAGTTGAAGAAAGATACCCTAGCATTCTTGTTCCCTGGGGGAGGCATCTCTGAAGTTTGTTCTTACCTACAGCAGTAACTTGTTGGTTAATGCACTCTGTGTTGGCTCCTTCCCTTTCTCACTTATGTCACCTCCCAAAATACCACTTGCACTCAGATCCTTATCTCAGGGTCTGCATCTGGGGGAATCCAACTGAAGACCAGCCCCAAACAAGTTCTATTGTGATTCGTCTAGTAGCATGCACATTAATTCACAGTGGGCAGGTCTTTGAGGAATACATTTTATTTGCCCCTACCAGGGTGGCCACATTTGATAAAAATACAGGACTCTATTTAAATCTGAATTTCAGATAACAGTAAATAATTGCTTAGTATAAGTATATCCTATTCCAAATATTCGATGAGATGTACTAACAAAATTCATTGTTTACTTGAAATTCAAACATAATGGGAGTCATCCTTAATTTTTCTGTCATCTGTAATCTCAACTCTGTTGGAGGGCATTGAGCATTGCAGCTAGACTGAATTCCACAGCTGGGGAAAGGAACGGTGGATTGGGATTGGCTTAGAAGATGCAAAATGTGGAGAGAGTGAAGTGGACCTAAAGCACAGTGTCCAGGGATGAAGCTGGATCAAGAACCCAAGAGTAGATGGGTGTAGGCTTGTGAATAAGGAATTATCAATTTAGTGGGCTTGCTCAGGGAGACAAAAACAAGGTGCAGCACAACAAAACTGCAACCAGCAATCTCAAACCTTGTGGGGAGGGAGATGCTGAAGTGACCAAACTTGCACAGACATTATTCATTTCCCTATCCCTACTGCCTAGCACAATGCCTAACTCATTTTTGGTGATCAGTAAACATTGAATGAATGATAGGAAGGGAAGATTGATAGAAATATGAAATTTTGCCAGCTATGAGTTTTATGGAATATGGTGCCCAATGAAAAATGCACAGAGCCTTTTTGAGCAATGACTTGCATCTGATTATAAATGCATAGAAAATATGAATTGCTGTGTGAATTCTAAGTAATGAGCTTTTCTAATGCTTTCCTCATTTTTCATTGCAGGTACAATTCAACTTAAGTCTTTCATGGTTAGACAGGTTTTTGAATGCCACTTGTATGTTCAAAGCTAATTTACTTAATAGCTACCTTATCTGAACCTTGAACAATATTACTGAAGCATTTAGATTGAGAGAAAGAGTTTGGGCGGAACATTTCCCATCCAATTTCAGAAGACTAATCAATTTACATTTTTAATGACATTTCCTTTTCTTTCTTCAGGAAGGCTGAAAGGGAGGATAAAATCTCATTCTATCTTTTTTATTTCTAACTATAAGTTCAAAGTTGAGAAAGATTGGTTTTATTCTCAGCAAACCATGTGATATTTTCCTTACTCTTTTACAGAGAAAACAAAGGGAAAAAGAAAGATAAATGACAGCACGTAGATAACACAAAAGTAGAGCCAACACTTCCTCAATTTTACTCTTGCTTTACAAAATGCAAGCAGGCTGCTCTCCAAAGGGTAGTTCCAACTTAAAATCATTTATTCTGTGGGTGATCTATTTTTTAGAGTTTAACATTTTGAGTTAACACTGTATCAGCCGTATAAGAAGGGCTGAAATCTATACCAAGGCATGGTCAGTTATTTAGACCAATTCTATGCATAAAATATTTTTAGAAAAGCTTGAAATTACTGAAGAGCCAACAAAAGCATGAAAGTGAAGGAAAATGTAAAATAACAAGTGTCTGTGAGGATGTGGAGAAATTGGAACCCTTGTGCATTGCTGGTTGAAATTTAATATGGTGTAGCCACTGTGGAAAACAGTTTGGTAGTTCCTCAAAAAGTTAACCATAGAAATTCCATATGACCCAGCAATTCTACTTCTAGGTATATGCCTGAGAGCACCAAATCTGCAGAAACACAAAAATATTTTCTCTACACTCCCCACTGTTGAAGACTACACTTTTCAAAATTTTATAAGGTTCAGTTTATCAACTCTGGACTATTTAAGAATGCTTTACCCCTAAGATCAGAAACAAGGCAAGGATTTCCACTCTAATAATTTCTATTCAGTATTTTATTGGAGGTCCTAACAAGTGGAGTAGCAAGAAAAAAAAAACAGATTAGCAAAGGAAGAAGTAAAACAGATTTCATTTGCATATTATACGATCATCTATGTAGAAAATTCTACAAAAAGTTTAATAGAACAATAAGTGAGTTTAGCAAAATTACAGATACAAGGTCACTTGTATCTGTACAAGTTATATAGTGATGAACAATCAGAAATTGAAATTTTATAATTAACATTTACAATAACATCAAGATATGAAATACTTAGGGATAAATTAGCAAAGAATGTTACTCTTTGCTGCCCTTTGCCATAGAACCTCAAAGCTACATCTGTACACTGAAAACTATAAAATATTGCTGAGGGAAACTAAAGAAGAACTAAACAGAGTTAATACTATATTCATGAGTCAGAAGACTCAATATTGTTTAAATGTCAGTTGTCCCTAACTGATCTATAGACTCGACGCAATCTCAATTACAATCCAGCAGGCTTTTTTTTTTTTAAAAAAAAGAAGAAATTAACAAGCTAATTGTAAAATTTATATGGAAATAGAAAGGACCTAGAATAGCGAAAACAATTTTGAAAAAGAAGAACAAAATTGCAGGATCTATAGTACTTGATTTTTAGGCTACAGTTACCAAAACTTATCTGTGAAAAGTCAGGCATATAGGTAATGGAACAAAATAGAGATTCCAGACATGGACCCTGTAATCCCAACTACTTGGGAGGCTGAGTCTCCAGAATCACTTCATCCCAGTAGGCAGAGGTTGCAGTGAGCCGAGATCGCACCACTGCACTCCAGCCTGGGGAACAAGGTGAAACTCTGTCTCAAAAAGAAAAACAAAAACAAAACAGGATGGTTGTGTCTGTACTGAACATGTGAACATATAAATACCTTTTTTTGTGTGTCATTATTCCCTGAACAATACAGTATAACAACTATTTTATTTTTTGAGACAGGGTCTCGCTCTGTTACTCAGGCTGGAGTGCAGTGGTGCAAACACAGTTTACTGCAGCTTTCACCTCCAAGGCTCAGGCGATCCTCCTGCCACAGCCCCTCCTGTAGCTGGGATCAGGATGAATGCCACCATGACTGGCTAGTTTTTTAAATTTTTGTAGAGACAGGGTCTCACTTTGTTGGCCAGGCTGGTCTCGAACTCCTGGGCTCAAGTGATCCTTCCGCCTCAGCCTCCCAAGGTGCTGGGATTTCAGGCGTAAGCCACCATGCCTGGCTATAAAAACTATTTACACAGCATTTATATTGTATTAGGCATTATAAGTAATCTAGCGATGATTTAACATATACAGGGGAATGTGCATAGGTTGTATGCAAATACTACACTATTTTACATAAGGGACTTGGGCATCCTCGAATTTTGGTGATTATCAGAGGGAGGTCCTAGAACTAGTCTCCCACATGGAGCTTGCATTCTACAGTGAATACAGGTACTTGCAATGTAGGGCAGAATGTGATCACTACTTTTACAGAGGTACAAAGTCCTTTAGAAGTACTGAGGTGGGGAGATTAATTCCCTGGAAGAAAGTGGAAGACATCCTAGAAAATGGCCTGTGAATCATGTGTTTGAGGAAAGATTGGTTTTGGTCAAGAAGAAGAGAAATGGTGTTTTAGTGGCAGGGAATATTGAAAAAAAACAACAATAACAAATGTTTGGAGGTGAAAATTCATAGGGAGCTCATCATATTCCTTAACAGGATTGGCACTAAAAGCATGACAAATGGCAGAAGGGAGGAAGGGCCAAAAAGTGAGACTGGAAAGAGGAGGCAGAGGCCTTGAACGTGAATGTCAGGCTGTGGATTAAGGAGTTCATCTGAACAACTTTAAATAATTCTCAACCTTTCTTAAAAGGACATAAAATTATTTTTCTCTTGGCCAGTCAAAAAAGCTCATATTCATAAATGATTTTAAAGGCATTCAAAATGTACATTTAGATTTTAAAACTAGGAAGAATAATATAATTTTATGTAAAAAGCATGAAATCTTTCAAATCTGCTCATAGATATTTTCTTTATTATCTTTCTATATAATCCTAGAAAATAAGCTCTTTGAGGGCAGGGACATGTCATTTAATTCTTTCATATTTGCTGCTGTGCAGGCCATTTGATAGGTATAACCAGCTGTGATATAAAAATGCTCTCAACATTAGTAAGAAACGAGCATTTCCAAATTTAAAAAAGGAAAGAAAAATCCACAACCTACAGCCAAGGAATAGATCTGGAAAACAGGCTAGAAACAAGAGACTTTGTTTCTTGAAGCTCCTGCTCCCAAATTCCAGCTCTCAAGTGGAGCTCCCCGACTCCACCTCCATCCAGGCCGCACTGAATATCCTGTGAATTTCCCAAGGCCAACAAGCTTCCTCCTCCTAGAATCCAGCCCCTAGAAGGGGACACAGTTCACCCATCTCAGAACACCATTCTGCTTTGTTGAAAACTCTTTTCTTCCTTCTTATCCCAAAGGAAATGGGACACAGAACCTCTCTTTGCGGCACACTCAATACCCTCTCCCATAGGAAAGCATAAACCTCTGTCCTTCAGTCACTGACCCCCCTACACTAATCTCCAAAATAAGCCCCCCAGAGGGGACAGAAAGCCTTGCTGACACCGCTTACCACTTGAGGATCTTTACCACTTGAGGATTTTTTTTTTTTTTTTTTTTTTTTGAGATGGAGTCTCGCTCTGTCGCCCAGGCTGGAGTGCAGTGGCGCGATCTCGGCTCACTGCAAGCTCCGCCTCCCGGGTTCGCGCCATTCTCCTGCCTCAGCCTCCGGAGTAGCTGGGACTACAGGCACCCACCACCATGCCCGGCTAATTTTTGTATTTTTAGTAGAGACGGGGTTTCACTGTGTTAGCCAGGATGGTCTCGTTCGCCTGACCTCGTGATCCGCCCGCCTCGGCCTCCCCACTTGAGGATCTTGTCTTCTTTTTTATCACATTCACTCCCAAGACAACTCCCACTCTGTACTATTTCTCCCTCTGGCGTGCCATTCTTTTTAATGAAATACCATCACCTGTAAACTTGCTGAATTGCACTTTTGCTTTTGAACAATCCATCTAATGTTCTCAGCATTGAATTTAAGT
Source organism: Homo sapiens (assembly GCF_000001405.40). NCBI lineage: Eukaryota > Metazoa > Chordata > Mammalia > Primates > Hominidae > Homo > Homo sapiens. Next base: position 11,876,312 of record NC_000023.11, read on the forward strand.
AGACTGTTGTTCGTGTATTTAATTGAAAATAATTTTTTCCTCATTTTTTTTTTTTTGCTTGAATCTAAGGCTCTTTAGGAAACATCCCACCTGTGGTTGATAACAGTTACACAATTGGGCTCAAGATTTATGTCCTCATTATCTCTGCCTTGATTGGTTTTGCTGTCAAAGATCAACTAGGCATAGTTTTCCAGAACAAACCCTTCTTGCAATGGATGATAGATACCAAGGTAAAATAAGAAATATGTAACTGAGGAGAAGTGAGCATATTCCAAATAGCAGGATTTGGGAACTTGGAGACTATAGCAATGAGAGGTTTGGCAGAATGTCATTGGAGAGTTATTTCCCCACTTTAAATGTGTCTCCATTGTGACAAATCAAATTGGCCACCTGCACTTGGGCATATGAGTCGTATGTTTCACCAAAACCCTTGACTGTTTACCTACCATTTGTCTTTGGCATGAGCCCATCTCAAATATAAATGATACTCCTCCTGTCTTGAACAACTTCACTAAAGAAATGGGTCTATAGCAGTGGTTTCAACCGGGGTTGATTCTGCTTCCCAGGAATATTTGGCAATGTCTGAAGACACTTTTAGTTGTCACAGCTGGGGAGATGCTACTGATATCTACTGGGCAAAGGCCAGAGATGCCACTAAACGTCCTACAATGCACAGGCCAGCCCCCCACAGCAAAGGAGTAGCCAGTCCAAAAAGTCAATAACGTCAAGGTTGAGAGACCCTGGTCTAGAGAAAAGGAGACATTGCATATCACCCAAAAGAGTATTCCCTAGTGCCCTCTGTCTATGGCATGGGAAGCTAATGCTTTCTAAAAGCTGTCTGGATCAGCTTTTTCTCGCCAAGTTTAAATTACTGGATAGGATCTAGCACTGAAATTGGCAACTTTCAAATAGCTTTAAGGTAGATGCGTTAAATCTCAAATTTGGATGAAACACAAGAAAGCCATGGGAGAAGTTAAGCAGCAATTTGAAATCTAGGAGCAATGTGAGAACTGTGTGCAGGTGGCTTCACTCCAGCTCAGAGCGCCAAATATCCCATCGTGAGTTCTCAGATGGGGAGGAGCAAATACACATTTTTCATCAGAGGCAGATGCTGAAGCTGCAGTTATGGCCCATTCAGACCTTCAGAAGGTGCCCCTTCATTCCCAGTTTGATATCACTTTGATTCTAACTGCACCGGGTTGTCCTGATTCAGAGGGGTCAGCACAGAACTGCAGTCAGAGATCTTGCTGTTGACTTGTCCATTTTTATGTTCCATGTCAGACCTAATTGCTGTTTTCTTAAATAAGTAGTCTGTACATCTTTACTCGTGGTCAGGAAAAAAGTTCCTGTTAATAATTTACAAAAGGCAGAGCCACTCCTCTTTTGCATCCTCAAATCTCTTGGAGCACGTGATTGTTTAAGAATATCTGGTTTCCAAGTAGCTGAGTGATGAAATATGATTGGCCTCTCAGCATCGATTCCTCCTCTCCTTCCTCTCTCTCTCTTCCTGGATAGCAGTTGTTATGATACAATCATTCTTCTTATAAAAGAATAAAGAAGAGGTTCTCTCTTTCCATCCTTAGGAAAAGGTGGGCTGTTTTGGCTTCCTACCATGGAGGAGGACCTTGAAGGAGAAAACTGGCAGACCTTCTCCATTCCCTGGTGCTTCAGCAGGGCAGCTGAGGATGAAGGAGAACATATTTGCCAGTGAGTAATGGTCTTCAAGGAAAAAATATCAGGGGTCTTATTGTTGCTTTCTGAGATGAGCTTGTGCTTTTCAGTAGGATGAATTTATTTGGAAAGAATTGAAAGCTGTGTCTCAGAATTATACAAGAACGATGCCTTTGGAGAAAAATGAAGTCCTTCTGAGTTTTGTTCAGGCAATTCAAAAATTTAAAAAGAATATTGGAGGCAAGGCATGAATATCCTGTAAAACAGAAGGACAAAGCCGTATACTACTTTGGTCATTTATTTCCTTAGGAATAAATGTCCACAGGCACTTTTGGGAAAAGAAAAACTGATTTTAGCTGCCTGTTCATTTCTATGGTATTATAATAGGCTATAATTCACAGTAAACTTTTGGCTGCACTTTTTACAAGGGAATTGAATTGTGTGCTGTGTTTATTTTCTTTTAAAGATGCTGTCTTCTCAGTGACAAATATATCTGTCAGGATGAAAAGTTTTGATTTTTCAACAGAAAATGCTATGTTGGCTATGCAAATTGGTTTGTATTTAATTGTTTCTTTATGTTCAATGGTCTTGATAAATACGTTTTTCTCCCTTGAGAACCATCATAATTTTACAGAAAGTTCAGACTATTGCTGAATGGCTTATGATTTATATAAATATGTAATTCTTTTCTTGGGGTTGTCTAGCTTTCAAATACGAGAAATTCATCAGTAATGCACACACTTTGGAATGCTGATTGGAAAATTTCCAGTTATTCTGATATTTAATGCTTTCTCATTAATCACTGGCACTGTATATTATAAGACCCTTATAAATTTGTTTAGATGATATTCTTTCAGTAGATTCTATGATTATTGAGTGTTTAAGCAGGGCAATACAAACATTATGTGCAGACCCAAATATAGAGGAACTGCCACAGGTTAAGAGAAGCTCTCCAGATTGATAAAAGTCATTGCCCTCAACTTTTGCTACTTGAGACTTTGAGCCAAATGTTTTTGAGTTTCCATAATTTTTCATGTCAATAATTACTTGGTGGCACTATTTGTCTACAACACTTTTGAGATGAGTGCAAATGAAACCTTTTTTTGTTATGCAGTTCACTGTAAGGTAGATTTAGAAATTGATGTTATTCTATGAGACTCAAACACACAAAAAAGTCTGACATTTGGAACTAGCTACTGTGATCCCCAAAAGCTGTTGGCTTGCAACATAATTTCACTGGATGACTTTTCTTTTTAGCGCCTACATTTTTCTCCTGATTTCTTACTTGAAGGGTGAAATGATTGAATGTTTGGGCTCTGGAAAGTCATCACTTAAGACATAGGATCCTGGGATTTGTGCCTCCTATCTTTCCTAATCAATAACATTCAAAGAAATAGATTCAGCTCCAAGCTCACTGAAGCTTGTTTATGGGTTTGGGAGGAAGTAAGTAATAAAAGAGGTAAGAAATATTTTAAATCAAAATACTAGGCCAAACCACTGAATTCCAGTTCAATAGTCTCTTGACTATTATAGCATCTATCTAGTAAAAGGTCTGGCTGTGATTTGTTCTCTTAAAATTAGTGCTATATATGTCTCTAAAGACTGAAGCTTTTTGTTATCCCTGGATACACCTAATAGTTTGATAGTCATTAGATTATCCAGGTTACTATATTATTTTATATATATAATTCTATTTTATTTTTAGAATCAACATAAAAAGAAACCATTATTATCACTTCAGCTTAGGTCTGCAGTGGAGAACACTCTCAACTATAGAACTATGTAAATATAGTTCAAGATTCAATGGGCAGGGATAATTATCATAGAGCCACAAGTGACGCTAGTTCAGTTTGCTCAGCTGAGTCCTACTCATGCTGTTAGCTTCGCTAGAATAAGGTCTATAATTTTTAGTCTGTCTTCCAATGGAGCAATTGAGGTTTCCCAGACTGGGGGTCTCCATGCTCCTCCATCTGTATGCCTCATGGCTGATCTGAAGGACTTATTATCATAAGACTCAAGTAAAGAGAGAGATTTACTTTTCTAAAGTTTTATAACTCTTTAAAATTAAAGTGACTTGAGATTGTTTTTGTTGTTTTGCTGTTGATTAAAGAGCAGCTAGTTCCTTTGCCAAGTAAAGCAGGTACATGGAATGGTTAGGACCGTGTTTTCTGAAACCAGCTTGATCTGGTATGCACCCTAGAGCCTTCATTTATTGGCTATATGATTTTGGGCAAGTTTGTCAGCTTCATTAAGCCTCAGTTCCCATATCTCTAAAATGAGGATAATACCTATTTCATCTGGTTGGGGAGATAAGTGAGTTACTATAGGAATTTCTCCTAACACAGTGCCTGGTTCATCCAATTATCTAGTTATTGATGATGATAACTAGATCATCACTTATTGTTAGTACTATTAGCAGTGAGAATAGAGACTTTCAAAAGCTCTTGATTGCATGCCTTCAAGTTCAGTTTGTTGAGTGAAAATTATAGGCTATATTGCTATATATCCTAATAGAAAGAATGATTCATTTAGGACTTGGGAAAAGGAGTGAGTACAGGAAGATGAGAGAGATAGTTTAATACTTCTGTCCTGTGCAATTTTTTTTGTTTTCCTAACACAAAGCTTAGTATAAAGTATAGTGAAAATTGAATTCACTTATTTTTATTTATTTATTTTTTGAGACAGAGTCTCACTCTGTCACCCAGGCTGGAATACAGTGGCACAATCTCAGTTCACTGCAACCTCTGCCTCCCATTTTCAAGTGATTCTCGTGCTTCAGCCTCCCAAGTAGCTGGAATTACAGGCACGCACCACCACACCTGGCTAATCTTTGTACTTTTAGTAGAGATGGGGTTTCACCATGTTGGCCAGGCTGGTCTTGAACTCCTGACTTCAAGTGATCCACCCACCTTGACCTCCCAAAGTGTTGGGATTACAGGCGTGAGCCACTGTGCCTGGCCTTGAATTTATTATTAGTGGGTTTATTAAATGAGGCAAAACAACAAGATGAGTGTATTTCAGTTCAACAAATATTTACTGAGAACCTACCACATTGCAAAATGCTGGAGTTCAAAGATGAAGACAAAGTTACAATGAGATGCCGTGCCACACCTATGAAAATGGCTAAAATAAAAATGCTGGCAATGCCAAATGCTGACAATTCCAAATGCTGGCAAGGATGTGGAACAACTGGAACTCTCATACATTGCCAGTATAATCTATTGGCAAAATAGTACAGTCACTTTGGAGACAGTTTGGCAGTTTCTCATAAAGCTAAAAATACATCTGCCATAATGCTCATATAATCCCACCCCGGGTATTTACCCTAGAAGAATAAAAACTTACATTCCCACAAAACCTTCTCATGAATGTTTACAGCAAGTCTATCAAAATTGCCCCAGACTGGAAACAACCCAAATACCCTTTAATGGATGAATGAATAAACAAACTATGTTAAATCCTCACAATGGAATACTACTCAGTGATACAAAGAAGCAAATTATTGATACATACAACAAATTGGATGAATGTCAAAGGCATTGGCTGAGTGAAGCCAGTTTCAAAAGGTTATTTACTGTACAATTCCATTTATAAGACATTTTCAGAGAGACAAAACTACAGTGACAGAGAACAGATCAGTGGGTGCCAAGGATTAGGGGTTGGAGGAGGGTGTGTCAGCACCCTGGGTGGTGGAAATATTCTGTATCTTGATTGTAGTCATGGTTACACAAACATATACATGTGATAAAGTTTATGGGACTGTACATCCTCCAAAGTCCATTTTATTGTACAGTCATTTAAAACATGAAAAATAAGAATATTAGTTTCTTGCCCTTAAGGAGTTCATAGGTTCAGTGAGGGAAAAACACAAACACGAATAAGTATAATACAGTGCAGTGAATGCAGCGATTAAGACTAAGACATACCAAGAACAGAGTTACCAACCAGCTTGACATGCCAGGCTGGTATGCAATGAATGAGTTACAAAAGTATCCGGGTGTTGCTGCACAAGGTTTATGAAAGCCAGAGACCCAGGCCAGTTGCTTTTGGCCAAGCACAGTCTTGTCTACCCTCAACCATTTTCTATGTGTGCCAAGATATAAAAAAAAGTTTGAAAAGAGTCTTGGCATAGTGTATTGTGAGAGCATAGAAGAGGAACACATTGCCTGGCGGACTGGGAGGGGGAATTCCCAGGGAAAGACTTCATAGAGGAGACAACACCTGCCCTGGGAATTAAAGGGTAAAGAGGAGATAGCCAAGAGAGGGCTTCTTCAGGGGAGGAGGAGGACATTTCAGCAAGTCATTCCTTGCCTGAGAAAGGTACAAAGGGGTCGAAGAGTGAGGTGTGAGTTGGGAACTCTAGGGCGTTCAAGATTATAATAGTGTGAGTGGGGCTGGCAAAGAGAGACTGTGAACAGATTTATAGAGGACCTTGTATAATAAAGGAGCATTTTGTTTTATGACATAGTTTGAGCATCCCTAATTCGAAAATCCAAAATTTGAAACTTTTTGAGCACCAACATGACGCTACAAGTGGAAAATTCCATACCTGACCCCATGTGACAGGTCGCAGTAAAAACATGGTTAAAACTTTGTTTCATGCACAAAATTATTAAAAATATTGTGTAAAATTACCTTCAGACTATGTGTATAATGTATATATGAAACATAAATGAATTTCATGTTTAGACTTGAGTCCCATCCTTGAGATATTATGTATATGTAAATATTCCAAAATCTGAAAAAATCTGAAATCCGAAACACTTCTTGTCCCAAGCATTTTGGATAAGAAATATTCAACCTGTAGTAGATTTGGAGCATATTTAGGGGCTCCCAGGGATGAGGCAGCAGAGAGGGTGATTTGATAAAAGAGAGAGGAGACTGGAGGGATGAGGTAATGGGAAGAGGTATAGGGTTTGGTCTTAACTGTCAAGTCCTAGAGAACTCTTTGGCAACACATATGGCTTTAATGGAAGACTGTGTCTCCTGGGGAGGTCCCTGCATTCATTCATCCATTATTAAATTCATTCAAACACTCTTTATTGAGCGCCTGCTCTCTGCCAGGCGCTACTCTAGGCCTTCGGGATCCAACAGTGAATGAAACCAAAGCCCAGCCTTTACAGAGCTGATATTTTAGGGGCCAAATGAGCTGAGCTTTGGCAAATTTTTGGAGTGTAAGGGGCCTCTGAGACATCCAGGTTGGCAACACCTAGTAAGTAGATGTTAGCGGTGAAGAGCAGTCTGGGCTACAAATATAAATTGGGGATCATTGGCACAAAGACAGAAATTGGAAACTTAGGCATTGGTTGAATAATCTATTTCTTTCACCTCAGTTCTCAATGATTTGCCATTGGATCTGGTCCTTATGTGTGAGGAGGGATGTATCTAGCTTATGCCATAATCTCAGGGTGCTCATTTACCCATACTTCTTTTTTTATGGCATTTTGGTAAAAGGCTCTCTAATCTTTCTTGAGGAGATTGTCTGAAGATTAACAAATATCTCTGATATGCAAAGCATTATACTAAGCTCTAGGGGGGATGGAAAATAAATAGTAGATCTAGTCCCTGTTCTGAAAACACTTCAAATCTACAAGGAGAGATCACCCCTATACACTTTGTAAATGGTCCATGGTGCTTGAGGACAGCCATAAGCAAATTCTAGGCTGCTAAGGAGATTGAAATTCTAGCTGAAATTCTAGGCTGCTAAGGAGATTGAATCTTCCAGTACGTATGCACAGGCAGAGCTGTAAAGTAATTGTCAAGGACACTTCCAAAGGGCATATGGTTTGAAACTGGTTTCTGATGCCCTGAATCCACACTGGGTTGGAATGACATAGGCCAAGTTATTGGGTCTGACTTGAGATAATTCAGATGGGCACATGCGTTTTGAAACAATTTTGACCCAGCTGTGTTGGAGCTCTTGTGACTTAGGTACCTATTGATGCCACTATGTTGATGTGGTCCCAGAACAAATCATTGAAATTCCAGCTGTTCTGATAACCAGGAAATAAACAAATGGATGTCCTTTCTTCATCTTAGGGCCTCATCTCCCCTGTGGTGGAGTTGGGACAAGGTGGGATTCAGAGGTGGGATGAGGTAGGGTACAGGCTCCATCTGGCAGGCAAAGAACCCATGACAGGGATTCATGTGCTAACCTTGTCCTCTGCTCATAAAGGACCTTTTGTCATTCTAAGCTGAGTGATTGCTCATTCTTAGAGATGTCATGGACACCTTGAATAAATGGTCTACATCTCATGTTAATTTCACCTTTAAAATCATGATGGCTCTACTTGTTTATATTCAATAAAGAATTACACTTAAAAATATTTCCTTTTCCATTTGATAATTGAGGGGATAGACGTCTCTGCTATTTTGAAGGCTTTTTGGTTACACTCAGTTTTATTGATCAGTGTTATGTTGCTTGTTCAAGGGAAGAAGGAGGAGGAATTTACATGTCCTTATTCTCAGTGCCATACTGCGCAGAAAGTCTTCAAATAAATTCTTAAGTGTTTTTCTAATGTGTGTGTATATATGTGTATGTGTGTATATATACGTATATGCAAACACACATTAGAAGAACAGTTAGGTATTTATATATACACACATATACATATACACACAAACACACATACACATAATATGAATATATATATATCCACCAATATTCATATTATAAATTTCCTTTGAATTTATGGTTTTAAGAGATAATTGAGTTACCCTTTGAGACTTAGTTCTAACAGACTTAAAAAGAGCTTTATTACCTTTTTATTATAAAATTAATTCATTCTTATAAAAATTTTTAAAATACTGGCGTGAATAAAGTAAAATGTGAAATCTGCATAATAGAGGAGAGATTAAATATAGAATAAGGATCAGGGATGTCTATCATGTGCATGACTTTGTAACAAAACACAGATTTCACATTTTGGTGGGCCCTTTTGACAAGGATCCCGACTCACCATTGCTGAATCATAATGTTCCTTGGCATGTAACAGGCCCATCGAAATGGATGCACCGAAACTGTTGTGTCATCCCACTTCTAGGTATATTATCCAAAAGAATTGAAAGCAGGATATCAAAGAGATATCTGTACAGCCATATTTACAGCAACATCATTTATAATAGCCAAGAGGTAGAAGAAGCCCAGTGTCCATCAGTGGATAAATAGATAAGCAAAATATGATATATTCATACAATGGAATATTATTCAGCCATTAAAAGGAAGGAAATGGACACAGGCTACAACATGGATGAACCTTCAGGATATTATGCTAAGTGAAATAAGCCAGTCACAAAAAGACAAAGTGCTATATGATTCTACTTATAGCACTTATTCTACTTATATGAGGTATCTAGAGTAATCTGTTGCATAGAGACAGAGAGTAGACTGGTGATTGACAGGGGCTGGGGGGTGGAAGAATGGGGAGTTGTTTAGTGAGTATAGCCTTTCAGTTTTGCAAGATGAAAAGCATTCTGGAGATTGGTTGCATAATAATGTGAATATATTTAAGACTACTAAGCTGTACACTAAAAAATGGTTAAGATAGCACATTTTATGTGTATCTTACCACAATTAAACATTTTTTAAATGTTAAAAAAATAGCCATTGTGTTAACATGCCCTGCTTTGGTGTACCTACCACCAATAAAATTAGGACTCTTTTCCTAGTGCCGTATAGACCTGAGGTGTTACTGTTGTTACACTTTTTGTCTTCCATTGTCTTTAGGGCACGGGGCTTCAATAATCCAGGAGATCCATGAACTCCTCTATACTTAATGCAATTTTATATCTGTTTAAGCATTTTCCTGGGAGAAAGGGCCCATCGCTTTTTTCAGTTTTTCAAAGAGGCATGTTATCCCCTTGCCCAAAAAGGGAATCTTAGCAGCATAACCCCATAGGTGGTTTCTATTCCACTGACCTTATTAAATTGTGCATGAAAGCTATTATTTCGAAGCTTTGAGTTGAATGTATACCCAAATAAAGCAAAATCTTATTAAGGTTCATTTATGCTATTGATTATCCATCTATACTTTTAGTGGCTGAGATGATTTTATGGCCAAATACTTATAAAACCAAGGTGCCCCTGGGAGATGCCCAGAGTAGAGCATGCTTTATTCTGCAGGGCTGCACATGCCCCCAAGGAATCATATTTGTTAGTTTCTCTACTTTTCCCACACAAATCAGGAAGGTGTAACAAATGGTAATTGATGATTCAAACTCCATTAATCTGTACTACCTATTCATAATTTTCCCGAATATGCACCCCAAGTTTTTGAAGATTTTTAAGGTGACAACTAAGGAGTCTTCTGTCTCAATAAAGTGGATTTCTAGAAGGAAACAGTGGGGAAATACGTTGAAATTACAGAGAGGAGATCGATTTAGACAAACCATTTTTTTTTTCCTGATTACAAAGCACAAAGCCAGTGCTTTGAAAAGCAAACAGAGATGTCAGAAGGTCTTTCCCCAGGCAATTCAATATGTACCTGAAGGACCCTTCTCTGACAGTGACTGTGCTTTGCCCTTTCAAAGCTCACTCTCAGGTACAGATTGTTATCCAGTATTACAGATAATTGCTGACTGGATTTAACACAATTCTCCCAGGGGACTGAAGCTAATGGGTTAGAAATTCTGTGTATTTAATGTGTTTGCCCAGGAAGACCATCTCCCCTTCCTAAAACAGAACTCAAACCCCTAAAGTGAAGAAGGTGCTCACATATTCTATACACATAAAGTCAGCTCCAGTAATCGTGACTTTTTTTTTTAACTTTTTTGCTTATTCTATTTCTCCATTTAATTTTATTATTTTAAAAATCTGATAATTATATCTTAATACCAACCCTCCTTTCTGACTCAGAACTTTTGTACTAATTGTTCCCTTTCTCTGGAATGCTCTCTCCCACATGTCTCTGCTTACATGTCTCCTCGGGGGGACCTTTCCTGATGACCTCACCTAAATATTGTTCCTCCCCACCACTCTTCTGACTCAGCTTTAGTTTTCTACAGCATTCTCACAATCATCTAGCATTCTTATGCATTTATTCATGTGTCTATTGTCTGTTTTTCTCCACCAAGATATAGGTACTCAAAGAATATCCTTTTACTCCAATTTTAGATTACTGTAACTTCTTCAATCTTGGCCTTTTAACTTCAGTGTTAAATGAATAGATGAAAGAATATTCAAGGAAGATTTAACTGCAGTGGGTTGAGTTAACCCTTCTTGTTTCTTCTTGTTTCCTCTATCCAAGGCCATCCTTGAGAAAGCTTGTATGCATTGACATTCATCCTGTGGAGTTCTAATAAGATAGGTAAGCAACAACAAAGAAGGAGCCCCAGGTCAGGGAGAACAATTGTTCTGAGACACGGCTAATCACAGACAACCTGCAGGCACCACACCCTGTTCCCACATACCTCGCTCCACATGTAGCCCCAGCAGCAGGACCTTATCTGCACACCTTATCTGCACATAGCCCCTCCAGTATGAACCTATAAAACTTCCCTCCATCCTCTGCCTCTTGGCAGACAGCACCTTCTTTGCTGTGCTGCCTATTGCACCCTTGCAACATATGTTTGTACTTTCTTTAATAAATTTGCCTTTCTTTACCTACAACTGTCTTGGTAAATTCTTTTTTCATCTGTGACACTGGCTCCAACCAGTCACACCCGGGACAGATTTATTTAATTACTTCATTGAATGCTAACTGTGTACCCAGCCGATCTATGTGCTGGTAGGAAGGTAGTATTATACCATTATTAAACTAGTCCTTTGTCTCTCCGAGAATATTTGAACACTCAATCATGATTTTTGGTTGGAACTTTCATTTAAAATGGGTGTTATTCTGAGGGCTCACATTACCAGTATATCAGAATTGTGTTCTTCCCTCGGGTTTTCATAAAAACAGGTAGCAAAATGATAACATAGATAAATGGAGTTTTGAGAAGTTGCCTACAAGATTAATTTCCTTTTTTAAAAAATGGGTTTATTTTCCAGTACAGTTAAAACATTATTTGTAAGTGCAGAATTTTCTTACAGAAATGTGTATAAAGAATATTATAAAACAAGTGTTAATTTTGTTTTTTCTTACATCTTATTCTTAACCATTGAACTCATTTTATTGGACTATCATTGGAAAATTTTAATTCTGAGGTTTCACATTATCAATAGCAATTACTTAGAAAATATTTTCCAAATAAAACATATTATAACTAGGATGTGGATGAGAGGGCTAAAGATGATCACTATGTACATCAAATCCTTTATGTTTATTTCCGAAATTCTACTTTGTGTACACTTTTCAAGAGTCCTATGTTGTCATTTTTTTGGTTTTAACACTACACCTTCACATTTTTTACCTGTATTACAACTCTGAAATTCTATTCATATTTCTATAGCATATATTTTACAATAACCTTGTGTCTTCACAATTTACTAATTTAGTGAAATTATGTGTGCCATAGCAAAAATAATTTTAAAGGTCTATTTAAAATTATCATCCTCTGTGTAAAGGACATCTGATACTTTCTAGAATGTATTTGTCAATAGGGCTGTTTCATTTTTATATAGAAAATTTGAACACCATGACTCAACCATTACATAGTTCTTTTTACCCCCTCATTTATCCAAGTTTAAGTTATACAGGCATACCTTGGAGATATTGCAGGTTGGTTCCAGACCACTACAAGAACACAAATATTGCAATAAAGTGAGTCACACAAGTTTTTTGGTTGCCCAGTATATACAAAAGTTATGTTTATACTATAGTCTATTAAGTGTACAGTAGCATTATTTCTAAAAAAAATGCATACCTTAGTTTAAAAATACTTCATTGCTAAAAACAAATGCTAACATTATCTGACACAGAGATAAGAAGTGAGCACATGCTGTAGGAAAAATGGTGCTGATAAAGTTGCTCAACGCAGGGTTGCCACAAGCCATTATTTGTAAACAAAACACAACAAAGCAAAAACTATCTGCAAAGCACAATAAAGTGAAGAGCAATAAAATGAGATATGCCTGTACTTCTTCATAGAACTGTTATCTAATTCTGGAATATACTTACTGAGTACCTTCTAGGCATCTGTAGAATTTTATTATTGATGCTAAAATAATTTGAGTCTCAAATATATGTTTAGTGCACTATTATTAATTGATATGTGTTCTCTAACTTTTTTGTAATATATGCTATAGCATTCCCAAATATAATGCAAGTTTCTTGGAATTACGTCCCCAACTTCTCACATTCCCCACTAGCCCTGAACAAATAGGTGCTCCTCAACTTAGACTGGGCTACATCCCAATAAGCCCATCATAAATTGAAAATGCTGTTAAGTTAAATGTGCATTTTTGACTTAAAATGGGCTTATTTGGACATAACCCCATTGTAAGTCCAGGAGCATACTGAATGTTGTAAGTTGAACCATTGTAAGTCTGAATGAATTGAATTTAATACAGAAGAGAGGTCTTCATTAAGAACTATATAAATGTAAAAGTCACTTCTCAGCATATATTCAGCCCTCCAGTTAATAGGCATATTTCTTTATAATTATTCCAAGTGTTGTGGCTTTAAAAATTTCTATTATCTCCTATGTGAGCAGAACATGTGTACAGCTATTAATTGCCATATAACAAACCATCCTAAGACACAATGGCTTAAAACAACAAAAATTTATTATTTCTCAGAATTTTGTGGATGAGTTCAGCAGTGTGGTTCATTTGCTGCATGAAATCATAGCAGGGGTTTCTTGTGTAGCTACGTAAAGCTGGGAAGTCAACTGGGGCTGGAATGTCCGAGAGGACTATGCTCATGTGTCTGGCATCTCAGCTGCAGTGCCTAATAGAGCTGAGTGCTGGCTGGACCATTTTCTTTTCCTTTTCAGCACTCTAGCCTGAGCTTCTTTACATGGAAGCTGAATGCCAAGAAGGCAAAAAATAAAAAATAGAAAACAGAAGCTGCCAAGCTTTCTAAGGCTTAGGCCTGGAAATCACAAAGTTTTACTTCTGTCACACTCTCCTGATCCAAACAAGTAACAGGACAAGCCAGATTCAAGGGGAAGGGCTCTTTCTCTTGTTGGAAGGAGGGACAAAGTCATGTAGCAGAAGGGTTGGGGGAACTGTTGGCAGCCATTTTTGCAGTAATCTATTACAACATGGTAGCAAGGAAGGATTGTGAAATTATCTAGGTAAACTTTTAAATTTTTGCATTTGAGAAAATCAAAGTTTAGAGAAGTGAAATAGTTTGTTTAAGGTACCACAGCTGGTTTTCCAGACTCTTGCTGTGCAAAGTGCTGTCCTTAGACCAGCACCATCAGCACCTTTGAGAACTTATTTGAAATGCAGAATCTCGGACCCCACTCAGGACATACTAAATCAGAATCTGCCTTTCCCAAGGTTCCCAGGAGCTCTGAATGCACATTAAAGTGTGCCGAGACTCTCCTGCTCTTTTTACTTCTGCAACTGAGACAGAAGACCTACCACCTACAAAAGAAGATTGTTTTGTAGTCAGGGACTTGATTCAGCATGGAAAAGGCTTTGTTTTACTTATTGCCTATTATGTGGTTTGTTTTTCAAAGCCTTACCCTTAGCTCTTCACAGATATTATCAAATATAATCATCACAACTACCTTGAGGGATAATTATCATAACTCTTCATTTTACAAAAGAGGAAACTGATGTTCAAAGACAGGTGGTTAAATAATTTACCCATGTCACCCACACTTGTACATGGAGAAGCTGAATTCAAACCCAGGGCTTTTTGACTCCAAATTGCATGCTCTTAATTATGGTAGAGTATCCACTGGCAACTGCCATATGGCAGCGGTGAAGGAGTCTAAATGTTTAAAGGAAGAGAGTGTTAGAGGGGAGCCATGGCATGTGGCTGGCTTGGTGAGCTGTCACTTCTCTCCTGAAGCCTTCCCACTCCCAGTTAGCCTGAAGTGAAGATGCTGGCACAGGCATGTGACAGATGGTGCAGGCCTGCTCTGCCGTATGTGTGCTGCTCCCTGTTCCTGGGCACACAGCTGCCTGAGACAAGCCTTGCCAGCTGGGCAGCTGCCTCTTGGGGTGTCTCCAAGGGCTGTTGCTCAGAGAGTGCAGTCCAGCATTTTCTCTACTTCCTCTTTTAGACACGTCTTCCTGCCTTCCCTCAGCTCCTCGGATCTCTACCTGGGACAGAGAGCACTGTTTGGGTTCTGACTGGGAGCCAGTGCCAGACCTTGAGCTGCACATAACAGGTGGCTTATGGATAAAGCTCATCCAAAAATGGGGGAGCCATGGGAAGGAGCAGGGAATGGCTCCTCCTGGACTCCCTCTCCTGGGAGAGCTTGGCGCCTGCCAGAGCTTTCTTGCAACAGCTGTGCGTGGGATGGAAAGGCAATTTCCTCCTTGCTGTTCCCTTTCCAGGAATGAGAGAGGAAGAAATGAAGAATGAGGGACAAGTGCAAGGCAAGGACACTCCTCTTCCTAGACCCAGAAGCCGAGGGGAGAGGGGGCCAAGAAAGCAAGCTGGAGAATCATTCCACATTGGAGTAAAGAGAGCAATATTTATGTTTGCTTTGTTCCAGTCAGCACTTCATGCCACCACAGGATAGGTTAACAGTTGACATCTAACACTGGGTATGCAGTATTGTGCTAGCTCAGGTAATTACCCTCTCTGGATTAAAATCTCTGTGTTATCATGTTCCTTGGGTAAGTTACTTGAGCTTACTAAGCCCCAGAGTTCTCATCTGGAAAAATGGGAGTAATAATTTTATCTCCTCATAGGGTTGCTGTGAGTAATAAATGGGATAATACTTGTAAAGTGATTACATAGTCCAGTAACTGGCATTTAATACATATTTGATAAATGTCATTTAGTAGTATCAAAATTATTGTGAGAGTAGAAACTGTCTAGTTTACTATTATATCCCCAGCTCCAAGAACAGTTCCTGGCACCTAGTAGTACTCAGTATTATTTGATGAATGAATGAATGATTTGATGAATGAATAAGTGAACAAATTCTCAAATATCCTAACAGTCATTTTGTGCTTTATCAGAGGACTCAGTAGCTTATGTGTAGAGAAATGAAAACTTCCATGTGTGTACATGTGATTGTGTATATGTGTGTACATATGTTTAGGAGGTATATAGTATATGTATATAGGTGGGGATAGACAGATTTTTCAAGTGCTGTTTAGTTGGTCAGAAATGACGCTGCATTTTTATTTTCCTGGACCAAACTTCCCTTTTTCCTCCCTCCCTTTCTTTTCTTCCTAAATTCTTATTTTGGCTTTGATGTCAAAATCCTGCCTCGGAGCATATCTATAGGCGGCTTTCATGCTCACAGAAAAGAGTAAACTGGCTTGAAACCCAAGGCCCTTATCAAGTGAAATGACAAAGCATTTCTGCCGTAAAGATGGTCTTTCAACAATTCAAACTAAGCACCAGGACAGGCATTTCACAGTCTTCCTAGGGTGAGTGAGTGGTCTGTGGGAGTGGAATCCCTCTTGATCTTGTCCTGTTGGAGACCTTGAGGTCTGATAGCCACCAGCTCCTTCACTCCCGCACATCTGGAAGGAAGACAAGATGAGCAGAAAGCCATAGAATCAGTACATCAAAATCTGCCGGACAGGAAATGGAGTTACCCTGCTCAATAATTAGGTTCTGAGATCATGAAACTGAGGGGAATCGTTCACAGTTCAAGAAAGGGCAAAGAATGAAAGAAGTCTAATCTCCCATTTCCTAGGGGTCTGCTGCTTTTGGTCAGAGTCTGAGAGAGGCCAGCAAGGAATAGATTGCTCTCTTGTCCCTATTGTATCCTGTGTTTCCTGAAGGAATGATTTTATAACAAGAATTGGGAACATAATCTATTCTCTCAGAAGTGAAGCTTGGGATGGGTCTCAGTCCTGAGATTTGCTTCACAATCAGTGAGAGCTTTCTCGATATACGTATACCCGGACGTCAAAATTAAAAGAAAAAAATTCTTGGGGGTTACATCCTAGGTTTTTTTATTATTAAGTAACCTTGATTATTTTATAATAATTTTGGATTTACACAGAAGTTGCAAAGATAGCACAGATAGCTCCTACGTATCCCTCATTCTGTTTCCCCCATTGTTAACACCTTTGATTTTGATGGTACTTCGGTACATTAGTGTTCACTAAACTGCAGTCTTTATTTGGATTTCACCAGTTTTTCTACTACTTTATCTTCTGTTTCAGGATCTCATCCAGGATGCCAGTTTGCATTTAGTTGTCATGTCTCCTCAGTCTTCCCTGGTCTGTCAGTTTTTCTGTCTTTCCTTGTTTTCCATGACCTTGACAGTCTTAAGGAATACTAGCCAAGATTACATTTACTTTATAAAAATTTCAAGTAGATTTTGATTCAGAATAGCACTGCTGTTAAGAACTCCTTCCTGTAGAGACACTTGGACCTGAATTTTGGCTTTGAATATAAGTTTTGCCTGAATTCTTAAAGGTTTTAAGTTAAGATTTCTTACTGCCTATCAAGTATCTCTGACATTTTGGTGACTAATAACCTTTTTTAGTTAGGAATGAAAATGTATCTTGGCTATAATATAAGCCAATATAAATTTGAAATTGAGATTTGAGCATATCAAAATACATTATATGAACGAGCACTTTATATAAGAATCTTTGGCTAACTAAACTTTTATGGCTTTAATAAGGGCAATAATCACAATTACTGAATGCTAACTATGAGTGAGGTACTGTCTTTGGTGAGTTAAATGTGGTAAGGTACTTAACTCTGTGATGGCCTTGGATGTATCAATTTGCCTAGGTGCAACTACCATCCAAGGATTCCCTTCTAGGGAATTCTTTTTCCAGTTAGGGCAGGCTAAAAGGGGCAGTCCCTAGAGAGTTAGAGAAGGAAAAAGAGGCAGTGACCATTTTGTAGCACACACATCTTGCCCCAATTATTCAATCAAATACTAATCTATATGTTGTTGTGAAGGGATTCTGCAGGTGCAATTAAGATCCATAATGAGTTGACTTTAAATTCATCAAAAAGGAGATTATACTGGGTGGACATGACCTAATCAGCTTAAAGACCTTTAAATGAGGGTTTAGGCTTCCCTGAGTTAAGAAATGCCTGTGGACAAGCTAAAACTTGTACCCCTGAGCCTGCAGCCTGCTTGTGATCTTCCCTTCCTGACCACCTGCACTCTGAACATTGGACTTGATAAGGAGCCTTCACAATGACATAAGCCAATTCCTTGTAATAAATCTATTTAGTATACATATTGTCTGGTTCCGCTGCTCTGGTTGAACCTTGACTGAGGGAAACTCTCATCATATGAGAGTTATTCCTTATTCCCATTTACATCTAGAGAAACTGAAGCACAGAGAAATTAAATAACTTTCCCAAGATCACATGATCAGTGACAGTTTAAATTCAAAGTCATGGTGTTTAGTCTCCAAATAGGGCTCTTGATTGTTATATTATACTGGCTCTTGCATAGGCATTGGAATGTACAAATGAAAGAAGCCAGTAACAACCATTTTAAAAATGATTAATCCAGAGCAGTGATTTTTATCCTTGGCTGCACATTGGAATGTCTTGGGGAACTATAGAAACCCAGTGCCCAGGGTGAATCCCAGTTACATCGGTTTCTCTGGGGCTGGGATCCAGGCATGTTTTTAAAGCCTCCATCAGATTCCAATGCATAAAAAAAATTCAGGAATCAGCGCTTTAGACTAGAGCAGCATGTCTCAAATTTCAATGTGTGTAAGACTCACCTAGAAATCCCGTAGGTTTTAACTCCATAGGTCTGGGTTGGGGCAGAGATTCTGCATCTGTAAGAGGCTCTTTCCAGGTAATGTTGATGCTGATGGTCTAGGAACCACACGTGGCTAGCAAAGCTCTGGAGTGTGTTTCAAAGTGAAAGATAATTTAGAAGAGGGGACAGACTGAAAAAGAAGAGTGTATCCTTGGTTGCAAATAATACGATATGGAGTGATCTACATGCGGCAGATAGGGGAAGGCATTGGAGACAGACCAAGCAAGTGGAATCACCTGTCTAATGAGGGTTATCAGTAAAAGGTCTTAGAGCCTCTTCCCAGAAATATGTGCTCCAAGGACCAGAAAATATCCCAGAATGGTTGTTTTCAACAACATGATTCTTGCTCTTGCTTGTACAACAGATTACAGCAGAGCAGTTTCTTAATAGGAGCACTTATTGACTTTGGGACCAAGTGATTTTTTTGTGTGGGGCTGTTGTGTGCATTGCAGGATCTTTAGCAGCATCCCTGGCTTCTACGCACTAGATGCCAGTAGCAAGTTACAACGCCATCAAGTTGTAACAACAAAGATGTTTCCAGGCATGGCAAAATATGCCCTGAGGGACAAAAATCACCTGCAGTTAAGAACCACTGGAATAGACAACGTTAACACAGGGCTGTTGCACTGAAGTCCAAGATCAGGGCTTCAGAACATTAATGAAAACTGTTAGGAAGAGTGAATGATGGAGCCAATCATTACTCTGGTAAACAGGGAGCACTTGATCAAGGGGGAGAAGGAAATGAGGGGGACAGTGAGACTTAGGTTCATCCAATATAACATGCATTACCTTATTAAACTCAGCAAATTTTTTTTGAACTTCAAAATTCAGCAGTTAAATGAGATGGAAATGGGACTCCCCCTGCTGCTGCTGGTAACATTGCAGAGACAAGGGGATGAGAAGATAAACTGTTGTAACGTGAAGGTTCGTTTACATTATGTTAAGACTGGGGATGTCTTCTGCCTTTTAGTCTTCCATTAGCTGCCTACCTGGGGCCTGTGTGCCAAGTTGTTCTAGAAACCTCTCAACCAGGTAATAGGTAGAGCTCTACCTCACATAAGTTGTTTTCTTCCTGTAGCTGGGTCAATGTTCATGGTTCTGACATAGTTGTATAAGCACCCTGAGATTTTATAGTTATTTTAAAAGTCACTATTTATATTTGAACCTGAATCTGTTTCCCAGTATTTTTTATCCCCTCTCATCAAGCTACTCTTTCTGCTTTGGATGACTATATAAGGGCTCAAAGATTCTTTCCTTCAAAGGAGCTGTCCCTTGTGATACTCTTCGATGTGATTTCTCAATTTCAGGCTTCCAGCCATTGAGTTCTGAATGATTTCCCCTGTGTAATTGCACAGACACCCTTCTTGAGCTCTTTAGGCTATCATAGTTTCAGATAATTCAATTAGCTTTCCTAAATCGTAGAGGCATATTGAAGTATTTTAAAGAAAAAAAAAATAATTCAAACTCAACCACATGACTCGTTTTCACCTGCAGTATTCTTTCCTTATCTTTTCACCCCCCGCAGTGCCCAACTGTGGTGTTTGTAAAGAGGCCAAGTTACTGTGATCTGAATGTTTATGTCCCCCACAAAATTCAGATGTTGAAATCTAATCACCAATATAATGGTGTTACGAGGTGGGGTCATTAGGAGGTGATTGGGTCATGAGGGTAGTGCTTTTGTGAATGGGATTCGTGCCCTTATCAAAGAGATCCTAGAGAGCTGCCTCTTCCCTTCTACCATCATGTGAGGACACAGCAAGAAGGTGCCATTTGTGAAGCAGAAAGCAGGCCTTCATTAGACACCAAATCTGCTGGTGTCTTGACCTTGGACTTCCCAGCCTCTAGAACTGTGAAAAATAAATTTCTGTTGCTTATAAGGCACCCATTTTGTGTTGCTTTGTTATAGAAGCCTGAATGGACTAAGACATCAATGTAACATTAGGAGTCCTTGCGTAGTTCATGTCAAGTGACCATAGCAGTGAAATGTGCTTGGGGCTGAGCCCTGTGGTCCATGGATTGGGCCAATGAGCCATTCCCCAAAGAATGTTTAAACTGGTGTTTCTCAAACCAGAAAGGTGTCCACGAATCCCCTGGACATCTGATTAAAATGCAGATGTTGATTCAGCAGGTCTGGTACAAAGCCTGGGATTCTGCATTTCTAGCAAGCTCCCAGGGGATGCCAATGCTGCTGGTCTCCAGAACAGACCACACTTGGAGTAGTGAGGACTTAAACTGGTCTTGTGTTTGGGGGTTTGGAAGCTGCTAAATTCAGTATCTGAATTAATCTGAGTGTAAATTACTTAACATTCACCTCACTCTGCTTTCCTGAAAAACCTTGATAATTACCATTCCAAATTCCTAATTTAAAATCTGGTATGGAACATGGATGAATTACAAAAAAAAAAAAAAAAGAAAGAAAAAAAGCATGCTGAGCAAAACAAGCCAGGCACAAAAGAGTACATTTAATATGATTCCATTTACATGAAATTCTGGAACAGGCAAAACTAATCTAGAATGACAGAAATCAAATTAGTGGTTGCCTGCTGGGGTTGGTGGTGGTTGTGGGGTTGTCTAAATTTGTTAGGGGTGATAATGGTCCTTATTTCTTAGACATAATACTGATATATTTACGAATAAATGGTACAGTTCCTGGGATTAACTTCAAAATAATTAGCTGGAGAAAAGGGTGGGGGTATGGCTAAAACAGAAGTGACTGTGTGTTAGTAATTGTTGAAGCTGGGTGTTGAGTACATGGCCCTCATTGTATTATTCTCTACTGCTGTATTTATGTGAATATTTCCAGAACACAAAATATTTTAAAAAGTGGTTATCAGTTGGAATGTTTTCTCTGATGATTAAAGCTTTTTATGAATGTAGGAAATATTGTTACCAAAGACTGCTTTTATTCATTCATTCAGTATACAATCATTGTGTACCATGTGTGCCATGGATTGTGCTAGATAATGGAGATAAATCAAGGAATAAAGTCGAAAAACCTCCTACAGTCCTGGGGCTTGCATTATAGTGCAGAAGACAGGTATAACTAATGAACAAAATCAATAAGTAAATACATTGCATAGTATGTTAGACATAAGTGCCATGGTAAAACCGGGGCTGGCTAAGGGAATTGAAAGGAGAGGAAGGCTGGGTAGGAAAGGCAAGGGCTCATTGAGGAGCTGGGTGCTCAGGGCAGGGCTCCCTGAAAAGATGACATTTGCATCAAATCCAGAAGGAAATGAGAGGTTTAGCCCATGCAGATAAATGGGGACAGAGTATTCTAGGCAAAGAACAACCAGTGAGAAGGCCTCATGTAGGAGCAGTTCAAGGTTCCAACACCAAGGAAGAGGTCCTCATGACTGAAAGGTGTGTGTGTGTATTGGGGGTATGGGGGGCAGGCAGGAAGAGAGGCAGTCAGGGCTGGATGGGTCTAGATCAGTGATTGTATTGACATTGGCTTTTCCTCTGAGATGGAGGTGCCCTGGCGGTTTTAAGCAGCTTGGCATGGGGCAACCTGACTGCTGTGTTAAGAAGACTCTATGGACAGGGGTGGAAGTGAGGAAAGCAGGCACTCACTTGGTCTGTCCCAGTGTCTTCTCTCAGGTGCTGCTTGTAGATGGCTTGGTATCCTATTATTTGCAATTGAGCATACCCTCCTCTTTATCAGTCTGTCTCCTCTCAAACATCCTTCACTTTGAAACACACTCTAGATGCAGTCCCTGGACCAGTGGCAGCAGCATCACCTAGGAGGAGCCTCTGAGCTGCTCCATCAATAATCCAGGTGAGACCATAGAAATATATAGGTAAGTGAGGTGATGAATATGTTAATTAGTTTGATTTACTCATTACACATTTTATGCATGTATCAAAACATCACATTGTACTCCATAAATATATACAATTATGACTTGTTAATTTAAAATAATATTAATTAAAAAAGAAAAAGATAATAGTAATTATCCAGATGAGAGAATATGGGGGAGTCAGACTAGGTGGAAGCTCTGGAGGTAGGGAGAAGTAGGATTCTGGAACTATTTTGAAAGTAGATCCAGCAGGATTTCCTAAGTGATTGGCTGTGTGCTATGAGAGTCACAGAGAGTAAAGGATGTCTCCAAGGTTTGGGCCTGAATAAGTGGAAAGATGGACTTGCCTTTGCAATGAGAAGACAGCTTGGGGTGTCTGAGTAAGGGCTAAAAGGTTGTTTCACAAACTCTCCACCCTGCAGTGAACATAACATTCAACTTCCTTAAAGCCAGACATTATGTTTGTGCAATAGCTCCCTAAAAACTACGAAATGGCTTTTCCATCAAAGCAAATTTGAAAAAGTATTGAGAAATACAGAAAGTCTGAACTATAAATTTGTAGGGCATTTTGTATGATGATAGTAGCTAATGGCAATATGCTCTATATTCTTCTCTGTGGCATCCTAATTTGTCATGCCTAAAATGCACCTGGGTGATTGAGAATGTATTTGCTTCCTTTCAGGAAGTGGCTGGTGACTATAGCAAGAGGAATGTTGCAGAATAATTTGTTATTACAGAAGAAAATGGGTGAAAAGTTTATGGCAGACTAAAACCTGACATCAATCCTAATCTTATTTTTACTTGCTGTGACTCACGAGTGATGTTGACTTTTTTTTTTTTTTTTTGCAGCTGACACTTTGTGCTGCCAACCTCCCTTTCATTTATTTGCGTTTGTTTTTGCTTTTTATTGTTACCCCAGTGACATCTTTCTCTTTCCTCTCATAGAGAGAAGGATTAAGATTTAAAAGATAATATAATATGAACATGTTTATTTAGCCATAGACGCTGAGTCCCCAATAATATTTTCATTTTTATAAGGAGTTTTGAATATAAGGACACATTCATTTAAAAGGACTATTACGTGAAAAATTTTCATGGCTGACTAATGGGTTGGTTTCTGCCAACAATAATGAGCATAATTTCAACTGAACAATATTGCTGTTTTTCACCAATTCTGTTATTCGCCATCAGTCTAGCATCATACTTTCTTCAATCATTTTCTGCTATTACAATCTGAATGTAATACAAAATACTGGGTATTAATGTATTATCCTAATGCAGTCTTTGGAAAAATACTAAATTTGTGATTCAGTGGTCCATACTTCTGAACAATGTTTTTTCTTTCAAAACTTGTTGATTTTATTTTTATTTATCACCATTGCTATACCCTATAGGTATAAGATTTGGTCGCTCTACACAGTTGACCTTTTTTCCACAGCCCCTTCTGGAGATGTAACAGATAGTTTTAGGTCTCTGGGCCTCCCTATGCACAGGGCTTACTTGGATTGGTGGAGTTATCCGGGGGTCTTTTGGTTTTGATTTCATTTCTTATTTAACATGTGGTAACAGACAATTATTGTTGGCTTTTTCCCCTCTCTTATGCTTTCTTGATTGGGTGATAGATGTTTCAGAGGATTTTTTTTTTTTGTCTGAAGAAGGGGGAAGGAACAATTTATATCCTCATAGTTGTCTTGTGTACCTGGTAGGGCAAGAGAGTGAACACAGAAGGGCATTGGTTTAGGGGAAGAAGACGGAGACAAAATGGGAAGCGGGGGCTTCATAAAGGGTATAGGTTGAGGAAAGGTTTTTGCCAGGCCAGGACAGGATAGGACTCTTGGGAGAATGTATGGGGAAGAAGAGAAGGAGCATGGGTAGGGTTATCTGACCTGGCAACTGTTTCTGTATTTGCACTGGCAAGGGGTCGTCCCCTCTTTCTTTTCTTCTTCAGCACTTGTGGCTGATTCTTCTGCTCTTGTGGTTGGTTGGTCCATATCTGTGCTGAATGTCTGTGGTTTGTCTGTAATCTCAGCCATGTTGAAGCCTTCTAGTGGTCTGTCCCAGGGAGCTCCCCCTGCCTATATATACCCTCCCCTAGGCAAGGCAAAGACACACTCTTAAGCTGTGCTTGGTCATCCAGGCACTGCTGCAGCCAATGGTAGCCCTGGAGTGTCTTGGACATCATGAAACACAACCCCGACACCTCCACTGGTGGTTGGGTGGTAGTGGGGGGATGCTGGAGAGGCTAAGATGCTGTGATTGGAGAAAGGGGGTTTCTTTAACACCACATAAAGAGCTTTCCCAAACTGACTTGCCACCCCCTCCTCTTCTCATATTCAATTCTGTTGACCCCCATCGCAGAAAGAGGGTGCTTCCTTCAAGTTGTTCCCCCATGGCCACCACATCAGTGGTTCATTCTTTTCTCTCCCACCCTTCACCATTATTTAGTATTTTGGATGTCTTGCCTAAAATCCCTCTAAGGTAATGTGGCCATATTTAAGTCTCTGTGGCCATGTGAATCATCCTACTTGTCCCTAATTTGTGTGCTTGTTTTGATTTATTTCAATAGTTTTGGGGGTACAGGTGGTTTTTTGTTACATGAGTAAGTTCAGTGGTTATTTGTGAGATTTTAGTGCACCCATCACCTGAGCAGTGTACACTGTACCCAATATGTAGTATTTTATCCTTCACCCCCTCCCAACCTTCCCCTTCACTGAGTTACCAAAGTCCATTATATCATTCTTATGCCTTTGCATCCTCATAGCCTAGCTCCCACTTATAAGTGAGAACATATGATATTTGGTTTTCCATTCCTGAGTCACTTCACTTAGAATAATGGCCTCCAGCTCCTTCCAAGTTGCTGCAAAAGACATTATTTCATTCCTTTTTATGGCTGAGTAGTATTCTTTGGTATACATATACCACGTTTTCTTTATCCACTCATTAGTTGAGGAGACTTAGGTTGCTCCCATATCTTTGCAATTGTGAAATATGCTGCTATAAACCATGCGTGTGCATGTGTCTTTCATATAACTTCTTTTCCTCTGAGTAAATGCCCAGTAGTGGGACTGCTGGATCGAATGGTAGATCCACTTTTAGTTCCTTAAGGAATCTCTATACTGTTTTCCACAGTGGTTGTACTAATTTACATTCCCATCAGCAGTGTAAAAGTGTCCCCTTTTCACCACATTCACAACAGTATCTTTTTTTTTTCTTTTTTACTTTTTAATTATGGCCTTTCTTGCAGAGTAAAGTGGTATCTCATTGTGGTTTTAATTTGCATTTCCCTGATGATTAGTGATAGTGAACATTTTTTCATATGTTTGTTGGCTGTTTCTGTATCTTCTTTTGAGAAATAAATGTCTATTCATGTCCTTTGCCTGCTTCGTGATGGGATTATTTGTTTCTTGTGGATTTGTTTGAGTTCCTTACAGATTCTGGATATTAGTCCTTTGTTGAATGTATAGTTTGTGAAGATTTTCTCCCACTCTGTGTGTTGTCTGTTTACTATGCTGCTTATTTCTTTTGCTGCGTAGAACATGCTTCTGAACAGTTTTCTATAGGTCAGTTTCAGGTCTGTCAGGAACTGACTTTAATGCTTCTTTTTTGCTTTTTTCATCAAATTGTAAGCAATTCTCTATGAAAGATGCAATTTGACAAATTATTAAATTGCTGTCTTTGTCAGCTTGGCTGCTATAACAAAATGGCACAGACTTGGTGGCTTAAACAGCAGACATTTTTTTTTCTCACAGTTCTGGAGGCTGGAGAGTCCAAGATCAAGGCACCAGCAGATTTGGTTCCTTGTGAGGGCTCTCTTCCTGAAGCACATGGCCACCTTTGTGCTGTGTCCTTACATGGCAGAGAGAGAGCTAGAGAGCAAGTGAGTGAGAACGAGAGAGTGAGAACCCAAGAGAGCACTCTGGTCCCTCGTCTTCTTCTTATAAGGATGCTAATTCCATCGTGGGGACTCCAGCCTTATGAATTTATCTATTAATAAACCTAATTACTTCCCAAAGGCCCTACCTCCCCTCCTCCAAATTCTATCACATTGGGGGTTAGGACTTTAATAGATGAATTTTGGGGCGAAACAGTCCATAATCATAGCCTTTCAGTAAGATTTGTCAAAGAACTCTCACTTCAGGAATTTTCTCTGTGGCTGCTCATACTTGGCATGGGAAATAATCTCTTAGAATGGAATCGAAATGGAAATGGTGGGGGCCTCTTACCTCCATTTCATCCAATATGAGGTAGAATTCTCAAAAGGAACATGAATGGCAGAATAAAGAGCAAACGTGAGGGCAGGAAGACTTGTTGGGAACTTATTGCAGTAATTTGGGGGAGTGATGATGGAGGCTAGGACCACTGGGCTGGTTGTGGGGTTTTAAGAGATGTGTAGATTGTGGATATGTTTTAAATATAGGACTAACAGGATTTGCTGAATGATAAATATATGGTATGATTTACAGATAACTCCAAGGTTTTTGAAGGAAACTGAGGAAGGCAGAGTTTGGCAGAATGAAGTGGCATTGAACAGGAGACAGCTGTCATTCTCCGTTTTGTTCACAGTCTTTGAGTGTGATTACTAGTCTAATCTACCACTGGACATTTTCCAAATCTTTCCAGTAAATGAAAAATGCTGGGAAAGGGAAATGGTATGTGTTTTTGTGTCAGTATTGAGCATAGGCTTTAACCCCCAAATGGAATATGTTGCCCTGGCTTTCTAAACTATAATATTTTCTATTTTAATATTTATGCTTAGGTAATACTTTTATTGAAGAACAAATTGCATCAAACTTTGGCTGAAGACCAGATTAAAGCAATTCATTTTTATATACAGTTTTAATTCCTTGAGCCAGAACCTCAAAATATTCAGTGTAGATAACAAATAATGAGGCTGATTAATAAACTACATAAAAACACATCCTTGATTCTTTATAGCCCTACTCTTCTCCAATTTCATTTTCCTCAAATTCCATATTTTAAATTCCATGCTTTATTTGTTTGAAGTCAAGACATTTTTAAATTACAAACTTAAAAGTCATCAAATTATGTCAGAAACCCAATATTCGAATCATAGTTGTAAATTTAGATTATTTGTTCTCCATTGAAAATTCCATAGAAATTTCTCATTGTAGCCCTTCAGCTAGTAAAGGGCTTCTTTTGTCTTTTTAAAAAATGACTTATTTTAAATCCTCTATTGTTTGATTTCTAATATGTCCTGCTGGGATTTTTGTTTTTGATTTTTTAAGACAGGGTCTTGCTGTGTTGCCTGGCTAGAGTGCAGTAGCGTGATCATGGCTTACTGTAGCCTTGACCTCCTGGGCTCAGGCAATGCTCTCAGCTCAACCTCCAGAGTAGCTGGGACTACAGGCATGTGCTGCCAAACCTGGCTAATTTTTTAATTTTTTTTGTAGTGATGGGGGTCTCACTATGTGCCCAGGGTGACCTCAAACTCCTGGGCTCAAGCAATCCCTCATCTCAGCCTCGCAAAGTGCTGGGATTATAGGCATGAGCCACCATGCCTGGCCTGACCTGCTTGTTTGAGTGTAATATTGCAAATGTTAAGTGAAATAATCAGGATATTGTAGAAGCACTGCCAATTTATTTTGAAATAATCACATTTATCCCCTCTGTCTCTTTCAAATGGACAGGTGCATATGGTCATCATCGGGTTTAAAGCATTGCTCTTTTTATTTCTTACGATGTCTGTTTCAAGAAAAGCCAGGCAGAGCCCTCCATCATGAAAGGTAGACCTCATAAAGTGCTGCCTTTACTGAATTCAAAAAAATCAAGGAGAGACTTTGCCACTAGGCTCAAAGCTAAGGAAGGATATGGGTATACGTCTCTTTCATCGAGTCCTGTTTATCCTTGATCCTCTTAGATGAAAGGCAGGGGACGTTGTTAAAATGTTGGCTGCAAGAAAGGTGAGAACTTGATTTGGGTTTTAAATTTACCATTTTGTTTTGTTCTACCAACAGTGAGTCAAGTGGTTCTATATGATTAGCTGAAACAAACATTGAGTTTCCGGTCTTGTTCCTTGCTTTCACCCTTCTCAGGAAGCAAGCCAGAATTGACTCTGCATTGGCCTTAACCTCCAAGACTCATGTGAGATTAATACTCATCAGCCACCTTTTAAGAATATCAGCAATTACCATACTAGGACAGCATCATTATTGATCCTTTGATTGCTGTTCTCACTTTAATGTCAAGACTCTGAAGCCTTGACCTTGTACTCATAGCCCTTGAGCTTTTAAGAGATGATTATTTTTAATGATACAACAGTATTATTGACATGTAGGAATCTATTTTGGTGATAATAGAAATAGCTCCAAATAGCAAGAGTGTGGTTTTTAAAATTACTTTCTGTGGCAGACACAGTTGTTTGTATCCACAAGGGCATTTCCCCTTCTTCTTTGCTACCAGGAACTTGATTTTGTTTAGGTGGTAATGTGCACAGCCCAGAGGATGAGTCTAAATCAGTTGTCTAAGCTGGTGGTGTAAATCAGTGCATGGCAATTAAATGTCCCTTGGACAAATACTCCTTTTTCCAGCCCCTCTTGCAAATTAGGTGGCCATGTGACTTTTAGCCAATGAGACATATGGGCAAGACTGCTGGGGGAACATCCAGGAAATACTTTATTGCCCGACAAAAGAAAGTTTGGAAGGATACCTCCTCCGCACTGAACTTTCCCTCTTCTTCCTTCCCTGAATGTGATTATATGTGATTCCCAGATCTGCAGTAGCTATTTTGAAACCATGAAGTTACAAACCTAAGACAAAATGCTGAGGATGGCAAAGTTGAAAGAAAAAAATGAGCCTGGGACCTTGGTGATATTGTTGATCTGAGATATTAAACCAGGAATTCCCTATCTTCTTTTATTTTGAAATAATAAAATATATTTATTGTTCATGTCATTGTTAATAATTCTATCCCTCAACAAGAAATCTTCCTATTTGAGTCAGCTTCTGTTGTATTTTTCAGGCAAATCATCTACTTACTATACTTTGTAGAAACAAGCATAGCCTATTAGAAAGAGCCCTCAGTTAGCCCAGATTTGGGCTCTAGTCTCAGAACACTTATATTTGAATGCCTACTTTCATAAGGTACTGTGATATATATTGGGGGTATTAACATTGATAACGTGTGCTCCTAACCCCAAAGGATCTTATAAACAAGTGGGAGAGATTGACTTTAAATAGATAATTTTGATACAATGAATCAAGTATAATAATGGAGGTATAGACTAAAAAAGTTATGGGAGCAAAAACTGGGGTCATGGACTCCATTTTATGAAGCACACAGAAAGTTTTTGAACGGACAATACTCTTTTAAAAAAGTTTAATGAGGTATAACTTACAAGCAATAACATCAACCAATGTGAAATGTAAATTTCAAGTATAATTCTATTACAGCCACAAAATCAAGATATGAAACATTTACATCACTTTAAAGAGCCAGTCTTCTCCCCAAATCCCCTGATCTTGACAAACATTGACCTTCATTCTATCACATAGTCTTGCCTTTTCTAGCATGTGAAATGAATAGCTTCAGTTTCCCTTCATTTTATTTATTTATTTATTTATTTATTTATTTATTTATTTATTTTTCTTTTGAGATGGAGTTTCATTCTGTCACCCAGGCTGGAGTGCAGTGGCGAGGTCTCAGCTTACTGCAAGCTCCACCTGCTGGGTTCATGCCATTCTCCTGCTTCAACCTCCCGAGTAGCTGGGACTACAGACGCCTGCCACCATGCCTGGCTAATTTTTTGTATTTTTAGTAGAGACAGGGATTCACCGTGTTAGCCAGGATGGTCTCGATCTCCTGACCTTGTGATCTGCCTGCCTTGGTCTCCCAAAGTGCTAGGATTACAGGCGTGAGCCACCGCACCCGGCCCAATTTCCCTCCATTTTCAAAGGTAGTTTTTGCTAAGATATAGAATTCTTGGCTGACAGTTTTTTTGTGGGTTTTTTCATTCTGAATATATTGTTTCACTGCCATCTAGCCTCCATTACTTCTGACAAGTCAGTTTTTTATTGTATTTTTTTCACTGTATATAATGAGTTGTTTTTCTCTTGATTCTTTCAAGATTTTTCTTTTTCTATGGCTTTTTAACAGTCCAACTATGGTGTTTTTAGGTGTAGATATCTTTGTGTGTCTCCTACTTGGGGTTTCTTAAGCTTCTTGGGTCTATAGGTTAATGTGTATTTTTAAACTTGAGAAAGTTGTAAAAATTATTTCTTGAAATATTCTTTTTTCTCCTTCTTTCTTCTTCTAGCACTCCCATTACATATAGGTTGGTATGTTTGATATTGTTTCATAAGTCTTCAAGTCTCTGCTAAATTTTCTTAAATTTTCCTCTCTGTTGTTCAAATTGGATAATTCTATGGATCTATTTCATGTTTACTGATTCTTCTGTCTTCTCAGTTCTGCTACCAAGTCTGTCTAGTGAATTTATCATTTTAGTTATTGTACTTTCCAACTCCAGAATTTTCACTTGGTTATTTTTAATATTTAATATCTAACATTAATATTAATATTTAATATTTTAAGCATCTAATAATTAATGTTTATATTGTTATATTGATATTTCCAACTTCTTAAGTTATTGTGATCGTATTTTTTTTTAATTCTTAAACATGGTTTCCCTTAATTCTTTTAACCTGTTTATAACAACTGCTTTAAAGTCTGCTGAATCCAGTAACTGGACCCACTCAGAGTCCATTAAAAAAATCAACTCCTTCTGTTTCCCTGAATATGGGTTATACTTTCTTATTTCTTCCTCTCATTATTTTTTGTTGGTGTTATTGAAACCTGGATAGAAGGCTGGATATTTTAGATATTTGTCTTAGTTCAGGCTGCTATAACAAATTACCATAGACTGAGTGGCATATAAACAACATACATTTATTTCTCATAGTTCTGGAGTCTGGAAGTCCAATGTGAGGTTGCAAGCATGGTTGGGTTCTGGTGAGAGCCCTCTTCCAAGTTGCAGACTGCCATCTTCTTATTTTCTTATGCAGTGGAAAGAAAGTGAGAAAGCTCTCAGGAGTCCCTTTTATAAGGGCACCAATCCCATTCATGAGAGCTCCACCCTTATGACCTAATTACCTCACAAAGGCACTACCTTCTAAAACTATCATATTGGAGATTATGATCACAACATATGAATACTGAGGGGACACAAACATTCAGTTCATTGCAATAACATATTGTAGAAACTGTGGGTTCTTGATTTTTTCCCCTTAGTGCTGTTGTTTTTGCACCTTTTTTTCCCCTGGGTTTTATTTTGTTTCGTAACTTGCTTTGCTTTAATCTGTGGAATATTTTCCACCTCTTCCTTACTCCCCAAGTTTGTGGCTGTAATGTGGCTCTTCTTTCCTCCTCTTCCTCCTCCCTTTTCCTTCTTCCTTCTCCTCTTCTTTGTCCTCCTCCTCTTTCTCCTCCTCTTCCTACTGTGTCCTTCCTCTTCTTTTTCCTCTTACTCTTCCTTCTCCCAGCTTCCTGTGGGTCACCCTTTTGTCTGTATAGCTTAGTTGTCAGCCAATAATTAGACAGAAACTGTGCTCAAACAATTTATGCCAGTAAAGATTCTACTTTCTGCTGACTGCTCCGTGTGTAGGTCCGTCACTTTCAAAGTTTAGGCGTTTTCAATCATCTTTAATTTTTTGCTGGATCCTCTTGGGTCTTCCTTGCATGTGCAAGGAGACTTGCAATCATCCAGAGATTGTGAAGAGCTTGGATCCACTCAGTTCTGCCTGTACACAGCCTCCTAATTAGCCAAGGATATATGTAGAGCATTTCTAGCCCCTCTATGGATCTCTAATTTCCAGGATATCCCTGTTAAATTTCTGATTTCTAGCTAGTCTGCTACTCATTCCCAGTGGGGCTACAACCTCAAACTAACAGAGTTATGGACTTTCATCCCTTTTGTTTCCTACCAAATTTGCTAATTTGACTGGCGACACTTGTGGGTTTTCACCCTCTGCTCCAAATCAAGGTAGCCCCATCTAGTGGCAAATCTTCTATTTTACACTGCTAGCCCCATGTGACACTACCACAAAGTAGCAGTACTTTGCAGATTAATATGGGTGGGTGGATGGGGGTGTATGTGATCATTTCCAGGCAAGAATACCACAGACACGACCATTTTACTCAGAGTTCACTAGTTTTTCATGAATAAATACATCTCAATTTGTTGTCAGCCTTTCATCTATTTTTAGGCCCTTGAAATGATTATTGTTAGTTTTTCCAGTTTTATAATTGTGTTTTGGGAAGATATTTTCTGACCATATTACTCTGCTATTACCGAAAGTTTTTCTTTTATATGTTACATCTTGCATTTCTAGAATAAACCCTACTCTGTCATGACATATCCTTTTTATATGTTGCTATATTTAATTTGCTAACATTTTATTAAGGATTTTCTTGTCATGTTCATAAGTGATATTGGTTTCTATTGTCTTTTTCTTATAATATCTTTTTCTTGTTTTTATATCAAGGTAGTGCTAGCCTCATAAAATGAACTAAACATATTCCCCCCATGCTATTTCCTGGAAAAGTTTGTGTATAATTGGTATTTTTTCTTCTTTAAATATGTGGTAGAACTCACCATTAAAGCCACCTGGTCTGGAGTTTCCTGTTGGGAAAGGCTTTTAACTGAAAATTCAATTTCTTTAATAGATGTAGGCTATTCAGGTAATCCATTTCTTCTCAAATGAGTTTTGGCAGTTTGTGTCTTTCAAGAAATTTGTCCATTTTACCTGAGTTTTAAAATTTATTGTTGTAACATTGGTCATAATAGTCCCTTAATATCGTTTAATGTTTGTAGGATGTATGGTGATGCTTCCTTTTTATTCCTGACATTGTTGATATGTATATTTCTTTTTTTTCTTGATTAGTCTGGCTATTATTTTTCCAATTTTATTAATCTTCTCAATAATGGTTTCATTGAATTTATTCATCGTTTTTCTGTTTCATTGATTTTTGCTCTTTATTCATTTTTTTTCCTTCTGCTTGCTTTAGGTTTCATTTGCTTTTCTTTAACAGATTTTCTTGAGTTGGAGCTTAAAACACTGATCTGAGACCTTTTTTTCTTTTTAGTATATTCATTAATGTTATAATTCTCCCTCTAATCACTGCTTTATCTGCATCCCACACATTTTGATAAGTTGTGTCTTCATTTTCAAAATTCCATTAAAAGTGTTCTAATATCCATTGTGATTTTTTCTTCAGACCATGAGTTATTTAGCATTGTGCTGTTTAAATTCCAAATGTGTGAGAGATTTTCCTAGTGTTTTTTTTTC
Source organism: Homo sapiens (assembly GCF_000001405.40). NCBI lineage: Eukaryota > Metazoa > Chordata > Mammalia > Primates > Hominidae > Homo > Homo sapiens. Next base: position 11,909,857 of record NC_000023.11, read on the forward strand.
TGTTGATCTCTAGTTTAGTTCTGTTGAATTCAGAGAAAACATTTTAATCAACCATCTGAAATGTATTGAGCCTTGTTTTATGTCTCAAAATATGGTCTATATTGATGAATATATACCATACATACTTGAAAGTATGTTCTTGTTTGTTGGATGGAATTTATATCAAGTTGGTTAATAGTGTTTGTCAAGTATTTTATATCACTACTGACTTTCTGCTTACATGTTATTATCAACTTCTGAATGAGGAATTTTAAATCTCCAACTATAATTTTTGATTTGTCCATTTCAAGAATCTTAATATTTAAAATGTGAGACTTCTCCACTCACTAGCCAAATGATTGTAAACAATCCCCCTAAGGCCACAGGATTCAAATTTTTATGGTTAAAATGCTGATTCTCTTTCTACCTCAGAGTATTGTGGTGTTTACCAAAATAAATAATTTAAGAAGAGGCATTATAAAACATATACACTAAGTAAATATATGATCTCATTAATGCCCACATTGAAACATTATATAAACACGAACAAAATAATTTATAGTAATATAAGATTAGAATTTATGACAGCATTTTTTTTTCTGGAGACAGAGTCTCACTCTGTTGCCCAGGCTGGAGTGCAGTGGTGTGATCTCGGCTCACTCTAACCTCCCAGGTTCAAGCTATTCTTGTGCCTCAGCCTCTCAAGTAGCTGGAACTACAGGCGCGTGCCACCACACCCAACGAATTTTTTTGTGTTTTTAATAGGGATGGGGTTTCACCATGTTGCTCAGGCTGATCTTAAGCTCCTGAGCTCAGGCAATCCGCTTGCCTTGGCCTCCCAAAGTGCTAGGATTACAGGCACGGGCCACTGTGCCTAGCCAATGACTGCATTTTTAATATGATTTTCCAACCAAAATATCAAGCCTTCTTCATAGGTATGTGACATGTCAAAACACAGAGATATACCTGGTAGAACATATACATATGTCTTTTGTAAATTAATATTAAACATTTATATTAGACATTAAAAATCACCATTTTTATTATTCAAGAAATGTATTTAATTTTGCTGTTACAAAAAAGAAATGTAACCCCTGCCCACAAAAAAAAAAAAAACATCTTCCAAGAATCCCTTTAGAGAGATTGTCTATTCTCCTTAAGTGTCATAACACCATATATTGAGCTCATTGTTAGTCTAGCCAAAAGGTCAGCAAACATTTTCTGTAAAGGGATAGATGGTTAGGCTTTGCCATCTCGATCTCAGCTACTCAACTCTGCTGTTATAGTGCAAAAGCAACCATGGACAATATGTGAACAAATAAGCATGGCTGTGTTCCAATAAAACATAATTTACAAAAACAGGTGGTGGATCTGATTTGGCCTTGAGCTGTCGTTTGTCAACTCCTGGTGTAGACAGTAACCCCTGTTTTGCCCTGTCTCAATTCAAATACTGACTTCGTTTGTCTCTGTACATATGTTTGGTAACTGAGAGAGGTGAGAGGACATTCTGTTCAGGGAAGGTGACAGTGGAAAGAAAGATGAAAGAGGTTAGAATACCCACTTGAGCTGGTTTTAAACTTCCTACAGTGGACAAAGTTAACAGAATCATTTAAGAAGCTTTATGGGGCTGGCTGCCAAAATGTGACACTGTTTTGCAGCAAAGGGCTTCTCCCTTCCTCTGAATGGACTCCAACTTCATGGTGGCAACTTGGAGAACTTCTTTGGCATAATTTTGGTGGAGTTTGATAGGTCCTGGCAGCAGGGAGGCTCCTCCTGATGACTGAGTGGGCAGGGGATGGAGAGCAGGTTAGCAAACGCAAGCAAAGAGACAAAGGTAGACATTTGGGAATGACTGCTGGTGGCAGACATTTTTGTGGACACATGAAAGGCATCCTTTGGAACATTGAGAGAGATTATAATGATAATGATAGGTGGGAAAGTAGGAGACTTCAGTCCAATTGCTTTGCAAGTAATTGCTGTTGAGCCAGAAGATATTTCAGCAATCAGAGGAAATAACCAAGGTGAGCCAAAGTGGTGCCACAGCCAGATTTGGACAGAGAATGGAAGATGGGCAGCCAAGATCCATACACTTTCCCTCAGGGTGCTTTGATGGTAGCAAGGAGGTGGTATCCTGGCTCTGTTTGTGGGTTTAATTGACTGGCTGGTTATCAGGAAGAGATTAGCAGTACATAGAGAGAAGAAGGCTTTCACAGGCTACTTCAACTGCAGGTGCTGACTTCTCCAATCCAGAAGCCCCACCGAAGAAGAACATGCCCCTTAGTCTTTTCAATTGAAGTTGGCAGCTGGAAGGGAAGCAAGCTTCTGTAAGCCACTCCCAGCCTCTTTTCTTTTCCTTTGCCTGTCAGTTTGAAAGTTTTGGTGTAACCAGGTTGGTCTCACATTGTTATATGTAGCTCAGGCTTGGAATATTACCCTTGGAAATGGAAGCTCATGCTTAACACAAGACAAATCTTATTGTCATTTTCTCAGAGATCACAAAGGGGAACATTTACTGGAAAGGTATTTTCCTCCCTGTCTTCAATCTAAGTGATTGACACAATGAACCGACAGTTTGAGTTTAATACTGCTTTTTTAAGTTAGAGAGCAAATGGCTTGTTGGGATAATAACACATAAAAGAAATATAAAGGCTCAAATTCCTCCAAGGACAAAAATATCACTTGAGAGATGAATCTGCTGGCCTGATAAGCTAGTGAACTTATCTCAACCTATGAAGGAAAAAAAGTCCTGTGTGTACATGGTAACAAAACAAGATTTTGAACTTTGCCTGTGGATTTCCATTTGGTCAAAGAGACAACTTTTAAAAGCCCCTTCAATACTTGTATTTTTTTAAACATGTGGAACCTACTCTGTTGTCCAATTACACTGTAGGACATGAGAACAAATTGATTATTTTCTGATATTTATAGCAGAATAAATGGAATTACAAAAAAAAAAAGAAAAAAAGAAGAAGAAGAAGAAGCTGCTTCTAGACAGTAGAAAAATGGTGAAGGGGCCGGGAATTTATAGGTCACCAAATCTGCCCCATGCATGGGATTGGGTACTGCAGTTTTAGTACTTCATTTTACTTTACTTAATTCTGAGGTCATTACCATTACTTCATTTTAGAGATAAAGAAACCAAGGCTAAAGGGAGCCTGAAACTGCCTCTTAAAGGGGGCCTGCAGCTTCTAAGTGACCTAGTTGAAATTCATAAATTCATAGCCTTATCTGCCTCCAAAGCCAGTTGTCTTTGAAGCTGTCTACTTTGTCTAGCCTGCGATTCACAATGTTTAGTGGGCCTATGCATTTCAGGGAGAGCCAGATAACATGCACATTCCTGGCCTCTGACTCTTGGGATCCTAATTCTATTGCTTTTTGGTGAGTACAGTCAGGAATTTCCATTTTCCCGGCATGTCCCATGATTGTGAGGCTGACTGGCTGAGGACAATACTTGGAGGAGTGCTGGTCTGGACCTAAGGTTCTCCATGCTAACTGCACATTGAATCATCTCAGAGGTTTACAAAATACCGGTGCTTGACACCTCACCCCAGATTGTCTGGGGATGGGGTCAAGGCTAAAGTCCCACCCTCTCAGAGCCATGGTCATTATGATGGACAGTGAAGATTATGAATCTCTGATCTAGCTGATTCTGGTCTCAGTTTCATTGCTGAGTATATGCATGATCACTGATAGTCTTTGCTCCTCTGTGGAAATTTAAGATATTGGACTCTAACTTCAAGATCTCTTCTAGACACCTGGATCATAGAAGAAAATTAGTTGACATTGGAAGCACTGTTTAGTTTTCAAGGAAAAATTCCAAATATATTATATATGTTTTCTTTCTAGAATTAAATTTTTAAATATCATTTCCCTTTGGTAAATAAGGAAAAACATAATGTTTACAGATAAAATCTGATTTTGTTTCAGTACTTCTTGTAGAATAAAGATGAAGAATTCAAGAATTTCCCTGTAGCTATGAAATCAAACTAGGGAAGAATGGCAAGGGGTGAAGATAATTGAGTGAGCGAGCAGAGGCAGGGGCTCCATGCCTGGTCAAGTTTCCTGTTTCTGTAGGACTCCAAGCAAACTCTGGAGAAAACAGATATGAAGGAAAGAGAATGACATGTTTTTAGATTTGGTAATTGTAGTCATTTTAACCACGTTAGACAGTGAGAGTTTCCAATACATCCTAGAATTTTAATTCATCTAGAATTCCGGGACTTGAAGAACATAGTCTAAAACTCCCTCTGTATTCCATAATATCTCTTGGATAAATTAATTCCAGATTTACAGAAGGTTCATAGATGCAGAAAGTGAATTTGTCTTTTTTAAAAATGATTAATACATCTAGCATGACAAATTGATGGCATATTGCATCTGACTAGTGCATTGCACAGTGTCCTTCAATTATGATGTCCTTTGAATAATAACTACGTAGAAATATGACTTTTTTTTCTTTTTTTTTTTTTTTTGAAAACGTCTAAGTGCTCTGAGTTCCTCTAACAGAATACCACCTCATCTGGGGCTGAAAACTCAAATGCCTACAGGATGCCAGGCAAGTAAACTAAAAAGGAGTACTGAGCAGCAAGAAGGGACCATGGCAATTGTGGAAAGTTTGAGCATGCAAGTCTAACTAAAGGCATTTAAACACACGTTTTTAAGAACACTGGGGAGGCTGAATGAAACACATCCAAGGGCCACCACTTTGCAACTCCTGAACCAAGCAAAACCAACTGGTGTCCTGTTGTATGCGTGTGTTGTAGAGCTTTAAAGCTATAATCCCTTGAATTATTTGATATTTCTTTATAACTTTTAACATGCCATTTTGTTGCCAGCCTCTCTTCTCCTCCAGAGAAAGAAAACAAAACTTGAAGCAAACAAACAACCCTGTGTGTTCTTTAAACTGTAGCAGCTGTGGCTAAACATATGGGAAAAAATTATTTCTGTGGATATTATTATTCTCTGTGTACTGTTCTGGATGGGGAGAAAAATAAACTTTTTTCATGTATATGTTAAATAACATGGTGTAGACACAACATATGCTGCCTTTGTCACTTAGACATTTTCACGTTGAGATTTGAGTTGTATTCAGAAATTTAAATTAATGTAACTTCTTGATACAGATATCTGCCAAAGTTTGCAAGCATAAATCTCCATAGGATATATATTTTTTAGGGATAAAAGAGAAAAAGAGCTTTCTAGCAATGCAAAAAAAAGAGCTTTCAGGGTGTGCTTATTTTTACTGGAGTTGACTTTTATTTCTTATTCCTTGGCACATTGTGCTGACCTTATAAATACTATTGGATGTTAACCTTGCAAATATAAATAAGAATTGTCAATAACAGAAATTGTATTTCTGAACACAGAGGTCAGATTCTCCTCTAAGCTGCATAAGATTGCTTTGTGAGCTTTTAGTATGGAAGGGTAATAAAACAATTTTGGGGGGAAGCATTTTCAATGAAAGTGGTTAACCAAGTTTTCTAATAATAGAGATTGCTTAGCACATGCTGCACAATGGAAACCCAGCAAAATAGTCTTATTCCTCAGTTGAAGGTGTAGAAATGCTGCCCTACATTTGTGTTAGAGAAGGAAATATGCTTGAATATTTCAGTCTAACAAACATCTAAACTGAGTCATGGGACATCTGATGAATAAAGAAGTCCTTGCCCTCATATGGAGAGCATATGGTACAGAGCTGTGCTGTCCAATATGGTAGCAACTAGCTACATGTGGCTATTTAAATGAAAATTAATTACAATTAGAAATCCAATTCCTTAGTTCTACTGGTCATATGACAAGTTTTCAATAGCCATATGTTGTAGTGACTACCATATTGGACAGCACAGATATAGAACATGTCCATCATCACAGAATCCATTGGACAGCACTGGTGTAGAGATAGTGAACTCACCTCTGGAGTCAGACTGATTGGGTTTGAAGCTAAGTTGTACCACTAACCAGCTGTGTGAACTCAGAAGAGTTTCTTGGGAGCCCCATGCCTCAGTTTCCCCCATCTGCAAAATGGGAATGATACTCATGAGGGCTGCTATGAGGATTCAATGAATTTATTCATATAAAATACATTTAAAAGTACCTGACCCATAGGAAGTGTACAGTAGATATTGGGGTTGCTCCTCAGTAGACATTTCACAGAACATTTTGAACACCCAAAAGAGGCAGCAAATTAATTCTGACCCAGAGAGACTGAGGAAGCTTCGTGGGAATGGTGATATTTAAATTGTACTTAGAATGATGAATTTTAAAAAATGAAGAAGGGAAGTGGATGGGGAGGGGGAGGGTATTCCAGGCATGTGGAACAGCTTATGCAAGGGCATGGGGGCAAGAAATTACACGGTATATTTGGGCAATGGCAAATCACCCCATTTGTCTGTGGAAAGAGGAATGGATGGCAGAAAGTGAGGCTAGAAGGACAGGTGAACAAAGACTGTGCTGTTCCTTGCATGCCACGCTGAAGAAGAGGCTAGATTTTATTTTATAAATAAGGAGCCAGTGAAGGTTTCTGACATGACCATATCAAAGATAACTATGGTGACATTGTGGAAGATGGATTTAAGTGGGGGTCCAGCAGTCAATCAGAAAGGGAAAAAGGGGGATAATGAAATCTTGAACTCAGGCTGAGAGAGTGTGGAGGTGGAAGGGAGAGGAGTGTTGGTACGTGTTCAGCATGAATTACATGTGGGGAGGCAGAAAGAGGGGATTCAAAGATTTGGGTGGAGACTTCAGGAGAAGGGTTGGGTATCTCACCTCCCATGAAGGCTTCCTAGACCTCCTCAGACAATGCTGACAGTGCCTTGCTTTGTGTCTCACATTCCAGCTCTAGATGGCAGCGGCCCCCAGTCATCAGTGCTGCCTTATGTTAATCTGGTTCTCCCTGTGGTAGGTTGTGATTCCATAAGGAGGGGACTGGGCAGTGTCTATACCATGAAGAGGGGACGAGACCATGTCTGCACTGTCATGTGCCTTTTTGTGGACCCTCCCACACCCTCTTTCTTGTCAGCAGAGCTCCCCTCCCCTCCTACTAAAATGCCAGATACCTGTGTTCCTAGCCTCCCTCACACATAAGGCACGGGCACATGATTCGATCCTGACCAATGTGAACTGGGGAAATACTGGGGCTGAGGCTGGGGCTGTACAAAGATTTTCTTCCAGGACTGAAGGAGAGAGTTGGGAAACTTCCTACCTCTTCCTGCTCAAAGACGCTGTTCTGCAAAAAAGTAGGCAAAGTCATGAACAGACACTTTTCAAAAGAAGACATAAAAGTGGCCAATGAACATTTGAAAAAATGCTCAGCATCACTAATCATCAGAGAAATGAAAATTAAAACCACAATGAGATAACATCTCACATCAGTCAGAATGGCTATTCTTAAAAATTCAAAAAATAACAGATATTGATGAGGATGCAGAAAAAATGGAGTACTTATACACTGATGGTGGGAATGAAAATTCATTAAACCCCTATAGAAAACAATATGGAGATTTATCAGAGAACTAAAAATAGAACTTCCATGTGACCCAGCAATTCCACTACTGGGTATCAACCCAAGGGAAAATAAATCATTCTATCAAAAAGACACCTGTGCTTGTATGTTCATCACAGCACTATTCACAATATGAAAATCATGGAATCAACCTAGGTGCCCATCAATGGTGGACTGGACAAAGAAAATGTGGCACATAGACACCATGGAATACCATACAACCATAAAAAGAGGGAAATCGTGTTCTTTGCAGCAACATGGATACAGCTGGAGGCTATTATCCTAAGTGAATTAACACAGAAACAAAAATACGACAAGTTCTCATTTATAAGTGGGAGCTAAACAATGGGTACACATGGACATAAAGATGGAAACAATAGACATTGCAGACTCCAAAAGGAGGGAGGAAGGGAGGGAGGAGGGCAAGGGCTGAAAAACTACCTATTGGGTACTATATTCACTACTTGGGTGATGGGTTCAGTGGAAGCCCAAAGCCCGGGATTACACAATATACCCATGTAACAAACCTGCACATGTACCCCGTGAATCTAAAAAAAAAAAAAAAAGATAATAGCCATCAAAAGAAAGACACTGTTCTGTGAAAATGTAACAGTTAGATATGTGACTGCCCTATTGTCACAATGAGGCAAAGGTGACTAGAACATAGAAGCTGATTCTGAGCCCTGATATTGTTGAGGCTCTGGACTAAACATGGAACTGCCATTCTCCACAAACTTCCTCCTATCCTTGCTCTTTATGTGCCCTTTAAATAGATGTTCTCTTACTTCACTTGAAATCACTCCAATGGAAAAAGGATTATGTGTGTCCAGTGCTTACACTGCAGCAAGCACATACCAATGTTTTATAAAATGTTTAAGTTTAGTTGTGCAAATTGAGTTATTAATTTGTTCTGTTTGTAAGGGAGAGAATAAATTTGGTTTTGACTGATTCATTTGATATATCTCTGAGATATAGAAAGGGACACAGGCCAGGCGTGGTGGCTCATGCCTGTAATCCCAGCACTTTGGGAGGCCAAGGCGGGTGGATCACCTGAGGTCAGGAGTTTGAGACCAGCCTGGCCAACATGGTGAAACCCCGTCTCTACTAAAAATACAAAATTAGCCAGGCGTGGTGGCACATGCCTGTAATCCCAGCTTCTCAGGAGGCTGAGGTGGGAGAATCGCTTGAAACTGGGAGGCAGAGGTTGCAGTGAGCCAAGATCATGCCATTGCACTCCAGCCTGGGCAACGAGCAAAATTCCATCTCAAAACAAAAACAAAAAAAGAAAGGGACACAGCTAGAATGAATGTGTATTTGGGTCTCATGGGAGAGAAAGTGACTAAAGTTACAGATTTGTATGTCCTAGCCACACATACATGCAAATCGACATGTTGGGGAAGTGAGCCATCTAAGCAGAGCATGCAGATAATTTTTTAAAAAGGGTTGATCACCAATCCTCCTGGTAGGGGTGGGAGCAGTGAATGTTGAGAAAAAATGAACGCAGAGATAGTCATGAGTGGAACTAGGCTGAAACTGAGACGGCAGCCAAGGAGGGAAGACATTTCCAGAATGGGATGGCAATGCCGGACACCTTGGAGGGTTTCTTCCCATCCATGTAGACATGGTGGACATCTGTCCTGTGAATTTTCTCCCAGTGACCTGTCTTTTTTTCTCTTTCTCCTGTTCCTTTCTAACAAAGTCATTTTAATTGAAGACTTTTCTGCTACTTGCTGTGGACTTGTTATTATCCATTATCTTCTAGGCCATCTTCAAGGTTTCTCAGTGTCAGCATTGCTGGTATTTTAGATTGTCCTGTGCATGGTAGGATACTTAGTGGCATCCCCAGCCTGTATATACTGGATACCAGTAATACCTCCCATCTCCCCATTGTAACAAACAAAAATATATCTCAGCATTGTCTAATACCCCCTGAGAGGCAAACTTGCCCTCAGTCGAGAACCACTGCTCTAGGCAAAGGGTTTGGTTATATGCCAAAATCTAAAGAACAAATAAGAGGGACTATATAATATCTGTTATGAATCATTGGTAAGCCCATTAGAATCCATCAAACAGCCTACAGTTTGGGTGGTTGGGAGGACAGGGCCAATAGGGAGTGGGAGTGGGAGGCTGTGCACAGGGGATCATCAGTGCTGTGGAGGGAGGATTAGTGTGGCTGGGACACTTCAGGGAACTTCTAGGGAGTCAAGGAGACATAAATAAATCACTCTTGGTGGTTATCATTGGAGAAATTCAATGACAATTCCTGCCTACTTGGAGATATGACACTGGTGATAAGTTTTTGGGAAAAAGGCTCCCCAAATCAGGAGCTCCACCGTGAAAACTAGTTTATGTTTCAAATTCAAGGCTACAAATTAAAACTGCCTCATTGTACTCAATTTTCAAGGTTTTAAAGCCAAAATAGAATACAGCATCTTTACAAAATTTCTCCCTTCTCCTCCTTGCCCCTCTTCAGAGATTGTCAGTTTATACACAGTAAAGAGTTCAGTATCTGTGACAGCACTGCATGCTATCTGCTGGATTAGTATTAAACTATTCTGGAATCAGCAAAGAATTACTGCAGGATAACATGGCAATGAAGATTCAGAGAATGGATATTTATTAGTGAGTAAATCTCTTTTTAGCTCTGTAATTCCCAAATTAAAAACAACACAGCTGGCATCCTTTTATGAAACATTAGGCAAACACATCAAATTCTCTTCCCTCCTACCATCTAAATTCCTGATACAATTTCCAAGATTCCTTCCCCCCACCATTGTGTTTCTAATAAAAATAGAGAATTTTTATTCTGGGCCGTTGAGATTCTGTATTGCTAGGACCAGGGGGAAAATAAGGGGGAAAAAAGCCCAACATTTTTTCATTTTTTTCACTAACTGTGGGCTTTAATCACAATCGATGATTAATTCTAACATCTTTATTTAAATGCCAGCATTGTTATGATGAGTAAACTCCAGTCAGCTGCACAGTGGCCCTATTAAATAAATGCAGTGAACATTTCTTCTTGCCTGCAGGTTGGTCCCTGCAGCCTCTGCCCTTCCTTTCCCATCTCTACTTTCTCCAGTTCCCAAACGATTAATCACAGTATCTTCTGTACGGTCATTAGTCCTGTAAGATGTGCCGACTTGAAATAATGATTTTTGGAACAAAGGGGAATATCTCTTGTGATAAGACTGAGACATACTAAGCTTTAACCTCCCCTTAGGAGGAACTTTTTCAGTTTCTAAGAAGAAAGAAAAATAACATTTAATGAAAACCTACTGGGTGTTAGGATTTTCTCTCATTTGCTTCTCACAGCAACCCTGGGAAGCAAATAGCAGTTTTTTTATTTGACAAATAAATTATAACTCAAAGAGTTAATGAAATCTGCACAAGGCCATAGTGCTAATAGACGATGAGATCAGATTCCAAGGATAAAGTGTTATAGCTATGCCACCAGCCTCTTTCCTCTGGGCCCAGCTGCTGCTCATTCTAGGAAGTCTAGGAGCAGAGGCAGCCCTAGACAAAGGGAGAAGAGAGAGAGATGTTTTACCTTCAGTATCCCCCAAAGTACCTTTGTGCATGTGTCTAGCTGGACAATCTGAGGCATCTGAAAAGTCAGGGTAATGCTCGCCAACTGCTTTAGCAAGCATTCCCCAACTTCGGTGCTGTAATGTGGTAAATGGTTTAATTGCCCCCAATTGTTTAAAGTTATAGATCAGGTCCTATTACGTAAGGAGATTGTCATCCGCATCCACTGCCCCGTAACTTGCCATGCCTTTCTATGAGGAGTGTATTAGTCAACTTGGGCTGTCGTAACAAAGTACCACAGACTGCATGGCTTAAACAACAGAAATTAATTTTCTCACAGTCCTGGAGGCTGGAAGTCCATTATCAAGGTGCCAGCAGGTACGATTTCTTCCAAGGCCTCTTTCCTTGACTTTCAGGTGGCCGCCTTCTTGCTATACCTTCACATGGCCTTTTTCTGTGTACATGTGCATTCCTGGTGTCTCTTCCTCTTCTTATAAGGACACCAGTCCTATTGGATTAGGGTCCCACCCTTATGTCTTCATTTAACATTAATTACCCATTTAAAGGCCTTATCTCCAAATACAATCACATTGGGGGTTAGGGTTTCAATTTATGCATTTGTGGGGGGACATGATTCAGTCCATAACAGGGGGAAAGTAGAGTTTCCTTCCCATTGACTAGGACTTGGCCAGTGGAATTTGAGCAAATGTAATAGATGCTGTATCTTAGCGGAAGCTTAAAAGCTTTGCATAGCAGCTCTGTTGCTGGTCCATTTTTCCCTATGCCATAAGAACAGCCCCAAATAGGGACTGATCCTTCAGCTTGGATTCTGGAATAAAGAAAACATAAGGAGCATAGCCACAGTCAACAGCAGTTAACATGTAATATGAACTATAAATAAACTTTTGTTGTCATAGGCTATTGAGAGTTTTGGGATTGTTACCACAGCGTAACCTAACAAAAGCTAACAGATACACCTAGTATCATAAAAATTTGTTTCTTGCTTAGTTACAGTATGATGCAGGTTAGGTATCTCTCCTTTTTGTCTGTCTTTCTCAATAGTAATTTAGAAATCTGAGCTCTTTGTATCATGAGGGTAGCTACACAGCTGGAAACAAGACAAAGCCAATGATTTATTCGGAGATTTTAGTGGACAGGCCTAGAAATGGGGTATATCACTCTGTCTTCATTTCTTTGATGAGAATTAATGATGTGGTCCAAACTTAAATGCAGGGTGTATTAGGCATTCTTGCACTGCTATAAAGAAACATCTGAGACTGGGTAAGTTATAAAGAAAAGAGGTTTAATTGGCTCACAGTTCCTCAGGCTTTACAGGAAGCATGGTGCTGGCATCTTCTCAGCTTCTGGGGAGGCCTCAGGAAGCTTAAAATCATGGCAGAAGGCAAAGGGGGAGCAGGCATATCACATGGTCAGAGCAGGAGCAAGAGAGCGGGTGTGGGGTGCCACATATCTTTTAAACAACCAGATCTCATGAGAAGTCACTGACGATCACAAGGACAGCACCAACAGGATGGTGCTAAACCTTTCATGAGAAACCTACCCCCATCATCCAGTCACCTCCCACCAGGCCCCACCTCTAATACTGGGGATTACAATTCAACATGAGATTTGGGACACAGAAGCTGGGCTGAAGGGAGAAAAAGCTGGGAGCCCTGCATGGGCTACCACACACTGGGGCTTATATTGGAACCACAAAAGCTCCAGGGGAATTGGTGATTTAAACTGGCAAAGAGCAACCTGCTCTCACCACGGACCTCTGGAACCCCAGAAGGAGGGGACCCCTTGACCACCACAGCCACTTGAGGTGGCAGGAAGAGCTGCTTAGAGAAGTGGTGGGACAGCAAGCCAGCTGATGTGGAGCCCAGAGGGTTCGGTGTGGGAGCATCTGTAGTAGAGCATGGCCAGGGATGGCCATTCCCTTAGGCTCAACTTGTTCCCATAAGAGACCTTAGCCCTAGGGAACAGTTGGACCTGATCTCTGCAAGGTGGTCTTGCACATCAGATGGGGCAGGTCTGACCTGAGCACCCCTTGGTCTGCTGGCCTCTCCTGGGGCCCCAGCCAGGCCATGCCTACTTACAGGGCAGTCTCAGGTGCTCTGGGGACCCACACCATAACTTCTGCACTGGTGGACCATGCCTGACCAGTGGAGCGCTCCAGTGAGGTAGCCCCTTTGGCCATATGCAGCAGCCCACATGCTCCCTCCCCATACTTCAGCTTCCCCAGCCCCACAGCAACTCCCTGCATTGCTTTGCTGGCATGTGTCTGCATGGGCAGGTTTTGCTTTACTTGCCATGCCAGCATGTGGAAAAGCAGTCCACTCCCCTCCACTCCACTACCAACTCCTATTGCAGATGGAGCCTTGGTGGGCACAGAATCAGCAAGCCCCACCCCTGCCAGTGCCCTGCCCTTGCACTAACACTGTGCAGAGAACAGCAGATCTTCCCACACCCTGAGTGATCACTCCTGTTTGCAGGGCACAAAGAAGTCACCTAGACCTGCACTGGCCAGCACCCCACCCCAAGCCAACACTACCTTAAGGGCAACCATGCATACAGTCTCCAACAGGGCCCCCTTACCCCCTACCCCAGCTGCATTGCCTCTGACACTGTGGTGAGTGTCTTCAGGGAAGCAGGCACCCCTGCATCCACTAGCACTCTACTGCAGCTGCTCATCTCAGCCCCACCCCAACAGTAGATTCCAAGCTTGAGGAGCCAGAGAACAAAGTTGGGGCCCAATACAAGTCTCCCAGCATTAGAACATGCAGTCCAGGTGTTGAGAGTTGAGCCTTGACCTCTAAAATCTCCCAGAAACAAAGCCAGTTGGCTGAATGCATCTTATACCACAAACCCTCAAGGTCATCAAATAGGATAAAAGAAAATTTAAAAACCATCCAAAGGTCGGCAACCTCAAGGGTTGGAGGCAGATAAGCCCACAAAAAATGAGAAAGAATCAGCACAAGAATGCTGAAAACTCAAAAAGCCAGAGTGCCTTCTTCTTTCCTCTAAATGACCACATCACCTTTCCAGCAAGGGTTTGGAACCAGGCTGAGATTGAGACAGCTGAAATGACAGAATTCAGAATACGGATAGGAATTAAGATCATCAGCTATAGGAGTACATTGAAACCCAATGCAACGAAGCTAAAAATCATGATAAAATGATGCAGGAGTTGACAGATCAAATAGCCAGTATAGAGGAGAATGTAACCAATCTGAGAGAGCTGAAAAACATAGTACAGGAGTTTCATAATGCAATCACAAGTATTAATAGCAGAATAGACCAAGTGGAGAAAAGAATTTCAGAGCTTGAAGACTAGTTTTATAAAATAAGACAGGCAGACAAGAATAGAGAAAAAACAATGGAAAGAAATGAACAAAACCTCCAGGAATCTGTGACTGACTGGTGTCCCCGAAAGAGATGGAAAGAATGAAGCCAACTTGGAAAACATATTTCAGGATATCATTCATGAGAACTTTCCCAATCTAGCTAGAGAGGCCAACATTCAAATTCAGGAAATGCAGAGAACCCCAGTAAGATAATCTACAAGAAGATCATCCCAAGGACACATAATCATCAGATTCTCCAAGGTCAAAATGAAAGAAAAAATATTAAAGGCAGCTAGATAAAAAGGTCAGATTACCTACAAAGGGAAGCCCATTAGACTAACAGCAAACCTCTCAGCTGAAACCCTACAAGCCAGGAGAGATTGTGGGCAAATGTTCAACATTCTCAAAGAAAAGAAATTCCTACTCATAATTTCATATCTGTCCAAATTAAGCTTCATAAGCGAAGGAGGAATAAGATCCTTTTCAGACAAGAAAATGCTGAGGGAATTTGTTACCACTAGACCTGCCTTACAAGAGCTCCTGAGGGAAGCACTAAATATGAAAAAGAAAGACTTACTAGCCACTATAAAAACACACTGAAGTACACAGACCAGTGACACCACAAAGCAACCACATAAACAAGTCTGCAAAATAACCAGCTAACATGATGACAGGATGGAATCCACACATATCAATACTAAGCTTAAATGTTAATGGGCTAAATGTCCCAATTAAAAGACACAGAGTGGCAAGCTGAATAAAGAACCAAGACTCATTAGTATGCTGTCCTCAAGAGACCCATCTCACATGCAGTGACACATATAGGCTCAAAATAAAGGGATAGAGAAAAATCTAAGCAAATGGAAAACAAAAAAAGCAGGGGTTGCAATCCTAGTTTCTGACAAAACAGACTTTAAACCAACAGAGATTAAAAAAAAAAAAAAACATGAAGAAGGGCAGTACATAATGGTAAAGGGTTCAATTCAACAAGAAGATCTAAGTATCCTAAATATATATATGCACCCAACACAGGAGTGCCCAGATTCATAAAGCAAGTTTGTAGAGACCTTCAAAGAGACTTAGACTCCCACACAATAATAGTGAGAGACTTTAACATCCCACTGATATTATTAGATCATCAAGACAGAAAATTAACCAGGACGTTCAGGACCTAGACTCAGCACGGGATCAAATGGACCTGATATCTACAGAACTCTCTACCCCAAAACAACAGATTATATATTTTTCTCATGGCCACATGGCACATACTCTAAAATTGATCACACAATCGAAGTAAAACACTCTTCAGCAAATGTGAAAGAGTTGAAACCATAACAAACAACCTCTCAGACCATAGTGCAATCAAATTAGAAATCAAGACTAAGAAATTCACTCAAAACCATACAATTACATGGAAATCGAATAACCTGCTCCTGAATGACTTTGGGGGTAAATAATGAAATTAAGGCAGAAATCACGAAGTTCTTTGAAACTAATGAGAAAAAAGATACAACATACCAGAATCTCTGGGACACAGCTAAGACAGAGTTAGGAGGGAAATTTATAGCACTAAATGCCCACATTGAAAAAGTTAGAAAGATCTCAAGCTAACAACCTAATATCACAACTGAAAGAACTACAGAACCAAGAGCAAACAAATCCCAAAGCTAGCAGACGACAATCCGAGCTGAACTGAAGGATATTGAGACATGAAAAACCATTCACAAGACCAACAAATCCAGGAGCTGGTTTTTTGAAAAAATTAATAAAATAGACTGCTAGCTAGACTAATAAAAAAGAAAAGAGAGAAGATTCAAATAAACACAAAAAGAAATGACAAGGGGGATATTACCACTGACCCCACTGAAATACAAACAACCATCAGAGAATAATATGAACACTTCCATGCACATGAACTAGAAAATTTAGAAGAAATGGATGAATTCCTGGACAAATACACCCTCTCAAGACCGAACCAGAAGAAACTGAATCCCTGAACAGACCAGTAATGAGCTCTGAAATTGAGGTAATAATAAAAAGCTTACCAACCAAAAAAAAAAAAAAAAAAAAAAAAGCCCAGGACCAGATGGATTCACAGCTGAATTCTACCAGATGTACAAAGACGAGCTGGTACCATTCCTACTGAAACAATTCCAAAAAAATTGAGGAGGAGAGACTCCACACTAATTCATTATATGAGGCCAGCATCATCCTGATACCAAAACCTGGCAGAGATGCAACAACAAAAAAGAAAACTTCAGGCCAATATTCTCAATGAACATTGATGTAAAAATCCTTAACAAAATACTGGCAAACCAAATTCAGCAGCACATCATGAAGCTTATCCATTACAATCAAGTAGGCTTTATCCCTGGGATACAAGGATGGTTCAACATATGCAAATCAATAAATGTGATTCATCATATAAACAGGACTAAAGACAAAAACCACATGATGATCTCAATACATGCATAAAAGTCTTGATAAAATTCAACACCCCTTCATGTCAAAAACTCTCAATAAACTAGGTATTGAAGGAACACACTCAAAATAATAACAGCCACGTAGGACAAACCCACAGCCAATATCGTACTGAATGGGCTAGAAGCATTCCCTTTAAAAATCAGCACAAGACAAGGATGCCGTCTCTCACCACTCCTATTCAGCATAGTATTGGAAGTCCTGGCCAGGGAAATTAGCCAACAGAAAGAAATAAATGGTATCCAAATAGGGAGAGAGGAAGTCAAACTATCCCTGTTTGCAGACGACATTATCCTATATCTAGAAAACCCCATAGTCTCAGCCCAAAAGCTTCTTAAGCTGATAAACAACTTCAGCAAAGTCTTAGGATACAAAATCAATGTGCCAAAATCACTAGCATTCCTATATACCAACAACAGTCAAGCCAAATCAGGAACATAGTTCCATTCACAATTGCCACAAAAAAAAAAAAGTATAATATACCTAGGAATACAGCTAATGGGGAGGTAAAAGATCTCTACAAAGAAACTACAAAACACTGCTCAAAGAAATCAGACATGATGCAAACAAATGGAAAAACATTCTATGCTCACGTATAGGAAGAATCAATATTGTTAAAATGGTCATACTGCCCAAAGCAATTTATACATTCAATGCTATTCCTATTAAAGTACCATTGAGAATCTTCACAGAACTAGAAAAAACTATTTTAAAATTCATGTGGAACCAAAAAGGAGCCTGAATAGCCAAGGCAATCCTAAGCAAAAAGAACAAAGCTGGAGGCATCACACTACCCAACATCAAAACTGTACTACAGGGCTACAGTAACCAAAACAGCATGGTACTAGTACAAAAACAGACCCATAGACCAATGGAACATAATAGAGAACCCAGAAATAAGACCACACACCTAAGGCTATCTGATCTTCGACAAACCTGACAAAAACAAGCAATGAGGAAAGGATTCCTAATTCAATTATGATGCTAGGATAACTGGCTAGCCATATGCAGAAGATTGAAACTTGACCCATTCCATATACCATATACAAAAATTAGCTCAAGATGGATTAAACACCTAACTGTAAATCCCAAAAGTATAAAAACCCTGAAAGACAACCTAGGCAATACCATTGAGGACATAGGCACAGGTACAGGTAAAGATTTCATGATGAAGACACCAGAAACAATTGCAACAAAAGCAAAAATTGACAAATGGGACCTAATTAAACTAAAGAGCTTCTGCACAGCAAAAGAAACTATCAAAAGAGTAAACAGACAACCTACAGAATGGGAGAAGATTTTTGCAAACTATGTATCCAACAAAAGTCTAATATCCAGCATCCATAAGTAACTTAAACAATCTTACAAGAACAAAACAATCCCATTAAAAAGTGGGCAAAGGGCATGAACAGACACTTTTCAAAAGAAGACATATGTGTGGCAAACAATCATATGAAGAAAGCTCAACATCACTGATGATTAGAGAAATGCAAAACAAAACCACAATGAGATACCATCTGTATTAGTCTGTTCTCATGCTGCTAATAAAGACATACCCAAGACTGGGTAATTTAGAAAGGAAAGAGGTTGACTCACAGTTCAGCGTGGCTGGGGAGGCCTCAGGAAACTTAAAATGATGGCTGAAAGGGAAGCAAGCATGTCCCTCTTCATATGGCAGCAGGAGAGAGAAGAATGAGAACTGAGTGAAAGGGAAAGCCCCATATAAAACCATCAGATCTCCTGAGAACTCACTCACTATCATATGAACAGCATGGGGAAAACCGTGCCCATGATTCAATTACCTCCCACCACATATGGGGATTATGAGAACTACAATTCAAGATGAGATTTGGGTGGGGACACAGCCAAACTCTATCACCATCTCACACCAGTCAGAATGGCTATTAAAGTAAAAAAATAATAGATACTTGTGAGTCTGTAAAGAAAAAGGAATGCTTATACACTGTTGGTTGGAGTGTAAATTAGTTCAGTCATTGTGGAAGACAGTGTGGTGATTCCTCAAAGACCTAAAGACAGAAATGCCATTCAACCCAGCAATCCCATTACTGGGTATATACCCAATGGAATGTAAATTGTTCTATTATAAAGACATATGCACATGCATGTTCATTGCAGCACTATTCACAATAGCAAAGATATGGAATAAACCTAAACGCCCATCAATGATAGACTGGATGAAGAAAATGTGGTACATATACACCATGGAATACTATGCAGCTATAAAAAGAATGAGATCATGTCCTTTGCAGGAACATGGGAAGAGCCAGAGGCCATTATGCTTAGCAAACTAATGCAGGAACAGAAAACTAAATACCACATGTTATAAGTAGGAGCTGCATGATGAGAACACATGGACACATAGTGGGGAACAGCACACGCTGGGGACTGTCAGAGGGTGGAGCGTGGGAGGAAGGAGAGGATCAGGAAAAATAACTAGTGGGTACTAGGCTTAATACCTGGGTGATGGAATAATCTGTACAACAAACCCCCATGACACGAGTTTACCTATCTAACAATCCTGCACATGTACCCTTGAACTTAAAAGTTAACTAAAAAGAGATGTGAGTGGAGACAAACATACAAACTATGTCACAGGGGAGGCTTAGAATTACTTTTTCAGAATGGGGCTAGGAAAAGGAAACATATAACTTCCCTCTGCATGATTGCCTGTTCTCAGTGTTGACTTCCTGAGGGGGCTCTTCTCCAGCTGTTAATAATGCCCCAAGGGTGTTAACTGACCTTGGCATAAAGTGCTGGATACACATCTGTTTTAACAAAAGCCTTTTAAATATCACAAAGCTTTGTGAGCCCCAAAAGAATAAAATGTCAATGATCTTCCTGACAGATGGAGGTCGAACCTGTGTGCATCTGTTCATAAAGCTAGTCTTAACCTGACTGGTTCAGTGAGTATTTATTAAGCATTTGGCCATGCCCCGGACACTCTCCATGTGAGGCCCTATGCAATGTGCTGTCAGAAGCAGGAAGTGACTAATTTTGCTTGTGAAGTATTGAGAAGGTTGTATGAAAGAGGTGACATTTGAGCTGGCCTGAAAGATGTTGGGAAGTCTGGAAAATGCAAGGTGGCAAATAGAATTCTAGTCAAAAGAGCACCATCAGCCGGGTGCGGTGGCTCACACCTGTAATCCCAACAGTTTGGGAGGCCGAGGCTGGTGTATCACCTGAGGTCAGGAGTTCGAGACCAGCCTGGCCAACATGGTGAAACCCCGTCTCTACTAAAAATACAAAAATTAGCCAGGTTTGGTGGCATGTGCCTGTAGTCCCAGCTACTCGGGAGGCTGAGGCAGGAGAATGGCGTGAACCTGGGAGGTGGAGCTTATACTGAGCCGAGATCATACCACTGCACTCCAGCCTGGGCAACAGAGTGAGACTCTGTCTCAAAAAAAAAAAAAAAAAAAAAAAAAAAGGCACCGTCATGGGAACACTATCATATAGACATGTGAAAAAGCACAATGTGTTGTGAAAAGTGCAAGTGGCAAAACGTGGCCCAATCACAGCCTGCATTGGGCTAGGGATGCAGGGAAAAGAGATGACATGTAGTGACTTGAATGTTGGCTCCCCAAAAGATATGCCCACCAGGAACCTGTAGATATAACCCTGTTTGGAGAAGGACTTTGCAGATGCAAATAAATTAGTAAGGATCTTGAAAGGTGTTGTCTTGAATTGAGTGGGCTCTAAATCCAGTGACATGTGCCCTTATAAGAGGAGGAGAAGAAACATACACACAGAGAAGGTGGTCATGTGAAGACTGTAGAGATGCAACCACAAACAAGGGATACCTATAGTCACCACAAGCTGAAAGAGGCAAGGAAGAATTCTCCTCTAGAATTTTCAGAGACAGTGCAACCTTATAGACATCTTGATTTCAGACTCTGGCCTCTAAAACTGTGTGAGAATACATTTCTATTGTTTTAAACCATGAAGCTTGTGGGAATTTATTATGGCAGCCACAGGAAGCATGAAGATTTGATGAATCTGATTCTCTCTGTCTTGCTGAGGAGATTGTACAGCATCCAGAAAGCAGAGGATGGGCAGGGGAGGCAATTTGATAATCTTTAAGATTGATCTGATATGGTCTGCTTTGGACATCAGAGAGGCAGCTCTGGTGGCTCTCCGAAGGATATTGGACAGTTATTATCAGTCTGCTTATGCTTGAGGAGTAGGTCAATGATGAGTTGTTGGTGAGTCTTGAAGTGTAGTGGGGATGAAGCTGGGATATCTGCATTGGCCATGAGGTTCCATAGTCACTTCCCAACCTGTGAGTTACCCCAGCAGCCTGTCAGGGGAAACTTAATGTGCTGCCTTTATCTGGCTCCCTGAATAACCAGTTCATGACTAAAGAGAGGAGAAATAATTATTTTCTGTGATTTCTTTCTGAAAAAGACAGAAATTTTGTAATCATCTGACCATACAGTATATGTAATACTGACCTTAGAAATATTTCAAGTGCTACTGTGCATGTGTGTGTGTGTCCCATCAGTGAGCCCCCAGATTCCATTGAGGCTTATTTAGTTATTTATTACTGCATAGAAAAACACCCCAAAACTTAGTGGCTTAAAACAACCACCTTTTTCTTCTCTTTTATAGTTCTATGAATTGACCAGGCTTAGCTGTGCAGCTTTTCTGCTGGCTTTCCTTGGGGTCTCCCACAGTTGTAGTCAGATAACAAGCTGGGTCTAGAGTCATCTGGAGGTTCACCTTGGATACTAGGATGCCTTGAGCTGTCTCCCTCTCCATGTAGTCTCAGTACCTCGCCTCTCCTCATAGCTTCTCCACATGGTCTCTCCAGAAGGGCAGTGTGACTTCTTACATGGTGGTTTAAGGGTCTTAATGTGAGAGTTCCAAGAGAGAGAAGTGAAAACTGCTAGTACCCTTAAAAGTGAGTCCGAAATTGGGACAGACTTAACTCTACTGCATTCTGTTGGTTAAACAGTCACAGTAAAGCAGATTCAGGGAAGGAGAAATAACTTCCATTTCTGGATGGGAAAAGACAAAGAACTGGCAGCCATCTTTAGTCCATTTCAAGGCTATTTTTGAAAAGTTGCACTTTTGCCATTTTCCTTAAGCAGTACAAATGGAAATGGAGGAGGCACACTGCAGATATTCAGTAAATATTTGATGGATGGATTGAATGAATACATGAATGTATATATGCAAAAGAGTTGGCCGTGTTTCAGCATTTCTAAGGGACCTTAAAAAGAGGATTTGCTAATAGCTAAGATATAGTACTGAACTTGCCCAGGGATATTGTTTAAGGGTTAGATTGGAAAAAGAAATGCTTCATGTCTGATTAAAAGCTTAATGTCGGCATAGAATGGTGTTACTAATTAAATCATATTATTAACTACAGAGTGCATACATATACCACAATGCTAGGCCCGGGGAAGACTCATTGTTTGTCCACTCCCTTGCCGTTTAGGTGGGATACTTATTACAAAGAAATATTGATGATATTTCATTTGTTTATGAATTATAATCTAGCAGATAAAACTGTTGCAGGCATGAATTCAGAAAGATGAGCTACTCACTTAAAAACTTAATAAAATGAAAAGGTTTTAAAGTCAATATATATATTTCATCTTTACTGAATAATTCTTCATTCGTAAATCACACTGTTTCCTTTGCCTAACTTTTCCTAGTATTTACTTTTCTTCCTTTCCTATGATAGGAATCCTGAAAGTCATAAGTTTTCTAACTTAAGGCAGTACTATTGCTTTAATATTATAAAGTAAATACTACTAGTTATTTTACTGACTTAGGCAGCATACAGAAGTCATATCAAAATTCTGAGGGAAAATAACAATAACTTTTTGGGAAAGTGTTACTAAGAGATTAGTCAGCTGTCCAAATGGGAGTTAGGTGTGTAAAACTGTGTACTAGGTATTAAATGCCCAAAGCAAGTACTGTTCTACTGTTTGAACAAAGGGAAGTACTTATGAGGACCAAAGAATAAAACAAACATAAAAAAAAAAAAAAGATTTGAACTTGAATGTCTGTTCCTGGGTGCCTTTACTTGTTCCACTCTTTGCCATATGCTTCATCCTCCTCTGTCTAGAACTCACATTTTCGCAGGATTTGCTCCTGATTCCATTCAGACGCCTGCTCAAATTCCACCCCACTCACCAGAGTGGCCTGTCGCGACAACCCTTGCTAAAATAGCATCCCCATTGTTCTAACTTTCTTCATGGCACATACATACAGTTGTTGCTTTCTTGTTTATAATTTGCCTCTCTCCACTGAGAGCAGGGGCACTGCTTTCTCACTGTCAGCCCTACAGTGCCTGGCACTTAGCAGTTGCTCAATAAATACCTGGGAGTTTAAGACCGAGTCCCCAAACGTCAGCTTAACGTAATGCACAAGAGATGAGAGCTCAGACACTCCAGACCTAGGTACACGTATTTGCAAAAGAGAAAGATAAACACTGCTGACTTAGGTTCCAGCCCTAGATTCATCTGCACCGATTGTGGAAAAGGCTGCTGGTTCCAGATTGACCTCATTATTCATGGATCGTAAATAAACATTGTTTCTTCCTCTTTAAAGATTTCTCACCATTGGTATTTATTGTTTCACACTAACCATGCCTTTGCAACACTCCTCAGGAAGACAGGCTTCCTCTCATGACACATCCCCCAATTCCACCGTCCACTGGCTGCCCTAGTTTTGGATTATAAGCTATGAGCTATCTTAGCAGTCTAAAATGATTGGTTGGAAATATCCTTCATTTGGATTGTTTAAAGTTTTCCAGATGTGTGGAGTAGCAGTCAGCAAGGAAAAAGCCAGTAGAATATCAAATGTGTTATTTTATTGCTGCAAAATGATTTTCAACTCTTCTTACACCCAAATAAGTGCCCAGAAATTCCAAAGAATCAAAAATGTCATTGTTTCTCAATGCTTCCACCATCACTTCTATTTCAGGAGCCAACTGTACTCATTCCCAAATGGGGAGAATAATTGTATGCATTTGTAGGATTGAAACCGAGTTTCCAAAATATTTGGTGACGTTATTGAGGCTGGCTTTGTGGGGTTTTTTTTAGGGACAATCAATATCTCACTAGAGTAAATGTAGCATCAAATTGCATTATTTTAGTGGCAGGGCTTCTAATTATGATTCATTTGATAAATCTGGTGCTAAGTATGCAATAACCTTGTTCCCTCGTTTATGTTTGCCTCTGTGCTAATTTTCTTTTTAAACTGAACTCTTCAGAAGAGAACTTAAGGTATAGAATTTTTATTTCAGTTAAATAGTTTCGGCTCATTCATTGTATATACCCAGCTCTCCTGGCCCATTGCCAGTCATACTTAAATGGTGGTTGAGCTAATCAAGATGGTTTGATCATGCCATGCAACTAGTCTACTGCCGCATAATCTCAGTTCAAATAATTCCAAGCAAGAAAAGTAGAATTAGTCTACTATGCTGGGTAGATGGGAAGACCATTGCATACTTACTGGGTCACTTCACTTGGTACTAAGACTTGAAGTTGTTAAGATTTTATCTGTTTGCTTGCCTTACTTGAGTCTCCCTAACTCTTAAAGCAGGAAAGTGTGCTTGAGTTCTCACATAAGCAGTTCAGCCAGTGGTAGTTAGTGTACATAGAAACAGGATGTTATGGCTGGAAGGAACACTTGATTCGCAATTTCCCCAAGCACAACACCAATATGCAGGCTATTGAGAAATGGAGAGCATCTCCCTGGCTGCTTGAGACAGTGGTTTCTAGGCTGTAGCCATTCCCAGGGAAGTCTCCATGGTAAGGGTAATTTACTTAAGTCATGAGAAACACTGATCTTCATTATAAATGTAAAGAGAGCATTTTGGGGAGCAATTCCAGTTCCAGTAGTTTGTTTTTGCCAAATATAACTAGGGGGCATTTAGTATTTTGAGATGATAACTTGAGGAAGGAAGCCCTTGTCTTTTGTAAAACAATTACTTGTTTATAATGAGTTACATACATGTGTTCCTTTGAGATTATAAACTCTTTGAAGTTATGAACAATGTCTATCTCTCCCACTGCTCTATTCCCAAGGCCTAGAACAGGGTCTGACACATGGCAGACAGTCAGTAAATATTTATAGATTGAATGATGAAGGAATGAATGATGTCCTTGAAGTTCATAGCAATTGCTATTCAAGACAAGATCGTTTTGTTGTTGTTGTTTAATTTAATTTGTTTGTAGCGTAAGAGGGATCTTCACCATATTATGTGAACAGCAAAATTACGGGCAAGACAAATTACATGCAATTGATCTTTTCTTGTGAATGTTGAAGGTCGAGGTCTTTCATATACACCAATTTGTCAATAAACTTTGGCCTTTTGTGACACTGGATTTCTAGCAGCAACTATTGGTGATTTTTTTTTTTTTTTTTTTTTTTAAATTTAACAGCTTTATTGAGGTGTAACCAGCATACAATAAGTTTCACATATTTAACGTACACAAATTTGATGAGTTTTGACACATGCAAACAGCCATGAAACCATCATAACAATTAAAATAACAAACATTTCCATGTTTGCTTTGTTTTGTTGTTTTTTTTTTTTTTAATGTGTTTTTTTTTTTTTTTTTTTTTTTTTTTATTATACTCTAAGTTTTAGGGTACATGTGCACATTGTGCAGGTTAGTTACATATGTATACATGTGCCATGCTTGTGCGCTGCACCCACTAATGTGTCATCTAGCATTAGGTATATCTCCCAATGCTATCCCTCCCCCCTCCCCCGACCCCACCACAGTCCCCAGAGTGTGATATTCCCCTTCCTGTGTCCATGTGATCTCATTGTTCAATTCCCACCTATGAGTGAGAATATGCGGTGTTTGGTTTTTTGTTCTTGCGATAGTTTACTGAGAATGATGGTTTCCAATTTCATCCATGTCCCTACAAAGGATATGAACTCATCATTTTTTATGGCTGCATAGTATTCCATGGTGTATATGTGCCACATTTTCTTAATCCAGTCTATCATTGTTGGACATTTGGGTTGGTTCCAAGTCTTTGCTATTGTGAATAGTGCCGCAATAAACATACGTGTGCATGTGTCTTTATAGCAGCATGATTTATACTCATTTGGGTATATACCCAGTAATGGGATGGCTGGGTCAAATGGTATTTCTAGTTCTAGATCCCTGAGGAATCGCCACACTGACTTCCACAATGGTTGAACTAGTTTACAGTCCCACCAACAGTGTAAAAGTGTTCCTATTTCTCCGCATCCTCTCCAGCACCTGTTGTTTCCTGACTTCTTAATGATTGCCATTCTAACCGGTGTGAGATGATATCTCATAGTGGTTTTGATTTGCATTTCTCTGATGGCCAGTGATGATGAGCATTTCTTCATGTGTTTTTTGGCTGCATAAATGTCTTCTTTTGAGAAGTGTCTGTTCATGTCCTTCGCCCACTTTTTGATGGGGTTGTTTGTTTTTTTCTTGTAAATTTGTTTGAGTTCATTGTAGATTCTGGATATTAGCCCTTTGTCAGATGAGTAGGTTGCAAAAATTTTCTCCCATGTTGTAGGTTGCCTGTTCACTCTGATGGTAGTTTCTTTTGCTGTGCAGAAGCTCTTTAGTTTAATTAGATCCCATTTGTCAATTTTGTCTTTTGTTGCCATTGCTTTTGGTGTTTTGGACATGAAGTGCTTGCCCACGCCTATGTCCTGAATGGTAATGCCTAGGTTTTCTTCTAGGGTTTTTATGGTTTTAGGTTTAACATTTAAATCTTTAATCCATCTTGAATTGATTTTTGTATAAGGTGTAAGGAAGGGATCCAGTTTCAGCTTTCTACATATGGCTAGCCAGTTTTCCCAGCACCATTTATTAAATAGGGAATCCTTTCCCCATTGCTTGTTTTTCTCAGGTTTGTCAAAGATCAGATAGTTGTAGATATGCGGCATTATTTCTGAGGGCTCTGTTCTGTTCCATTGATCTATATCTCTGTTTTTGTACCAGTACCATGCTGTTTTGGTTACTGTAGCCTTGTAGTATAGTTTGAAGTCAGGTAGTGTGATGCCTCCAGCTTTGTTCTTTTGGCTTAGGATTGACTTGGCGATGCGGGCTCTTTTTTGGTTCCATATGAACTTTAAAGTAGTTTTTTCCAATTCTGTGAAGAAAGTCATTGGTAGCTTGATGGGGATGGCATTGAATCTGTAAATTACCTTGGGCAGTATGGCCATTTTCACGATATTGATTCTTCCTACCCATGAGCATGGAATGTTCTTCCATTTATTTGTCTCCTCTTTTATTTCCTTGAGCAGTGGTTTGTAGTTCTCCTTGAAGAGGTCCTTCACATCCCTTGTAAGTTGGATTCCTAGGTATTTTATTCTCTTTGAAGCAATTGTGAATGGGAGTTCACCCATGATTTGGCTCTCTGTTTGTCTGTTGTTGGTGTATAAGAATGCTTGTGATTTTTGTACATTGATTTTGTATCCTGAGACTTTGCTGAAGTTGCTTATCAGCTTAAGGAGATTTTGGGCTGAGACGATGGGGTTTTCTAGATAAACAATCATGTCGTCTGCAAACAGGGACAATTTGACTTCCTCTTTTCCTAATTGAATACCCTTTATTTCCTTCTCCTGCCTGATTGCCCTGGCCAGAACTTCCAACACTATGTTGAATAGGAGCGGTGAGAGAGGGCATCCCTGTCTTGTGCCAGTTTTCAAAGGGAATGCTTCCAGTTTTTGCCCATTCAGTATGATATTGGCTGTGGGTTTGTCATAGATAGCTCTTATTATTTTGAAATACATCCCATCAATACCTAATTTATTGAGAGTTTTTAGCATGAAGGGTTGTTGAATTTTGTCAAAGGCTTTTTCTGCATCTATTGAGATAATCATGTGGTTTTTGTCTTTGGCTCTGTTTATATGCTGGATTACATTTATTGATTTGCGTATATTGAACCAGCCTTGCATCCCAGGGATGAAGCCCACTTGATCATGGTGGATAAGCTTTTTGATGTGCTGCTGGATTCGGTTTGCCAGTATTTTATTGAGGATTTTTGCATCAATGTTCATCAAGGATATTGGTCTAAAATTCTCTTTTTTGGTTGTGTCTCTGCCCGGCTTTGGTATCAGAATGATGCTGGCCTCATAAAATGAGTTAGGGAGGATTCCCTCTTTTTCTATTGATTGGAATAGTTTCAGAAGGAATGGTACCAGTTCCTCCTTGTACCTCTGGTAGAATTCGGCTGTGAATCCATCTGGTCCTGGACTCTTTTTGGTTGGTAAACTATTGATTATTGCCACAATTTCAGAGCCTGTTATTGGTCGATTCAGAGATTCAACTTCTTCCTGGTTTAGTCTTGGGAGAGTGTATGTGTCGAGGAATGTATCCATTTCTTCTAGATTTTCTAGTTTATTTGCGTAGAGGTGTTTGTAGTATTCTCTGATGGTAGTTTGTATTTCTGTGGGATCGGTGGTGATATCCCCTTTATCATTTTTTATTGTGTCTATTTGATTCTTCTCTCTTTTTTTCTTTATTAGTCTTGCTAGCGGTCTATCAATTTTGTTGATCCTTTCAAAAAACCAGCTCCTGGATTCATTGATTTTTTGAAGGGTTTTTTGTGTCTCTATTTCCTTCAGTTCTGCTCTGATTTTAGTTATTTCTTGCCTTCTGCTAGCTTTTGAATGTGTTTGCTCTTGCTTTTCTAGTTCTTTTAATTGTGATGTTAGGGTGTCAATTTTGGATCTTTCCTGCTTTCTCTTGTAGGCATTTAGTGCTATAAATTTCCCTCTACACACTGCTTTGAATGCGTCCCAGAGATTCTGGTATGTGGTGTCTTTGTTCTCGTTGGTTTCAAAGAACATCTTTATTTCTGCCTTCATTTCGTTATGTACCCAGTAGTCATTCAGGAGCAGGTTGTTCAGTTTCCATGTAGTTGAGCGGCTTTGAGTGAGATTCTTAATCCTGAGTTCTAGTTTGATTGCACTGTGGTCTGAGAGATAGTTTGTTATAATTTCTGTTCTTTTACATTTGCTGAGGAGAGCTTTACTTCCAACTATGTGGTCAATTTTGGAATAGGTGTGGTGTGGTGCTGAAAAAAATGTATATTCTGTTGATTTGGGGTGGAGAGTTCTGTAGATGTCTATTAGGTCTGCTTGGTGCAGAGCTGAGTTCAATTCCTGGGTATCCTTGTTGACTTTCTGTCTCGTTGATCTGTCTAATGTTGACAGTGGGGTGTTAAAGTCTCCCATTATTAATGTGTGGGAGTCTAAGTCTCTTTGTAGGTGACTGAGGACTTGCTTTATGAATCTGGGTGCTCCTGTATTGGGTGCATAAATATTTAGGATAGTTAGCTCCTCTTGTTGAATTGATCCCTTTACCATTATGTAATGGCCTTCTTTGTCTCTTTTGATCTTTGTTGGTTTAAAGTCTGTTTTGTCAGAGACTAGGATTGCAACCCCTGCCTTTTTTTGTTTTCCATTGGCTTGGTAGATCTTCCTCCATCCTTTTATTTTGAGCCTATGTGTGTCTCTGCACGTGAGATGGGTTTCCTGAATACAGCACACTGATGGGTCTTGACTCTTTATCCAACTTGCCAGTCTGTGTCTTTTAATTGCAGAATTTAGTCCATTTATATTTAAAGTTAATATTGTTATGTGTGAATTTGATCCTGTCATTATGATGTTAGCTGGTGATTTTGCTCATTAGTTGATGCAGTTTCTTCCTAGTCTCGATGGTCTTTACATTTTGGCATGATTTTGCAGCGGCTGGTACCGGTTGTTCCTTTCCATGTTTAGCGCTTCCTTCAGGAGCTCTTTTAGGGCAGGCCTGGTGGTGACAAAATCTCTCAACATTTGCTTGTCTATAAAGTATTTTATTTCTCCTTCACTTATGAAGCTTAGTTTGGCTGGATATGAAATTCTGGGTTGAAAATTCTTTTCTTTAAGAATGTTGAATATTGGCCCCCACTCTCTTCTGGCTTGTAGGGTTTCTGCCGAGAGATCCGCTGTTAGTCTGATGGGCTTTCCTTTGAGGGTAACCCGACCTTTCTCTCTGGCTGCCCTTAACATTTTTTCCTTCATTTCAACTTTGGTGAATCTGACAATTATGTGTCTTGGAGTTGCTCTTCTCGAGGAGTATCTTTGTGGCGTTCTCTGTATTTCCTGAATCTGAACGTTGGCCTGCCTTGCTAGATTGGGGAAGTTCTCCTGGATAATATCCTGCAGAGTGTTTTCCAACTTGGTTCCATTCTCCACATCACTTTCAGGTACACCAATCAGACGTAGATTTGGTCTTTTCACATAGTCCCATATTTCTTGGAGGCTTTGCTCATTTCTTTTTATTCTTTTTTCTCTAAACTTCCCTTCTCGCTTCATTTCATTCATTTCATCTTCCATTGCTGATACCCTTTCTTCCAGTTGATCGCATCGGCTCCTGAGGCTTCTGCATTCTTCACGTAGTTCTCGAGCCTTGGTTTTCAGCTCCATCAGCTCCTTTAAGCACTTCTCTGTATTGGTTATTCTAGTTATACATTCTTCTAAATTTTTTTCAAAGTTTTCAACTTCTTTGCCTTTGGTTTGAATGTCCTCCCGTAGCTCAGAGTAATTTGATCGTCTGAAGCCTTCTTCTCTCAGCTCGTCAAAATCATTCTCCATCCAGCTTTGTTCTGTTGCTGGTGAGGAACTGCGTTCCTTTGGAGGAGGAGAGGCGCTCTGCGTTTTAGAGTTTCCAGTTTTTCTGTTCTGTTTTTTCCCCATCTTTGTGGTTTTATCTACTTTTGGTCTTTGATGATGGTGATGTACAGATGGGTTTTCGGTGTAGATGTCCTTTCTGGTTGTTAGTTTTCCTTCTAACAGACAGGACCCTCAGCTGCAGGTCTGTTGGAATACCCTGCCGTGTGAGGTGTCAGTGTGCCCCTGCTGGGGGGTGCCTCCCAGTTAGGCTGCTCGGGGGTCAGGAGTCAGGGACCCACTTGAGGAGGCAGTCTGCCCGTTCTCAGATCTCCAGCTGCGTGCTGGGAGAACCACTGCTCTCTTCAAAGCTGTCAGACAGGGACACTTAAGTCTGCAGAGGTTACTGCTGTCTTTTTGTTTGTCTGTGCCCTGCCCCCAGAGGTGGAGCCTACAGAGGCAGGCAGGCCTCCTTGAGCTGTGGTGGGCTCCACCCAGTTCGAGCTTCCCGGCTGCTTTGTTTACCTAAGCAAGCCTGGGCAATGGCGGGCGCCCCTCCCCCAGCCTCGTTGCCGCCTTGCAGTTTGATCTCAGACTGCTGTGCTAGCAATCAGCGAGATTCCGTGGGCGTAGGACCCTCCGAGCCAGGTGTGGGATATAGTCTCGTGGTGCGCCGTTTCTTAAGCCGGTCTGAAAAGCGCAATATTCGGGTGGGAGTGACCCGATTTTCCAGGTGCGTCCGTCACCCCTTTCTTTGACTCGGAAAGGGAACTCCCTGACCCCTTGCGCTTCCCAGGTGAGGCAATGCCTCGCCCTGCTTCGGCTCGCGCACGGTGCGCACACACACTGGCCTGCGCCCACTGTCTGGCACTCCCTAGTGAGATGAACCCGGTACCTCAGATGGAAATGCAGAAATCACCGTCTTCTGCGTCGCTCACGCTGGGAGCTGTAGACCGGAGCTGTTCCTATTCGGCCATCTTGGCTCCTCCCTCCCTGGTGATTTTTTTTAACAGTATTGTTGGGAGGTTTAAGAGGTGATTATTATGAGAAATCCCATATGTTTACCTATAGGTCATTCTGGTATTTGCTTACAATTGCATTCTCCACAGCCCCCAGCACTTGATAAAATACAGAAGCATTCTACTCTTCCTCTCCCACAGTTAGCCGTATGCCACTTTATATCTGTAGGTGCTTTGTACACATCACTCCCTCTTGGAGAGGAAAAACAGCTCCAATATACAGTGGCTTATTCTAAAATGTGTTTAAGAAATACTTCAGCCTCAAGTACTTAAAAGCTTAAAGAGAGCAGTACCTTAGTTGGAATAAATCCAGTGTTCAAAGTTTGAAGAAATCCGGTCGGCTTCAAGCAAGCGTCTAGATTTATCCCATAGTTTAAAAGACTTAGGCAAGGGAGACTAAAGGCATGGAAGTTATTTTTAGCACCACTGAAATTGTGGAGGGACAATTTTACTGCTCTGCAAGTTGAGAAGGTTTTTCTGCTGTGCTTAAAACATGAGGTCTCCTTCCTCCCAAGGCAACACTAGCTTCTAAGCCAGTGTTTGTGAGGCTAATAGGAGTCTTGTCAGTTGTCACTCGTCAGTTGTGACCAGAGGCTTCTGGAAAGAACGTGCAGTGGAGATAAGAAGAAAACACACTTTCCAGATGCATATGAATGTTAAAGCTTTAAAGATAGACAAAGGTTAAAGAAATTAGCTTCTGGTTTTGATGTAATGAAATAGCAAGGTCAAAGCCTATACTGTTCTTTCTCAGTATAAACTTACGTATTTAAAAAGAGTCATATTTTAGCATAATTGTGTGCTAGATTTTACATTTTTATGGTAAATTTGTTTCAACCTCTTACCCTGGGGGAATTTCATAGGCAATTATGTTGATTGTTTTTCTTTCCTTTTTTTTTTTTTTTTTTTTGAGAGACAGGGGTCTCACTATGTTGTATGTTGCCCAGGCTAGTCTCGAACTCCTGTGCTCAAGTGATCCTCCTGCCTCAGCCTCCTGAGTAGCTGGGATTATAGGTGTGCACCACTGTGCCCAGCTATGTTGATTGTTTTTCTAATTGCAAGGTGCAGTTTAAAATTTATCATTACTTAAAGTGTAATGACTTAAATAAAAGTTAAGGCAGAGAGGAAGCACAAGGAGAACTCTAGTTGTAGTAAAATTAAGGGTGACGTAGTAACCTCCTGCCTCATGAAATCTAATGGAAATGAGAAAGTGGAAGTTTCCCCAAACACAGTAACATTTGTTATCCATTTAGGATCAGATTTTTGCCTGACAAAGGGGTGTTAAGGATTTGATTGTCTTCCACAATGTTGGTCTCTTATTTTTAGAATATGTAAAAGGAAAGCACAAGATCAATTTTTTATTGTGATAAAATATACATAAAATTCAATTTTAACCATTTTAAAGTATACAGTCCCAGGGCCTTTTAGTGCAATGTTGTGCGACTGTCAGCACTAGCTAGTTCAATAACATTTTCATCACTTCAAAAGGAAATCTTGTATCTATTAAGTTGTCACTCCCCATTCCCCTCTCCTCCTAACCCCTGGCAACCAAGTACCAGACTTAGGCAACTGGTAAAAGCTACTTTCTGTCTTTTGTATCTGCCTATCCTGGATATTTCATATAAATTGGATCTATTTTTTAAAAGGAGAAAATCAAAGCTAGCCATAGTTATCATTTGGTAAGTGGCATAAAAGCAAATAGTCGGATTTCACAATCAGTAGACCTTTCCTTCTGCAAGCTAGCCATACCATAAGTGAAGGACAAACAGGCACATCTTGATTATTGAACAGAAATGAGCGTTGGAATACCTAGGTACTATAGATGAGAGCCTAGAATTTCAGGTGAATTCCTGTGTCCCAGAAATTTTAAAAATCATTTCATCGATAATTTTCTGCCTGCCTTTTTCTTTTTACTCTTTCTGGAGTAAAGACAGAAAATTTTTATTACATTCTGATTTTGGATCACTGGGCTGCTGATCCTTTGTCATTTCTTCCCCCTCTACTTTTAGGGCATTTACTCCATACTATTTATTTTTATTTACTTTTTTTTTAATTGTAAATAAAAGAAATTTATTTCTTACAGTTCTGGAGGCTAGTAAGTTTAATAGTATGGCACAGGCATCTGGTGTAGGCCTTCAAGCTGCATTATCCCATGGCGGAAGAGCAGAAGGGCAAGGGAGTGTGTATGAAAGAGAAAGCATGAGGGGCTGGGCTTGCTTTTATAACAACCCACTCTCTGGATAACTGACCCACTCCCAAGATAACTACATTATTCCATTCATGAAGGGTCCACCATCAGGACCTAATCATCTCTTATTAGGTCTCACTACCCAACAATGTTGCATTGTGGATTATTTCCAACAAGTGAATTTTGGGAGACAATGCTATTTATTTTTAATTCCTATAAACTCTTAAAAAATCTCTGGATGTTCATTTTCTACAGGATCTGGGAAACTGGAAATCTAATTGCTTCTTAAACCTACTTTCAGGTTTTTTCCCTTTTTTATAACTCCATCTTCTCCCCAACTCCCTGAGGTACTTAATGCTGCCAGTTCCTGAGGCTTTTAAGTCATCTATAGCAGGGATCAGCAAACTTCTTTTCTAAAGGGTGAGGTAGTAAATATTTTAGACTTTGTAAGACATACAACTGCTCAACTATCAAATACAACTGCTCACAACTGCTCAACTCTGCCATTGGATTAGGGAAGCAGCCATAGATGATACGGAAATGAATGGGCATGTCCTTGTTCCAGTAAAACTTTCTTTACTGACCGCTGGTTTATGATCCATCTCCTTTCCAACTTCCAAGCTTTTGTTGCTGTCATTTGTCCCCACTCCAATTCTTGTTATTTTGAGACTGTATATTTTTAATGCTTTTATAGTCATCTTACTGGAGTTTTAGGAGTGAAAGTAAAATATTTTGCTTCTTCATCATCTTTACCTGGATACCACAGGTGAGCATGAATAAGGGGTAGTGTGAAGTATGAAAGTCTGGTATTTCCATTACTTTTTTTCTGTAATTGGACCCAGATACCACAGGCTTTTTACACCCACTAATTTGCATCTTTTAATCTTCATTTTCCTTTCTTGTAACACAGATTTTACTGTCATTTCAGCCTTTATCTAGAAATCTATTTCCAGCAATAGGTAGGATCTTAGCATTTGTGATTTCATGTAAAATTAATAGAACCTAGATTATGGGCAGTGCAGTCAGCGTAGGAGACTAACTTGCAAAGGGCAGGTGAGAAAAACAGCCCTTTCAAAGAAGGGCTAGGATCAGCAGAACATGCTGATAATCGGGAGGCTGCAGCTTCTCTGACTGCCCACCAGGGGTAGAACTGAGGCCACTGAGAGCAGTTGCTAGTCCTCGCACCCCGAGACCTCGAGCAATGGTGGCAAATAGGACAGGAAGCCATTCTCTGAGTCAGCAGCTCCCAAATATAAGCCAGGAGTAGCAGCACATATGTTCCCAAACTGTGATTATGCTCCACAATCCCCTCCCTTCCTCTCCCAGAGCAAATCACAGCCATTCTCAGTGTGCTACTGCTGAGGAAAGAGAACTGGAAAATAAATCCTCTGTGTTTTCCAATGAAAATACTGTTCAATGTTTAAATAAATGTTATAGAAGCAACAGCTTTCAGACATGACTGCACGTTGTGATCACCTGGGGAATTTTGAACACTCCTAAAGCCCAGGCCCCACCCTAGACTATTGATGTCAGACTCTCTGAGGGTGGGGCCAAGGCATTAGCATTTTAATGCTACCTTGAGGATTCCAGTGAACAACCAGGTTGAAACCTCATTTTCTTGCCCCTCCAACCCCCCATGGATTTTCTTATCAGCTCATTTCCTCAGCAAAGGTAAATTGACACTAGGGCATGACACAGAGCAAGAGTGTTCTGACTTGGGACGGGAAATTTAGGAAACTGTAGAGTATAATTATGGTTTTAGAACATAAGATTTTTTAAATATAAGACTATGAGAGTTATGTCATATTTAATAAAAGCTCAAATTTAGGCACTATTTTAAGCACTTTCCATATATCATCTCATTTAATCTTCATAACAAACCTGTGATGGATTATTATCATTTTCATATTATTACCAAAAGAGATCCTAAAGCACAAGGAGGTTAATTTACTTGTAGTAGTCCATTTTGTGTTGCTATAAAAGAATACCCAAAGCTGGGTAATTTATAAAGAAAAGAGGTTTATTTGGCTCACAGTTTTGCAGGTTATACAAGCATGGCACCAACATCTGTTCAGCTTCTAGTGAGGCCTCAAGAAGTTTTTACTCATGGTGGAAGGGTGAAGGAGGAGCAGGCATGTCACATGGAGAGAGAGAGGAGTAGGTGCCAGGCTCCTTTTAACAACCAGCTCTCAAGTGAACTAATAGAGAGGGAACTCACTCATTACCAAGAGGATGGCATTAAGACATTCATGAAAGACCCACCCCCATGACCCAAATGCCTCCCACTAGGTCCATTTTCAACACTGGGGATCACACTTCAACGTGAGATTTGGAGGAGACAAATATCCAAACCATATCACTTGTCCAAGGTTACACACAAGAAGTAAGTGGCAGACTTCGGGGTCCATCCCTAGCATTTAAGATCATGGCTACACTGCCTCTACATCTAATTTTGCAAATAGATGATTCCTTCATAGAAAAGAATCAAATTATAATAAATGTAAAACTGAGTAAAAATAAAAATCTGTGGGTACAGCACATGTCCACAATCTTTTATCTCAATTCTGAAATCTCCCAAAGCTTTAAAAAGTTTTGGAAATTTGGACCCAAAACTCATTTGCCTTTAAGACCTGAATCTAACCCATGTGAGGTCATGTCTAATCCTTTTTTTTGCCCATCATAGTATAAATATTCACATTTTTTGTGGCACAGTTATTACATTTTACTATTCTTTGCTCCGGCAGACTCACCTAGGGCTGTTAGGTAATATATGGCTATGGAAATCCAAAGTGCTGTGTGCCAAATGTTTCTAGCCCTCCGTCCTCTAGACACATTGTAGGGTTGCACTTTCCTTCCCTTTTAAAGTTAGGTATGATCGTGTGACTTGATTTGGCCAATGAAATGTGAACTGATGTAATATATGTCATTTCCAAGCAGCAGTTTTAAGAGACGGTTTGCACTTAGTTGTAACTCTCTTTCCAGAGTTGCTGGAACTCTGACCAGCAACACCCCTGATGGTGCTTGCTCTGTGTGATGGTTAATTTTATGTGTCAACTTGACTGGGCTAAGGGCTGCCTAGGTAGCTGGTGAAACATTATTTCTAGGTGTGTCTGTGAAGGTGTTTCCAAAGGAGATTAGCATTTGCATTGGTAGACTGAGTAAAGAAGATCACCCTCCCTGGTATGGGCAGGCATCATACAACCCACTGAAGGCCCAATTAGAGCAAAAAGGTGAAGGAAGGGTGAATTTTCTCTGCTTGATCTGAGGCATTTATCTCCTCCTGCCCTCAGCCATCAGTGCTTTTAGTTCTTTGGCTTTCAGACTATGACTGGAATTTATACCATTAGCCCCCTGATTCTCAGGCATTTAGACTCAGACTGAATTACGCCACTGGTTTTTCTGTTTCTCTAGTTTGCAAATGGCGGACTGTGAGACTTCTCAGTTTTCATAACCAGGTGAGCCAATTCCCATAATAAATCTTCTCTTACATATACCTAAACATATCCCATTGGTTCTGTTTTTCTAGAGAATCCTGACTAATACACTCTTACAGCCTGGGACCTTGAAGAGATATAGAGCAGAGTCCCCCACCCCTGCCACAAGTTGGATTTGGGGGATTTTTGTTACTGAAGCCTAATGTAGTCTAGCCTGACAGATACAAGAGTATACCACCTTACATTTCTAAAATCTGAAAGATCCTGAGTTCTGAAACATAAATCACTTAGGGTTTCAGATAAGAGATTATGGATCTTTACTTGAATATTTGAATCAGGATATGTTCCCCTAAGAAAAATTGAACTGTGTCATTACTGTGAGTACAGCTATTTCCTGAAAAGAGTTAACTAGCCTCTGAGCAACATCATCTGGATTGAGCTCTTGGAAGTCAGGGACTGTCTCATGTATCTTGGCAGCCTCAATGCTTGATATAAAGCGAACACTTAGTAAATAGGTGCTAAACAAAATGGGTGGCATAAAGACAGTTCCTGAAATGTGAGTCTTCAGGGCAAAAAGCAAAGAAAGAGAACATAAGAGGTGAAGGCAAAAGTTATCTATTCCAGCTACTTCACAATTTGCCTTGTTTAAATAATGAACTGGAGTCAGGGCAAACCCTGTTTGAAAGGACAGTATAGTGGCTGTAAATAAATGCTTATGGAGTGGAGATGAGGACTAACTGGGGTCATTTGAACACGTAAGGCTCTTAGCATGGAATTCATTTATACTTAACCTGCAATAATTTTAGCTATTATCAATATTAACTTTAAAATTGTAGCAATCCTCGGCCAGGTGCAGTGGCTCACGCCTGTAATCCCAGCACTTTGGGAGGCTGAGGCAGGAGGATCACCTGAGGTTGGGAGTTCGAGACCAGCAGACCAACATGGAGAAACCCCGTCTCTATTTAAAAAAAATACAAAAATTAGCCGGGCATGGTGGTGCATGCCTGTAATCCCAGCTACTCGGGAAGCTGAGGCAGGAGAATTGCTTGAACCTGGGAGGTGGAGGTTGCAGTGAGCCAAGATCATGCCATTGCACTCCAGCCTGGGCAACAAGAGTGAAACTCCATCACAAAAAAAAAAAAAAAAAAAAGTAGCAATCCTTGTGAAACTCTATATAAGAGAAGGCAATTGCCTAACACTAACATTTTCAAACTGGGCTTTACTGTGTTCTTTGGTGTTGTGGACTGAATGTTTGTGTGCCTCCCTCCCCTAATTCAGACGTTGAAACCCTAATCCCCAATGTGATGCTATTAAGAGGTGAGGTGTTTGGGAGTTAATTAGGTTATGAGGGTGGAGTCCTCATGAATGGGATTAGTGCCCTTATATGAGGGGCCCTAGGGAGATCTTTTGCTCTCTTTTTGCTATTTAAGAATGCAACCCAGAAGCAAGCCCTCACCAGAGTCCAAACTTGTTGGCACCCTGATCTTGGAATTTCAGCCTCCAGAACTGTGAAAAAATACATTTCTGTTGCTTGTAAGTCACCTAGTCTATGATGCATTGTTACAGCAGCCCAAGATAACTGAGACATAGGGACTCTGAAGCACCTTTTTAGTTCCCCTAGGCTGGGGAATGTCAGAGCTCTTGGAAAGGGGAAGGGGAAGGGCCTGACCTAGCAATGCCTGCTTCAACCTTAACCACTCTGCCTTACTGCCATCACATATTAGCATCTGATTAGGATTTTCTTTGAAAAAAAGGTCCTGTGGATAAAAGGAATCTTGAAAGCCATTTGAAAAATATATTTTAGAAAGATCTTCAGCAGCAATTGTTGAAAACCAAGGCTTTTTGATACATTTTATTTTAAAATAAAATAAATTAGTAACTGACTCATAAATCCTGGTATTCTGGCCAATTAAGATTTTAATGTAGCATCTTGAGATAACATTTGAAAAAAATATGCAATGCTCTGGCAGTCATGAGCATATATATCCTTACATTTTCCCTGCCTCCTCAAAAACCAAAAGATAGATATTTGTAGGTTAATCACATGAGGGCTTTGCTTAGCTAGAATTTAATGAGATGTTCCTTAAAGCTCCTAGAATCTTCTTCTTGGCTCATGAATTAGTGGCTCTGAAGGGCACAGGTTATTAGTGTGTTCTGACTTAAGGCAAAATTAGAGACTTGGAGAAGAGGCTGTTACATGGATTCCATTTTCATGGTCCTATTAATGTGGCGAATGTAATGCCACTGAGTAACATTGGCTCAGTGTGGATTTAGGACTGTGTGGTGTCTGGTGCATGTATACAAGATGGCCGTTCCCTTATGAACTGACTGGTTCATGTAGTCTCACACAAGAAGGTGCTTTTCTTACTCACCTTTCCTCCCCACTGGGGCTTCAAGGATTCCTATTTTGAGAGTCTTGTGGGGAAAACAAAAAAGAAACTTGAAACTTCCTGAGCATGTGTCTGTCCAGAAGTAAAAGAGGGAGGAGGACTGCTTAGAACAGCTAATCTTAAGTTGGAGACATTCAGAAGGTGGCAAGTT
Source organism: Homo sapiens (assembly GCF_000001405.40). Classification (NCBI taxonomy): domain Eukaryota; kingdom Metazoa; phylum Chordata; class Mammalia; order Primates; family Hominidae; genus Homo; species Homo sapiens. Next base: position 11,949,502 of record NC_000023.11, read on the forward strand.
TCCAAAGACAAGTCTGATTGTTTCAAAATTTTGGCAAGAGTGAACCCTGCAAAAGTGTGTATATGTGTGTGTGTATGTGTATACGCATGTGTTGGTAAGGGGAGGTAGAAGTGGGAAGTGGAATGTTTTTCCTTTTTTTCTTTTCTCCTATCTGGAATGTCTCTGATTCCCAGGATTTTCAAGTGAGACCAAGCTGGTTGCTTCAATAGGTGGTGATCACACTGACCCAGAAGCCTGAGTAGGGCAAGTGGGCTGTGGCTTGGCAGAATCTGGGGCTCCTCTACTTGCCAGTGAGTTGCCCGATGGTTGAGACAATGTCAAATTCAACTTTTAGACTCCCAGAAGGTGCTCAGTTGTTTTTGGTTTTTTTAGATTATATAACTATTTTGCAATTAATAAAATTGTATATGTTAAAGGTGTTCAACATGCTGCCTTGATATACATATACATAGTGAAATAATTACTAATGGTCAACCAAATTAACATGTAATATGGTTTGGTTCTGTTTCTCCACCCAAATCTCACCCTGAATTGTAATCCCCATAATCCCCACGTGTCAAGGGTAAGACCAGGTGGAGGTAGTTGGATCATGGGGATGTTTTTTCCCATGCTGTTCTCATGATAGTGAGTGAGTTCTCAAGAAATCTGATGGTTTTATAACTGTCTGGCATTTTCCCTGATTGCACTCACTCTGTCCTGCCACCCTGTGAAGAAGGTGCCTGCTTCTCCTTTGCCTTCTGTCATGATTGTAAGTTTCCTGAGGCCTCCCCAGCAATGTGGAACTGTGAGTCAATTAAACCTTTTTCCTTTATAAATTACCCAGTCTTGGGTATTTCTTCATAGCACTGTAAGAACAGACTATTACACAAGTACATTACCTCACTTAGTTAACTTTTTTGTTTGTTTGTTTGTTTGGTGAGAGCACCTGAAATGTACTCTCTTAGAAAATTTCCAGTATACAACACAGTATTATTAATTAGATTCCTCATGTTGGACCTTAGATCTCCAGACTTATTCATTCTACGTAACTGAAACTTTGTACTCTTTGACCAGCATCTCTGCATTTCTCCCTTGTAACTATTAAAGCCTCCTTTATTTCTTTTTAAAAATTGAGATATCATTTACATGCCATAAATTCACCCTTTTAAAACATACATGCAGCCAACAAGCATATTTAAAAAGCTCAACATCACTGATCATTAGAGAAGTGCAAATCAAAAGCACAATGAGATACCATCTCACACCAGTCAGAATGGTTATTATTAAAAAGTCAAGGCTGGGCGCAGTGGCTCACATCTGTAATCCCAGCCCTTTGGGAGGCCGAGGCATGTGGATTACCTGAAGTTAGGAGTTCTCGACCAGCCTGGCCAACATGGTGAAACCCTGTCTTTACTAAAAATACAAAAAATTAGCCAGATGTGGTGGCACACACCTATAATCCCAGCTACTCAGGAGACTGAGGCAGGAGAATTGCTTGAACCTGGGAGGCGGAGGTTGCAGTGAGCCTAGATTGCGTCATTACACTCCAGCCTTGGCAACAAGAGTGAAACTCCATCTCAAAAAAAAAAAAAAAAAAAAAGGAAAAAAACAACAGATGCTGGCAACATTTCAGAGAAAAGAAAATGCTTATACACTATTGGTGGGAATGTAAATTAATTCAGCCATGGTGGAAAACAGTGTGGTGATTCCTTGAAAACCTAAAAACAGAAATACCATTCGACCCAGCAATCCCATTACTGGTTACATACCCCCCAAAAATATGTCATTCCACCATAAAGACACATGCACATGTATGTTCGTCACAGCACTATTCACAATAGCAAAGACATGGAATCAACCTAAGAGCCTGTCAATGATAGACTGGATAAAGAAAATGTGGTATCTGCATACCATGGAATACTATGCAGCCATAAAAAAGAATGAGATTATGTCCTTTGCAGGAACATGGATGAAGCCAGAGGCCATTATCCTTAGCAAACTAACGTGGGAACAGAAAACCAAATATCACATATTCTCACTTATAAGTGGAAGCTAAATGATGAGAACACATGGACACATAGAGGGGAACAACAGACGCTGGGGCCTACCTGAGGGTGAGCAGTGGGAGGAGGGAGAGGAGCAGGAAAAATAACTAATAGATACTAGGCTTAATACCTGGGTGATGAAATAATCTGTACAACAAACCCCCATGACACAAGTTTACCTATGTAACAAACCTGCACATGTACCCATGAACTTAAATTAAAAGTTAGAAAAGCACAGTGGCTCACACCTGTAATTCCAGCACTTTGGGAAGCTGAGGCTGGTAGATTGCTTGAGCCCAGGAGTTCAAGACCAGCCTGGGCAACAAGACAAAATCCCGTCTCTAACAACAACAACAAAAAATTAGCCTGGTGTGGTGGCACACACCTGTGGTTCCAACTACTCAGGAGGCTGAGGTGGGAGGATCACTTAAGCCTGGGAGGTCAAGGCTGCAGTGAGTCATAATGGCGCCACTGTACTCCAGCCTAGGTGACAGAGCGAGACCCTGTTTCAAAAATAAATAAATACATACGTACATGCATACATACTTTAAAAAATTCACCCCTTTCAAGTAAGAGCCCAATTCAGTGGTGTTTAGTGTGTTCACAAGGTCAGGCCTTAGGCACTATGCCTCCTGCATATTATAAATGAATCAGCCCTTCTTTCATGAATATAATAGCCAGTGGTCACTGATATGGGTGGATTAGGGCCCTGGGAGCTTTATCTCCCTAAGGAGACCTTTAGAGGAATAACAAGAAGCAGGCTCCTTCCCAGGCAGGCTAAGTTTGGTGCTTTTATTTCTTGAAGCCGCAAAATCAACATTCCTTGGGAGAGCAGAGTAGGAGCGTTAGATCACAGCTGGAGCTGTATGAGGAAAGTCATGTTTATCAGAGGAACCTCCTCCTTAAGTTTGTCTCAGATGCTGCAGTTTGCATCCCAGGGGAGAAAAACTAATTCTGCTTTCCCCAGAGCCCAATTGTAATCTGCGAAAGGCAGTGGGACCTGGCAGCCATCCAGCCCATGCCTCCCTTTTCCAGATGTGAAAGCTTGAGGCTGAAGCAGTTAACTCAGTTTTTTGCCCTGATTTTTTGCATTTCCTCCTATCTTAAAGACTCTAAGAGGGAGAAAGCTAACCCAAGGGATATATTTGCAGTCATCACCCACCCACATTCGATAGCATCTTACCCTGGGAACTCCCCTCTTCACTAACACCTTCCTTGGCAATGGCTGCCTTGGGCAGTGTGGTTTGGGACTTTTGGGCCAAGGATGGCTGGATAATGAATAGAACAGTGCCAGTCAAGGTGGAGACCATCAGCAACATCAGCGTCACCTTAAGCTTGTTAGAAATGCAACATTTCAGGCACCCCCAAAATCAGGAACACTGAGGGTGATGCCCAGCAAACTGTGTTTTAGTAAGTCCTCCAGGAGATCTATTTGCACGTTAAAATTGGAAATGCACTGAGAAGACTCTTGATCAGGTAGGGCTCGGGGTGCTAAACCTAATGACATGGCTGTGAAAGCTAGTGCAAAATCAATACAAAAAAATAAGTAGACCAACTCAAACCTCTGAAGCTTATCTACACATGGCCATAAATACTCACACATTGTATCATTTCATGTAGGCTAAAAATGAATTTGACTTACCCTCTCCTACCTACACCTGTTGGTTTCTCATTTGGTAATATCCTTCTTCCTTCAAGCAGCTCTATATTGTCAATGTCATTGCAAATAGATTAAATTAAGAAAAGAAAAAATAGTGGAAATGGAGTGAAAAGAAGGGAAACTTTTTTTTAACCCTGCTGTATCCTGTGCCTGTTGACCTAGCATTAAAACTCTAATTTAAAGATAAGTCTCATTAAAGATGTCCCTTTTCAGGAGTGGCATTTTCTGACAATGGAATTTAGGAGTCTAAGATTCCTAACCATGGTACTATTTAAAACTTTTGCCTAGATTTCCATTATCAAATAAAAAGCAAATCCAGGTTTAGCTAAGGAGAAACATTATTCAAAAGGACTATTTCGATGAGGGGTGGGGGATTGTTGCATATGGGGAGAGAACTTTGCAATAGGACGAATGGTCCCACCAGAAGATCTGCAAGCACCGCAAAGGTCAGATAGAAAGGAATTTTCTTTTATAAGAAGGAATAAACAAGGCTAGAAAGAACCAGACATGGGGAGAGCGATGAGCAGGAAATGCCTTTCCTTGAGAGTCAGCCAGTTCTCTTAAGGGGCCATTCAAGGGGGATTGGTTGTTCAGCATATTGATGCTATTGGCAGGCATTTTATCCAGATTAGTCAGGGGTTTACAAACAGTTCAGTTAATCATTTGTGGCAATGAATGGAAATTTGTAGTGTCTGTGTCTGGCCTGTCCTAGGTAAACAAAGGGGTTATTCACAAGTCTTCTTAAAGTCATATGGTTAAGAAGAGTGGTTCTGTGTAGTAAGCCCTTCCTCTGGACACCAAAGGATGGAGGAATTTCTTAACCTGTGTTGTCTTCCAGGCAGTGTATATCATTGTCAGTATATATCACTGAAACATTTAAAAATAAAAACCTCTTAGCATTTATCTAATAACACAATTATCTTTAATTACAAAACACATTTGTTGACTTCAGTTTGGCCAACCTATGTGTTTTGTAATTAAATGGAATTTGCTTTATTAGATAAATTGCTAAATGCCTCTTTTAGGAGAGGAAGTAGTAACCAAACTTAGCATTAAATACATGCAAATACATAACAGAGATTTAAAAAAATACTTTGAGGATAGAATTGGATGAACTATTTAAAGCTGGATGCAAGAGTTGGAACTGAAAGAGATACTACATATTTTTTCCACGTCAGTAAATCTGGTACGTACAATATGTCATGCTGGTGAACAAAGAAGTGCTGAGGAGTCATGAATTACACAGTAATGAGAGAATAATGTGGCTAAGAGGGTGTTCACAGGTTGTCCGGTTAGCACCACTTAAAAATAATCATCATGGTTGAAGTGTTTTTTTCATGTGGAAAGCTTAATTAAAGCAAAGCAACTAAGAGCAGGGGGATCTTTAGGTAGGAAGTAAGGAGGGAAAAAGGTTAATTTTTCAAATACCACATTTTTTTAGTGCTGTGGTACACTGTGACCATTAGCTGCCTACAGCCTCTATAAAATAATGGAAATCCTTTCTAATATCATCTTGGGGTCTTGACAGAATGTTCTACAGTTTTACACTATTGTTCTCTATCATTATATCTGTCAATATAGTTTCTACCATCATAAATTGATGGTAGAAACTGCAAATTCCTTATGGGAGATTTGTTCCTGACCTTGTTGGTGTCCTTGGGGGCTTTTTAGCAGAATAGGAAAGTCTTATTATCAGGGATGAGTCTAAAACCCCTTCAAAAAAAAACCAGTGACAACAATAACAAGAATAGGTGTCTTAGTCCATTCAGGCTGCTATAATAAAATATCATAAACTGGGTAACTTATAAACAACATTTATTTCTCACAGTACTGGAGACTGAAAAGTCCATGTTCAGGCAGATTTGATGTCTGGTGAGGGCCCACTTCTTATAGACGGTGCATTCTCACTGTGTCCTCCACATGACAGGAGCAAAGGGGCTTCTTTGCATCTGTTTGATAAAGGCCCAATCATGAAGGCTAATCCCATTCACGAGGGCTGCACTCTCATGACCTAACCACCTCCCAAAATCCTCACCTCCTAATATCATCACCTTAGGAGTTAGGATTTCAACATATGAATTTGGTTGGTGGGTGGGTGCGTGGGGGGACACAAACATTCAGGCCATAGCAATAGGAAGACATTAAGAATCAGCCAGGCTTGCTGGGCACAGTGGTACATGCTTGTAGCCCTAGCTAATGGGGAGGCTGAGATGGGAGGATCATTTGAGCCCAGGAGTTAGAGTCCAGCTTGGGCAACACAGTGAGACCCCATCTCAAAAAAGTTAAATAAATAAATAAATGTATGTATGTATGTATGTATGTTTGGGAGGCCGAGGTGGGCGGATCACGAGGTCAGGAGATCGAGACCACGGTGAAACCCCGTCTCTACTAAAAAAATACAAAAAAATTAGCTGGGCGTGGTGGCAGGCACCTGTAGTCCCAGCTACTCGGGAGGCTGAGGCAGGAGAATGGCGTGAACCCAGGAGGCAGAGCTTGCAGTGAGCCGAGATTGCACCACTGCACTCTAGCCTGGGCGACAGAGCAAGACTCCGTCTCAAAAAGAAAAAAAAAAAAAAAAGGAAAAAGAATCAGCCAGACATAGGCAGTTTATCAACTTTATTTTGTTTAAACCTTGCAACCAGCTAAGTGGGTATCATTTCACTCCTACTAAGTGGGCATCATTTCACTCCACAGATGACAAAATTAAATTTCCAAAAGGTTAGACTCAAGTCTTTTCACTACACTTCAGGAAGTTTCTAACATGCATGGCAGAAAAAGGTATCCCTCTTTGAGCCCAGATTTCTGAAGGACCAGTAAGGGGTCATGAAGGAGGCAGAAGTAGGGCTGGTCTTTCCAGCTTCTCTCATCTGTGAACCATAATGACTGCATTTTAGGCTCATCTTTGCCAAGTTGTCAAATCAGTTTTGACACAAGCAGACAGTCAAAACAAGTTTTGGAAGATGAACTTTGGAATTCTTATTGTCTGCCATATGCTTGATCGCTGCTGTATCCGCCAAAATAGAGCCATCCTCAAGCCGACCCAGCTCTTCACATAGCTAGAACTAGGCGCTCTGTTCTCCCCATTCTTCTTATTAGTGCTCCATTTTCCCTACTGAAACTGGAGGCAACCCTGATTCTGTACTCTTATTTCTTGCTTTCCAAAGGATGGTATTATAATAAATTCAATTAAAGATGTATGTGAGGTTTGGAGGGGAGGGGGGAGATTTCTTTAGAGAACATTTTCTATTCTAATGTAAGAAAGCCAGACCTAGAAGACATTGAATGTAATAGCAGGAGCTCACTTTATTGTAAGTATGGAGTTAGGTTAATCCTTAGTAGATTCGGGATCCTATAGTCCCATGATAAATGTATGCACTTTTTAAATTAGCCTCTAGTGTAACCTAACACTTCATTGCTTGTGGAAATTCCCCTCTTATCAATATGTTTTCTTAGCATAGCAAACTCTTTGAAACATTCTTCTGTACCAGTTGTAAATAGCATCTTTTTTTTCTTCATCTTTGGCCTTTCAGAAAATAAACTTAGAATGTTTTAAGAGTATTAAAATACTTTTTCCACATTAAAGTTAGAGAGAACTGAGGTAGAATTGCACTGAGGGTGGGAGGCTGACTACTAACATATGTTCCAGGATCTGGTCCGCAGGTTTGTAGTTTCAGAAATTAGAATTGTGTGGTGCTCAGAGTCAATCAGCCTTAACCATACGTAGCCTAACTATACTCACAAGAGGCTGGCTTACAATCACAGTAACACTTGTTTACACTGAGAAATCCAATTTTCAAGAAGACTAGAATACTTATTTTATCTGTGTAGCACATTTTCTCCCTTACAGGAAAGCTGTAGGTTTTAGCGAGTCATGGGAAATAGGACAAGAAAGCTCACTGGTTGGTGTCATCCACCTTGAAGATTAACAACTTCCTAGGCAGAACTTGTTAAAAGATAACTTTTAACAAAAGGTAAAATCATGACTCTCATACATACAAATATAAAATGAACACGTAAAATATTTTATGTGACTCAATCAAATGAGGGAGCCAACAAAATGTCACAACCATTTTAAAGTAGAAGTAATGAGAACCAAGTGCTGTGGCTCACACCTGTAATCCCAGTATTTTAGGAGGCTGAGGCAGGAGGATCACTTGAGCCCAAGAGTTTGAGACCAGTCTGGTAACATAGCCAGATCCTGTCTCTACAAAAAAAATTTAAAAAATAGAATTAGCCAGGTGTGGTGGCATATGCCTATAGTCCCAGCTACTCAAGAGGCTCAGCCAGGAGGATCCTTAGAGCCCTGGAGTTTGAGGCTGCAGTGAGTGAGACCCTGTCTCAAAATAAAATAAAATAAAATAAAATAAAAGTAGAATTAATGAACCACTGATTTATATGGAGTAAAACATATTGAAACTAACTTATAAGTGGACACAAACCTGGCTATTTCCCAAGGGCTATGATTGAAGGAGTCAATTGAACTGCTGCCAGACAGATTTTATTTGCATGCTTATATTTTATTTGAGCTATTTTACAACTCTACTATTTGTAAAATAGCTCAAAGAAAATAAAAAGCTAGAATCGGATAACTCAGAAAATTGTGCTGTACACAATGCATAGTTTTCCCTTTGGAGATAGTAATCTTTTTCCCTAATTCCAAATTTTCCTACAAACTGACATCTTCTTTTGACTGAAAGTAGTTATTTTGAAGGTCAATTGTAGAACTGATTTCTCCTGGCCTTGGGATAATTTTCTTCTCTCCTTTTTCTTTCACTGGCTTACAACTAAGTTTCCTTAACAGTATACCCTAAGGAAGTATCTTTTATTATTTAAAAGAACCCCCAATTGGTCTTTTGTTCAGTTACAATTTTTTGAGCACTTAATACATTGATTTTCAAACCTGGTTGATCAGAATCAGGTAGATTTTTAGAAATACAGGCTACCAGACCCATCTCTGGATTTTCTGATCCAGACTCTCAAGGACATATGTCTTTAACACTAGTGATTTGAGGAGTCTGTGGATATACTCTGGATAAGAGACCTAGTTGACAAATTGAATATTCTAGCAGGTGTTAGGGGTGGAGGTTTTCATGAGTTGCAGATGACTTCTGGTCATTGAGTGTGTCCAAAGACAAAATTACAACAAATTTAGTTTAAAGATCTTAATGGACTTTTATTTGTGATTCTAGAATCAGTTCTGATGAGCTGATCAGAGGAGGTTGGCTTTATAGACAGAAAAAAGTTGAGGAAAGCAAAAACAGAACAAAAAACAGACAGGTCACTTCCAAGTTACTTTCTTTATAGAGGTTAAAGCAGAGGACAAGTCCTTATCAGGCTGGCTAAAAACTGGCCTGTTTGGGGATTTGGCTATTATCTCTCTCCTGATTTCATGGAAGGTCAGATAAACAACTTAGTTTCACATTACAGACATGGAACTTCAGCATGAATAACTCCATTTTGATTTGGTCTGTTGAGCCAATTACAGAAGCTCAGTCCAAACCAATGACCACCTCTAAATTTTATTTAACAAGTGACTTGTTGGATGGTGATAGAACCCATTATCTTCTTTATAATATTTAGATCCCTAAGATACTCATATCACACTAATATACTTTAATATAGCTTTTCCCTCCACCGCAAATTTGGAACTAATTCTCATGTTAGAATCACTTTAGAAAGATGCATTTTGTGATAGTATATGAACAATACAATAGAGAGGGTCACATTTTATTTTCTACAAAAAGCCAACATAGGATGTGTTTGGTAGTTATGTTTGGACTCCACTGAGTTTTATTAAATCATGATGCCAAAAAAAACCCTACCAAAACCAAAAATCACAGTGAGGGTGTATCCTGAAATCTTAAAAGAAAGTCCAAACTATTTATTATTGCAGGTTGTATTTTTTAAAGTTATTTCCATAAGTGAAGCAGGCACATCTTGTTCCCACCACAGGTGCTTTCTGGAAAAGATGTCAACTGAAGAATGACAAGATTCATAAATTTGGAAGGGAGAGCTTTATTTCTTATAAAGGGTTGCAGCCTGCAGGGTGGCCATTCTGGCAGACTGGGAAGTGTAGCCTCTGGCCAGAAGCTAGAAACAGACACTTCAAGGCAGTGGGTAAAGAGAACAGGAATTTATGCTGAGCAAGGTGGCCAAATATACATATTCAGGAGGAGCCATAGTTATTTATGAAAAGAGAAACGTGTATGTCATGTGCAATGGAGTGTCACGTCCCTTCAGGGGTCCCATGTACAAAGAATGGCAGCATTAGCACCATCCAAGGGTGGAGTTTTTGGCCATTTGACATCAAAAGGTGAAGCAGAGGACATGAAACTCCTCACTGCATGTCCTCAATAGATTGGCCAGAACCATTCCATAATGGGAGGCCCTTATCAGGAAGGAATGCTGGTGGGTTGTTGTGATGAAACTGCAGAAGGACAGCAGTCAGGTGGTTGGTTGATATGGTTGATATCAGTGGTGGAGTCTTTTGAAAGGGCTGGTTTCTGTTTAACCCTTAGGGAAGGAAGCCTAATGGTAGTTAGTGAAGGGTGGTTATAACTAGCCATGTCTGACCTCCCAACCTGTCAGCTTCTCAGGTTTCTCTGGGGTCCACTTGGCCAAGAGGGAGTCCATTCAATCAGTTTGAGGACTTAGAATTTTATTTTTATTTCTTACGATATAAATGCCCTTAGTTGACATATGCTCCATCTCCTGTTTCTTTCATGGTGGGGAAAAACTACCTCAGCAAACAGTGATCAGTGATGCTAAAAACAGCTCTGTTGGTGGCTCAAGTGTTTCAAATGATGGGGCATCACAAGATGGATCCAAGAAACCCTAATCTGTCAGTGTTAAGAAGGAACAGCATACACAGCAAGCAGCAGATGTGTTAGCCTTTCCAGCAGCTGGGGTGTGTATCCCAGAACAAGCCCAGCATATCACAGCACAAATTATTACAATGTTGGGGAATAATTGTCAATACGAAACTACTTTCTTGTGGAGCGGTTAGGATTTCCTATGCTTCCCCTCCCTGCTCCTCCCTCCAGATTTCCTTTCCAGCTTGTGTGTATGTGTGTTGCCAAGAACCATTTGGATTTTAAAGGCTGAAAAATAAGTCAAATTCTTTCTCACCTGGGGTTGATTGGTTGCCAGCTCCTTCCTCCTTCGGGTGTCATCATGTTCGCTCTGTCATTGGGAAGGCCATGCATTGCTGCCAAAGAGGACCTGAGAAGCAGCTTGAAATTCAGATGCATCAGAGATACATATCAGGGGCTGATATGTTGAAATCATTGTCAGTTATCTCAGTTTCCTGATGCAATTTTTTAAAGATTCTTTTGGCTCAAAGTGTGGTTAAGAATTTTGACTTCCACATGGATATTTGAAGATTTAAATATCCTGTAATACAAAGATATATGTGCCATATCTCCTTATGGATTTATTTTGTCTTTATTCTCTATTTTAATTCCTGCAGTTTATAAAATTCTGCCTTGTGTGCACCATCCACTCTGTACCTGATGCATATCTTGATCATAACATTTGTCAGTATATTGAATTCAACCGTATGTATATATCTGCTACCTCCATGGAAGCAACCTGGTTCTATTCATTTTTATATCCTCACAACCTGGCACAATGTTCTATACATATTTGAGTTAAATTGAATTTATTTCATATTGACTTAAGGGATAAGTCCAAACTTCTTAGCTTGGCAATCAAAACCCTATTTAACTTCTTACTTTATTTTTCTTTGATTATCTGCGTATAACCAGTATTGGAAACAAGAAGGACCTAGGGGATGGAATCATAAAGCAATTTTAGTTTTGCTGTCTTCGTTCTTTAAATCTGTTCTGTGGAGGTGTTTTTTTCTCTTGCCCTTGGAATTTTCTAACTGTTCTTTGATCGTACAAATTTCTATAGTCACTTCAGGTTGCACAGTACTAGATTAATTCAGTAATTAAAATGTTTGGTGCCATACTATGAAACCCTGAAGCTGGGCCTACTGGAAGCAGGATATCTACAGCCAGAGAATGGTACATGATTGGCTTTTACTCTCTCTCCTCTTCTGGAGCTTCTCCTCCTCTCTCAGATTGCTAACCGTGGTTTCTGATTCCTTTAGAGTGAAAAGAAAGAAGAGGAAAGGAGGCAAGAAAATTCTTACTTGATTGTACTGCCAGAGTGCTCTAGCCTTGGTGTCCTCACTTGGCAGGGATGGAAAGTTGATTCTTCATATCATGGGAATTTTCATCTGCTCTTGTCAGTCCCAAGGAATCTAGAAATATCTCCAGCTTTTCTTTGCTAAGATCTGTTTGCCCCTTTTAGTAGTCCTCTTGGGTTGGATTAAAGCAATGCCATATCAGCTCACCCTCATACAGAGCTGACACCTGGTCCCTGGGAAACACTTCTGCATTATTCTTTGTGACAGACACTGAGAGTTCAGATCCATCTCAATAAGCCCCTTCACTATGCGGTACCTTCAAAGAAATTAGCCAGCTCAACTGTCACCTTTCAGATTTTGAGTGTGAGTCAAACACCAACATCTCAATAAGCCCCTTCACTATGCGGTACCTTCAAAGAAATTAGCCAGCTCAACAGTCACCTTTCAGATTTTGAGTGTGAGTCAAACACCCAAACTGTAGAGGATTAGAGTACTCCTTTTCATGATCTATTTCCCAGGCCTTCTTCCACATTCCACACCAAAAATTTGAACAGAGCTTTAATGTTAAAAAGAAAAAAAAAACTTAAAGAATTTTTAGTTAAATAAAAAGTTATTAACCACTGAAAAGATAAAAAGAGAATTCTAGGAAGTAGCAGAGGTAGCCATTGCTAAAAGCTACTACAACCTCTAAGGCCGAAGGACAAAAGGGAAGACGTTGGAATTATTGAAGCTTAGAAACTAAAGGAAGACCTCTCATAAAGCTGCTGTCCTAGTCCATTCCTACTGCTATAACAAAATACTTTAGATTGCAGATTTGCCTTGATCTTGGGCTTCCCTGCTTCTAGAGCTGTGAGAAGTAAATTTCTGTTATTTATAAGTTACCCAGTCTAAAGTATTTGGTGTCTGGTGGGGGCTTGCTCTGTGCTTATAGATGGTGCTTCTTGCCACATCCTCACATGGTAGAAGGGGCAAATGTTGTATCTTCACAGAGCAGGAAGAGCAGAAGGGAAAAGGGGCACTAGGATGCTCCCTTCAATGTCTTTTATGAAAGCACTAATCCCATTCATGAGGGTAGAGTGCTCATGACTTGATCATTTTCCAAAAGTTCCCACCTTTTAACACTATCACATTGGGTATTAGGTTCCAACATATGAATTTTAGAGAAACGCATGCATTCAAACCAATAGCAGCTGATGTCTCTGGGACCAACACCTTTGAGGAGGGGCACTGCTCAGCCACAGGAACAAACTCCTGCTGCTGCAGTGATGAAGCATTACTGAGGTAGCATGCACAGCAACTGCATGCTGACACCCTGCCTTCAGAAAAGCAAAACTGGAAGGAGTAAGTTCTGTTGTCTTCCTCCTGACTTTGTTTCCCTCTAGTGCCTCCTATTGAAAGAGGCTATCAGGGAACAGCTGGCAAAGCAGACATGTAGGACACAGAGTCCCAGCCCCAGCACCACAGAGCAGAATCTGGAAGGGTTGGTTTTTAGCTAAATAACAATAACTTACCTGGCATAGCTCCTTTTGGGGTGGGGTTGGATTCTCAGCACAATCTCTTCTATTTTAAATGTGATCTATTTTCTTTTGTTACCCTGTTATACACATAAAATACATCCAGCTGACTTGGTTTCATTTTCTCCCTCCTACTAACCCCTCATCACCACTACTAATAATAAGAATTTGTACTATTGCTCTTTCTTGCAATACCTTTCTTATTTTCATTGATCAAATTTCTTTCAATATGTATACTAGGGTGGGCAAGTGAAATAACACAAAGGAAAGAAATGTTAAATCAGGCTCACATGAATCAGAGATCTTAATAACTTCAAAAATACAAATAATTGTGAAGCACAGGTGATACATGGAGAGGGCTGGAGCCACTCACTCATGTCCTCATGCATATTCTTGTGTAGGGTGTACTTTGTTTCAGATTTAACATATGAGGCTCCAACCGATGTCTGCTGCTACAGTAGTTACACAGTGGGGAAATGTTTTGGACATAAAACATTTTTATCTTATATGGCATAGACGACATTTCCATGTCCTATAAATTAGTAGATTTCAGTCCTGTTTGCCATAAGCAATCCTAAACAGACCAGGCACATCCTGCTAAAATAATCTACAGATAAGGAATCTCCCACCAGCCTTTAGTTTGTTTGCCAAGAGGTCTGTCATTAGCATGTTTTCAAATAAATTTATTCATCTAATCTTTTTGAGAAAGACAATGATTGCTGGTCTACTGGCCAACTATTTCCTACCCAGCAAGTGAGATGAAACTGACAAGAACTAATGCTTGAATATATTAATTGAAGACGAGTAGAACAGAAAGCTGAGGGCAGAGATGCATGGGCAAGCCAGTTTGTGCTGGATGTGACAGATATTTTCTTTACAAAAGTGGGGAAAGGCTAGGTTAAAATTGGCAAGCCTAAGGCAAAGGGCAAGAGCAATTCTGGGGAATCACAACAGGAGTAAGTTGACAGATTATAAGGGAAATTTGGGGGTAGGGGATTGATAGGAGGCAGAATGCAGGTCAAACTCAGGGACTCACAGACTATATAGGTGAAAAAATTCCCTAGGGATAATGTAGTCCAACCATTTGTTTTTAAAGATGAACAAACTCTTCATTGATTTGCTCCTGAGTTGCTCTAAGTTGGTTAGATGTGCCACAAAAGGTTTCCTAGCACATGTTTCTCAAACTCAGCTGCCTACACATAGAGGTGGGGACAAGCTTTTCAGAAATGCAAAATGCTGGACTCCCACTTCAGAACTACTTGAATCAGAATCTGAGTCTGGGATTGGGATTCAGTGCTTTTTTTGTTGTTGTTGTTGTTGTTGTTTGAGACAGAGTCTCACTCTGTCGCCCAGGTAGGAGTGTGGTGGCGCAATCTCGGCTCACTGCAAGTTCCGCCTCCTGGGTTCACGCCAATCTCCTGCCTCAGCCTCCCGAGTAGCTGGGACTACACGTGCCCGCCACCACACCTGGCTAATTTTTTTGTATTTTTAGTAGAGACAGGGTTTCACCGTGTTAGCCAGGATGGTCTCGATCTCCTGACCTCGGCCTCCCAAAGTGCTGGGATTACATGCGTGAGCCACCATACCCGGCCGGGATTCAGTGTTTTTAAGACACTCCACTATAATGTTCTACTAATGTTCTTCATGGCTTTGACACCAGTTACCTGCACTACAGATCAAATATAGTAGGACTTCCCACAGTGTCCTGTCTGGGAACTGCCAACAGTCTTACAAATCTCTAGACCCTTAAGGAGAATTGAGACACTGTCTCAGAGTACTAATATGAAATGTATGGTCTGTATCATTGGGTACTAGACAATTATTACTGTAGATTTTTATTTATCTATTTAAGATTATGTCCTGTGTCAGTTGTCTATTACTGCTAGGACAAATTACCACAAATTTGGTGGTTTAAACAACACAAATTTACTATCTTACAGTTCTGAAGGTCAGAAGTCTGAAATGATTCTCACTAGACTGAAACTGAGATGTCAGCATGGCATCATCTCTTTCTGGGGGCTCTAGAAGAGAATCTATTTCCTTGCCCTTTCCAGCTTTTAGTGGGCAACCCACATTCCTTGGCTTGGGCATCCTTCCTCCATCTTCAAAGCCAGTGATAGCGGGCTTTCTCACACTACCATTTCTCTGATTCTTTTTTGCCTCCCTCTTCTAGTTTTATGGATTGTTGTGATTACATTAGGCTCACTTGGATAACCCAGGCTAATGTCCCTATTGTAAGGTCACCTGATTAGCGAATTTGATCCATCTGCTATCTTAATTCTCCTTTGCAATGTAACGTAACATATTCACAGGTTCTCAGGAATTAGAGCATAGACATCTTGGTAGATGGGGGAGGCATTATTCTGCCTACCACATGCCCTATTTTCCAAATTAGGCTTCCAAGAGGACAGGTCTACATGTTATTCTTTTAATTAGAAGGGTGTTTGCTGAAGCAATCATTCAATAATTAAGGTTGAATTTGGGCTAAATGCTGAATGAAAGTATCTTCATTTCCTAGTTTTATTCCCCTAGAAAGGATTCCTTCATGTGACTTAGTTTGCATTCCAGAATAATTTTATTAAGTGGATTTTAATAGAAATATGACACATCCATTTACTATAACTTATATCAGAGTCTAAAAACATGATTTCTGCCTATTTAGATCAATTTACATCCTTCCAAAGCTGTTAGTTCTCCAGGAACATGTTCTTCTCATTGTCTGATTCTGTAAATATTTCACTGCCCCAAGAGTCCCTGGAATTTCTGGCAGAATGAGAGTTCAGCAAAATCATCTTCCTGTTTAATCATTGTTGTTGAGAATAGAAATCACCATTCTTTTGTCAATAGGACATGGTTCCTGTCTGTTGCTTTCCACTCTCTCAGCATCTTAAATTTAAAAAAAATCAAAATCAAACAATGCCTGAATGCAAAAGAAAGCGGTATTAGCTATTTCCACCCCAGTATGGAGTTTGAATAGTGTCTTGATTTGGTTGTCATTTAGAAGCAACGACTTTATGTTCCACAGTCTCGTGAGGCAAGAAGTTCTTTCCTACAAAGGGGAAATAATAGTATTCCTACATTTATCACAATAGAATAACGCTTCCTGAACTCCTATTTTAATATTTAGTGACTCAATCAGGGAGTATTTGTTAAGCACTATACTTGATAAAAGACATCTAAGACATAAAAGTCACCTAAAAGAGGCTTAAAATAGAGTGAAAATATACACCAAGTTGGAGGGAAAGAGCTTCTGTACAAAGGCTAGAATTAATTGAAACTTTTCTATGCCATGGAAACATATTTGCATCAAATAATATGCTATGGTCTGGATGTTTGTGCCCCCCACATTCATATGTTGAACCCTAATCCCTATTGTGGTTATATTAAGGGATGGGGCTTTTGGGGAGGTGATTAGGTCATGAGGGCTCCACCCTCATGAATGGGATTAGTGCCCTTGTAAAAGAGAAATAAAGGAGCTTGTTTGCCCCTTCTTCCATGTGAGAATGCAGCAAGAAGATGCCATCTTTGGAGCAGGGAGTGAGCTCCCACCAAACACTTAATCTGTTGGTGACTTGATCTTGGACTTTCTAGCTGCCAAAACTGTAAGCAATAAATTTCTATTGATTCTGAATGACCCAGTCTAAAGTATTTTATTATAGCAGCCCAGATTTATCATCATCATCATCATCATCATCATCATAGCCTCAAGTCTCAATTTGCCAAGGCAATGGGTTGAAAAGATAACATGGTTGTGTAAAAAATCATTGATCCCAAAATGTGGTTTTATCCAAGGATTTTAATTTCCTCCCCAATCTCGTATTTTTAAGCAGAATCAATAAGTCAACCAAACTAAGTTGAATATCATTTTCTTCCCCTCATTTAACCTTTCCAGTAATGCCAAATGACAATTTCTTTAATTCACAGATTCTTGCTTTGATCTAAAATCCTCTTGAATGCTTCTTCCCTTAAATCTCCAGTTTCATTTATTTTTAAGAGACTGACTTATATGAATGCAACTGACTTTTTCAAGTAATATAGATTAAACATTTCTGGGTGGCCACACTTATTTGGATTACACTGGAGGATTCTCTTTGAATTATGCTAATTTTAGCACCCACCCCATCAGCAAGTAAGTGGCATGGGTGTGAGTTTTAATCCTTTATCTAGGTTTCTTTCTTTCACCATGGCTGAGGTAACAGCAAAAAGAAAAAAGAAAAGAAAATCTTACTCCCTTCCTGGAGTTTGAACTGTGCAAGACTATTTTTATATATACTTATTTTTTGGAGATGGGATCTTGCTATATTGCCCAGGCTGGTCTCAAATTCCTGGGCTCAAGCAATCCTTTCCCCTCAGCCTCCTAAGTAGCTGGGACTACAGATTTGTGACTATTCCTGGCTGTACAAAGACTTTCCATGTAAACATATCTTATCCATGTTGTGACTTCCTTCCGCTAATGATCTCCCCTAGCCATTACTACTGAAAGTGTACAGTGTAATGAACTGTTCTGCATGTACAGCACTGTTATAAGACGAGGCATTTGTGAGACCCTGATGGATGCTCTTTTTTGTGTAAGTTTAGCTTTAGAGTCACAATTTACTTCCTTAATCAGAGCAGTGCTTTTCATGTCATTGAGTAACTTTTATTTGCACAATGTATTCACAGCAATATGCTTTTGCATTTGTAAATTTCTGGTGCCTTGAACCCTTACAGTAGGATCTGATCATTTGCATTTTTACAATGAGCACCTGCTCTTGTTGTCCCTCAGAACCAAATACTGGTCTTACTCGTGAATGGAGGGAAAGCTCATCAGCTTCCTTCAGCTTGCAGAGCTGGACTTAACAGGAACCGGGAATACACGGAGAAGAGGATGATTTCTAGGCAGATGTGTGTGTGTGTGTGTGTGTGTTTTTTTTTTTTTTTTTTTTTTAAGGAAGCTGACCAGTGGCAGCTGGAGTAGCTTTGTTCATTACAGATGTTATTGGCACTGTCTTTGTAGTTTTCTCTGTGAAGAAGAAATGGAAGATTGGCAGGAAGCTCCACTAGGGGGAGATGACCAGTATCTAGAATTTTGTGTTGCCTTTTATGTCTATTTGACCACATAGGTCCACCGGTTCTTTTCATTTCATCTTCTCTTGGTCTTGCATTCCATTTTCCTGTGATCAGCTGGGGAACCTTTCACCTCTAGCAGCATAAAGTAACAGCATCTGTGATTTGGAGGCGGGGGCAGTAGGCTATTTTCCCAGTAGCCCCAGTCTTTCTGCAGGAGGGGAAAATGAGGTCAAAAGAAAGAGAACAGTAAAGTCAAGGGATAGAGGTCACCTCCCTTCACCACAGATCCTGCTAGCCCATTGTTTGAGCCTTGGATCTAGTTCATGATAAAAGCTACTGTTATGTGTCATGCACTGTGCTAATATTGGCAACAGCCCAGTTGAAAGATGCTAGTATTTTCTCCTCTCTTTTGTCCAAGATCAGACAACTAAGTGTCATACCAGACCCCTATTGACTTCAGTAGGGATGGTACCATGTTTGAAAGGCCAAAGAGGAGTCTCAGAACCAGCAAATGAGACACAGGGTTTATTGAGGTGAATTATATACAGGGTGGTTCAGTAGTGGCAGCCTGGACTCGTGAACTGCTACTGTTTGTAAAAAGCATGCAGTTTACATAGCATTTTCGCTTAGCACTCTCCCCCTAGCGACCATCTCCTGGCAACCTTCATTCAACCCACACAAAGGGCCTCAATCCCCCGTATGGCCTGCATTCCATGAAATGGGCCAGGACTTCAGATGTTCCTCATAGGTAAGGAATGAATCTCTCGGTTGGCCACTCCTGAATTCCTTAGCTTGGAACTCCAAACATGCATTCTTCTTACACCATAGGGTCATTGTCAGGGTATGCTTTCATTGCTGACAGGTGTGTCTGCCATACAGGGTCATTCTCAGGGTATGTTTACATTGTTATTACTGTCAGGTGCATCTGCTATACACTGAGGCACAGAGATTAAATAACTTAGCCAAAGTTACACATGGGTAATAGCTGGCAGAAAGATTTTAATCCAGGCAACCTGGCTCTAGCACCCACGTTCTCAACCAACAAGCTACACTGTCATGCAGTTATTTTACATACCATCTCCACTCCAACCTTCCCACTTATGTGAGGCAGTGAAATTATTTCTGTCACTTCCAGATGATTACTGAAAACAAACCAAGCCAAATCCCGGGCAGGCCATGATTGGGTACGAGGGTAGTAAGCTTTGGCTTCAACATTCTGGATAATTGGATCTTATCTCCAGCTGTATTGTGTCAGTGGCAACTTGACCAAATACTGAGGCTATTTCTCAATCAACATTTCCTTTCTGTAACAGGACTGCTAGGAGGAGCTGCTTCTCAGCTCTCTCAGTATGGCAAAATGCCTTGAAAATCTTCTTGGGTGATCTCTAGTATAGCCCCTACCCCGTTTACTGAAACTAGGTCAAGTTGCTGAATTTACTAGTCACAAATTCTGCTGTGGAGGAGTGTACTCCGAGAACATTGCAGATGGGCATTGCCATCCTAAGAGTGAAAGCAACAGTGGATTTCCATGGGCTTAGGCCTTGAATCTGAAAATAGAGAGGCTTTCATCAGTGACGTGGATAATGGAATAAAAGAATCATATATATAAAGATTTCAAAGGGCCTTAAAGCAATTGTAGGGGGTTGACTTGCAGCTTGGAAATTGGGTTTAAGTTGAAAGTTGCCTAAATAAATTGCAGTGATCATCAGGTTCAAAGTGTTAGGCGCCTAAGGCTGTCTTGCTATAGACCCACTGATGAATTTAAGTGTAAAATCATGTCGGTGAAAGGCTGGCTAAATTTGGGATTAGGGAGGTACAGGAAGCCTGTAATCTGTATGATTTTATAAAACATTGTTTTCTTTGTAATTTAACAATATGTAAGACACATGTGCATTCATTCTTATATCTCTCCAAATAATCGTTTCGTAGACTATTAATGAGTTGCTTTATCCTTTCTCTCCCTACCCCCTCATTTTGTTTCTCTCCACTCCCACCAGCTCTCATGGGACTATGCAAAACACAGGTAGTCTTATTATTGAGTTACAGTTATAAGCCATTGTGAGTAGATTCCTCTCCTAGCCTCAGTTCCAGTAGCTGTGGCATTTTGGGGGTTTCTAGGATACTGTAGCAAAACCAGAGACAGGTGCAGTTTGCTGTATTTTTGGAAACTACTAATTTTATGATGCCTATTGGCACCAAGAGTGTAGGCAATTTGGGTCTCCTACCCAGGTCAAAGGTATGTACTTTTCCAAAG
Source organism: Homo sapiens (assembly GCF_000001405.40). Lineage (NCBI taxonomy): Eukaryota > Metazoa > Chordata > Mammalia > Primates > Hominidae > Homo > Homo sapiens. The sequence continues at coordinate 11,970,155 of NC_000023.11, forward strand.
CCGCATATTATTAAGGTTCTGCATTTCCTTTTCAACTCAGTACCTTCATCCCATAATAAGCAATGATTATCAACAGAGGCTAAAGAGGAAAGCTTTTGGTAGTACATTTGTCTCTTCCTGGGGTCTATCTGGTGATCTTCTCTTCTTATAGGCTCTTTGTACTTTGTATAGTTGATCACAACCATTAGACCTACATTCCCAGATGAGATCAGATGCTCACCACATGTGCGCAAGCTTTTTGATCGCTCTTCTGCCTTTCCATTGTCCAGCATCCATGCTCCGTCATTGGGGCAAATACACAATCACACTGACTCTACCTAGAAAACAGGGAAGAAGAACTTGGTTCCAGCACTGACTGACTATGTTGGAAACACAGAAATTAATTAATAATGCTCTAAGACCAAGTGAGTTGTAGCATGTGAATGTTCTTCATAGATATGAACTATACAAGAACCACCAGAGAAACAGAGAGAGTAGATGTTAAAGCCAAGTTGGGAGTAAAATTTCTGCTGATTGCAAATCTCTGCCCCTTCAGCTGTGTGAAATGATTTTTTCCCCCGAAAAGTTTTCGTGATTGCTTAAAGCATTTGCTAGTTTTGCTAATGTGATTTGACCTCACTGGGGCTCTGATCCCAAAAGCCTGTCATTTATCTCATACCACACACAGCTGAGGCAGAGAAATTTATTCCCAGCCAAGAATCTCATAGAAGTTGGATAATTACCCCGTGGCTCAATCCAATTCCATTTGAGTGTCCCCCAGTTTAAGCCTCCCCAACAAATAAATATAGTATTGATCTGGTGGTTAGCATATGAAATTGGCAATTGTTCTTCCCCCTCTTCCAGATCATTTGTGTGTTTCACATAGTTACCATGACTGAATTTGTCAGGGTTTTTTCTACTGGGCGTCCTACATTTCTGCAGGTCATGATCTGATCTCCAGGGCTTCTTTATTTCCTGTCTTTCTGAAATATGTGAGTCACTGAATGTGTCTTAGCTGTGAGCTGGCCTGCCATCCTTACTCTAAAATTGGAGTCTGAGTTGCTGCCTTACATGCGCCAGATTTTGTTAGGGCCAGGGAAACATGTTTTCTTTCACTTGCAGCAATGCTTTTTGGGTATAGCATTCTGCCTAACATTATCTATTCCCTTACCATTTCCTGTATTTGATTATTATTTCGTTATTATTCATAGAACATTACCCAGAAATTATTGCAATATTGTAATTTTATTATTTATGTGAAAACACATATTTGTATAAATTTAACAATGTAAATATCAGTAGAATGTGAGCTGTTCAATGGCAGGGTCTGTGTTTCATTAATCATTTATATCCTAGCACCTTGAAGAGTATCAGCTCATAGCTGGCATTCAATAAATGCTTTCATTTTAATGAATAAATTAAAGAATGACTTTGCACTGTTAGATTTTCCCCCATTAGTATGTGCTCAGTTGTTTGAAGAACACTTCTATTGTCTTCCCAACATCTATTCCACCTTTCCCCATGGGAAATAGCAGTAATGCATTTGTTACCAGGATTGGAGTCACCCCAGCTCTAGGGATAATTTTTGACTGGTCTGGGCCTATTGTCCCAGTGTTAGATACCAAGAAGGGGACACTATTTTAGGTACCCCTAAGAAAGAATGAGATAAAAACGCCAATAATTATAACTACATCAACTGTAAGATGTATTTCACTTCAGATATACTGCAATATTACAAATATGCCTCTTACAATGGAAGTGATATGGTGAGTTGGTTTAATCAGAGTGGAGCTTAGGACTTTTGTTTGGTTGTTTGGTGAACAGATGCCCCTATTCTCAAGTGAGAATGAGGAAACTGTGGCCCTGGGAGTCCCTGGTCATCAACATCCTACAATTCTGAGGGTAGCTGGCTTTAGATGTGGCCAAAAATTTCAAAGTGATGTAGGATGCTGAAAAGAAGCTAGGTTCTTGACACAGTTCTGCTCAAGATTTCTTCAGTTATGTGAGTTAATACATTCCCTTTATCACTTAAGCCAGTTCTAGTTTTATTTTTTTAATTTGTAACCTAAAGCATCGTGATTCACGTATGAGTTTCAATAAAGGACACTTAGCTCAGAAAGGACATCCAATACACTGAACAGGAGTAAGAATTGTTGGGGAAGAAAAATCCAAGCCATAATCTGGGATGAAATATGAATGAAAGAATGATATGCAAGAGGAGTACATCCCTTCCATGCACTCACTCTAGCTAGGTTCTCAGATAGTAACTATTTCTGCTCTTGAGCCAACTTGGAGGACTTTCCATTAGAATTGCAGAGGAGTTTTCCAGGGAAACTTTATAAGAAAATAAATTGAAATTGTCCAGTTTGGGGGAAAAGAACAAAAGAAATAATAGAGAGACAGGATAGTGTAGTATTTTGAAGCACAGGGGCTAGAGTCAGATGCCTGAGTTCAAATCCTTACTCTATTGTTTCTCACTCCTAGGACATCAGGCACATTGCTTACTTCTTTAACTCCTCTTTCCTCATCTGACAAATGGGTCTTATAGAATACCTATTCTTTGCAGTGTCAACAGAATCAAATGAGATTGATACATGTAAAGCACATAATGGGTGCCTTATAAATGCTAGTCATTAATATTGGAGAAATTTAGAAATCATTTTCAGTTATATTCCATACCCAGAAAAATTCATAATCAGGTGGCCTAGCCTTGTGAGTGAGTATACAAGAATAAATTAGTTTATGTGAAAGCTCAAAGATTTGGGTTGATAAAAAGGAAGACATTTTGGCCCATAGAAGCTGCTAGACCACAAGATAATAGACAAGTAAGATTCTTATTTGTCTACATTATGTAAAATCCTCTATTGAGTTGGTCTAGTAAAACATTTTGAAATAGAAGGCTTGACTTTGCCTCCCTCTCCCATGGGCTGTTCTATTCTTTCAGCAATGGAATTCAGTAACTTTATTTTTGCCTGGTTGCCCAGTAACCGCCACTTCAGTGCCTCTTTCTAATTCACGCTTCTTCTCTTCTTTTTCATCTCTTTTGTTGAAAGAAACAAGTTTTGTGTCTATTAATTCAGACTTCCATCTATAGCTATGAATAAAGAAATCATTTTTTATGTTTGAAAACACTTGATTTTGCTCAAACGTGTTATAAAATGCTGTGTTTCAAAGAAAGATGCTATAGTCTGAATCAGAGATCAGGGCTAATTTTGTGTGTACTGCCTGAAAAGGAAATCAGGTATAAATCCATCTCCAGGTATCTGTAGATCTGGGGCTTTGCTGCTCAAAGTGTGGACCTTGATGTAGCCAGGACATCACCTGGGGGCATATTAGAAATGCAAAATCTTAGCACCCCTCCCCTACTGAACCAGAATCTAAATTTTTTTATAGGTGCTTTAAATAGCTGCAAAAGTTTGAGAATCACTGCTCTCTCAGGAGCATATCTGGATAAAGGCAGCTAATTGACTATAAAGCTTATCTTCTGATTGGAAGAAGGCCTCTGTATGATTCTATGCTGATAAGTGTTCGTTCTTCATTTTTTGTCTTTTGTATTCTTCTCCTTTGTTACTGAGAGAGAAACCTACCATTTATTAGGAGGGCAATGAGAACAATAGAGATCCACTGGTGATAAGGAGTGCTATATAACGCTAAGGAATAGGCAGGAAAATATGTCTTCTGCCACAGAAATCTCACAAAATGTAAGGGTGGCAAGTCTTGAAGAGAACCAGGATTAGATTCAGCAGCTGTTGGCAATGATTGAAGGTTGTGCACCCAGGGATGAGATGGAGTGGGGTTAACAGACCCAGGGCACAGTTCAAAGAGGTTAGCATAGAGTTAGGTCCCAGGAGGGACTAAGTCTGAGAGTCAGGCTTGACCTAGCGATCTGGAGTGAGTGGTTTCGAGTGGAACTCTGCTTAGCATGGAGTTAAAGAATTTGCAGAGAAAAAATCAAAGTCAGGAGATAGGAAACAGCTAAGAAAGAGAGGTTCAATATGGCTATAGTTTGGATGTTTGTCCTCCCAGCCTCACGTTGAAATCTGATCCCCAATATTGGAGATGGGGCCTGATGGGAGGTGTTTGGGTCATGGGAGCAGATCTCTCCCATGAGGGAGAGCTTGGTGCTGTTCTCACAGTAATGCATTCTTGCTCTGTTAGTTCCCGTGAGAGCTGGTTGTTAAACAGAGCCTGGCACCTCCCACTCTTTCGCTTGCTTCCTCTCTTGCCATGTGATTTTTGCACATGTCTGTTTCCTTTCACCTTCTGCCATGAGTGGAAGCAGCCTGAGGCCTTCACCTGATGCAGATGCTGGCACCATGCTTCTTGTACAACCTGCAGAACCATGAGCCACGTAAACCTCTTTTCTTTATAAATTACCCAGCCTCAGCTATTCCTTTATGGTAACACTAAGGCAACTAAGACAAAAGCCCAAAGCAATAATCAGAAACCAGATGATTCCCAGAAGTTTAAGAGGTATGAAAAAAGTAAAGCAGGAGATATGGGGCATCAGCCATATAAACAGCTTTACTAAGGAGAATATCTTTTTTTCTTAGCCAGTGATGTGCTCTTGATGAGTGTAGGACATTGAGCCTTGTGTGTGGTTCCTTGGAAATCTGAAGTTATTATGAAAGGAGGGCTTGTGGCTGGAGTAGAAAGAGAGGGTCACTGGGAGAGTCAGCTGCAAACCCAGAAGCTGTTGACCCAGGTAGACTTCTGTGGTGTGGGTGGAAGCAGGGCAAGGCTGGGCAGGAATGATGAAGTCCACTGAGTCAAAGAAGCTAGAGTGAGAAGGGTTAATGGAGGAGCCCTGGTTTTCCTGATATGCTAGGGCTGAGGAGCAAAGAGTTCCTGAGGATTTTTGGGGGGCAGGAAAGCAACAGAAGGAGGTCAGCTTAAGTCAAAAGGGTAAGCAGGAGTCAGACAAACAAGGCTGTTGGCCTGGGATGCTGGGATTTTACCATTTGTTCTCTGTGTTCTTTCATAGAGCCTGATCGGCATGAATGACCCTGAGCATAAATCATATCACAAAGGAGGGCAGAGACTTACAGAGAGCAAGAGCAAGAATCTGCAAATCAGTGAGACTTGGACCTAGGTTTAGAATTTTCTGTTGTTTAAGTCTTAATCCAAAGGAGGTGATATCATTTTGAATATGGAATAAAGCATGCTATCAGGAAAATTTGCAGGCACTGCAATCAGACACACTGGGGCTTTGGAAAATTATCTTTGAGCTTTAGTTTCCATATCCATAAAACTGATACAATTCTACCTTTCTTGGCAGGATTGTTCAAAAAGTTTAAAACATGTAGAACATCTAGCACAAGAACACCAAACACATAGGAGGAGTTTGATAAATTGCAACAATATAACTACGGGGAGTAGAAATTATTCATACTTGCTTTCTGAACAGTCTACCTACTATTGCCTCATTGTGAAAATTTTATTCTTTTTTCATTTGAAGATAACTAAATTTTTTTTTGTATTACTGCATGAAAATACTAATTCTATTTCTGGTGAGTAATGAGAATGAGGACAGGTGTAATTCTTCGTTAAAAATATAAATGATAGAGGGGAAAATTGAACTTTACCTAGAGACTGCACACAGCACAGCCCCAGGAACAACTGTCATTTACTGCCCACTTACCTGTTGGAGGGCATAGAGCCTCAAAGAAAGTTATAGCCTCTTAAGTGCTATCCCTGAAAAGTCCATGTCTATAAAGTGAGGCTTAAATCAAAGAAATGCCATTTATTTGCTGAATTATGTGTAATGCCAGCTACTATTGAAGTTAATGGATGGGTATAGATTAGTATCCTACCTGTTACAGACAAGACATTTGCATTTTAACAGGGGTCTCCAGAAAAAAAGCTACCATTCAAAACAGAGATTCTTTTACACTGGGAATTTTCAGTGTTGTGGCAGGTACATGGGAGAGCAGTTTGGAGACAGGAAGGCTTTCAGATTTTCCTATCCTTGGTGCTCTTGAACACTCTGTCTCTGACTGAGCCTCTTTTCTCCCGTTAATCCTGGATTTCCCTGACATTGAAATGGGGGAGTGGGTTCTTCTCAAGCTATTTTCTGGCCTGAGATTTTAGATTCTGCAATAGAAATATCTGAATAACCTGTAGCTTATCACACACACAAAAATTAAAGACAAATTCCCATGAAAAAGTAAGGAAATAAAAAAATTGGGCTTACTGGCCTCTTGATAGTGATGAGTATGGTAGCTAAAAGTATTTCCTCTAAAAGCTATTGTTTTTCCTTTAAAAAATCATGCAGCTTTGATGTTCTGGCATGGTCTTCCTTTTCAACAAAAGTCCCTTTAAAACATAGCACTCTTGATTACACATCCATTTTCAGGTAAGCTGTTGTCTTGATCAATAAATTGATTTTTATTTAAATAAGAAGGAAAACCTACTTTTCTGGCAAGGGCATCAATCTGGTTGACCCTTTGAATGTGTTAATTACAATTGTTCAAAGAATTGGAAGCCATAGTTTTAAATATTAGATCAGTTGATCAATTATAATGCAATTCTTCAGATCACACACTTTTGTTTTGTTTCAAAAAAGCCCATTGCCATTCAAGTTGTCTCTTTATGAGAATTAACATCAAACAAATTACCAATGGCTAGCCAATTTAAGAGATTAACATTGCTCAAAAAGAGCCCCCAAATGGCTGTGATTCAGCAGCCTTTATTAGATCTAATTCTTTCCTCCTTATTTGCCATGACTCATCAGTTTTGATGGGACCAACTCTGTGATCATTTTCATTTTGTTTTGTTCTTTTTTTAAAAAAAATGCATCTGATTTTTATTTTAATTTTCCATTGCATGGGATCATATTTATTGAAGAAGGGCTTTTGCTCATTTGTTTGTTTTTTTTTAAAGTATAATTTCTGCTTCAAGGAAACAGTCGGGTAAATTATACCGAACTACCAAGCAAATAGTATTTTCTCTCATGTACAATGAGTTTTTTAATAAAAGTTAAAAAGGCACTTAGATTGATACATGTTGCTGCTGCTTATTAAAAAGTGGAACTGTGGAAAACAAACTCTGAGCAAATGGCTGCATTTGTGTAAATTTGCTTTTAAAAATTATTCTGATGTAGTCATTGGTCTTAGAAATGGAGTCTATACAATGGTGGTATCAAGGATCTATCAGTGCACATATTTTTATTCTCTGGTGCTCTGATGCGTACTGAGAACAATCTGATGCCATTGGGACTTTGTGTTGCTTATTCCTCCTGGAAATCTCCAAGCCTGAAGTCCTTCCCTGTGATTTAAAAGGCGTTGACTATCCGTTTTTAAAAGGGTAGGATATGTGAAATCATATTAAATGGGAATATGAGAAGAGAGTGTTGATGAAAAGAGTCTACCTCTGTAAAATATTTGAAGAGATTTATTTTGAGCCAAATGTGAGTGACCATGGCCTGTGATACAGCCCTTAGGCGGTCCTGAGAACATGTGCCCAAGGTGGTCGGGGTGTAGCTTGGTTTTATACATTTTAGGGAGACATGAGACCTCAATCAAATACATTTAAGAAATATATTGATTCAGTTCAGAAAGGCAGGACAACTGGAAGCTGGGGTTGGGGGTTTGGGGGAGGGGCAGCTTCCAGGCTATAGGTAGATTTAAAACTTTTTTGGTTAATAATTGGTTGAGTTTAACCTAAAAACCTGGGATCAGTAGAAAGGAAATGTCTGGGTTAAGATAAAGAATTGTGGAAAAGAAAGTTCTTATTTTCAGAGGAAGTCTTCAGGTAGCAGGCTTCAGAGAGAACAGATTGTAAAATGTTTCTTATCAGACTTAAATTCTGTGTTGATGTTAATGCTGGAGAGGTATGATGAGGCATGTCCGACCCCCACTTCCCATCATGGCCTGAACCAGTCTCTTGGATTAAATTTTAAAAGTTCCGGCCGGGCTCGGTGGCTCACGCCTGTAATCCCAGCACTTTGGTAGGCCGAGGTGGGCGGATTACGAGGTAAGGAGATCGAGACCATCCTGGCTAACACGGTGAAACCCCATCTCTACTAAAAATACAAAAAATTAGCCGGGTGTGGTGGCAGGTACCTGTAATCCCAGCTACTCAGGAGGCTGAGGCAGGAGAATGGTGTGAACCCGGGAGGCGGAGCTTACAGTGAGCCAGGATTGTGCCACTGTACTCCAGCCTGGATGACAGAGTGAAACTCCATCTCAAAAAAAAAAAAAAAAAAAAAAAAAAAAGTTCCCTGGCTGAGGAGGAAGTCCATTCAGATGGTTGGGGGGCCTTAGAATTTTATTTTTGGTTTACAAGAACTATATCCAAGAATACTGCAGCATATCTGCTTTAGCAAGATTGAAATATCTAGGGCATTTCGCCTGATTAAAAAAAACAAAATACATTTGGCATTGGAAACCAATTCGAAGAATATATGCTACTTGTCTTAGAGGGGAAGAAAAAGAAATCCTTCTGGTAATTACTGTAGGAGAACTTTAAACTGAATCACTGAAGTAATGAAATGGTTATTATGAGCACTATAAGTCTGGGCTGTTATGAAAATGGAATCTTAACGAGTAGAGTGTTTGTGGAGAACAAATCATGCCCGACAATACAAAACTTTACTTTGAAGCAATTAGAAATTTAGAGGACCAAAGAAAAGAACATCTTTTAAGATCTTAATTCAAATTAGGGTCGCTGCTTTTTCAGCGTTTTCAGAAATTCGGTGTGTATAGAACTGGAATGCTCCCTGTCTTTTTCCCCTTTCCATACCCTGCCCCCAACAACTCACACTAGGATAGGTCCTTGTTTATGCCCATAATACCTTGTACTTTGTAGCACTAAGCACTTTTGTAATTATTACTACCTTTAAAAATTAATTATGGTAAAGTATATATGTAAAAGAATGTATAGGGTAGTACAGTTTAAAGAAGGAAAAGTAAAGTAAAAACCCATGTACCCACCACCCAGATAAAGAAATAGACTAGCACCAGTACTTTTGAAGTCTCCTTCATGCCACTCCCCAAGTACCGCTTCCTGTCCACCCAGCAGTGGCCATTTCCCTGAATTTCATGTTAAAATTGTCTTGCTGTTTTTTATGGTTTTAATACATAGGTATATATCACTAGAAAATATGCCATTTAGTTCTGTCTCTTTGGTCAAGGTTATGTTTTTGGATTCATCCAGGATGATGTATCAAATTAATATATTTAGTCATTCTACAGTTAATAGATGTTTGTTCCCTATTTGTTCTTTTCTTATGAATAATGGTCTTCTGAGCATTCCTGCTTATCTTATACCTAAGACTGGAATTGCTGGATCATAGACTGGGAACATGTGCAAGTTAACTAATTAATGCCAAGTAGCGGTGTTCATTTCGGTTCACATCACTGTGGGATGAAACTTTCATCACTCTATACCTCATTGATGCTTGGCATTATCCAAATTTTTAATTGTTGCCAATTTAGTGGCATGAAGTGATTTTTCATTGTGGTTTTAATTTTTATTTCCTGGTTACTGATGAGGGTGAGCATCTTTTCATATGTTTATTGGTCAGTAGGATTTGTTCCCCTCGGAAATGTCTATTCATGTCTTGTGTGTTTTTCTATCTAGTTGTCATTTTATTGATTTGGAGGATTTGTGCATATATTCTGGATAATAAGTCCTTGTCTCCTCTATATGTTGCTCATGTCTACTTATGGTTTGTGGTCTATATATTTACTCTCTTTTGGGTGACTTCTGATAAATAGAAGTTCTTTATTTTACTATAAATGAATTCATCCAAATATTCCTTTATGTTTTATATCTTATTTAAGAAATTCTCCATACCCAAAGTCATAAAGCTTTTCTCTATTTGCTAAAGGTTTCTGGTCCTTTCAAATTTAAGTCTTTAATACTTAATGTGTGTGTGCACGCACGCTCATGCTTGTGTGTGTATGCACATGTGTATGTGGTAGATTTATGCTGTCTCGTCCTCATTTTGTCACTGTGGAAGATTAACCACTGCTTCAATTTTGTTTATATTTATGGGACTATTTAAAATTTTTAAAACATTAAAAAAACTTGTATTTGAGTATTTTGTTGGGTTGTATTTATGCAAGAATTTGTCAATTTCATCTAATCTATTTCAAACGTTTGCATAAAACTGTTCATGAAATGCTCTTATTTCTTTTATCTCTGCAGCACGTTTAAGGCCTTCTTTTTTCCTAATATTTTAAAATTTGTGCTTTCTTATTTGTTTCCTCTCTTTATTTATATTGTCAGAGATTTGTCTATTTTATAATCTCTCCAAAGGACCCGTTTATAGCTTTGATCCATTTTTGGTTTGTTTTCTATATCATTAACTGGGTTTTTTATCCCTTCCCAATTTCAACATATGGGTTTCTGATATTTTCCCCTCTAACTTCTTAATTTTGTTAATTAGCTGAATAAATTAGGTTGTTCTTTTCTAAGGTAAGCATTTTAGACTGTGAATTTCCTTCTAAATACTACTATATTTCTATCCCTTCAATTTTTACCTTTTCTACACTTTTTAATGAAGCATAATATACATATAGGATGATGAGCATGTCATACCTTTACAACTAGATGAGTTTTCACAAATTGAACATGCTCATTTAACTATCACCCTAAACTAATCTCAAAAGTTTTGTTTTGTAGGATTGCCATGTTCATTCCATTCTAAATTATTTTCTTATTTTCATTGTGGTTTCTTTGACATATTGCTTACATGTAATTCACAACTTCCAGACATGGTTTTTTTTTTCTGGTTATCCTTGTTACTGATTTTTAAAATAATTGTCCAAAAGCTAAGACATGGGTCAGCAAACTACCGCCCCTGGGCCATTGTAGTTTTTGTAAAGCTTGGTTAGAAATCAGCCACACTAGTTTGCTTCCTTATTATCTATGGCAACTTTCAGGCTACACCACCAGCAGCACCAAGTAGTTATAAGAGAGACCATCTGGCCTACAAAGCCTAAAACATCTAATATCTGGCCTTTTATAGAAAAAAATTGCCAACCTCTAGCCTAGGAAAACAATGTGTATGATCCTAGCATGGATACATTCAAATTTTCTAAGTGTATTTTCCAATTATTGAGTATGATATTCTATATTTGCTTGATAATTATGATATTCAAGTTATCTTTATTCCTGAATTTTTTGTCTATTTGACCTATCAATAATTAAGAGAGGTAATATTAATATCTCTCAATGTAATAGAATTGTCAGTTTCTCTTTAAGGCTCTGTCAATTTTGCTTAATATCTTTTGATGCTCAATTTTAGCCATTATATTATTATTAGGCTAGAATTGTTTTGCCTAAATCATGTGTTGATCTTTTTATCTTTATGTAGTGAATCTTTTTTAATACCAAGATTGCCTGTTTTTTCCTTAAAGTCTATCTTGTCTGATATTAATGTAGCTATACTCTTAATTTCTAATTCTCTGACTTCAGTTTCTATGTTCTTATGTTTTAGCTGTGCTTATATGTACAAGACTTGATTTCAATTCTGTCTGACATACTTCACTTTTTAACAAGCAAGTACGGTCTATCATATTTATTTTTATTAATGATATACTTTGATTATTTCATCATTTTATTATGCATTTTTGTGTTATTCTTTTTGTTTGGAATGATATATTTTGTCCCCCATTTTCTCAATGCATTTTTGCTCTCCATTAGACTTGAAGCTATGAATTATATCTATTTTGACTGCTAATTCCAGATGTTTTACCATGTAAATGTTACAAAGTTAATCAACTTCTTGCTATACTACTGCCAAATAACAGAAACCTAGAAGTCTTTCACTCCACTCATCCCTTTCAGCTTATATATCACTGTATAGCATTTTAGGTGTATCTTTGTAACTCTACAAATTAGATAGTATTTTTATGTGCTCAATGGTCTATTACACTTCTTTATAAATTTCTTACTACTTTTTTCTGTGTCTCAGACCTTCCATCACTTTCCTTTTGCCAAATATCTATGCTTTAGAATTTCCTTTAGTGAGAATTTGTTGTGAGTATATTCTATTTTTGTTTGTCTGCAAATATATTTATTTCACTATATTTTGGAAAGATATTTTTCTAGGTATAGTGCTCTCGGTGGAATTGTTCTTTTCTCTCAGCACTATCTTCTGGTTTCTGCTGTTGCAGTTGAGAAAACAGTCATCAATCAAATTGCAGTTCTTTGTAGGTGAACGATCTTTTCTTTTTTTTCCCCGTCTTTTGAGATCTTCTCTTTCTTTTGTTGCTATACATTTCCACTATGATGTGTCTTGTAATGGATTTCTTCTTATTTATTCTGCTTGGAATTCATTAAAACTCCTACATTGTATGATTGAGATGTCTTTCAACAATTCTGTAAAACTCTCAATGATTTAGCACTTCAAATATTGCTTCTATCCATTCTTTCTAGTTTCTTCCCATTAAATCTGATTAGACGAATAAAACCATCTTGCATTATCTACCATGTCTCTTGTCATTTTCATATTTTCAACTCTTTGTCCCGTGGACTGTATCTGGAAGAACTTTATTGGATGTCTTTCAGCTCAACAGTTAAATGATATCAAATCCGCTGTTTAATCTGTCTATTAAGGTTTAAAAAAATCTATTAAAATTTTAATTATTACATTTTAATTTAAAGATTGTTTTTCAAATCTGTTTCATGATTATTTTGCTGTCTTTCTCCTACCAATACCTTCAAGCTACTCTTCTATATTGTTAAAAATGTTTAATAGTTATTTTATATTTTGGATCTGCTGATTTTAATATCTGAAGCGGGTCTGATTCTGCTGTCTTATTTCTGCTGACTCTTACTCATGTTGTTTTGTCTATTTTGTTATTTTTCACTAGATCTCTTGTACCTTGGAACCTTATTTGCTGTCATTCTTTTAGGTCTGGATTAAGATTTAGTTTCTGCAGAAAATATTGATGCTTGTTCCTATCAGTCACCTAGGAGTACCACCAACCCAGGGTTATTCTTAATTCAAGTTCCAGCTTAAAGCTTTTCATGTCACACAGGTAACATGAATTAGGAAAGCTCACCCATGTGTGGACAAGCTTTAGGGAACATACTTAAGGGAATTGTTTTATCCTCTATCTAACACTAAGGTCTAGATAGATATTTATTTGTTGACTCCACTTTTATTGTGGATTCATTTTTTATTCACATTTACACTAAGGGGTATAGCTTCTTAGTGAAAGGGTGGTCTAGTATACTTCCATTACATTGTCTGCCTTAGATGGATCCTTGTCTTTATCTCCTCTTTACTGTACCACCACAGAATTTCAGCATCTTTTGCTTTTAGCAGAATCCTGAGAGGATAAAGTTGACTTTGCTGCTTATTTACCTCTTGGGATTTCTGCTTTTACTCAATTTTGCCCTCCGGATTTTTTACTTTCATGCTAGCTCAGTGAAACATTATAAAGCATATTTTCTTTTTCATAATTTAACTCAGCATTTTAGTCATTTTCATCAGAAGGATTGTTCAATATATTTATTATATTTAAGGTCATACAGAGAATGTAATAAATACTTCCTTCCCCTCCTACTCTGGATTGTAAGTTCCGTGAAAACAGGTGTCACATCCACTGTCACTCCTGCTGTTCATTGCTGTTTTACAGTAAAATTCCTGGCACAAAATACAAGAGGACTTCAAAAAGTTCGTGGAATTAAAAGATAAAAATAAAAAATATTAACTTTATTTCTTAACATAACCTATATAGAGTTCAAGACATGTGCTCACTTCAGCAGCACCTATACTAAAAAAAAGTTCAAGACACTTTTGTAATTGATGATACCAGCCATTTAGTCCATCCCTAAAGAACTGAGGGTCCTGGGAATTTAACCATGCCAGTGTAGTCTTTTTTACATTAACTGGAGAAAAGCAAATGTACTTTAAAGATTTTTTAAGATTAGGAAACAAAAAGAAGTTAGAAGGATCCAAATCAGGACTGTAAGGTGGACGTCTAATGATTTCCTATCAAAACTCTCCCAAAATTGCCTTTGTTTGATGAGAAGAGTGAGTAGAAGCATTGTCATGTTGCAGAAGGACTCTCCAACGAAGTTTTCCTGGGCGTTTTTCTGCTAAAGCTTTGGCTAACTTTCTCAAAACACTCTTATAGTAAGCAGATGTTATTGTTCTTTGGCCCTCCAACAGGCAAAATATTTTGAGCATTCCCAAAAAACTGTTGCCATGACCTTTGCTCTTGACTGGTCCACACCTGCTTTGACTGGACCACTTCAACCTCTTGGTAGCCATTGCTTTGATTGTACTGTGTCTTCAAGATGATACTGGTAAAGCCGTGTTTCATTCTCCTGTTATAATTCTTCAAAGAGACACTTCAGGATCTTGATTCCACTTGTTTAAAATTTTCATTGAAAGCTCTGCTCTTGTCTGCAGCTGATCTGGGTGCAATGGTTTTGCTGCCCACAGAGTGGAAAGTTTGCTTGACTTTAATTTTTCAGCCAGAATTGTGTAAGTTGAACCAATTGAGATGGTTATGGTGTTGGCTATTGTTTCTGCTGTTAATCATTTGTCCTCTTCAATTAGGGCATGAACAAGATGAATGTTTGCCTCACAAATTGATGTGGATAGTCTGCCACTATAGGCTTCATCTTCAATATCATCTCAAGAAAGTGAAAGGACAACCTACAGAACGTGAGAAAATATTTGCAAGTCATATATCTGGCAATGGTCTACTACCCAGAATATAAAAAATACTCTTACAACTCAACAACAAAACTATAACCTGATGAAAAAATGGGCAAAGGTCTTGAATAGACATTTCTTCAAGGAAGATGTACAAATGACCAACAAACACAAGAAAAGATGCTCCTTATCATTAATCATTAGGGAAACAAACCAAAATGAAAATGAGGTACTATTTCACACCCACTAGGGGGCCACTATTAAGAACACAAAAAATGGAGAGAGGTGGAGCAAGATGGACAAACAGTAGCCTCCACTGATTGTCTTCCCTGCAGGAACACCAAATATTAACAACTAATTACACAGAAAAAAGCACCGTCATTAGAACCAAAAATCAAGAGAGGAGAGTCAAGAGTAAAGAGGACTTTGTCTTGCCTCTTGGATACCAGCTCAGCCATAGTAGGATAGGGCACCAGGGCAGAGTTGTGAGGCCCCCATTCCAGGCCCTAGTTCCTGGACAACATTTCTAGATACACTCTGGGCCAGAAAGGAACCCGCTGTCCTGAAGGAAGGGACAGAGTCCTGGCAGGATTTATCACCTGATGACTAAAGAGACCTTGGGCCTTGAATAACCAAGAGTGATACCCAGGTAGTACACAGTGGGCCTTGGGTGAGATGCTGAGACCTGCTGGCTTCAGATGAGACCCAGCACATTCCAAGCTGTGGTGGCTATGATGAAAGACTCCTTCTTGGGAAAAGCAGAGGAAAAAGTAAAGGGGACTTTGTTTTGTAACATAGGTACCAGGCGCTGTGAGGAAGAGCACCAAGTGGGCTCTTGTGGTCCCTGAGTATAGGCTTAGGCTCTTAGACATTATTCCTGTCCTGCTCTGGTCTAAAGGATCCCACTGCCCTGAAGGGTGAGCCCTAGGCCTGACATTATTAACTACAGACTGACTGAAGAGCTCTTAGGTTTTAAGTGAACATTGGCAGTGGCCTGGTAGAACTCTCTGGGGATGAGTGGTGTTGATGGTTATGGGGAAAGCTCCTCTGCCCATGGAAAGGGAAGGGAAAAGCAGGAAGGACTGTGTCCTGTGGTTCAAATGCCAGTCTAGCTGCAGTAAAATAGAAGACCAGGTAGTTTTTTAAGGTTTTTTACTCTAATCCCTCATACCCAGACAGCATCTCTGGACTTGCCTGGGGCCTGGGGGAACTCATCACCCTGAAGGGAGGGACACGAACCTGGCTTGCTTTGCCATCTGCTCATTGTAGAGCCCTAGGGCCTTGAGCAAACATAGGCAATAGCCAAGTAGTGGTTACAATAGGCCTTGAGCAACACTCAGTACTGTGCTGGCTTCAGGCCTGATGCAGTACAGTCCCAGTGTTGATGGCCACAGGGATGCTTGTGTCATGCCACCCCCAGCTCCAGGAGGCTCAGCACAGAGAGAGAAACTCCATTTGTTTGGGAGAAAGTAAGGGGAGAGAACAAGAATCTCTGCTGGGTAATCCAAAGAATTCTCCCAGATTTTATCCAAAACACATGGAAATTAACCAATATGCTCCTGAATGACCAGTGGGTCAATGATGAAATTAAGAAGGAAATTGAAAAATTTCTTGAAACAAATGATAATGGAAACACAACATAACAAAATCTGTGGGATACAGCAAAAGCAGTACTAAGAGAGAAATTTATAGCTATAAGTGCCTACATCAAAAAAGAAGAAAGACTTCAAATAAATAACCTAGTGATGCATCTTAAGGAACTAGAAAAGCAAGACAAAACCAAACCTAAAATTAGTAGAAGAAAAGAAATAAAGTTCACAACAGAAATAAATAAAATTGAAATGAAGAAAACGATATAAAAGACCAACAAAATGAAAAATTGGTTGCTTAAAAAGATAAGTACAATTGACAAACTTTAGCCAGACAAAGAAAAAGAGAGAAGACCCAAATAAATAAATCAGAGATGAAAAAGGAGACATTACAACTGATACTGCAGAAATTCAAAAGATCATTAGTGGCTACTATGAGGAACTATATGCCAAATCTAGAGGAAACGGATAAATTTCTAGACACATGCAACATGTCAATATTGAACCATCAAGAAACCTAAAACCCAAACAGCCAATAACAAGTGATGTGATCAAAGCCATAATAAAAACTCTCCAAGTAAAGAAAAGCCTGGGAACCAATGGCTTCACTGCTGAATTCTACCAAACATTTAAAGAAGAACTAATATCAATTATACTGAAACTAGTCTGAAAAAGAGAGGAGGAGGGCAAACTTCCAAACCCATTCTATGAGGCCAGTATAATTCTGATACCAAGACCAGGCAAAGACACATTAAAAAAAAAAAAAAAAAAAAAAAAAAAAAAACAACTACAGGCCAATAACTCTGATGAATATTGATGCAAAAACCTCAACAAAATACTAGCAAACCAAATTCAACAATACATTAAAAAATCATTCATCATCAGGTGGGATATATTGTAGAGATTCAAGGATGGTTCACCATAGACAAATAAGTCAGGTGATACATTATATCACTAGAATAAAGGACAAAAAGCATATGATTAGTTCAATTGATGCTGAAAAAGCACTGGAGAAAATTCAACATTGCTTCACAATAAAAGCCCTCAAAAAACTGGGTGTAGAAGGAACATACCTCAACATGATAAAAGCCATGTATGGCAGACTCACAGCTAGTATCATACTAAATGGGGAAAAACTGAGGCCCTTTTCTCTAAGATCTGGAACATGACAAAGGTACCCACTTTCACCACTGTTATTCAACATAGTACTAGAAGTCCTAGCTAGAACAATAAGGCCAGGGAAAGAAATAAATGGTACCCGAATTGGAAAGGAAGAAGTCAAATTATCCTTGTTTGCAGATAATATGATCTTATATTTGGAAAAACCTAAATACTCCATCAAAAAAACCTATTAAAACTGATAAACCAATTCAGTAAAGTTAAAAGATACAAAACCAACATTCAAAAATCAGTAGCATTTCTATATGCCAACAGTGAACAATCTGAAAAAGAAATAAAATGTAATACCATTTGTAATAGCCACAAAGAAAATTACTTTGTGGCTATTACAAATACTTAGGCATTAACTTAACCAAAGAAGTGAAAGATCTCTGTAATCAAAACTATAAGACACTGATTTGAAAAATTGAAGAAGACACAAAAAATGGAAAGATATTCCAAGCTCAAGAATTGGAAGAATGAATATTGTTAAAATGTCCATACTACCCAAAGTAATCTACAGATTCAATGCAATTCTTATCAAAATATCAATGACCTTCTTCACAGAAATAGAAAAAAACAACCCTAACATTTACATGAAACCACAAAAGACCCAGAATAGCCAAAGCTATGCTGAGCAAAAGGAATAAAAATAAAGGAATCACATTACCTGACTTCAAATTATACTACCAAGCTATAGTAACCAAAACAGCATGGTACTGGCATAAAAACAGACACATAGAGCAATGGAACAGAAGAGAGAACCCAGAAATAAATCCATGTACCTACAGGGAACTCATTTTCTACAAAGGTGCCAAGAAATACATTAGGGGAAAAGACAGTCTCTTCAATAAATAGCACTGGGAAAATTGGATATCCATATGCAGAAGAATGAAACTATACTGCTATCTCTCATTAAATACAAAAATCAAATCAAAATGGATTAAAGACTTAAATCTAAGACCTCAAACTATGAAACTACTACAAGAAAACTTTGGAGAAGCTCTCTAGGACATTGGTCTGGGCAAAAATTTCTTAAGTAATTCCTGGGTGATACCAACAAGCACAGGCAACAACCAAAGCAAAAATGGACAAATGAGATCACATCAAGTTAAAAAAACTTTAGCACAGCAAAGAAAACAATCAACAAAGTGAAGAGACAACCCACAGAATGGGAGAAAATATTTGCAAACTACCCATCTGACAAGGAATTAATAACCAGAATACATAAGAAGCTCAAACAACTCTATAGGAAAAAAATCTAATAATCCAATTTTAAAAATGGGCAAAAGATCTGAATAGACATTTCTCAAAAGAAGACATACAAATGGCAAACAGGCACATGAAAAGGTGCTCAACATCATTGAACATCAGAATAATGCAAATCAAAGCTACAACGAGATATCATATCACCCCAATTAAAATAGCTTTTATTGAAAAGACAGGCAATCACCAATGCTGCTGAGAATGTAGTCAAAAGGAAACCCCCACACACTGTTGGTGATAATGTAAATTAATACAACCATTATGGAGGACAGTTTGGATGTTCCTTAATATACTAAAAATAGACCTACCATATGATCCAGCAATCCCACTACTGGGTATATACCCAAAAGAAAGGAAGTAAATATATCAAAGAGATAAGAAGTCAGTATATCAAAGAGGTATCTGCAGTCCCATGTTTGTTGCAACACTGTTCACAATAGCCAAGATTTGAAAGCAACCTAAGTGTCCATCAACAGATGAATGGATAAAGAAAATGTGGTACACATACACAATGGGGTACTATTCAGCCATAAAAGAGAATGGGATCCTGTCATTTGCAACAAAATGGATGGAACTGGAGGTTATTATGTTAAGTGAAATAAGCCAGGCACAGAAAAGCAAACTTTGCCTATTCTCACTTATTTTGGGGAGCTTAAAATTAAAACAATTGAATTCATGGAGATAGAGAGTAGAAGGATGGTTACCAGAGGCTGAGAAGGGTAGTGGGGGGAAGTGGGGAAGTGAGGGGGAAGTGAGGATGGTTAATGGGCACAAAAAATAGAAAGAATGAATAAGGCCTAGTATTCTAAAGTACAATGAGGTGACTATAGTCAGTAATAATTTAATTGTACACTTTAAAATAACAAAGAGTATAATTGGATTGTTTTAACACAAAGGATAAATGCTTGAGGGGATGGTTACTTCATTCTCCATGATGTGATTATTACGCATTGCATGCCTATATCAAAGTATCTCATGTACCCCATAATTATATACACCTATGTACCCACAAAAATTAAAAATTAAAACATATATAAAAATAATGTTGATGAGGATGTAGAGAAATTAAAACCCTTGTACATTGCTGGTGGGAATGTAAAATGGTTCAGCCAGTAAGGAAAGGAGTTTAGTGATTCCTCAAAAAGTTAAATGTAAAATTACCAGAATACCCCGTGATTCCACTCCTAGGTATGTACCCGAAAAAACTAAATTGATATTCAAAGAAATATGTATACATACATGTTCATAATAGCACTATTCACAATAGCCAAAAGATAGAAACTGCCAAAATGTCCATCAATGGATAAATAAATAAGCAAATCATGGTATATACATACAATGGAATTTTATTCAGCTGTAAAAAAGAATGAATTCCTGATACATACTACAGTATGGATGAACCTTTAAAACATGATGCTAAGTTAAACAAGCCAGGCACAAATGGTTACGTTGTATGATTCCATTTATATTAAATATCCATAATAGGCAAACCCATACAGACAGAAAGCAGATTAATGGTTTCCAGGGGCTAAGGGAACAGGAATGGGGAGTGACTGCTCAGTGGGTACATCCCCCATTGGGGGGATGAAAATATTTCAGAACTAGATAAATGTGGTGGTTGCATAACATTGTTAATGTACTAAACCTCACTGACTTGTTTACTTTAAAATGGCTAATTTTATGTTCTGCAAATTTCACCTAAATAAAATTTAAAAATTAAAAAAGAAATCTCAGGAAAACTGAAAGTATAGACATTGAAAACCCCTAAAGCTTACTAAATATCTGTGCCAAAGCAGAGAACTGGGCTTGTTTTCCTAGTTCCTTTCTATGATACTTTTTTCTGCATTCACATGTTTGGGGACCATTAAACATAATCCATAATATCCTCCACCATGTTTCTTTTCTACTTTATTTCATGGAATTCTTGGTGTCTATATTAGTTTCCTATTGCTGAGCAACAAACTACCACAATCTTAGTGGCTTTAAACAACACATGTTTATTACTCACAATTTCCCTGCATCTGTAATCTGGTGTGGAGCTAGGTCCTCTACACAGGGCTTTACAGAGCCGCAAGCTACTGACTGGACCGCATGCTAATGTAGAAGCTTGACTGTGGAAGAATCAACTTCCAAGTTCCTTCAGTTTGTTGGGAGAATTCATTTTCTTGAAACTGTAGGACTGTGTATTCTGGTATTTTTCTGGCCAGTGAATAGAGGCCATGCTTAGCTCCTAGAGGCCATCCTCATGTTCTAGGGGTTATCTGTAGTTCCTTGCCATGGGACCTTCTCCATAATGGTCATTTACTAAATCATTCTTATGAGGAGAGTCTCATTCCAGTTTGCAAAGATGCAGTCTTATATAAAGTGACATAATCTTAAAAGTGAAACCTCATGACTTCTACCATATTTTGTTGGCAAGTCATGGGTTCTGCTTATACTCAGTGACAGAGATCATGTGCTTGTGTGAACACCAGGAGGTGGGACTCACTGGGGGTCATTTTAGGTTGTGTCTGCTACAGGGTCTAATCCTTAACAGCATTTCAAAATGAGATCCAGTGTTTCAGGCATAAACACTTCCATAATTAGTCCATGGAAGTAATGATTCCATAAACTATCATGTAAAACAAGGAGTCAAGCTCTTATCGTTGCCTATAAAGATTCCACACCTTTGAACTTACTTTGTCTTTTTTCTGGAAAGACAGAAATAAATGATAAGATTTCAATAGACCATGGAGGTGTACACTATACTAGAATTTCTAACCTCTATTCCATCAACAGGTAGGGATTTAAATTTAGATGCTAATTGTAATTGAATAGACTTTTCAAGTCAAGCTTAAGGATATTGATTACTTGTAAAAGCCTCACCCTTCTCACACCCTTTTGAACCAGAAATATTTCTTCTTTGCTTTGAGCAGTAGGATAACTGATTTTCTTTAAATTTAAGTCATTTGCCTTTTAGTTACCTAAAAACATTTAATAAACTAAGATATAAAAACTTTTATAAACTAAAAACATGTAAACTAAGATACATACTTTATCAGCGTCAAAGGTACTTCTCCTCTAAACAGAGTAGGAGATAACAATACCTTTGACGTTGATAAAGCACGTATCTTAGTTGATATGCATTACAGCGACTCCGAAGAGCTGAGCTGATTTTAGGTTTGCTTGCCCTAATTGCAAAGACTGGCCAATTGTAATTGCATTGAAGTTTTATTGCAAGTGCACTCACATCCAGATCACAGGGAACCATTGTATTTTTTATATCTAGACTACTATCCAATGATTTAGAAGATCTGCTCTAATTTTATTCAGTGTGTTCTTTCTGAGTGCTATAATAGGCTTTTGTTTGCACGCAGGCACCTAATTAAAAGAGAAAAAAAAAATCCCTTGTTAAAATCAGCTGGGAATAATCAGAATGATCATTCCATGGCTCATAAATATTACATGAGCAATATGGGCGCATCAGTAATATTTAACTGTTTTCCAGTTTCACTTAAAACTTTTTATTCTAAAAGTCTGCAAGCCCAGGAGAAGATTAGTACTTTAAATTCTTAATCACAAGAAGAGCTCACAGGATTTCTATTTACAGAGATTTGGTTTATTTATACATATTCAAGGTTTATTACAAAACCAACATGCTATTGCTGTGGCCATGTTTTTAGTCTTTCAGTATAGGAACCTAATGTGGCTTACCCAGAGTCCCCAGGGTGAGATGCCTGCATTCCCTGGATGTTTTGCACTTCAATATTTTGATTGCCCTTTTTTGTTGTAATTTGAATTCCACTGCCTTTAGAGAACTTGGAGCAAAGGGATATGATTACATCAATCTTTAAAAAAAATAAGTCAGATAGAGCTTTCATTCAAAAATTGTATCTGGAATTCCAGAAAAGAAATGCAAAGAGGAAAATAAATAGGTGGTGAAGAAATTTACTTAGAGGGCGAAGAAAATTCAAGCCCCACTGGAGTTCTATTTATCACCTGCTATTTGCCCTCAACCTCTAGCAGCATGGTGGCCTCTTTGTGGCCTCACAAGCCACTTCGGCATTATTCCTCCTCAGTTTGCTGTCTCTTCTTGGTGGAAGGTAAGGGAGTAGAGGTGGGATTCAGGGTGATGAAAAGACCCTTGAGTTCCCCCTGGAGGCTCAAATGCACAACCAACAAATACTGCATTCCAACACAATCAATGATGTAATGATGTATGACTTTCCTGGTCCTTTGTTTTTTTTTTTTTGGTTTTGTTTTGTTTTGTTTTTGCAAATGATACAATTCCTCCATTTAAAAATAAGGTTTTATTCCAATTGTAGTTTATTTTTTTCTGTTTACCAAACACCTTTTTAACTGGAGAGAATAGGTTATTTTTATATCTTTTTCTAAAACATTAGGCTTTTCAGATAACAATGTCTATGGGGTACCTGCTGTGGCTACATCCCTATATTAAGCATCATGGGTGATTACATTTATGGAGAAGGTATGGGTACCCTCCCTCCCCCACAGGTTGTAAGCAAATCAGGGGCCATGAATAGGAATTCTAATTGTGTCTCCAGTCCTGAGTTTTTCAGCCTTAGCACAATGGACATTTGGAGCTGGATAATTCCTTGTGGTGGAGGGCTATCCTACACATTGTGTGACGCCTAACAGTGACCCTAGCCTCTACTCACTAGATGTCTGTTATCCCCCTGCCAGTTGTGACAGCCACAAATGTCTCCAAACATTGACAAATGCACCCTGGTTGCAGGCAAAATTGCTCCCTGTTGATAACCACTGGTCTTGGGAAACCATAAGGGATGGAAATAGAGAGTACAAAAACAAAAACAAAAACAGAAACATTCATTTTAAATCAACGTGTTCTATAGATTACTATGTCTATCTTGAGCCAGAGATGTGTTGTATAAGTCAGGGATCTGACACTAGCATTTTTGTGAAAACAAAGCTCTGCATCTTCATGCTCTTTAAAGTTACTTTTCAAGAGTTTTTGTGCTGCATTAATTTCAAGAGCTACAATGAGTTTAAAGGAATACAGTCAGTTTTTTGCTCTTTAATACATTTTCAAGTAGGTATTTGTAAATATGTCTGAGGGCAAAGAATATTCAGTGAAGGAAGAACATAAGCTCTTGACTAGGGTCCAATTCTGCTAATTATTTTGTGATGAACAGGTTTCCTGATTTTTTTTTCCAAAGAGTGATTTATGTACTAATAGCAACTGCAACAGAATGAAAATATGAGGTGATAAATTTAAGGTTACTGGTGTTTGCAAGTAAGGCCTGTCTTCATATAGACCAGTGCTTCTCAACTGAGTGATTTTGCCCCCCCAGAAGACATTTGGCAGTGTCTAGGGATTTTTTGTTTTCACAATTGCACGAAGGGGTGCAATTGGCATCTAGTGGGTAGAGGCCATGGATGCTATTAAACATCCTACAATGCACAGGACAGCCCCTACTCACTGAGAAAGAATTCTCCAGCCCCAAAGGTCCATAGTGCCAAAGTTCAAAAGCCCTGGCACAGATATAGGAGAACGATGGATTTTATCACAAAAGGTGACTTGAAAGTCAGAGGGATGTTATTTTTTCCCAAAATTACTCCCCTAATGGCCTGTGGAATTTCATTCCTTTGGCTCTAGTACAGACCTCTCATTCTCTTCTTTTAAAAGGCAGATAATCTTGGGAGAGGTAAAATACTGAGTTACTACAATATAGTCAGGACCCTATAGATGATTTGCTCTTGTGATAAGAAGATTGCAGGATAGAGTACTTTTGAGGAGTGCGTTTGAGAGTCGAAGAAGAGTATTTGACTTACGGGGGGAGCTGCTGAAAGAGGCAATGGAGTCTGTTAAGTTTGTCCTCAATTTCTTATATCATTTCCTGTGGTTGGTTGTTTCTTTGGTTCACACACACGATGGCAAACTGTATGTTCAGGTGTGTATGTGTATGCATAAGAGTTGTATTTTACATTAGATCTAAAATACTATTTCTATCAGATGAACTTCCCATGCTTTCTAGGTCTTCACTTTGTGAGTGATAAGGGGGCTTATTCATCTCAGTAACTTGAACAGCCCAGAGTTTACACTTAGTCCATAGACTTCTAGAAGACATCAGTTCTGTAAGAATTGATGCTTAGTCTTTCATTCCAGCTCTGCTTCCATGTTTTTCCTTCTCATTGTTGCATATTTGATGTGTTATGTCTGCTCTGAAGTAGGCCTAGAATAATTTGAAATACTGGTATCACTTTAAAAATCCTTTTTTCCTGGTTACTTTTCCACTTAAGGCTCTAAAATACTTGCAACACTTCTCTTTTTTTTCTATCAAAACAGCTTGAATAAGTGGTCTTTGGGCCTTTATGTTTTCTAGAATAAGTACTTTCTCTGTGTGCTGAAATGTTTCTCATTGCCAAATTACAGTTCTTTACAATGAAAGTGGGTTTAATTAAGAGTTTAAAAGAAACTTTCCAAAGAGATCTGAAGAACAAAGTTGATCACCAATAATGTCACACTACAGTTCTTTGAGACACAGCAGTCCCTAAAATTGGGCTTTCCTGACATCTGTTTCTTCACAGTGACATACTGTAGCATCTTATTATTTTTTTTCAGGCACAGATCAGCCTGGAAGAGGTCCCAGAGAAATTTAATTTTGTCATTCCAATCGTTCCCACTCTTGCTTGGGTCCTTCTATCTTTATTTTCTGAGGTTTCCCATTTTAGCTGCCAGTAAGCTGTAAATAGAGTTTAATCTTCAATATTTCAGACTTCTTTCCTTAACCAACAGGCACAAGGGAAGATTCTACTTGGAAAATACTCCTTAAAATTGAAGATAATAGATTTTTGGATATCTTTTACCACTTAGGTATTTAAACATGCATTTATATAAAGTATTAATAAAAACTTATTTAAATTGTCAAAATCTCACTGTGTCTGTCACCATAATTGCTAATATAATCCTTCTTGGTCATTCAAAGGCTTTGGCCAAACAAGCATATCAACTTCTCTTCTCATTTGGCATCTGTCGTTCCTGGGGACCATACTGTAGTTGAACTAGAAGTGTGGATAAAATGATTCACTTATGTGGTTGAATGTCCATTTCCATAATTAATATCAAAATACATTTGAAATAGCATAAGAGTGCTCCAACCTTTATGTGCGTTAGGACGTGGCTGAAATATTGGAGACAGGAAGTGGTCTTCAAGCAAATTTCACATTTTATAAGTGCATCAAGGCCATTTTTTTCAGAATCTTTTGGCAATATTACTTTAAAAATAAGTGAGTTCTGTTTCATAATCAACAATGGAACTTAAAATTGTCCCCCAGATTTGCCAGGCATAAAGATTTGGTTGTCTAGATAGGCTCTCCATTTATAAAAAGAAAAAAAAATAAAGCAGACAGTATACCTAAAAAATATAATTCCATTAGGTAGTGCATTGATTTTTGTAACACAATGTGCTGCCTCTTTGATAAATTATGGAAGTTGCTACATTTCTGTCAGATGACAAGGGGGAAAATTAAGAAAACATTGAAATATTTGCTTCTGGAAAATTCTGGAAAACTATAAATAGTGTGTGCTTTAGCAGAAGATTCCCTCTCCAGACACCCTTTTGAACCTCCCTCACTGCCTTTGCAAAGAAAATAATTAAGGATTAACAATCATGTTCCCAGAGTGGTGACAATTAGTTTGAGAAGATTCTCCGGGTAAGATATGATTGTGACTTTAGGAAATGCATCTATTGTGCTCATCTTTCATCTTTTAACTCCCACAATAGGTATAAACATTTAAAATATAAGCTGCAAATAAAACAAAATTCTTTCAGAGGAAAACAATAATGCTTCCTTTGTGAAATCATTTGCTGTTGCTATTAATTGTACAGCCCTTGAGGCTGTAGACAATGGTTTGTCTTTTTTCAGTCAATATGAATCACAGTGCCTGGCACATAGTAGGTGCTTAATCATAGGTTATCAAGCAAATATCTATTACCTATTATGTTTAGTCATTCTGCAAAGAACTTTGGTGGGGGAAGGGAGGCAAGAGAATATAGAAAATGTGATGTAGTTCCGCCTTTCAAGGAGATTTCAAGGTAGCTGGGAAGACAAGATAGACATATATGCATATATACAAAATCAGTGCTTAATTAAATGTTTCTGGGATATAGATTGAAAATGCCGTAGGAATGTATAGTCCTTGCAGCTCTAAAAAGTCTGGAGAGGGTGATTACTACATGGCTTAAAATGAAGCATAGACAGAGTGAAAAGAGGAAGTGAATATTCTAAATGGACTTCAGTATGAGGGAGGTTCTTCTGTCTAAACAAAGGCATGGCGTTGAGAATTAGCCTGGGATGCAAAAGGGGATTTAACTATTTGGTGGTGTTAGGAAACAAGGCAGAATTTTAACCTGAAATAATATGTAATAGCAAGCCCTGAAGATTATGAGATAGGGTATGACATGAAGGGGCATTTAAGAAAAATGGTTTAGACGTAGACTTCAGAATAAATGGGAACCAAGCAAAACTAGGCTCAAAGATGTTGGTTAGGAGGCTGCTTCAGTAATTCAATTCTAATGAAGGATTGGAAAAATATCTTCTTGGTAGTTTGGATTTGGAAGAAGAAGGAGTTCAAGGTTGAAAGGAAAGTACAAATTGTCATATTTCCTAACATGCAAGTATTAGTCACTTACTGCTGTGGTAATGCTGTGTAACAAATCCCTCCCAAATTTAGTGGCTTACAATAATATGCATTTACTTATCTTGCTTATAAGTCTTTGGGCTGGCCAGGGTGGCTTTGTTTCTGGCTGCAACTTGGTGGGGCTTGGTTCTAGGTTTTGGAATCTGTGCACCAGGCTTTGAATTTCAGGCTTCACTTCTACAACATGGGTCTCATGGGGCCCAGACTGAAGGAACAGAGGCTACCTAGGATATTCTCTTCTTATGGTCATCATAGGAGGGCAAAAGGCCAAGCCAATTTGCACAAACATATTTAAGACTTCTCTTCAAGTTATATTTCTTTGGTCAAAGTAAGTCACATGGCAAAGCCCAAATCAATGGGGCAGGGAAGTACTTAATGTACCTCAAGGAGAAGAGAGGCTAAGTGAGTATTTTCTGGGCAATAATCCAAACTTTCACAATTGGTGTGATTTTTCTGAAATGCATCTGCAAATGTCATTAACCTTAAAACCTTTACATGGCTCCCTGCTTGTGTAAAAGTCACACTTTTTACTAAATAGGGTTCTTCACAATCTCCTCACATTTCTATCCTTCTTCTGCTGTGTTCCCACACCTATCTTTTATTCTGATCGCAATGACCTATTTCCAATTCATCATGAAGTTTTATGCCTTTTTATGACACAGTGTTCTTTGTGCCTAAATGCTCCTTCTGTCCTTTCAGTCCCTCAAGTCTCTAAGTGTTGAAGGATTTTCTGATTCCCACCCCCTGCAAGGCCGCAATCAATGTTACTTATCTTTATTCCCAGATAGTTTATGTGTAACTCCGGCATAACACCTACTACATTTTGATGCTGTGCCCTGAGGGTTGGACATGTGGCTCATTGATCTATATATCCCTTTCATGTGTGGACTGAATGAGACAGATAATGATGGTGCCCTTAGAAAGAATTGGGAACTTGGGAAGCAGAACCAAAGGTTTTCTTTGTTTTGTTTTTGTGGTTGTTATTGTGTAGGGGGATGAGAGATAGGAAAATGAAGATTCTTCTGTTTTGGCATTTTTAGGTGTGAGGTGAGGGCAGGACATCCATTAGCTGAAAGTAGGGTCTGGAACAAAGTTGAGAGATCTAGGTGAGAAAATCCAATTTGGCTACCATCGCATTAAACTTAGATTGAAATCTAGACCATGGCCTTACTGTCTTTTCTGCCTAACTGCAGTCTAAAATCCTGTTTTTGAAAGTTCTGCCGAAAAAGGGGATTGTTTAAAAAATCTCTTTGTAGTCAATCCATAAATCATATCCAAACCATAGGTAATGTGTGATTGTTCATACTCAGAGGATAAATTATTGTTTTCATTAGCTTTATGTAACCTACCTCCAAAATTTTTATTTCTTAGTATTGATGAAAAGTTATGAAAACTTTGAATGTTTCTTTAGGAAACAACTTGTCTTTCCAAACAGCTTGCATCAGGAGCAGCTGCACAGTCACTTAAACAAACTAGTTGACTAAGTGCTTTTCAGTTTGTATGGGAAGATATTTTTCCTTTGCTTAATAATAATAAAAGAGAAATATGCTTTACTTTCTTAATGCAGGGACAGTTCAGGATCCCTATCTATATAAGCTGTGTAATCTCTGGATAATTTTATGTGTCTATGGGATACACAGTAAATAATAGTTGATCATCTGACCGCTATTGTATAAGGATCTCATCTAGAAAGCCCTTGCACGTGCTGCCTCCTGGAGGGGGCTTGGAAGATGGTTTCCTGTGGAACTGCCTCACCTACCACATAACTTTATCCTGGGAGCTGATATCCTGTTTCTATCCATGTCCACAGGGCTGGCACCCCTGAGAGTTGCCATATTTGTCCATGATGTGCCACTCAATCTAAAAGCAATAAAGATATTGCTAGCTATACAACATCCAAACTGAATAGTTCAGCTTGCACCATCTCTATGATAAGCATTCCAAAGAAACCCAAGAAGGAAAGAGATCTAGAAACAGCACAGTCTCATAAATTAACATGGAGTATTAATAATGAAACAGTAACCATTGAATCAGAAAACCTTCAAGTTGAGTGAATGTTCTTTAGCAATTCTGATAAAAGCAAATGCATTAAGATAAACAACATTGGGTGTATTGCACCTATTCCCTCAATTTGACGTTAAAGCATGTTTGAAACATAATGGGGGAAGTTAGAGCAGTTGACAAATTTACCATGGCAAGATAAGTTAGCACATGCAAAGCAACGTGACAATCATACTTGTGACAATCACATGGGGACTGGGTCTGCATCTCCTGCTGCTGATAACAGTACAGACTCTTAAAAGGTAGAAAGCAAATCGGAATGGGAGATTACAGGGAAACAGGCAGAGGAAGCAATTAGCAAATAGAACACACCAGCTCCCTCAACTAAAAACCTCTTCACAGAATGATTATGAACATCTGTGCATGCTGCTGATGGCTCTGTCTGTCTTTGGGAGCCCATCAGCGATATTCAAAACGTAGTATAGACGAGCCTTTCCTTGTCACCACATCAAGCACACCATGAAAAGATTTTCTGTGCTTTGCATTCTCTCCTACTCTTTGACGAAAAGAACTCAACTTGACATTTAAAAAGCCCATGCTTCAGAATTAAGCTTGAGGTGATAAAATGATATGCCTTCTCAGATTTATTACTTTTTTAATTATACCAAATCACACATCCTAATGATATTTTTAAAAACCCACTTTATTGTATTTTACCCACTTGAACTCTTTTACCATCTCTGTTCTACCCCCTCTCAGCTCCTACCACATGAAATATTTTCTGTAGGTTTTCATACAAGCTTGGATTAATTTGCCCCAATTAATTTTGGCATAGAGTAGAGCTGTGAAAAAATCTGTGAAGATTTTGTTACATGGAGATAAAGTGGTACATAAGCCAAAGAAGCATATCTGTATTTCAACTCTTATTTTAAAATATCCCTACAACAGTGATTGGAATTATGCAGGAGAAACAAAGGTGCAGTGAGTCAAATACAAGGCAGTTTTGATATAAATATGCAGCAGTATTTAACAGAAAAAGTTCAATTATAGTACTAGTATAATAGTTCGAAGATAGATGATTGGCTTATAGAGAAATTGTCAAACATGAGGCTGAGTTCAGGTTGGTCAGAGCCATCCTCTACTCATTCTTTCCTATTTACAGTAGCTGCCTTGGAATATAATTTCCTTGCCCAGAACATACTTCCCTCTCCCTTCTTCAGTTTACAATCATACTTTTCCAGACTGAACTCAGGCATCACCCACCCCAGAAGGTCTTTCCAATCCCTCAAACTAGATTTGGTGTCTTTTCTCTCTGCAACTATAACATCCTCTGGCTACCTTCTTTATCACACTGAATTACTTTACTCATTTGGGAGCTTTTTCCTCATAAAATTGCGTCTTTCATTTCTTGAGTCCCCGGTGCCATAAGATTTTTTTTGAATGAATGAGTCTTTTATTTGTAAATCTGAGTTTTCTACTTGATACAATTTGTAACTCATTGGGTACATTTAAACAACTAATATGAATCTATTTATAGTCTTTATTTATCTTGTCCAGTGTGAATATTCATGCATTCAGCTACAGAAATGTTAAAGTACTTCATTGAAGGTGCTGTTCTGGTCTCTATTGATGGGTTATGTAATGAAGGTATCTGTACTGTTTGCCTTTCTAAAATCAGAAGAAAGAGGATGAAGTCAGGTATGCACATAACCTTAAGAGTTTCAGATGGAAGCTGGTGTATCTCTCTATATACACCCCACTCCCTGGCATAACATTTAATGTGTAGGCATTTGCATTAATTAAGGTTGGTTGTGCTAGCCGCTATAACAAAGACTGAAAGACAACCACATCTATTATATGATTCCTAACACTCCTTCAAGGTGGATCATGTGAAATTGAACTGAATTGGAAGTGCAGGAGTTTCAGTTGACTTTTCTGATGATTTACTTGACAATCACTCAGAACCTTAATCGAAAATATGAGAAGGTGATTTGTGATAGATAGTTTAAATTAAGAAGGCAGTCAACCTAGAGAAAGAAGGGACTATACAAATGACCATATGTTTCTCAGATGTTTTATGAGTATGGACAAATATTGATTCAGGAAAACAATGATGTCCATACCATCTCCTCCAACACAGAGTGCCTGAAACTAAGAAACAGGCATTGTTAGAAAACAAAACCAATCAAACAATTAAAGAGGAGGGGAGAAAGTCATCCTATCTAGTACACTCAGAATATCAATTTTCAATTTTGAATTTTTCTTCCCAACTAGAGGCTTGCTAGAATGACTTGACCTCCAAAATTGACATATTTTTATCTTTGTAATTAAATGAGACTCGGAATTCTTCCCTATAAATGAATTCTTTAGAATAGCCATTGCATTAATAATCTCTCCATCATATTTTTCCAGAGATTATTGGTTTTGAATAAAGATTGACTTGCCATCATTAACAGGCTGGAACCAGTGGGCTTTCAGAAATGATGAACTAGAGTGGAACCATGAATGTAATGATGTCTGTGTGTAATCAGAATCTAAGAAGTAAATAATAATTGCAGCTGTTACTCTTCCTGGGGGCCAGAAGAGCATTCATTGACACACAAAGCTTTGCCTCAAACACAGGTTTAGGCGGTTCCTTGGAGGCCAGTTCTCATAATGCCAGAAGGGAAGATACAAAAATGTGACCACAGGGTGTTGGACTTCCTTCTCATGCATTCTGTAGAGCATTTATTACCCAAATTCTGGACAATTA
The DNA here is from genome assembly GCF_000001405.40 of Homo sapiens. Lineage (NCBI taxonomy): Eukaryota > Metazoa > Chordata > Mammalia > Primates > Hominidae > Homo > Homo sapiens. The sequence continues at coordinate 12,002,185 of NC_000023.11, forward strand.
AGGATGCATTTTAATTAACTTTCTATCTCTCCAGTGAGTTCTTGGCCCCTCACTCCCCTTTACACAGCTCAAATGATATATAGGAGCAATAGCCGGCCTGCTTCTGTTCATGTAGGTATAGGAATCAGTTATTTTCCAGGCTTTTTCATAGGCAGGCAGCTTTGATTGTGTTTCAGGTCAGCAGTTGCAGAAATGTGGTAGCATTATTCCTAGAATTGTATTTCTAATTACAGGATGATGCTATGGACTCATTTAAAACAAGTATGTAACAAAAAAGCCAAGTAAAATTAAGTAATGTTAGAAGTCAAAGGTGACCAAACAGCATTCCTATTTCTGTCTACCTTATGCCCAATTTTTAAACCCAGAATCTTAGCATAATAGTGTTGACAACTGAGAGCCTTTGTTTGTGTTCATTTCTATATCTCCACTTCTTGGAATGGTGTATGGCACATAGTAGGTGCTCAATAAATGTTTGTTGAATGCATGAAGAAACCCTGTTGGAAACTAAAGAAGGAATCCCCTGAGTTGTCAGCCCTGTGTTTATTCATTCATTCATCAGACCATTATTAAGCAGTTACTATGTATCTCATAGTATTGAGCGTTGGAGGTGCAAGGCTGAATATTGCATGCTTAAGCTTCTCAAGCCTAGGGAGATAGGGTTTGGCACAGGCAGACACATTAATATATACTTACTAACACTTGCTGCTGTAGACACAAACTTCAGTAATCCCACTAACAGAGGAGGGAATGGGAACCTCTCCCCCAAAGACCCAGACCCTGAGATACTCTTAGGTGGAGTTTTAGTAAAATAAGCAGGGACTGAATAGGTGTCCACCAACTACTCTAGAAGCTGCTCTGGCATTAAGCTACTCATAGCACACCCCCATTCATTCCAGGAATTCAAATTCAAAAACACAAGCTACAATGACTCAGAAGCAGCAGCAACATTGAGCTGGGTCACCTCCTGTCATTCCTACCTGTTCTAAGCCTGGTAGGGGAAGAGAGTCTGAGATCTGAGAGGACTGATTTCAAATGTTAGCTCTGCAAGTTGCTTTATATTTTTTAAACCTTGATTTCTTTATCTGTAAAATAGGGATATAATAGGATTAATAGAGCCAGTTACAGGACTAAGGGAAGTAATGTATTACACCTTATTTAGGGCTTGGTACATATACACCCATTAACTTAATTCAGTTTGGCAAGTGTGTGTGTGTGTGTGTGTGTGTGTGTGTTTGTGTGTATTTTTTAAGACAAAGTCTTGTTCTGTCACTCATGCTGGAGTGTGGTGGCACAATCTTGGTTCACTGTAACCTTCACCTCAGGTGATCCTTCCACCTCAGCCTCCAGAGTAGCTGGGATTACAGGCATGCACTACCACACCTGGCTAATTTTTGTATTTTTCGTAGAGATGGTGTTTCACCATGTTAACCAGGCCGATCTTGAACTCCTGGCCTCAAGTGATTGCCTGCCTTGGCCTCCCAAAGTGCTGGGATTACAGGCATGAGCCACCGCTCCTGGCCCAGGCAAGTATATATTGAGATTCTGTTGGGGATCTATTAGTTCCCTTTCTCATTTGTCACCTGGTTCCTTTCACTTTCCCCTTTAAAAAAATAAATTCATCCACCCAAATATACATCATTAATATAAAATGCACAATTTTTTTCATTATGCTTTATCTCAGGCTGCAGACAACTGATTGCATGTGGACATTTCAGACACATGAGTTCCTAACATAATGAGCTCAGCTGAGGTTCCAGTCATGAATCTGCCTCATCTCTCCTTCCTTCTACTTCCACAAAGGCAGGCTGGGCCAGGACTGGCTTTTTCTCCCTCTTCTTCCCCCTGCCTTGATTCCCAATGCTGGCTGTATCATAGAATGACATGGTGGGTGCTCTAGAAATACCCTTGGGTCTTACCTTCAGCTATACAATTGATTTGAGCCTGAACATCATTATGTATCAAAAGTTCCAGAGGTTGAAAACCCCTGCTCTAAACCAGAGCTCCATGTATGTCTTGGTAGGAAAGAGGACCTCTGCCTGAGGCCAAGGTCTGCCATTCTGATTCGGGTAAATACTACTGCCAAACCAAAGCCATGGAATTCTGATTCAGCTGGCACTAGGTGCTTGCTCAGTCACTGTCATGGGATACATGAATGGCAATTTTCCTGGTTTGGACAGACCAACAGCATGCTTAACAACTTTGAACATGGCCTTTGATCTGTATCACCACATCTAATCTCCATGCAGCCCACATAGTGTTTGCCAGGCTCTGTTCACCACCAAGCCTGGCCTGGCTCAACTCAAACTAGGAACCATCATCTAAGGAAGTTAGGCCCTCAAATTCTTATATTGTTTGTTGCCTTGGTGTTGGCTGACCCACTTAAAAATAGGAACAAATTGGAACAGGTTAGATTTTCTGCCTCTGACTTTGTGGTTGTGTTTTCTGTTCATGATCTGTAATTGTCTCTTTATATCTGAATGTTTGGTATTGTTTTCTGTCTGCTGACCTTTTTTTTTTTTTTTCATCCTCAGTTGATGTTGACTGTCTGTCTCTGCTGCCTCTCACTGCCAGGGGTAAACGTTCTGTCCAGCCCAACCTGGCTGCTAGGCCTCTGTGATGGGGCCAAGTAATCCCCCATCCTTGGAGCAGGAACCACAGCCTGCTGGCCTGGCACTCTGCTTAACTTCTTCCTTGCATTATGTAGATCTTTAACACCCCACATATAACCTTCATCACCATCCCCTGGAATCTAGAATAGACCATCAGTGATTTGGAGACAAATTATTTTAGTAGCAAGATCGATGAACTTGTCAAGTTTCATTGATTAGCATTTATTAGACTCATATCTAACTTTAGGGAATGTTTTAAATGCCTAAATAACACATGAAATATGCCTCATTTTCATATGTATTTATTAGAGTTAAGCCTTAGTAAACCAAATGTCTTTCTATGTTATTATTTTTCTTTTATCCACAGTCTGAAGTGGGGCTTCTCAAACTATAGAGTGCTTAAGAATCATCTGGAGAGCTGGTAAAACACAGACTGCTGGACCCCACTCCCACAGGTTCCGATTCAGTAGGTCTGGGATGGGACCGAAGAATCTGGATCTCTAATATGGTTCCACATGATGATGATGATGCTGGTCTACAGGCCATGCTTTGAATATAGCCCTGGCCTAAATCACAGACACCCGATGTTGGCTTCACAGTTTATATCTGAAATTCAGCTTGAGCATTATTGAGAATTCCCAGCATGAAGGACCTATGACAGAAAAAGATAATCATTTACTGCTTCTCTTTGACTATTATTTTTTTCCAGCCTAGACTGACTCCATTTTATTTCCAATGTTTCCTTTAATCCCTAAGTACCTGGAGATGCAGAACCATTCTGTAGAATTTTATTGTCCTAGTTTTTACCCCGATGAATCATCTTTCGACAGACATGTGAGCCCTCAGCAAATGCATTATGTCATCTTTCTGAGCGCCACAGAGAGAACTGATACGCCTTTGGTCTGATGTGAAATGATGGCTTCAGTGTGCCCACCATGCTGCGACTCTGACTTGGGAGGGTTCCCAGAATTGTGACAGAAAACCCTTTGGCTGGTGCCAAGTGGGGAAGGGGTGGGCTTGTGATTCTGTTTCTCAAACCACCCAACTCCATGCATGTGTGAGCAGATCTGTCTCCTCCCAGGCTGCCACATTCAAAAGTGGGATATATTTTTAGAGACGAAATCATTAGTCATTAGTCTCTCCCAAGATTCTTTTTTTCCCGTTGAGTAAATTTTAAGAACTTGATCTTTATGAGAAAATTTTCAGGCTTTAAAAAAAAAATGGTAATGATTGTAGCCTTGGTACAATGAACCCATTTGCCTCCCTTCTAGACAAAGGCAGACTTCCCACAGCAGTCACTGCCTGAAGCTCCTGGTCCCTACATCCAATATCCAAATCAGCTTGATCTTTCACATCTTATTAGAAAAGCTCCTGCCTCTTTTGATTTTCTGGTCCCCTCAAACGTAGGATTTCAAAAACTAATTTTATCATACACTGAACATTTACCCTTTAAGCTTATTATAAATTCTTATGATGGAAGTTGATTCTTAGCAAAATAGCCCTCTGGCTTAGATATGTACAAAATTTCACATAAGAACAGGAGGATTTGATAGATATCATCTTATATTGAAGAAGGGATAACTGAAAATGAGCTTTATTGGATATCTTTAAATTTGGTGTTAAAAGAACTTTTAACATGTTTCCATTGCTTCAGGCTAAATAAATGTGGTATTAATGGTTTCACCACCAGAAAAGCCACCACATTTGCCAATTTTTGCTCTTAATTAAACTGTATCTGTATATGCATAGTTGGAAATGTCATCATTTAGAAGCTCATCAAAAATTCATAATCACCTGGTGGCTGATAAGGCCCAGCCACTCCCTAGGAGGGATATAACACATTGCATTATAGACTCCAGACTCCCTCCTTCTCCACAGCTGCCACATCTTACTTTTACAATTTAATCTTACTCGATGAGACTGAGACCATCAATTTTCAGAGAGCAGGAGGTAGATTTTCGTAAAAGGATATAAGGAACTCAAAGAGAAGGAATTCTAAAATGTGACCACCTGAAGTCCAAGTCTGTGGTCCGAAACTAGAGGAAGGGCCCATCATTGTAAAGCAGCCAACTGTAGCTTGTCTGCTTTGGTGAGATGATGGAGGAGGAGAGTGAGGGTATATGAGTCCAGGTCAGTCTTCTCCTCTTCTACTTAAAAGAGTTAAGTGTGGCAAATGAAGATGGCCCAAACTCTTTGACTTTTCTCTCACTAAAGGAAGATCTCTATGTCTCCTTACTTGAATCTGAGTGGGCTTCGTGATTGCTTAAACAATAGAATTCATTGCGATGCTGCTGTGTCAGTTTCTGGGCCCAGACCTCAAGAACAGGAAGCTTCCACAGTCTGTCACTGGAAACACCCATTCTTGGAACCCAATCTCCATGCTGTGAGGGAGCCAAAGCAGCTCTGTGGAAAGGACCACATTGAGAGTAACTAAGACTAGCTAGTGTCAGCTTGCCAGCCACATGAATAAGCCATGTTGGAATTGGATCGTTTTTAGCTTCAGCAGAACTGACCCCAGCTGAAGGTGGCCCTGTTCACCTTGGAGATTGAGCAGAAACGTAGATAGATGATAGACTGTTATTTCAAACTGCTAAGTTTCAAAGTCATTCTTCTTGCAGTAACAGATATCCAGAATAATAGCATCTCTTTTTTCTACTCTTTCCCATGGCTTCCCTAAGAGCCATTACTGAGACTAGACAAGAGCTCTAAGGCCAGAGCCTTTCAGACAGGGTCCTGCAGGAGCTTCTGAAACCCAGGATGACCTTGGATGTGTCCTCTCAATCCTTTTCCCTGGCAAATGCTGTCATCTAAAATACTCTCTGTACCTTAGCCTCGCTCCATCATCCACACACTGTTGCCTTCCTTCCTCCAGAGCCCAGTGATTAGCTAGGTAACATGTTTGGGGTCAAGAGCAAGAAATGGCCTGAGATTTCCTACCTGCTACTGGTCACCATACCAACAGAAAGCTTTTTAATAAAGAGTAAAAGCTTCTCGGTCCTCTATATCCCCACTTAGGTGACATAAGTATGCCCTTACAGGAATAACTGAAATCTTTGATATTGTTACATTCTTGGCAGGGATTGGTGACATCAACTAAGAGTAAGGATTGGCCTGTCAGTGGGCACAGGATGGACCCCATGCCCCCATGAATGCTAGGAGGGTAAGGACACTCACCATTAAGAGGGGGAAGGAGAGAGACACTGAAGAGGAAACAGGAAATGGGCAGGGCACCAGAAATATACTTAGGTGGTTTATCACTGACTAATAGAGGCTGCTTGTGAGTCACTGCGTGCTGGGCCAATGCTAAATCATTACTGTGGCTAGTACTACTGCTCCTTTTACTTGCTGACATAGTGAGGCTTTGTGCCAAGTACTGCTCCAACACCCTGTATGAATTAAGGTAGGTGCTGTTAGTATCCCTGATTTATGCCCAAGGAAACTGAGGCATAGAGCAGAGAGGATACTTGGCCAGAGTCACGTGGGCATGGCAGTGTATTATCAGAATTCAGAACCAGTATTCAACCCCAGGGGTTCTGGCTCTATTATTTGTCATTGGCTTTGGCTGACATCAGGACTTTAGGCACAGAAGCTGAGGGAAGCCCAGTCTGAGTTCACAATACACTTTTTGTCTTTGGCTTATGTCAAGCACCAGAGGAATTGGGCTAAGGGGTACTTCATTTTTCTTATTTTAAACACATTGTAATCTCAAATATATGTGCCTTTGCAGGCTGCTCAAAGTCATCCTCAGCAGAAGGCAGAATATAAATAAACAAATACACAGATAAGTTATGAAGGAAAATGTAAGATCCATGGTAGCTCCATGAAATAAGAATTAAGATGTTGGGGTGTAGCCCATCATGCAGCTAGCCCAGTGGTTTTAGCTCAGCAGAAATGCTGACCCCTGAATACCAAGAAGGAAGGCCTGGTTGGACTGGATGACTGGTTTGCTATGATGAACCAGGACAGTAGGTCACATCTACATTAGGCAAGTGTTCCTGCATTTATGGACATTCTAATATCCCCTGTCATTGTGGCTTGAGAAAATATTAATTTTTGCTTTTTTTTAAAAAAATGTAGATGTAGATTATTTTAGCTTGCAAACATTTATTGGGTGCCCACAGAGAGTTAAATGAATATTTCATGATATGTATTTTGCCAATAGGATAGCCTCCAGTTCAGAGAACCACCTGCTTATATTGAAATCTTTCGTTTGCTTTAAATTGAATACATAATTTAAGCTGACTGTAACACCTCCTAGAGGCTTAAAAATGAATCGATTTCTTCTCACTGGGCAGAAATAAGTAGACTGTCTGTAACTGTAAAGAATGTGAGCCATTTCAGTAGATCTTGTGTTCTCACCACACACAAAAAGGAAACTAGTAACTATGTGAGGTGATGGATATTTTAATTAGCTTGATTCTGTTGATTATTTCACAATGCATAATATGTCAAAATGTCAAGTTGTACACCTTAAATATATAATTTTTATTTGTCAGTTATACTTAAAGCTAAAAAGATATGACCCATTTTAGAAAAGCGGTTATTTTTTTAAAATTCCTACTTATATGTCAAAACAATGTAGCTATCCAATACAAATGCAAAGTCCTTACAAATATTGTTTAAAAATTCATGAGTCTAGTGTTTAATATATTTAGAACAAAGCCAGAAAATTTTTACAGAAGATGTAAAACAAATGTCCTGTTATTATTACTATTCTGCTTTTTCCGGTGTTTCATAACAGCTGAGTAAACAATCAATACCAAATAGTAAAGAAGTGTCGCTGAGCAGATAATGGACTTGAATTAGATAAACTTGGCCTGGGTAGACTGAATACACCATTGGGGCGTATTATTCTCACTTACGGTTTAATCTGATAGCTACCAACTTGAAGTTGATAGCTTTAAAATGTTGGATGAAAAAGAGAAAGCAACTGTCTTTGTAAGGAGGACAAACAGAGAAGGGAGAATCAGTGTAACCAGCACAGGAAACGTACATTGCTTGTATCTTCTAAAGTGTTGGAGAAAAGAATTCCCTCTACTTTGGTCGATGTGGGAGAGCTCTTTTGTAAACCTTTTAAAATCTTAATTAAGTTTCTAAATTTAATGTTTATATTATTTTTTTGAATTTAGAAACAAAATAGTTTTAAATGACTGGTTCTCATAAAAATAGTAAGTAAACATGGCTTATCTGGGCCATGATTATTAATTTACTAACTAGATGTATATACATGTTTATTTTGGGTTCCATTGGCATCTTAGTTCAACTTAAGGGAAAGCAAATAAGCACAGAGAGACCGAATGAGGTATACTGAGTAGAAATCAGAATATCTGGGTTTCTGTCCCAGTTTTTTACCTCCTGAGTAGTTGTGTGACCATAGGCAAGTCTCTGTGCCTTAATTTCTCACAGTGTAAAAATGTGGATAATGACACCTACTTTCTCTGTGCCAGGAAGTTACCTTGATGCATAAATGAGAAATTAGATGGGATAAATATGTGCAAATAGAAGATTGATATACACAAGCAGATATTATCATTAAATTCTTGTAAACGAAAAATTCTCTTAAAATACTTATGATGTTACTGCTCTATTTAGGGTAATATTCTAGGTTTTTATAAAGATTAAAAAAATAAATAATATGTAGTTTCTATAGTCCATTCCAGAGCTTTTAATAATACAGGGTCAGCAAATGTTTTCTGTGATGAGCCAGTTAGGCAATGTATTAGGCTTTGTGGGCCAGATTGTCTCTGTTTCTACTACTATACAACTCTGCTCTTGAAGCACAAAAGCAGCCATAGTCAAAATGTAAAATAATGAGCACGTCTGTTTTCAATAAAACTTTATTTACAAAAACATGCAAAGGACCAGATTTAGTCCATGTGCTGCAGTTTGCCCATCCTGCCTCTAATCAGATAGATGATGTGCAATTAAAACTATAATATGAGATCAGAATACTCAATATTACAAACAAAATAGATGAAGAATGAATGGCATCCAGCTAAGGCAAGAAAGTCTTCTAGGAGATTGTAGATTTGAGATAGCCCTTCAAGGATGTGATCATGTTTGGACTTGTAGAGGTGAAGAAAGACATCACCAGAAGAAAAGATAGCCCAAGAAAAAGTACAAAAGTGGAAACATGGAGAAGATATTTGAGAAAGAGCAAGCAACGCATTTGGCAGATCTATAGGGGTAGAGTTAGAAGCAAGAATGCACTGGAGTGGGTGTAAGACAGGAAAACCATATATAGTCAGTTAAACATAAGCTATACTATTTCTGACTTCAACCCACCCCCTTAATGAATACTAAGCTGTAGTTGTTAGGAAAGAATTACTTTTATTTTTGGTTGGTTAGAAAACTCTTACATGTTTCTATGTTGCAGAATCATTTTAGGTATTTCTAAGGATGTTCTGCAACTTGTAATCATCCCCAGGGGTGGTTTGTTTACCTTCATGCTGCTTCACACATTACTCATCAATCCATGAAGAGTTGCACGTAGGTTGGCCACTCCGAGGATAGAACCATGAGGAGGTGTGTCTGATTCAGAGCAGGAACTAACTTTCTAGAGCTACACTGTCCAACATGGCCAGCCACTAGCCTCATGTGACTATTTAAATTTAAATTTAAATTTCAGTGATTCAATCATACTAGCCACATTTCAAGTATTCAATAGCCACTTGTGTCTAGTGGCCACAGTACTGAACAATGCAGATAATAGAAGATTTTTCATCATCACAGAAATTTCTATTGGACCATGCTGCTCTTAGGAGATGAGAAACCAAGCAACCTTGAAGTACTGGCTTAGACTCCCAGGGCTGGAGGTTTGGATGACAGTTAAGACATTTGGTAACTGTTAGTTCATTAGCAAATACTTTACTTTCTAAGTATTGGTTTTGTCATCTGTGATATGGAGGAATAATTGTACTTTTTTTTAGGTGGTTATGAAGGCAAAATAGTGGATTGCTCTTTAGAAGCTGTAAAATGCTACATAAATATAAGACATTGTTGTCATTTCAGTGATACCATCTCTGTGCTTTCAGGCAATTCTCATTATTTCTTTGCTTGTTTCTATATCATTTGCAAATAGAGATAGTTTTACTTCTTTCTTTACGATCTGAATTTTTTTTTTTTTTTGATGGAGTCTCGCTGTGTCACCAGGCTGGAGTGCAGTGGCGCGATCTCAACTCACTGCAACCTCCGCCTCCCAGGTTCAAGTGATTCTCCTGCCTCAGCCTCCCGAGTAGCTGGGACTACAGGCGCACACCACCACGCCCAGCTAATTTTTGTATTTTTAGTAGAGACGGGGTTTCACCATGTTGGCCAGGATGGTCTCTATCTCTTGACCTCGTGATCCACCTGCCTTGGCCTCCCAAAGTGCTGGGATTACAAGCGTGAGCCACTGCGCCCAGCCCTGAATGCTTTTTATTTCATTTTCTTGCCTAATTGCCCTGGCTAGAACCTCCAGTACAATGTTGAATAGAAGTGGTGGAGGCAGACATCCATGTCTTTTTTTCTGATCTTAGGTGGAAAGCTTTTGGTCTTTCACCATTAAGTATGAAGTTAGCTGTGGGTTATTTGTAGACATCCTTTACCAGGTTGAGGAAGTTCCCTTTTTTTCTAAGTCTGTTGGGTTATTTTTTTGTTTAATCATGAAGGTATATTGGTCCTTGCTCCCTTTTGTTCATTCAATTTGTTTAACATTTTTTCTTAGCTCTTCATTTACTTTTTGCTCTCTTAGCTCGTTATGGTACTAGAAACCAGCTATGTGACTGGTTATACCTACCATTCCCTAAAGAATCTTCTATCTCTGGAAACCAGGAAGGCCAGACAATAGTAAATGGATGGATTAGGCAAATCCATGGCATCTATGTTAAGGCTATTGCTAAAGAATCAATGCAAAATTTGTGTCTTACTGTAGTAGGAAACATGCTGTCTCTTGGGAGAAGAACTATATAACATTAGTGTTTATAACTTATTGTTTTGTCAAGAAAAAATGTAGTTTATTGATTTATATAGTAGCCTTCGATGGGGCAGAAAAAGACAGAAGAAGGAGATAAGAGACAATGAAGGATGGGAAAGGAAGGGACACTAAGTTGAGAAAACTTCATGAACAAGACACAGAAGTGGAAAGGATGATGGGAAATTCAAGAACTAGTGAGTGATGAGACTAAACTGACGTATTTGAGTTCAGTTGTTTTGACAGCATAAGTAGGTAGTATGTGAATCCTAGAGGTCTTCCCATAATGTTTCAATCTCTGGTCAGATCTACCAAACCCAGCTCTGGAATCCCATTGTTTATAGTGGTCTCTGGTTCAGAGGGAGTCATTAAGCAGTGTCTTGGATTCTAAGGAAATGTCTCTCAGCAGAACAAAAAAATTAACTCTCTACTTCTTTACAATCACAAGCTTAGCATTGTATTACATTGTTTCAGAGGCCTTTCTTTCTCCAGGAAAGGTAAACAGGTTTTATTGTACCTTCCCTCCATTATATCCCCAACTTTCCATTATGTTCTGTATGTTAATCTGAGGAGTCATCAATCAAGCCCTTTGTATTCATGTCAAGAACAGATTTATGACCTCCCAAAGATCTCGCCACTGTGGGGTACATGGTAAGCATCATCTCCAGGGCCCTTGTGCATTATATTCCTCTCTATCCAGCTCAGTTTCAAGGTTACCTTGTTTTGGCTGCAGTGCCAGTCTGCTGACTCATGTTTAGTTTACTTGACCACAGGCTATTTTCTCAAGCTCCAGTAATGTCATTCCTATCTTAACTCCTGTATCAATGAAGGGCTAGGATCAGCTTCTTTATTGTCCATTTCCCCTTCCGGAGACATTTACCATTTTACAGCTCCCTCTGCCTCCTGGGTATCCAGCTACAATTACCATTAGTACATGAACCTGGCATAGGCCAATTTCTGAGGTTATTAGTTTTTTCTTCCTTTATCATTTGACCCAGGCTGTGCCATGTTTGTATCCACAGAATTCTCCAGCTTGTCAGAATTATTTCAAATGTTTCCCTTCAGCTGTCAGTCACATCCGCCAACTTGGCATTATTAGGAAAATATTACATGAGTATATTCTTTAAGCCCATTATGTAAATCACAAAGCATCATGGTATACTGAGAACTAACCCTTATGGAACTGATTTAATGCAAACCATTTATTAGCAGTTCTTAGAAAATGATCCTCAAATCAGACATATTATATAACTTTTTTTTTAATTTTAGTTTTCTTGACAAGCATATAACGTGCTTATTAAAAACCTTACTAGAGCCAGGTCTCACTTTTCCCCCATGCCATGAATGGAGAGGAGTCATCTACTCAGATTTCCTCTATACCTTCATTCAGAGGACGCCAGCCCCAGATTTGACAGCACAGTCACTGGTTTTCAACCGTGCCTCAGTCTACTGCTGATAATAGACAGCAACAAGTGACAGGGAGCAGGAGCTACTTAAAGTCTATCCTCTGGTCTCTCTGCTCAAACAAGAGAGAAGACAACTGCTATCCATGAAGGGCCAATCTGCTGTTCCAGTAACTCATGACATTCATCATTCTGCTCTAAATTAACTATTTTTATGGCATTTAGAATTTATAATGACAAGTGAATCCTATCTGCCCTAATATTTACAAGTTCTTATTTTTAATGCTACATTCCAGTTGTTTCATGGGTCTGGAAGCTCACTTCTGCAAGCTAAAACATTTGACTAGGTCTGACTTGAGAGATAGGATATAGGCATCCCTGTGTACTTGGTGCCCGTTTTACAGAGAGTTAAGCGAGGTATTATGGGAAGCAAGCAAGCAAGAAAGCAAAAGATAGTATTTTTCCATTAGAGATTTTTGTGCTTCAAAGAGGAAGGAGCAAAAGAAAAAAGTCTATGGATGCAGAAAACAGAATTATATACATACTGGAGTGTGTGTCTGTGTGTGTGTGTGTTTAGGGAATTTGAGGGAGAGAGAGCTGTGTCTGGATAGCTGCTGAAAATATACAGCATCAAGTACTCTGTGATTTTTATTGAGTATAAGCTTCAGTGGAGGCGATAACTGCATAAGTACCGTAGCCCATGACAGAGAAGTGGGATATAAGGATCTAAAGGTGGAGTTGTGATGATTAAAGTGCAAATCTTCCTCCCTTTCCCAATAAATAACAGTGTAAAACACCATTCTAGACAGTAAAGGACAAATAAATTAGCTTGATGAGGACTCTGTGGTTGGACCCACAGATATATAAAGAAGAAGAAGAGTGGGCGAATTCTTTGCTGCATTTCTGTAACTGGCAACACTATGCTTGGATTTTGAAAAAAGCAACATTCTTGACAATTTTTTTTTAATTCTAAAAGTGTGGTCAAAGGGATTGATCTTTATGTAGACTAACTTTGGCAAGATTGTCATTTCCAAGTTCAGGAATTTTAAGAATACATGCTACCATCCCTTACCCTATCTTATATTGTAGTTCATTTCATAGTAAGTTTAAAAAGCTTAGTTTCCAGGTCTGTTTGGCCATCTCCCCAGTCTGAAGGTAGAAAGAAGAGAACACACTGCCCCTCATCTTAGCTAATTCCTATTTATTTCTCAGGTTTCACTTATCGATAATTCTTTTGTGATCATTTCATCTTCCCCTCATTAGATCACATTGCCTCATTGGATGCTTTCATACCAACCTGCACTTTTTTCATTTTTCGACTTACCAAAGCTTGTTATTGTACATTTTTGTAATTGTTTCTTTTGTGTCTGTCACCAGATAGCTTACATATTTTGCTCCTTTTATTCTATCTAAAATAATCCTATTGTGTTTGGGGTGGAAATTTTTCCATGTAAAATCTACATTTCCTAGTCTCCTGTGCATTTATGGCTGGCCATGTGACATAATTCTGACTGACCATTAAGATGTAGGTAAAATACATACAGTTAGTCTTCAAGGGATGTTCTTTAGAATAGCAAGAAATACAGCTGACTTGGGTAGCTTTTGCCTATCATCCTGTTTCTGTTCCTACTTTGGGCACAGTCACAATATTGGAAGAGGAGAAGCAGCTACTTTGTAACCATGAGGCAGCAGGCATGAGATGACAGCCACACACTATGCTGAGGCTGAGCAGAAAGACAGATGTGAAATAGACTCCCTATTGACATCACAGAGCCACCATACTCATTGGGGCTTTATTTTCACACAAGAAAAATAATCACTCTGCTGATTTTCATTGCCATTTTCTTTTCAGAGTTTCTCTTACTTGCAGTGGCACAGAAAGATAAGCAAAGAAGGAACGATAGGAAAACTATTTTACCTAGAGAAGAGGGTTGCATTCCATTGGATTCTATAACTTGGCTTTGGACAGTAATGCAGGGAAAATTATACACCTTCCTGGGAACTCATGATTGGAGAAGTCAGTAGAAGAGAAGAAAGTTGAGAGTGAGGCCAAGACACCCCTAGAGAGAAATGAGAGAGTTGCTCCTTGAATGAGTTAAGTCAAAGGAAATGGAAGGAAAAATATGAGGTCTGTGGGCTATCTAATGCTCCTCTTATGAAGTGTGGTTGAGTTGGAGGAGAGAGGCTCAATGTGGTTAGCGTACTTATTATGTGCATTAAGCAGACTAGAGTGCATTAAATGTGGAGTGAATTGATTTTATACAACTATCCTCAGCTGTCTTTTTTAAAAAAAATAATGACTAATGCATTCCTGCAAATGTGTTTCTCCGGAAAAGCTTTTGGGGAAGGGAGATTATTTTACCTAATCCCTTTTCATCTATGTTATAGAATATTTAGTGTGCTTATTTGACCTTGAGAGTTATACCTCTTGTCATTAGGCAAAGGAAGGTTAGCTAAAGGAAAAAAAAATTACATGGAGCACTATCCTTATAACTTTAGGTTAAAATAATTTTTCCATACTTAAATATACAGAGTACATTGCCAACAAATGGAAATCTCTGCTTTTGGAAGGTGAGGTATATAGGCCAAAGTACAACTAAAGTTAGAGAACGCCTCTCTCTCTCCTCTCCCGACTCCATTTCTTCCTCAGGAGAGATTTTCCCAAATGACGCCAGCTATGGACCTCAGCCTGTCCACACAGGGGAAAAGCTCACCTTTCCAATGAAGCAAGCCAAAGCCTCTATTGGAAGCAAACCCTGGCCTTCCTTCTCCAGAGCTTGCATCTTGACCTGAGCTTTACACTGTTCCTTTCTTTCCCCATTGACTAGGCTGTTGTGTGCCTTAGAATAGGCTTGCTCCATATACTGCTACTATTTATATCCTCCTGCTTCATGCTGATTGACCTAGCTTTGGGCTCTTTACTTGCCCTGATCTTGGATAGTTTGTGTACGCTTCCTTACTGGCTTATCTTGTGGATTCTGATCCATTTCCTGCTCTCACTTCTAGTACCTTCTCAAGCAATGACTACTAACACTCTGCCTCTGCTTCCTTGGTTCTTTGGCTGGGCCCTTGTAACTCATTGAATTATTTTGCAGGGCTGAATGCAGAGAAGCAGAAGAGGATGGGACTGTTCAGGACATTTATATGAGTATGTAACATGAACATATTCCAGCCACAAAATAGAAGCTAGACTTTCTGCCCATGGCTGTGTTTATAACATCCTCTCTCAGCAAGTCAGGAACTGGTTATTCCCTGGAATCTGATTTTATGAGTAAGCTCAGTTTCAGATGTCCACATTTGAAGTACTTAACTATCAATTCTTTTTTTAAAACATTTTTTATGTCAAAGGGACATCAAACACAGCCCTTCATGAAAGAGCTCGTTCAGGCCCAATAAATGGTCAGTGAAGGGTCAAGAGTATATTGTCCAAAAATAAGGGAGAGGTTTATGATATAAAACTATTAATTTCTCCTCTATTTTTTGTAATTTGTCTCCTATTGTAAATGCTTTTATTGTCCCTAGGGAATAGGAACTAAAGACTATATGGTTTTCTGTTGATAGTTCAAATTCAAATCTTGGGGTCCTTATTCTCTCTCAAAAGATGGACTATATGAGGCTCTATGTGGGAGGATTAGCAGTATACATTCACAGCACCTTGATTCTCTAGACTGAAAGGAGCTCAAGGGTTATTTTCAACATTTAACCCAGGTTCTAGCTTGGTAACTGGAGCATGGTATGTATTTGAGAAGTAATTATTGAATTGGGTCCTGGCTATCTGGATAGCTAGCTGAGTGACATTGTCCTAGTCTTTTCATTTCCATTTAATAGATGAGAAATATGAGGCTCAATATCACCTCTTCCACAAGGAGTTTTGTAACTAAGATAATGAGAGCAATTTTTTATAAATTAAAAAGAGAACCATACAAACTATACCACTTTGCATTAGTTTTTTAGGGCTGCTGTAACAAAGAACCACAAACTACAGTGGGAAAAAAAAAAACAACCAGGAACTTAATCTCTCACAGCTCTCTAGTCTAGAAGTCTAAGATAAAGGTGTTGACAAGGTCATGCTTTCTCTGAAGAATCGAGGGAAAATCTGTATCATGCCTTTCTCTCAGCTTCTGTGTTTACCAGCTATCCTTGGTGTTCCTTGGCTTGCAGTCACATTAACTCCAAACTCTGCCTCCATATTCCATGTTCACAGGGTGTTCTTCCCTCTGTGTGTGTCTGTCTCTGTGTACAGATTTCCCCTTCTTTTTTTTTGTTTTTTTGTTTTTTTTGTTTTTGAGACAGACTTTTGCTCTTTGGCCCAGGCTGTAGTGCAGTGGTGCGATCTCGGCTCACTGCAACCTCCACCCCCAGGGTTCAAGAGATTCTCCTGCCTCAGTCTCCCAAGTAGCTGGGATTATAGGTGCCCACTACCACACCCAGGTAATTTTTGTATTTTTAATAGAGATGGGGGTTTCACCATGTTGGCCGGGCTGGTCTCGAACTCCTGACCTCAGGTGATCTGCCCGCCTTGGCCTCCCAAAGTGCTAGGATTACAGGTGTGAGTCACCATTCCCGGTCCAGATTTCCCCTTGTTATAAAGAGACCAGTCATTTTGGATTAGAGCCCACCCTAATGACTCATCTTAATTTGATTACATCTGCAAAGACCCTATTTTCAAATAATGTCACAATCACAGGTACCACAGGTTAGGACTTCAACATATCTTTTTGGGAGATGCAATTCAACTCATAACACATGCACGAATCTCTTACACAAAGTCCTTTGGCCAGAGGTGTTTTGGAATTCAGATGTTTTCAGATAGTAGAAAGGCAGTACAGTGCATATACCATCTATTAAGTATTACTCCCACCACGTTGTAGAGTAACACCATGTGTTCAAACACTGTATTATTTTCACAGAAAATACAATTATATTAACACTAAGTGAGATAAATAAAGAACTCTGATATGATCTTATCCATTCAGAACCCACTTTACTGCCAAATGAGTTTCAATTTTTTGTTTAGAGATTTTTTTTTTTTTTTGGATAACAGAATGGCAGATAATGAGTTTGGGGCCAATATCAAATACTGACTTGGATACCATTCCTCTGAAAATCTTTGTCTCATAATATCTTTCTTCCTCAGCCCCGTTGTCATTATCCTAGTTCTGGTCCTCATTAATTCACAGCTAAACCACCATACCAGGTTCCTAATTGTCTCCGGCTTTCACATATTCATAACTTTCTAACCAGTGTCTCTCTCTCTCTCTCCCTCTCTCTCCTCTCTTCAATCCTGTTTACACTCTGTTGCTAGATTAATCTTTCTCTTATACAGCTCTGACTAAGCCATTCCCCTGGTTAGTACCTTCTGTTACTCCCAATATAAAAGAGTTTGGCGTAAAGAAATGCCAAACTCCTCAATAGAGCTTTCGTGCTTCTACAACCTGGACCCTCTTCTTCCCTGCAGGTTCCCTGGGTGAGAACTCAACTGGACTGCTCACTTTTTTTTTTTTAATCACTTGCCCCATAATGTCCTCCCTGTATGTGTGCCTTTCCTCTCTGCTTTGAAGATATGGACCCCAAGCCGTGACTTCTAAATATCCAGGCTCTACCCATCTATCAAGGCCAAGTTCAAATGATACCTGCAGGAAGCTGCCTTTGGCCCTTTCAGTTGGATACAACCTCATTTCCTCCCCTTGCCCCATAATAATGATGACGATAACATTTTTAAGCACTCACTATGTGTCAGGAATGTTCACAGTGCTTTGCATGTATTAATTAGTTTAATCCTCACGACAATCTGTGAGATAAGTCCTGTTTGCAGCCTTGTTTTATGTATATAGAAACTGAGGTTCAGAGAAAATAAGTAACTTTCCCAAAGTCACAGAGTTGTTAGTGGCAGATCTGGAATTTGAACACGTGACATCTAGCTCCAGAGCTTATGTTTAACCACCGTACCCTTTATTGTACTCTTATTGTATCATTTATCACTCTCTCTTGGGTTATGAATATCAACATCTATCTCCTGATCTAGGTGCTAACTCTTTAATTTAAAAAGTTATCTGGATTTTTATATTTGTATCCCCCATAACCTTCAGCACAGTACTTTGCACATAGCAAGAATTTATTTACTGTTTAAGGTGATGCAACCTACAGTAATATATGGATTAACCCTGCAATCTTAATGGCTTAACACAGTGAAGTTTATTTCTTGTTCACACAACCAGTCATTGTAGGTGTTTCTGGTTAGGTGGCTCTTCTCCCAGGGAAAATGTAAAGGCCTGGTTTTCTTTCACCTCATGACTCTGTTGTTTTCATCACCTGGCTTCCAGGACTGCCCCAGGGTTGTCTTTCTTCCTGCCAGTAGGAGAATGGATAGTGTATGAAGAACTGCGAAAGGGAAGTTTTCATGAGCCAGGCCTGGAAATGGTGCACATTACTCTACTGGCCAGAGCTCAGTCACCTGGCCACATGGAACTGCAGGGGAGGCTGAAAGATGTAATTGAGTTACATATGTATGTGTCCAGGAGGAAAAGGAAATTGCACGAGAACAAATAAATGTTGAGTGAATGCATGCTATAGAGAGCCCTGCAGTATGCATCCATTGTAGGGTTTCAATTAATTAATCAACCCCCTTTGAGTAGAGTCTTTCTACCATTCAAAAAAATTCCCCAAACCAAATCATCATGCAGGCCATGATTCTCTACCTTGTCCTTAGGATATTGGGAAAATTTTTGTCTAAAGTCTTGGCAAAATCTGGTTATAATACCCTATTTCTATTATTTCCCCCACAAACATGTATGTTAATCAGCTTTCAAATCTGTATTGAAATAAAATGGTTTTACAGAGGTCTGTCCTAGTGAGCTGTGCTATTCAAGAATCCTGTGATCTCATCTGCCTTCTCATAGCTGACTATAAGAGATTATTTGTCTATTAAATTAAAAATTGCATGCAGATAGATATACCCACGAGTCAATGCATCAGTTTATTTAAAATCAAATTGCCCAGGAGTGGAGAGGTATTTTGCTGAGTCTGTTTTTTCTAGCCTCAAACCTATATAAAAAATAACTGAAAATAATAACATATTTACCTGTTTAACATACTTCTTTTTTCTTTCCCAAATGAGAAGTGTTAGAGCAGTGTTCAAGTGATATATAAAAACACTTCTGTGCTTTCTTCTCTCTACATCCTGTAAGGCTGTGAATTTAAGGGGACTGAACAGTTCTCTTACTTTAAAAAAAAATTATTGGTTTACATGGCTGACAAATCGAATTGATAATTATATTCATCAAATATTAACAAAATATTCATTTGGGGCTTAAATAACTCAATATCATTTAAAGGAACAAGGTTCAAACATGAAATAAGCATAACAGTAATTTAAAAATTATTATTCCAGTTCTATTCAGTTCTTCATAACCTATGCAAGCACAGGTTCTATTAGGAAAAGCCTCCCCTGCCTGCTTCTATCTGCTCCCAAATGTGTTTTTTAAAAATCCATTGGCCCTTGGGAAGATTATTTTCTCAACACTTAAAATACTCATCTAGTGTTAAATTTTGACCCTGGAAATTTATGCACAGCTAGTTCCTGGGATATTACTAGATCACTAGTCAGAAGAAGTCCCGTTTTCACATCAAGCATATAGGCAGATATTTTCCTTGGAGCATTTTGGAGCCTTAAGTCTTTTGAGCTTATCAACTTGCTGGTGACATGTTGGACTGTGTCCCAGAACAACACCATGTTACTGGTTGAGACCTTCAGCATAGCTGAAAGAGCACAGAGTGAGAGCTGGAAGGCTTGGGTGACAGCCTCTGCTCTGGTGCTAAGCTGTGCTCTGCTGTGTCACCATGGGCAAGTAAGACTTTCTCTGGGCCTCAGTTTCTTCCTCCTTGCATATCAAAAGGTTGGATTGGAAAATCCCCAGGATCCCCTCCCATAGATCATGAGTTCTCAGCCAGAAATGTGTCATTCGTTTGTGTCCCCAGAACTTGGTATGATGCCTAATCAATAGTTGGTACAGTATGTATGTTTAAATGAAAAAAATTCAATGACATAATACATATAAAGCACTTTAGAAACTGTCTGGTCAGTATAAGCACTGGGAAACTTTTTGCTAGTATTTCAACTAAAAGGCCATCTGCATTTGTGAGAACTGCTGACAGCATGCACACCTTCAGCCCATGTGCTAGCACAGGAAAGTTGCTGAGTTCACTCTTCCTTGAGAGTTAGGCCCACTCTTTCCCTGCTAAAAGACACACATCAGAGATTTTCAGTACTAGGGTTTCTCTCAGAAATGGACATGAAGATTAAATACTTCTGCACTTCTCTTCTCCCTTGCCAGGAGCAGCTCACTCCTAGGTCATTCCATGTTAAATCAGCATGAAGCTGGGCTGGGACATGATGCACCCAGCCTTCTCAGTTATGCTCAAGACATCACCAGCATCATTATGTCTCTGAAAGCCCAGATCTAGGTATCTCCATGCTCATCTCTCTTCGGATGCAGGCTCTCCCCTGTGCTGATGCCTCTAATCACAGAATCCTTCACAGTGTCTCCCATCTGAAGCAGAGTTGGGAACCAACAATGTATTTCTTCTACCGCCAATTTAGTCTTGGCTTTCGGTAGGGTATTTATCTCAAACTTCTTATAAAAAACAAACCAGAGTCAAGAAGGAGCCCTGGGGATTTGTATGCAGCTGGCTAGATCACTCTGTCTCACGTCCCCCAATCCTCCCTCTTTCCCCCTACCACACTCAGTCTTGCTGCCACTATCGATGTGACTTGAAACCATCAGTTCAAATCTCATCTTGTTTTTTTATCCCTGTCTGCACTATGCTATGGACTGAATGTTTGTGTTGTCCTGAAATTCAGATATTGAATTCCTAACTCTCAAGGTTATGGAATTAAGAATTGTGTCCTTTGTCAGGTGACTATGTCATAAAGTTGGAGCCCTCATGTATGGGATTAGTGCCCTTACAAAAGAGAACCCAGAAAGCTCCCTCATCCCTTCTACCATATGAGGTTACAGTGAAAAGATGGCTAACTAGGAAGCAGAAAGAAGACACTCACCAGACTCCCATCTGCCAATGCCTTGATCGTATACTTTTCAGCCTCCAGAACTTTGAGAAATAAATTTCTATTGTTTATAGGACACCCAGTCTATGGCATTCTCTTATAGCAGCCTGAACAGACTAAGACACACCAGGAGACCCAAGAAGTTCAGACCCCTCAGTCATCCCTCATCTCCTGGACTCAAATTCCCACGCATGGCACATGACATCTTATCAATGAGTTTGTTCCTGCTCACTGGATTTTTAATTTCCAACCCTTCCCCATAGTGCCCATCTGCTTTGCTTTTCTAAGTTACCATTGCTTGTAATTTCTTTGATTATTTACCATTTCCTACCACTAGAATATAACCTTCATGAAGCCATGGGCTTTTTCCTATTTACTGATGGTGTCTTCATGCAAAGAACAGTGCCTGGCACTTAGTAGTCACTTGAAAGGCAATGGTTGGATGACTCTTTGCCAGTAATGGACACGGGGCACTTGGAGAAATGTTCTCAGGTCTTTATGCTCTCTCATCCACCTCCAGGAACTCTGCTCCATTTTTTTTTAAGCAATAACTCCCTTTAAGTTTCTGCTCAGGGTCTTTAAGCTTAGTTTGCCTTTCCCATCCTAGTCATAACTACAGTGATCATCTTCTTTAGGTTCCTGCCTCAGCCTGCCATTTCTTAGTTAAGCAGTTGCTAAAGAGATGCCCATTCGCTTTGTTCCTTGAATCTTTATTGGGAGAGTGGCAGTGGTGAAGAAGGTAGGGCTGGGAGACTACTTTTTTTTCTAAAGTCAGGTAACTGCAGTCGAACCACAAAGCTTCTGAAGTTCTTTTTACTTCTCCTTTCTTTGTACTAATTCAGACAGATATGAACACCATTTGGCAATATTCCCTGCCATTTTCTTTTGCCTTCCATTTCCATTTCTTTTATCTATAATCTGTACTCTAGCTAAGCTCTGAAAGATTGTCTTTTTTTAGTTCTCACCATGAAGGTTGAATTATAGCTCTAATTTGTTTATTGCCTGCAATACATTTATGATACGTGCATATGTGTGTGTCTGTGCATTTATGAATGTGTCATGCATATATATGTACACATACATACTCATGCATGTACACACCCACATATTCAGGCACTTATATACCATTGTACAGATGAGAAAACTGAAGTTCGGAGAAGTAAAATAATTTCTCCAAGGTCACTCAGAGAGTGAAGTTTAGTTTCTTTTTAGTCCATTTTAACTTACTCCACTTAAAGCCACTCTTGAAAGAGTTGCCAAATCTTGTCAAATTTTGTTAATTTAAAACTTTCACTATGACACATTTTAAGCATATAGACAGAAAGAGAGAATAATATCAAGAAAATCCATGTATTATCCTATACTTGTTTTCACATTTTAGAAAGGAATGATGCCTTACAGAGAAGTAGCTGTTGTATACTTCTTCCTGATCGCATTTTCCCTACCCCCTCCCCAGAGGTAACATTTTCATGATTTTAAAAAATAATTCACATGCTTGCTTTTACATTATTTCTATATACAAATGGATTTATACAAATATATACTTAGTTTTAGCTTTTAAGCTTTTAAGTAATATCTGTTTTGCAGCAGTTGCTTTTTGTTAACATTATGTTTTTGAGTTTTTTCCATGTTGATGGGAGTGACTCCCTTTTGCATTCATTTTAATTGCTCACAGTAGTCCATTGTATGAATATTCCGCAATTTATTTACCTGGTCTCTTGCCAATATATAATTATTCTTTTTCCACATTTTTATTTAAAAAACAATAATGTCACTGTCTGCATCTTATTCTGCCTCTCTGCAACATTTGCCATAATTGACCATCTTTTATTGTACAATTTTTTTTTCTCTTGGCTCTATAACCTCAAGAGTCTTGGTTTTTCCCCCTTCTCCTCTGGCTACTTCTTGGTTTTCATTACCTTCTTTCTTCTGTGTAACCTAAAAATGTCAAAATTCCCCACTCTTGGTCTTGAATCCTTTTCCCTTATCTCTCTTTCCATTTTTTTTTTTCCTGGAAGATCTCACTTATTTATGTGACTTTAAATATAGGTTGATACTCTTCAAAGTGGTGTCTCCTGTCCATACCTCCCCTCTAAGCTCCAGACTCATGAATCATGACAATTGCCTACTTGACTCCTCCTCTTAGGTATCTCAGAGGCCATTCAAGGTCAAACTTAGGACATCTAAGAAAAAAAAAAGGAACTCCTGATTTTTCTGTGTAAACCTGTAATAAAGAGCTTTTAAAATGGCCCTCAACAAGCTGGCCTCCTAGTATTCACATTTTGTCACATCTTTGTGTAATCTCCTCCCTTGTGTACAGACTGGACTCACTGAATTGCTTCTAATGAATCTATGGCAAAAATGATGGGATGCCACTTCCAAGATTAGGTTACAAAAGACTGACTTCCATCTTGTTTGCATTCTCTGTGGCTTTCCTTACTTGTTCACTCTGAGGAACCCATTTGTCATGTTCTGAACTGCCTGATGGAGAGAACCACATATCAAGGAACTGAGAACAGCCTTGGGCCAACAACCATTTGATTGTTAAAGGACTGGACTCTGCCAATGACTACAGGAGTGTGAACTTGGAAGTGGTTCCTGCCACAGTTAAGCCTGATGACTGCAACTACTGCTGACACCTCAATTGCACTCTTGTGAGAAACCCTGAGCCAGAGAGGGTGCAGCTAAACCACACTGGGGCACCTGACCCACGGAAATAATGACATAATAAATGTTTGTTATTTTAAGCTGCTCATTTTGGGGGTAATTTGTTACATAGTATTAGATAACTAATATAACTAATACAAGTCCTATTCATCTCTCAGTGGTCTACATATCAATAAACAATTCACTTGGATATTCAGATTATAAAGTCTTTCTTGACTCATGCCTCTTTCTTATCCTCCACAGCAACCCATTTGCTAGTCCTGTAGCTTCTATCTCCGTTGGCATACACTAGGCCAAGCCACCATCATCTCTTGCCTTGAGAGAGAAATAAGAGGTCTTTAGACAGAATCCTTAGGGAATGTTAAGGTTGTTTTATCCTCCTGTCTTCTTTTCCTTATCAATTTATTTGTTTACTTATTTAATACATTTTTATGTATCACTGAGGTCCTTTTTTAAGTACTAGGGATGGAGATAAAAACTTAACATTGTTCCTGCATCATGGATTTTGCAATAAAATAAGGGAGATATAAATTAATTTAACCGAGAAATGTGAAAAGTCTCTGAAAAGGAGATAATTGGTTCTATGAGAAGAAGATCATATTATTTCATATTGCTACCCAATATACTAATGATTTCTCAAGGAAATGATATTGAGGATCTTTCTTGATCCCAACTTGTTTAAGGCATAATTTTCAAGCACTGTGCAGAAAGTGGTGGTTGATAAAGCTATGCATGTGCCATTGTATTCTATCCTTTAATTGTTCTCTTTCCTTCCTTAATTACCCTCCCCATGTATGAATCACTAGGAGTGAAGTCTTAAATACCAGCAACTGTGTCTGGGCATTCTGCCCTTCACCATCAATGAGTTGGTCAAGCAATAATTATCAAGATTGCATTATACCTAAGGAGGGAAAAAAAAACATTAATTCGTATTTTTCTTGTAATATATAATGGGTGATATATATATTTCATGTCATAAATCATGGCTTAATACAAGCGTGTAATGGTGTAGGATTTCTCTTTAACTGATCACGTCATGTTTTTAGAATCATGAAATCTCTTAGATTGAAATGGTGACTTTTACTGGTTTTTGTGTTCACTCTCCCATATAGTATAGGAATTTGCTCTATAGCCTTCATAACTGGTGATTTTCCAACTTCTGCATAATCACTTCTAGTGATTGTCAACTCATTATCTCACAAGGCAGCTTATTTGATTGTTAAAAAGATGAAATTGTTGTAACTTCTTATATCACTTAGAGTTCTGCTTCCTTTTGACTTATATCTGTTCAACCTGTTTACTTGCAAAAACGAAGTAATCTAATCTAGGGCTCATTGTTACTCTGAAAATTCTTATCAAAAGGCTTAAACTCCTTATGACTAAGGCTTTTTAGATGGCTTATTACTTGTAGGTCTTCAAAGTTAATTCAGTTTGTTCTCTCATCAGTCCAATGTATTCTTTATCTATAGCTAGAGACAATCTTCAAATCTTGAATTGTGAGAAACTATAATTTCCTCAACCACATAAATATTTGATGCCATCATGTGATGTGAGTGAGTAATCTGTGTGAGGAAAACTAAAATCAGCCTGAAACAATTTCTTCCTGTTACATTGAGTGTGACAGAGTGATCAGCAATAACTGTTCAGGGAAGTCAATACTCATTCTTCAGCCTTTGCTTCCTGAAAATAAATTTGCTGAGGTATAAATAAAATAAGCAACAATAGTCCTGATGCAAAAAAAAAATCAAATAAAAATATTTCAGTCCTTGATTCTTTTAAATTGGACTTCATAATGCAGTTATTGACATCGAATGAAATATTTTAAACTAAATTGTTTTCCTAGTCAAAAGGAATAGTAAAACTAATATCTGGGTTAGGTTACTTGTATAGATGAAATTACTCCTGAGAAATGGCCAGTGTAATCTTAAATATAAAGAAATCATTTGCTTATAAACCACTGAAAATAAACCATTTTCTATTGTCTGGTGTTTAAATAGTGCTCATATCTTTGAAGTTCCTATAAGATGGAAGAAGCAAGTTTATTAAATAAGTCACTAGTCTTCTTCTGTTGCCAACCATTGAATTTTATAACCCAACATAAAGGATGCGTTCGTTTTCAATTGCTGCATAACAAATTGCCACAGAATTAGTGGCTTAAAAAACATGCAGTTTATATGGGCCAGGAGTCCATGTGTGGCTTAACTACGTTCTCTGCTCAGCACGTCACAAGCTTGAAAGCAAGATGTCAGCCAGGCTGAGTCCACTACGAAGCTCATGAGGTTTTTGGCAGAATTGAGTCTTTTGCACTTATAGGACTGAAGTCCCCACTTTTCTTGTTGGTGGCCAGCTGCTTCTTCAAAACCAGCAGGAGAATCTCTCTAATCTCTAGGCATTCTTTTGTTGTTGTTAATGTGTGGGGATTGTTTGTTTGTTTGAATAGACTTTATTTTTTAGAGCATTCTTAGGTTCACAGCAAGACTGGGAGGAAGTTATAGAGATTTCTCCATATACTCCCTAGCCCCACACATGCATAGCCTTCGCCATTATCAGCATCTCACACTAGAGTGGTACATTTGTTACAATTCATGAACCTACATTGCTACATCATTATCACCCAAAGCCTATGTTTTATATTAGGGTTCATTCTCGGTGTTGTACATTTTATGGGTTAAGACAAGTGTGTAATAACATGTGTCTACCAATATAGTATCATAAAGAGAAGTTTCACTGCCCTAAAAATCCTCTGTGTTCTACGTATTCATCTCTTATTTCCCCCCAACTCCTGAGAACCACTGATCTTTTTACTATCTGCATAGTTTTGACTTCCACAATGTCATATAGTTGGAATCATGCAGTATATAGCCTTCTCAGATTGGCTTCTTTCACTTAGTAATATGTATTTAAGTTTTCTCCATGTCTTTTCATGGCTTGATAGCCCACTGCTTTTTAGTGATGAATAATATTCCATTGTCTGAATGTACCACAGTTTATACATTTATCTACTAAAGGATGTCTTGGTTGCATCCAAGTTTTGGCAATTATGAATAAAGCTGCTGTAAACATCCATGTGCAAGTTTTTGTGTGGACATAGGTTCTCAACTCCTTTGGGAAAGTACCAAAGAGTGTAACTGTTTGATTGTATGGTAAGAGTATGTTTAGTTTCATAAGAAACTGCTAAACTGTCTTCCAAAGTGGCTGTACCATTTTGCATTCCCACTAGCAATGAGTAGGAGTTCTTGTTGCTACACGACCTTGCTAACATTTGTTGTTGATAATGTTCTGGATTTTGGTCAGTCTAATAGGTGTGTGGTGGTATTTAGTTGTTTTAATTTGCATTTCCCTGGTGACATGATGTGGAATATCTTTTCATATGCTTATTTGCCATCTGTATATCTTCTTTGTTGAAGTGTCTGTGAATTTCTTTGGCCCATTTTAAAAATTGGGTTACTTATTTAATTATTGAGTTTTTGGTATATTTCGGATAGCAGTCCTTTATCAGATGTATCTCTTGCAAATATTTTCTACCAGTCAGTGGCATATCTTTTCATTCTGTTGACAGTGTCTTTTGCAGAGCAGATATTTTTAATTTTAATGAAGTCCAGCTTATCAGTTCTTTCTTTCATGGATCATGCCTTTAGTGTTGTATCTAAGAAGTCATTGTTAAGCCCAAAGTTATCTAGATTTTCTCCCATGTTATCTTCCAGGGGTTTTATAGTTTTGCATTTTACATTTACGTCTGTGATCCATTTCGAGTTAATTTTTTTGAAGGGTGTAAAGTCTGTGTCTCCATTACTTTTTTTCTTTTTGCATAAACTCTGTTTTAAAGGGATCACCTCTTTAGGTCATGCTCACTCAGCCAATATCCCGTTTGATTAAATTAATGTCAACTAATTAGGGGCTTTGATTATATCTACAAAAATGCCTTCATCCCTGCCATTTAATATAACCTAATCATGAGAATGACTCCACCATCATAAAAACAGGCCATGTTTACACTTAAGGGAGGGGATTACATAGGGCATATATACCAAGGGGGTGAGAATCTTGGAGACCTTCCAATTCAACATAACACATTCTGTATACTCATTTCTGGTCCTAACATTTCTGAGCCTCACATTTATCATCTGTCAAATGAGAATTATTGTAGATCAAATGAGAATTGTTACATATATTAGGACCCCACCCCTAACAGCACCACTGTGTTTTTACCTTTATGCTATTGTGGTAACGCTAAAAACCAGTCTAACTTATAGAATCATAAGAAACTTTCCAGACCTCATGAGGCACACTGGCATCCTGGTAGGAGAATGCTATGTCTTCTAGATCATCTCAAAGCAAAAGGTTTTCTAGAAAAGTTAGCATCTACATTGCAACATCTTTTGTTGTTCCCTTCCAGTTCAGCACCACTCTATTAGCATTAACACCCCACAGTAAAGAGAAAGGACACTCACAGTCAAGATGATGGAGTAAACTTGCAAATGAGACATCCCCAGGTAGACCTGTTGGTACTTGGGGTCCTCTTCTAATAGCTTTTTTTTGTGGGGGGGAGGTCCCGATGCTGGTCATCAACTTGGAAACCCTCATCTTGAGCTATTCGGAGAGGACCTTATTTCTTGGCAACTGAAATTTCTGAAAATACAGCATTAGGTAACACAGCAGACAACAAAAACAATATATTCTCTATGGGCAATCTGGGAATGGCAACAAACCACAGGCATCTAACAATTTATTTGTTACGAGAGGAACCTGAACCATGCTAAGACAAATGGACATCAACATTGTTAGAGAAGACACTGTCCATTAGCAAGCACTAGCAGGGAGAAAAAGAAAATGAAGCCTAAAAGCAAGTTGGAGGTAGCCATCTACTTACTAGAGATAAAGACAGAATATTAGCTAAAACAAAGCAATAGGATGAGGAATAAAGGCTATGTTTTTGTGGTAGACATTTCCCTCTTGAGCTGAGTATCTAATACCCCTCACCCCAAACCCAACTGAGCATCTCCTTTTCTAAGGTACTCTAACAGATTCCAATAATGCCTCCACAGGTGGGTTTGGGTGAGGATGATTGATAATGTTTATAAAATATCTACCATAATGTCTGTCAGGTAATGAACACATGTAACAAATGCTAACTAGCAGTGTTCTTAGAAAGAGTAGTATGAGTAGTATACAGTGCACTTTCTCTAGAGGGAAAAACTATAATGTAACAACACCAATGTTCACAGTAATTTATGAGAGGATTGGGTAGAGGAGGAGTAAATACAGAACAGCATATTTCAACGTGCTTGGTCAATTTTCAGTAACAGGAACAGTCATGTTTTCCCCAGGAGGGCAGTCTTTTGGTAGAAACTGTAGTGAATACAAGCATGCATCATCTTTGTCAATGTGATGAATGCTATTCAGAAAAAAGTGTTATTTATAAGAATCTTCCAAAATAAATTCTACAAGAGATATTTGGCAGGTTAAAAACAAACTTGGAGGAATAAAAGAATGTCCAGAACAAAAGCTCAAAACATTAGAGACAATGTTCATGGCTGTGAACTTCCCATTGCAAGGTGGAAATGATAAGTATAGATGATGAACTGGGAGGATAAAAGCTGAGGAGTCAAGGTTTTTTTCTATTACTCTAGGTCAGTGATTCTCAACCAGGGATGAATTTGTCACTTAGGAGGCATTTAGCAGTGTTTGGAGATGTTTTCTCGTTGTCACAGCTTAGGGGAAGAGAGATGGTGCTACTGGCATCTAGTGGGTGGAGGCCAGTGATACTTGTTAAACGTGCTACAATGTCCAGGACAGCTTCCACAACAAGGGGCTGGTCTGGAATTTGAACTGTAAGAGCAACTGGATTTTGTTGAATGCTTGTGTACAGGAGACTTACGTAATCAGGTGTGTATTTTAGAAAGCTCCCTCTGCTTTCTGAAACAGGGCCAGAATGGAGTCAGAGGGACTTCTTAAGAGATAAGTTGTCTTCCATCAGGGCAAGGGATACCTGTGGTCTGGACCAAAACTATGGCAGTGGGAGGTGACAAGATATGGACACAGTTGAGAAAGCTTAAGAAGTGGAATCAGCAGAATTTGATGTTTCTTTGGATGTGGTGGATGAAGGCATGGGAGAATTCTGGAGCTAACCCCAGGTTTTGGTTTGGTGGCATCATCCACTAAGACAGGAAAACAGGAGGATTTTGATGGGAACGAAAAAATATATACAAAATAAACATGCATGCTTGGATATTCAAGTAGTGTGATCCAACAGGCAGGGGAGAATCTGAAAATGCAAGCAAGTACTGGGGTGGAGATATGAACTTAAGAATCATCATCATACAGTACTTGAAGCCATAGAAGTTGAAACTGAAAAGATAACTAACCAAGAGGGAGGTGGAAGAGCTCCAGCTTTTCAAAGATAGGCAGAGAAGAGGAGTTTGCCAAGGGAATGGAGAAAGAACTCCTACGCTTGTACAGGAACATTGCAAGATGTGTTTCCTAGAGTGAATGTTTGAAAGGAGTGAGTCCTTGGCAGTATTTAATGTATAAAGAAGTTAGCTGGAAATATCCTTTGATTTAGCAAGAAAGTAATCATTGATGATAACAAGGAGAATAGTTTCAGTGGAATCATTTGCCCTTAAAGGAGAGGAGATCAATAGGAAAACTACTAGAGAGGACTATGGGTCCAAGAGAGGAAATTTTAAATTAATGTTAGGAACTGGAACATGTTTGAATGCTGAAAGTCGATACCAAACGAGAGTGGAAAATTGGACTGAAATGGTTTCTACAGCACAAATGGAGAGACTAGCCTTAGAAGGAAGAAAGAACACCTTCTGGCATAAGCAAAACGATGATGGAAGTTGCTGGTAAATTTATGAATCTGTCAGTGGTAAATAAATAAGTACTTAACATGATAACTTCTTTTTTCTCTAAGAAGTCTAAGATAAAGTCATCTGAAAATAAGTACTTGCCTGAGAACTTCTTGCTTCTCTGGGAAGCCTAAGATAAATTCATCTAAGATAATTCTCATTTGACAGATGATAAATGTGAGGCTCGGAAATGTGTAGGTAGGAATTTTGAGAAGCTCAAAGAAAGGTTGAAATAGTTGCTGAAATTGGGAAAGAGATATTACCAGAAATACACAAAAATTACTAGTCAAAGGAATGCCAAAGACCAGTTAAGGCTGACTACCTTCATTGTGGTGCAACCACTCCATTCTGTTTTGGATTCTCTACAGTGGTTGTCAGCATCTTGGTGTAAGTGGTGTCAATTTAGCGAGTTGAGTTTGTTAGGGTTAAGATTAGGCTAAGTGAATTTGAGAGGGGATTGAAGAAAGTGTATTATGGAAATAAATGTCCATAAAACTAAATTAAGTGGAGAAAGAAGGAATGACAAGAGGTGAGGGTGATGGATCTGGAGAAAATAGTAGAGTGATCAAGGAAACAGGAAGTCCCTCCGAGGCCAAAGAATAGCTAACTGAAAGAACTAGAGGCAGAAGAAGTTGCGGTCCAAGGAGAATTATTTGAGTTTAAGATTTCAGACACAGAGATTTTCAGGTGAAGGCAATATAAAAATGTGGCCATGGGAGAAGGCAGAAGTGAAGCAAAAGTGAAAGTAATTGCAGATGAAGTCAGGGGATTGAGAGACAAAGATATTGAATGCAATATCCAAATTAATATGTGCTAGAGAGGCAATTAATGTGGACTATTACGGGATAAACATCTTCATGGAATAAAGGAAGAGATTTAAAGGTAATGGCAAGCAGGTGGGAAGAGGAGGGTTGTACTGGGTGTCATACACAGAGGAGGTATTTTAGTTTATTTTGTTTTATCTTATTTTATTTTATTTTATTTTGAGACGGAGTTTCACTCTTATTACCCAGGCTGGAGTGCAATGGCACAATCTCGGCTCACTGCAACCTCTGCCTCCCGGGTTCAAGCAATTCTCCCACCTCAGCCTCCCGAGTAGCTGGGATTACAGGCATGTGCCACCACACCCAGCTAATTTTGTATTTTTAGTAGAGACGGGATTTCTTCATATTGGTCAGGCTGGTCTCGAACTCCTGACCTCAGGTGATCCGCCCGCCTCGGCCTCCCAAAGTGCTGGGATTACAGGCGTAAGCCACGGCGCCTGGCCAGAGGAGGTATTTTAAGCCAAGCATTTTGGATTGATGATCTACAGAAGTAGCCCTGTGGGGTGAAGAGGCCGTAGATTTATTTCCCAACCATACTATTTATAAGATGAGGAGACTATGCAGATTTCACTTGAGACATCTTTGAGGAAACATATGGGAGAGAAGAAAAAAAGTCAACCATAATTTCATCATCCTGAGCAATCACTGTCAACACATTTAAGAAGACTGTCCTGGAGACGGGGTAAGAATTGGTCAGAGTGGGAAGACAACTGAGACAAAAAGGTAATGCAGTCTTCGTTGTAGGGCTGCAGTGGTCGGGATAGAGAGAGAGAGATGATTGTAAGCAAGATCAGCATTCAGATAGTTAATTTTCCTACCTCAAATGTCATTTCCTAAACATTATCTGTATTATAAGGGCTGCAAGTTTTTTCAGTGCTCCTTTTGCTTATCCTTCATTATGAGCCCCAATATATCTAGCTATTGTCATCTGCTGCTTCCTTCATCTGGGAGTTGGATTACCTGAAAAGATTTTCATCTGGTACATGGTTGTTTTATATAACGCTTCTGCTCCAGTCACTAGCTTTACCATTGCTTGTTTCAGCACTTGGGAGTCGAGCAGGAACTATGATACAGCTAGACCATTCGTTTCCAGTCTTTTCGGTTTTTTTTACTGGGAAGGTACACTCAGCCACTGTCCCTGTAGTCTAACCATTCAAGAATTGGATTAGGTGAATACATAAAACAGCATGTAGGCAGTCCTTGAAGGGAGTTATACTTTGGTTAACTGATTTATTCCTTTGCCAGAACCATTGTGTGTATGCATGGCCATGCGTATGTGTGCGTGTATACACACAACTGATAAAAGCAACCAGCGTTTGAGTGTTTCCTACAGCCTTGTGTGTAGGCAGCTCTAGCATCACTGTAAAAGGTATGCGGTGGGCTGACGACTCAAGTTGGCAGCTGTTCCTCTTAAAACTGCTTCACTCCATGAAGTCAGCAGAGAAAGCAGTCAGTCTCTTGAACAGTTTATGCCTGGTTCTTGGCATCATTAAAATTCTGTTCTTTTCAGTGTTGCTTCATTTGCACAATCAGGATGCTCCGTTTTCAGACATTCAAAGTGTTGAAAATTTTTTTAATAAATAGATTTTCATTGGCATCAAGTCCAAGTTGAGTGATTCTCAATGTAGGAAATAACAGTATAATTTTTGGAGTATGTATTTTGGAGAGTCTTTCCCCCTCTTTGGCTAACCTTTGTAAGTGTTATATGGTTTCCAAAGCTCTTTCATGTATGATGATTTATTGCTTATACAACACCACAAAGTTGGTACCGTGAGCTCTAATTCAAGATCAGTAAATGGATTTTCAGAAGGGAAAAGTGAACAATCAAAGGCTGGTTTCGGTGATGGAGTCAAGCTAAAAACACTGGTTGTCTTAGACTCTAGGGATCTTTCTATTATAACATGGTAACTTTGAGCAAGTGAGGTCTCTATTGTATTAACAGTTTGTATTGTAATAAAGTGTGTTCAACTTTTTCTCAAGCTGTATTTCAAGGTTAACACTTTATAAATGGAACTAAATCATTGGAGCTTAGGCCAGGGGCTGGAAGTTTATTTATTGATCTAGTCTGGCCTCTTGGGTTTCTTGATATTTGGTAAAATGGTACATTTCTCAGTACATTGGAAAGGCATTTTATTTCCTCTAGAATGAAGAGCACTGCTCTTGAATTTTAAAGCGAGGTCCAACAGAGATCATGGGCCCAAAGCACAAACCACAAGCCTCACGTTGCTACAGGAAAAAAATCATAGGTAATTTCTGAAGAGCCTTTCTATCAACTTCTACTTAAATCTGTGCCTTGAAATGATAGGCACATATGATAGCTTCTGGAAGTATGCATAGTAATTAAATGTATCATTCTATTCCAAACTATACTGAATGAAGTTACTAATGATTAAATGTGTTTATTTTCAAAGATATTATACTTTACAATGTCATAATATTTGAATGTTAAAATATATGTAATAGAAGTAAATTATATGCTATCAAAGTACTTTACATGGATCATTTATTAATCACAAAGGATAATAGATCCCTTTACCATGGAAAGATGGAAAGATCTGACAAATACCACCTAAACCATATTACCCAAGTTAACATCTCCAATAATAGAACCAATGAATATCAAGTGCTTCCTGGTGTGATGTAGCTTGAAGGACACAATATCAAATCTGTGATATACCAGCCTAAAATGCTTAATCATTATCTAATCATGAGAAACATCAGACCAACCAAGATTGAGAGACATTCTACAACAACACTGGTGACACTCTTCAAAATGACAATGTCATAAAAGACAAAGGCAGAGGCATGAGAAATAAATGCAATAACTTACATCTGGATCAGAAAAACAAAATTGTTATAAAAAATATTATTAGGAAAATTTGCAAGATAAAAATTGAACAAGAAAAAAAGTGGTATCTTTGAGAACAAGTGAGAACATTTTGACATTTCTTTAGAAATAATATGAATTGATTTGAAAATTATTTTGAAAATAATTTAGAGCTAAGAAAGTAATGGCTTGCGGAGAACCCTTTGAGTTTGCTTCATTATTTAAAAATTCAATAAAATAAGTAATTATTCCTATTTTAAGTGAAACAGTTTATTATAAAACCTTATTTCAGCTCAGGCAATTTCTAATCTATGCAGATTAATTTCACTTGCATAGAATTTTGAGATTTGGGTAGACTTTATTTCAATTTGTTTATTTTAATCTTTAAGAGAGTCATTTTGTTATTTATGCATGATCCCTTTTAAGAAGTGTTTATTTGTTTACTGATTTGGAAGTATTATTATGTGCAAAGATTCTAAAACAGCCATCCAGATGCCATTGACACGGTAATGTGGGGATTTTCATTAATTTATACGATTTATCTGTTTTCATATTTCACCATTTACTATTCCACCTCCACACCTGGAAGAGTATCTGATCTTGGCTAAGTATCTTTGTGAGGATACATTTATCTGTCCATTTGTTAACATAAATATTTATTGAGTAGCTATGAGATTGTCTAGTACCTTTGCCGGGTACTAGAACTTTACAGAAAAGCTGTATCGTGTCTTTCTCCTCATACAGGCAATGTATTGACTCATGAAACTTCCAGGTAGTTCTCCAATGTTCTCAGCTGGATGATAGGTAAATATTTAGAGTTTTTAGAATGAGAACATGAGGAGACCTACTTCTATACCTGTGTTTTCTCATGAGGATTATATTTGTCAATAATCTTTACCCTCCATTTGTACCTATTTATTCATGATGCATTATGACAAATGTATATAGTTATACAGCTGCCACCACAGTTAAGATATAGAACATTTCGATCATACCAAAAAGTTTCTCCTGCTCCTTTATACTTATCTTTACTTCCCATCACCCTTGGCCCTTGATCTGATTTTTGTTCTTGTGAGTTTGCATTTTCCACGGAATTATATAAATGAAATCATACAGTGTGTGGCCTTTGGGGTCTGGCTTGTTTCACTTAGCATAATGCTTTTGAGTTTCAACCATTTTATTTATTTATTTTTATTTTATTTTTAATCTGTTATTTTAGGTTCAGGGGTACATGTGCACATTTGTTATACAGGTAAACTCGTATCATGGGGGTTTGGTGTACAGATTCTTTTATCATACAGATACTAGGCCTAGTACCTAATAGATACTTTACTGATCCTCTCCCTCCTCCCACCCTCCACCCTCAGGTAGGCCCCAGTGTCTTGCTGTTCTCCTCTTGCATTCATGTGTTCTCATCATTTGACTCCCACTTATAAGTGAGAACATGCGGTATTTGGTTTTCTGTTCCTGCATTATTTTGCTAAGGATAATGGCCTCCAGCTCCATCCACGTCCCTGCAAAGGACATGATCTTATTCTTTTCTATGATGAGTTTCAGCCAGTTTTTGTGTGTATCAGTAATTTGTTCCTTTTTAGTGCGGAATAGTATCTCATTGTATGGATGTACTACAATTTATTTATTCATTCACCAATTGATTTGGTATTTATTTTCCAGTTTTTGACTAATAGTGAATAAATGCATTATTAGCATTAATATACTAGTATTTTGACATATAATTTCATTTCTTTTGGGTAATTAGCAAAAGTAGAATATCTGGGATGGATATTAAGTGGTATGCTTAAGTTTTTAAGACATGCTAAAGTCTTAGCATTTAGTTCCTAAGTGGCTGCGTCACCTTGTATTCCCATTAACAATGTATGAGATTTCCAGTTGCTCCTTATCCAAACTAGCACTTGATATTTTCAGTCTTCTTCATTTTAGCCATTCTAAGAGATGTATAGTAATCTAACATTGTAATTTTAGTTTTTCATCCAAATGTGCTTTTAGCAGCTTATTTGAGTTGTAATCGTTCTTTATATATTCTAGGTACAAACCCTTCTTTAGAATGTTTTTTTGGAAATATTTTCTCCCAGTTCTGTGGAGTGTCTGTGCTTTCTTTACAGTGTCTATTGAAGAAAAACAATTTGATGAAGTCCAAATTACTAATTTTTGTTATAGTGTGTGCTTTTTATATCTATATCTAATAAATCAGTAGCTAACTTAACTTCTCAAAAATATTCTCCTATGTTCTCCCCTAGAAGATTTAGTTTCAGCTCTGACATTTAGGTCTGTGATCAAAATGTCTTCCTAGGAATTTGTCTATGTCAACTGATGTGCATAATTGTTTGGCATAAATTTTTTCATAATGTTTTCTTATAATGCTTTTAACTTCCCTAGGATTGATAGTGATGTACACTCATTCCTAATTTTGGTAATTTGTTTCTTCTATTTTTTTGTCATATGGCCTAGAAATTTATCAATTTTTAGTGATTTATTTTTTCTATTTTTTTTTGTTTTCCATTTGATTGATTTCCCCTTTGATCTTTATGGTTTCCTTCCTGTTTGCTTTGTCTCTAGTTTGTTCCTTTTTTTTCTAATTTCTTTCTCTTTTTTTGAGACAGGGTCTCACTCTGTCTCCTAGGCTGCAGTGCAGTGACATGATCAGAGTGGTGCAGTGGAGTGCAGTGGCAAGGCTCACTGCAGCTTTGACCTCTCTTGCTGAAGCGATCCCCCCACCTCAGCTTCCCAGGTAGCTGGGACCACAGGCATGTACCAACAAGCCTGGCTATTTATTTTTATTATTTTTTATTTTTGCATTTAATTTATTTATTTATTTATTTTTATTTTTTTTTTGACTCCTGGGCTCAAGCAATCTTTCCACCTCAGCTTGTGAAAGTCATGGGATTATAGGTGTAAACCACTGTGCACAGCCCCTCTTTTCTAAATTCTTAAGGTGAAAACTTATTATTGGTTTGAGATTTTTATTTTTTTAATATAGATCTTTAGAGCTATAAATTATCCTTTACTACTTTGGCTACATCAAAGGAATTTTAATATACCTGATTTTGTCTTAATTCAGCTCAAATACTTTCTAATTTTCCTTTTTATTTCTTCTTTACCTATATGGCATTTAGAAAATTATTGTTTAATTTTCTATTTTTTTGTTGTTTTGCTAATTTAATTCCATTGTTGTTGGAGAACATACATTAAAATAATAATATTAAATTTATTCAGATTTGTTTTGTGGATCAGAATATGATCTATTCTGAGGAACATTTGTGTATGCTTAGGAAAAATAAACATGTAAGGCTGGATACGGTGGCTCATGCCTGTAATCCCAGCACTTTGGGAGGCCGAGGTGGGTGGATCACCTGAGGTAGGGACTCGGAGACCAGCCTGACCAACGTGGAGAAACCCCATCTCTACTAAAAATACAAAATTAGTTGGGCATGGTGGCACATGCCTGTAATTCCAGCTACTTGGGAGGCTGAGGCAGGAGAATCTCTTCAACCAGGGAGGCAGAGGTTGAGGTGAGCTGATATCACACCATTGCACTCCAGCCTGGGCAACAAGAGCAAAACTTTGTCAAAAAAAAAAAAAAAAAGAAAAAAAAAGAAAAAAGAATGTATTATGTTGCTATTGGGTGCAGTATTCCATAAATGTTAATTAGGTCAGGTTGGTAGATAGTGTCGTCTAAGTCTTCTACATCTTTATTGATTTACTGTATAGTAGTTCTATAAGTTATTGAGAGTACTGAAATCTGTAACTTGAAATGTTGAATTGTTTATTTCTTCTTTTGATTCTGTCATTTTTGTCTGTATATAATTTGATGCTCTATGTCTAGGTACATACATGTTTATAACTATTATGTCTCCCTGACATATTGATCCTTTCATTAGGAAAGTTCCTCTTGTATCTCGTAATTTTTTTTTTTTTTTGTCTTAAAATCTGTCTTTTTTTCTAGTGGTAATATAGCCACTCCAGCTTCTATAGTTACCATTTGTATGGTTTGTCTTTTTCTATCTTATTACTTTCAATGTATATATTTCTCTTGTAGACATCATATAGAAGTCTACTGATTTTCAGCCAATCTGGCAATCTCTAGCCTTTGATTATAGATTTTATTCCTTTTATTTTAATGTCATTATTGATATAGTTGGATTTATGTCTGCCTTTTTTTTTTTTTTTTTTTTTTTGGAGATGGAGTCTCGCTCTGTCACCCAGGCTGGAGTGCAATGGTGTGATCTCTGCTCACTGCAACCTCAGCCTCCCAAGTAGCTGGGACTACAGGCACCCGCCACCATGCCCGGTGGGGTTTTTTTGTATTTTTAGTAGAGACGGGGTTTCACAGTGTTCGCCAGGATGGTCTCAATCTGCTGATCTCGTGATCCGCCCACCTCGGCCTCCCAAAGTGCTGGGATTACAGGCGTGAGCCACCGCACCTGGCTTATGTCTGCTATTTTATTTGCTTTCTGCATCTCTTTTTGTTGTTGTTGTTGTTCCTCTATTGCTCCTTTACTGCTTTCTTTTGTATTAAATATGTTTTGGTGCTTTGTTTCAATTCTATTATTAAAAAAAATTTCCCCATTGTTTTCTTAGTGGTTACTCTAGGGATTACTATACGCATCTTAAATGATCACATTCTACTTCAAATTAATACTGACTTAATTCCAGCAAAATATAGCAACTTTCCTTCAATACAGCTTTACCTTTCCCCCTTCCCTTTTGTGTTACTATTGTCTTATAAATTACATATGTGTTATAAACTTAGCAATATAGTGTTATAATTGTTGCTTTATACAATATATTTTTAAAGACATTAAGAGAAGAAAAGATAAAATATCTTTGAGTCTTTTATATATACACATATATGGTTCAGTGTTCCTACTTTCTTCCTATGAATTTGACTTACTGTCTGGTATCACTCCTTTCAGCCTGAAAGATTCATTCAGTATTTCTTTTAAGGTAGATCTAGCAACAGATTCTGTAAGTCTCTCTTTATCTCACAGTAATGTTATTTCATCTTCATTTATAAAGGATAGTTTTGCTGGACAGAATTCTTGGCTAACTTTTTTCTTTTAGCACTTTGAATATGTCATATACTTCCTTTTGCCCTCCAGATTTCTAATTTGAAGTCAGCTGTTGTATTGTTGTGCCCGTGTATATCATGAGTCATTTTTTTTTTTCTGCTTTCAAGATTTTCTCTTTGTCTTTGGCTTTTAGCAGTTTGACTATCATCTGTATACATGTAGATCTCTGTGTTTATCTTACTTGGGGCTGATTGAGCTTCTTGGA
Organism: Homo sapiens; assembly: GCF_000001405.40. Taxonomy (NCBI): domain Eukaryota; kingdom Metazoa; phylum Chordata; class Mammalia; order Primates; family Hominidae; genus Homo; species Homo sapiens. Next base: position 12,041,676 of record NC_000023.11, read on the forward strand.
TCTATAAATTAAGGTTTTTCATCTAACTTGGGAAGTTTACCATCACAGTTTCTTCCTTTTTTTCTCTTCCTTTATCCTCTCCTCCCTTCTCAAATTCCCATGGAAATACGTTGGTATTCTTGATGGAGTCCCATGCATCTGGGAAACTTGATTATTTTTCTTTTTCTATTTTTTAAATTGGATAATTTCCATTGATATATCTTAAGTTCTTTGATTCGTCTGTGTTCTCAAATCTTCTGTTGAATTAATCTTGTGAATTTTGCATTTTGCTTATTGGACTTTTCTCCTCTAGAATTTCAGTTTGGATGACTGGGTGTATGGCTCAGGGGTAGAGAATTTGACTAGAATTTCAATTTGGTTCTTTAGTATCTATTTCTTCAGTGATATTCCTTATTTGTTGAGTCATTGTCATAAATTTTCCTTTTAATCTTTTAAATATGGTTTCCTTTAGCTTTTGATCATATTTGTAATAGCTACTTTGAAGTCTTTGTCTGCTAACTCCAACATCTACACTCATTTAAAGTCATTTTCTTTTGACAGCTTTTTTTTTTTTTCCCAGAGTGTGGGAAACACTTTCCTATTCTTTTGCATGTCTCATAAGTCTTTGTTGAATGCTGGACATTTTAGGTATTTATGTTGTAGCAATTTTGGATTCTTGAGGTTTTATTTTTGTTTGTTTATATATTTTTTCATTAACTTGCTTAGACTATAGAATCTGGCTCTCCTGTAATGTGTAGTATGTGGTCATTGTTCTCTTCGTTCAATTTTTTTCCTAATTTTTATTTTTATCCTGCATTATTTATATCCTGCCTGTGCTCAATCTGTATAGCTTAGCACTCAGGCAATAATTGGGTAGAGGTTTTGCTTAGACACTTCAAGCTGTCTGACTCTCACACTCTGTCAGTGAATTTGTGTGTGGGTTGAGAGCACACTTAAAATTCAAGCAGTTTTACGTCTACCTCGGCTTTTACTCTCCACTGGGCCCTTTCATTTCATCCTGCCAATACACACATTTTCCTAGTCAGTGAAAGATGTGTGGAGAGCTTTTCTTGTACTTCTAAGGTGATATCATTTCCAGAACCATGTCCTTGTGAAATTTGTGGTTGGCTTCTCACTTGCCCTAGAACCTAAGGCTAGCAAGACCGTGGGTTTCTCCCTTTCGTTTTATACTGAGTTTGCTACTTTTACTGACAACTTTGCTGAGCATGAGTTTTCTGCTCTGCTTCAGATCAAGTTAGCCCTCTTTGGCAGTGAAGCTGCTGGGTTTTAGTCTAGACATATACCCTTACAATTACCATTCTCATCTACTGAACCAGACAGTGGGGATGAGAGCAGCCCCAGGCAAGAAGGTCACAAACTCTCATAGTTCTTGCCTGAAGTTCTGGGAGCTTTTCTTGGATAAGTGCTTTTCTGTTTATTGTTTGCCTTTGGTCACTTTTTGGAGCTCTGAAATGGTTGTTTGTGACCATTTTTTCCTAGCTTTATATATGTTTGTTGGTGGCAGAATTTGCCAAAATCTTCACTCTGTCATACATTGAAAGCCCTATGAACCGTAAGGATTTTAAAATAAATATGTATGTATGTATGACTTTTTTGTGGTAAACGAAATGATATCCAGCTAATTTAGTGAGCTAATGATGAAAACCTATAAATCAAACAATAAGATAATTGAAATTGATAAAGATTTAAATTAGAAAGTAAATTCAATATCAAGTTTCAGGAGAAGAAACGTTTAAGAAGCTTCTGAAAAAAAACTATCTCAGGTGCTCTCTTATGAGGTTTGCTCTAAAGGGTACAGGCATCATACACTATATGACCATGCATAATCAGAATTTAATTATGTTTTAAAAATCAGAGCTAGAAGAGACCTTAGGTGTTCTCTCATCCAGTGGTCCCCAAATACTGGGCTGTAGATTATTGGGGCCTTTGGGACCTGTGAAAATGTTTTCTCTAATCTATAGCACAATTAAAAAAAAGTAACAATTTAACATGCTTTTCATAAAGCTAAATCTGTTTAATTTAAAGGACTACATTTTAGCCAACTTAACATTTTCTTCCTACATCTTGATATTAAAATATTCCTTCTATTCTGTGAAATGCTGGTAATAGAAGAATATACATATCATAGTCTTATTTAGCAAAATTATTTTTTTTTCACTGCATGTTATTCTCTAGCATTTTGAAAATTCACTGCAGCTTCTGATAAATTACATGCTTTTCTCAATTTTACTGTTTTTTTAGTGTAAAAAATATCATTTTTATGATAAAATATAGTTTATTCTTCATGAGAAAGGCTTTTTATATAACTAACAGGAAAATGAATTACTGCTTTCCCTTTTGTGTAATTTGGCTATTTGAATTAATTTTTTACCAGTTTTCTGAATGATAAAACCTTGTTTGGGCTGGGGAAAAATTCATCCATAGCTCTTAAATCTTTCTGTCTTAAATCAATTTAGCAATAATTTTTATAATGAGCAATCTAGAATAATGTTCATATAATTTTTTATGATCTTATCACAAAACTTGTATTCTAAAGATCCAGAGCTTTGTATGCATATGCAAGGGATTTATATACCATGTCATTTTTCTTATATTGTATGATAAGCAACCAGCTCGTTCTTAACTCTGTCAGTTCATCCTGTGTCCTGGAAATACATGAGCTCTGCTCTGTTGGAGTCACATTTATTCATTAATAATCTTTAAATGAGTGATTTGCTGGTGTCAGCTTCATTGGTCCAGATATAAGAGATAGGAAGGTGAGTATGGAACACTCAAGCAAGAGAGAAAGCAAAAGTTTCCAGTGAACTGATAAGTGCTACCAGGGAGGATGTGCAAAGGGTCAAGTAAGTTCGGATGACAGAAACATTAACATTGGACAGTTCAAGGGAGGCATCTGTGAGGAGGTGACCAGTTTGAGCTGGATTTTGAATAATGAGTGTGGTTTTCTATGCCACTCTTCTAGTGTCAGACACTAATCAAGTCACTTAAACATTTCAGGTCCCAACTATCTAAGTCTTAGGTCTAAAGTTCTGCTCTTTCAGATCAGTGCAGGTCCGACTATTTTATTAGATCAATAATACATAGAAAGTTATGATCTCATGTATCATAGGCTCTCTGAATTTGCCTTAAGAAGCACAATAAGGGCTTCTCTTTGCCAGTTTCCTGAGAAAATGCTATGGAAATGAAAGTATTCTTTTTAATTAGCGATTATTAATCTGCTTGGTTATAATAATAATAGCAAATACAGACATCATTTACTATGTATTAGAAAATGTGCTAAACTAGGGATTGGCAAACTTTTGCCTGTGGGCCAAATCTGACTCATTGCTTGTTTTTGGATGGCCCACAATCTAACGATGTCTTTTAACATTTTTAAATCTTGAAAAAGGAATAAGAATATTTATTGACATTTGGAAATTATATAAAATTCAAATTTGTGTCCATAAATAAATGTTTATTGGAACACAACCATGCTCATTCATTTACATATTGTCCGTGGGTTGCTTTCGTGCTAAAATGGCAGAACTGAGTAGTTTCAACAGAGACCACATGGCCTACAAAGCCTGAAATTTTATTATCTGTTTCTTTATGGAAAAGGTTTGCAAGCCCCACATGATAATGAATCATTTTGAGGCCTAAGTTGAAGGTATTTCTCTCCAAATATGTTTGATGTTTACTTCCGGGATTACTACTAATGGGAAGCCATCTTTTATTACTTACTTCTTGGGGTGGGCTTTTCAAGGTTGTTTTTCCTTTGCATCCTGGGGCATTAGCAATAGGTAACCATTTTAAATTATTCACTCATTCCTTGGCTTTGAGGCTCCTAGATAATATCAATATTGAAATCTGAACCCAAAACCCATATGAGAGCTGGTCTGTGATTTTAAATTGCAGAGGAAGTCTTCCATTTTCCCCTGCAAGAGCCCATGTTGAGATGGATACATTACCCTGATTTTCTTGGCTAGTATGGGGATTATTTTTCCCAAGTCTATCCTTTTGCTGAAGTGTGTATAGTTCTCCAAGGATCCTTAGCAAGAGAAAAAATGAACTCAGAATTGAGATTTAAGAATGGGACAGAAGATGAAAAAAATCACTGAACAGGTAGATAAATCTAAATATTATGACTATATGAGACAATGTAAATGCCCAAATTTTAGAGGCAAAAAAAGCAAGAGTAAAATAAATTAATGAGCTTCAGTGACACGTAAAACAGATGGGGGTATTTTCAGAGTTAAATTGCTCTAAGTTTCCTGTATTCTCTGGAAGAAGTAGACATGTCCATTAGTTTGGGACAAATAAGCTTTAAGTCAAAAATTATTATTAGGGATAAAGTAGACCACTACGCAATGAAAAAAGCTACAAAGATACGCACATTCTAAACCTTTATGATAAAGTAAGAATATAATCTTGAATATAAAAAGGACTGTTTAGAGTCACAAGGAGAAACCAACAAATTCATGGTGAGAAGAATTAATACACTATTCTTGGTAAATGTTCCATTTACCAAAATTGACCAAGAAATAAGTCTCAGCAAATTTTCAAATATTAGTATCATCTGGACCACATTCTTCAACCATGATGCAATAAAGTTCGAAATCAGTAACAAACATTGTGTAAGGAAAAACTCACCACGTTTTTTTCTCTGCTCTGATACCACCGCAGAGGTCATCAACACAGAAGACTTCTGTGACCAAACATGTGCGTGTTTTTCCCCACATGCCAAGCAGCTGGGTGTCCTCCAATTAAATTCTGACACTATCTACCTGGAGGTAGTGTCAGATCCCCACCGCTTGAGGGCTCATTCCCCAAGACTGCCCCCGACCCCCAGACACCAGTCGTGAGTCTGGGCTTCCAGAACATCTGACCAACCTGCATCAAGTTGGGGTTCCCTCAGCCCCCTCTTTGGGTTTGATTAATTTGCTGAAGCAGCTCACAGAAATCAGGGAAACATACTTACAGGTTTGTTATGAAAGATATTACAAAGGATACAGATGAAGACATGTGAAGGGTGAGGGATGGGGGAAGGGGCATGGGAATGTCCACACCCTCCCTGGGCACACCACCCTCCAGTAACCCTCAAGTGTTCAGCTATCTGGAAGTTCTTTGAACTCTGTCCTCTTGGGTTTCTATAGAGGCTTCATTACACAGGCATGATTGATGAAACCATTGGCTATTTGTGATGAACTTGACCTTCAGTCTCTGTTCCCTCCTTGGAAAGTCTGAAAGTCCCAACTCTCTAATCCTGCCTTGATCTTTCCTGTGACCAGCCCCACTCTGAACCTATCAAACAAAAGATCCACAGAACTTTGGATATCCCAAAGGTTTTAGGAGTTACAAGCCAGGAACTGTGAGTGAAAACCAATATATAACCATATATATGGTTATGTATAAATATTTATACATGGTTATATATATATATAGTTGTGTATATATGGTTATATATATGGTTATATATGTGTTTTTATATATGTAATTATAGATATGTGATTATATATGTGGCTACATATATGTATGGTTATATATATGGTTTATATATGGTTGTATATATCATAATACCACACATATATAAAGTACATATAACACCACAAACATATAAGAAAAAGTACCTGTGAACTTGAAAATTAAAGAAGAAATTATAATAGAATTATAAAATATTTGTAATTAAACAATGATAAAACAATACTGTATTTCAGAACTTATGATATGTAGCTAAAGTTCTCAGAGAAAAATTTATAACCCTAAATTCTTAGATTAATAAACACAAGAAATCCAAAAAAATTAAAGAGCGTATATGTGTGTGTACATACCAATTTTTAAAAATAATTTCAGCTTTTATTTTAGATTCAGATTCAGGGAGTACATGTGCAGGTTTGTTACCTGAGTATTTTGTGTGATACTGAGGTTTGGGATGTCAGTGATCCCATCACCCAGATAGTGAGCATAGTACCAACAGTTTTTCAACCCTTACCTCCCTCTCTCCCCACTTCTAATAGTCTCCAGTTCTATTTTTGCCATCTTTATGTTCATGTGTACCCGATGTTTAGCTCCCACTTATAAGTGAGATCATGCAGTATTTGGTTGTCTGTGCCTGTGTTAGTTCACTTAGGATAATGGCCTCCAGCTGTCCATGCTGCTGCAAAGGACATGTTTTTATTCTTTTTTATAGCTGCATAGTATTCCATGACGTATACGTATGTACCACATTTTCTTTATCCAATCCACTGTTGACAGGCACCTAGGTTGATTCTATGTCTTTGCTATTGTTAATAGTGCAGCAATGAACATGTGAGTGCATTTGTCTTTTGAGTAGAACAATTTGTTTTCTTTTGGATATATACCCAGTAATGGGATTGCTGGGTTGAATGGTAGTTCTGTTTTAAGTTCTTTGAGAAATCTCCAAACTTCTTTTCACAATGGCTGCACTAATTTACATTCCCACCGGTGGTGTATAAGCATTCCCTTTGCTTCACAGCCTCACCAGCATCTGTTGTTTTTTGACTTTTTAATAATAGCTGTTCTGGCCGGTATGATATAGTATCTCATTGTGGTTTAGGTTTTCATTTCTCTGGTTATTAGTGATGTGGATCTCATTTTTTCATATATTTGTTGGCCACTTGTTTGTCTTTTTTGAGAAGTGTCTGTCATGTCTTTTGCCCACGTTTTTGTTTTTTGCTTGTTGCATTGTTTAAGTTCCTTATAGATTCTGGATATTAGACCATTGTCAGATGCATAGTTTGCAAATATTTTCTCCCATTCTGTAGGTTATCTGTTTATTCTGCTGATAGTTTCTTTTGCTGTGCAGAAAGTCTTTAGTTTAATTAGGCCCCACTTTTTTGTTTTTGTTACAATTGCTTTTGAGGACTTAGTCATAAATTTTTTTCCAAGGCTGAAAATGACCAGAAAGGTGTTTCCAAGTTTTTCTTCTAGGTTCTTATAGTTTGAGGTCTTATATCTAAGTCTTTAATCCATCTTGAGTTAATTTTTGTATATAGTAAAAAGTATGGGTACAGTTTCATTCATCTGCATATGGCTAGCCAGTTATGCCAGCACTATTTACTGAATAGGGAGTCCTTTCTACACCACTTATTTTTGTTGACTTTGTTGAAGATCAGATGGCGGTAGGTGTGTGACATTATTTCTGGATTCTCTATTTTGTTCCATTGGTCTATGTGTCTATTTTTGTACCAGTACCATGCTGTTTTGGTTACTGCAGCCTTATAGTATAGTTTAAAGTTGGATAATGTGATGCCTCCCACTTTATTCTTTTTGCTTAGGATTGCTTTGTCTATTCAGGCTCTTTTTTGGTTACATATGAATTTTAGAATTTTTTTTCTAATTCTGTAAAAAAATGAAATTGGTAGTTTAATAGGAATATCATTGAATCTGTAGATTTCTTTGGGCAGTATGGCCATTTTAACAATATTGATTTTTTCAATCCATTAGTGTGGAATGTTTTTCCACTTGTTTGTGTAATCTATGATTTCTTTCAGCAATGTTTTGTGATTCTCCTGGTAGAGATGTTTTACCTCCTTCGTTAGATGTCTTCCTAGGTATTTTATTTTTTTGTGTGGCTGTTGTAAATAGATTGCATTCTTGATTTGGCTCTCAGTGTGAATGTTATTGGTGTAGAAAAATGCTACTGATTTTTGTGCATTGATTTTGAATCCTGAAACTTTACTGAAGTCGTTTATCAGTTCTCCAAACCTTTTGGCAGAGTCTTAAGGGTTTCCTAGGTATAGAGTCATATTATCAGCAGAGAGAAATGGTTTTTCTTCTCTTCCTATTTGGATGCCTTTTATTTCTTTATCTTGCCTGATTGCTCTGGCTAGGACTTCACACATACTGATGTTGAAGTCAATGATGGACTGCCTGTATGACGGTGGTCCTATAAGATTATAATGGAGCTGAAAAATTCCTGTTGCCTAGTATTTACTATACTATTTACTATTATTTTAGAATGTATTCCTTCTGCTTATAAAAAAGAAAGTTAATGGTAAAAAGAGCCTTAGGCAAATCCTTCAGGAGGTATTGCAGAAGAAGGCATTGTTATCATAGAAGATGACAGCGCCATGTATGTTGTTTCCCCTGAAAACCTGCCAGTGGGACAAGTTGGGAAGGTGAAAGACAATGATAGTGATGATTCTGACCCATCGTAGGCTTAGGCTAATGTGTATATTTGTGTCTTCATTTTTAATAAAAAAAGTTTAAAAAGAAAACAGTATTAAAATAGAAAAAAGTTTATAGAATAAGAATATAACAAGAAAATATTTTGTACAGCTCTACAATGTGTTTCTGTGTTAAGTGTCAAAAAGTTAAAGTTTAAAGCTAAGAGTCAAAACATTAAAAAATTTAAAGTTTATAAAGTAAAATATACAGTAAGCTAAGGTTCTAAGGTTAATTTATTGAAGAAAGAAAAGTATTTTTTAAATAAATTCAGTGTAGCCTAAGTGTATCATGTTTATAAAGTTTACAGTAGTGTACAGTAATGTCCCAGGATTTCACATTTAGTCACCACTCACTCACTGACTGACCCAGAACAACTTCCAGTCCTGCAGGCTCCATTCATAGTAAGTGCTCTATATAGATATACCAATTTTTATTATTTTATTCCATATTTTACTGTACCTTTTCTATGGTTAAATATGTTTAGATACACACATACTTAGCATTGTGCTGCAATTGCCTACATATTTAGTATAGTAGCATGCTGTACAGGTTTGTTGCCTAGGAACAATAGGTTATATCATATAACCGAGGTGTGAATTAGGCTATAGCATGTAGATTTGTGTAAGTACAATCTATGATGTTTGCACAATAATGAAATCCCCTAATGACACATTTCTCAGAATGTTTCCCTGTTGTTAAGCAACACATGACTGTATATGTGTATATAAGATAGTCTTTTCAAAGAACAAAATTTGGTTTTATTGATTTTTTCTATCATTTTTTGTTTTCCATTTCTTTTTTACCCTATTAGTTGTTTCTAATTTTGAGGGGTTTATTCTAACAGCTGAACTGGAATGCTTAGCTTTTTAACTTTTAGGTGGGCATACAAAGTGATACAGTTACCTTAGAGAGTAATGTGGCAGTATCTAGTAAAGCCAAAGATGTTTATATCCTAGTGCCAAAAAATAGTTCCAATCATACTTAAACACAGTTCATATTTGTGCACAAATAAAAAAAGAGTTGTACAAGATGTTTATATTAACATCATAAGAACCAAATATTACAAACGACCTAAGTAGCCATTAAGAGGAGAATGGATAGATAAATTGTGATACATTACTACAATGAAACACACACAGCAGGGAGGATGAATGAGCCAGAGCTCCATGTATTAATATAGATAGCTTCCATGTTGAATGACATAAAGCACATTGCATAAAGATACATACAGGCTAATACCATGTATATGAAGTTTAAAATCATGCAAAACAGTACTATGTATGTTTATAGGATACATGTCTATGTAGTAAAAAGTATAAAGGTGTTCATGGGAATGATAAACAACAAATTCAGAATAATGCAACTTTAGAGAGTGTAGAGAGAAGTACATACAGAGAAATATGTTTGTAATATTTTATTTAGATGGGTGATGAGTACATAAGTATTTTTAATCATAAATGTTTTACTTTTTTGGGTATCCAAGGTAGCAACGGAAACATTACTACATGAGGTATATACTAATTGAGAAGGAAAACTCTTAGATAAAACCTTTTATGATGATAGTAGTGGGGAAATGTGGGCATTTCAAAGGTAGTAAGATAATTTTTAATTGTTTGATCAGGTACAAAGTGTAAAAAATATAATAAATTAGAATACTTTATATTCCAACTTCATAAGCTTCAGTTTTATCTGTTTTAGCTTGAACTTACTTGAAGCTTTTTACTCAGAAGTACAAAATAAGATAACATTGAGAAAGCTAAAACATTGTGTCCTTTTCTTTGCATTGCATTTGAAGCTTGAAAAATAGAGTTGTTTAAAATTGTAATGATCTTAGAGATGACTTGGTCCAATTCTCCCACCCCCTCCTTTTATAAATGTCACAGTGATACAATCATCCATCCATTCACCCTCCATCCATCTGTTTATTCAACCAATAAATGCCCAATATTGTGTCAATCATTGGGGTGGTTGAAGTGATGACAAAGAAAGAAACCATGGTCCCTTTCCTACAAGTCTAGAAGAAAGAACTTTAGGGAAGAAAACAGTCACATAACCGTATGGGTAGAGATATATTACAAATGCTTCAGAAGCACAGAAGAGGGAAGTAATAACTTGGTCAGTGGAGGTACTTTTCAGCTGTGTTTACTGTAGAGATTATAAAATATTTATTTTTATTAAATGGAGCCAGCAATTTTATTACTCATTTGGACATATTTTAAGGTATACCTCAAAGATATTTTTAATTTTTTAACCATATGAGATATGTCTAATAAACATGGCAATAAGGTCCAATGGCATTCGGCCTTTTACATGTATTGTGCCAAATAAAGACACCAAGATTTTACCAGGCTCCTTATTCTTGAGGTTATTTCTGCTAGTCAGGAGTAGAGTCAAATGAGCTCTTTGTAAATCACTGTGTCAGATTTATAGAGAAAGGAAGCTTGTAAAAGTGTTTCTTGTGGTCATTAAATGCCCTTTGTTTTCTGCCTAGAGCTTGCTATATTGATGGTCTAACCAACATATCCAAGAAATTTATGGGGTTGTAGTTTTGATCTCACTCAGTGAGAGAGTCAGAAGGGAGTAGGGAAGAGAGGGCATTTGAGTACTCAGTGTCTTTACAGTATTCCCACAAATAAAATGCTTGGTGTTTGTATGAGTGGGCAAAGGAATATATACTTAAAGCCCTGAGTTGAAAACCGAAAATACATAAACTCTGTCATGTTGTTAGTTCTGTCACTCTGCGACATTGGGCAAATCAATCAGCCATTCCAAAGCAATCATTAAGTATGCAGGTCTCTTTATCTGCTTTATCCCCACGGCCATTCAGTTACCATACAGGCAGGGCTTTTCCTAATATTTTGTGTCTCAAAAAAAAAAGTTTGACTATTGACTTACAATTGAGCTTTTCCTAAGTCTCTTATTTAGTAAGCATTCTCTCAATTACCTTATTTTAAACAATCACCACCAACAAAAAGGGACCTGTAATAAATTAGCAACAATTTCCTAATATTATCAACATAAATATGGCCGTATTTAAGGCCAAGAACCAAGCTATCAAGGAAGGTTGAGGAGTGTTTAAGGGAAATTAAAAGATTAGTCTGAGAGTAGTCAACATACAGTGTATTCTAAACTTGGATCACGCTCTCTCTAGCTAAATTATGACATATTGCAAGATTTGGGATTCTTGTGAAACACTGTTAAAAATTGAATTTAAGGTCAGATGCAATGACTCATGCCTGTAATCCCAGCATTTTGGGAGACTGAGGCGGGCTGATCACTTGAGGTCAGGAGATCGAGACCAGCCTGGCCAACATGGTGAAACCCCTTCTCTAATAAAAATACAAAAAATTAGGTGGGTGTGGTGGTACATGCCTGTAATCTCAGCTACTTGGGAGGCTGAGGCAGGAGAACCACTTGAACCCGGGAGGCAGAGGTTGCAGTGAGCTGAGATCGTATCAGTGTATTCCAGCCTGGGTGACAGAAAAAAAGAAAGAAAGAAAGAAAGAAAGGAAAGAAAGAAGAAAGAAAGAAAGAAAGAAAGAAAGAAAGAAAGAAAGAAAGAAAGAAAGAAAGAAAGAAAGAAAGAAAGAGAAAGAAAGAAGAGAAGAGAAGAGAGGAAAGGAAAGGAAAGGAGGAAGGAAAGAAGAAGGAAAGAAAGAAAGAAGGAAGGAAGGAAAGAAGGAAGGAAGGAAAATTGAACTTAAGCTACAGATTCTGGTGGGAAACAGTTTCATATTGGACCAAGCTCAATCGAGGCCTGCACATCACATATGAAAAAAAGGGAAAAGAAAACTTTTAGGTGAACAACTGAATTGTGGCCAGTTCTTAAGCCTCTTCAAAATCTCTCAGTGATGACACCTGGGAAACAAAGGTAAATAGCCACTGTAGGGGAAGAAAAATATATTTTCCTCACCTTTATGACAAAAGACAGATTAACAAGAGAAAAGCATACAAATTTATTTAATATAACTTTTATGTGACATGGGAGCCATTATAAGAAAACAAAGACCTAAAGAAATGGTTAAACTTGTATATTTTTGTGCTGGGTTTCATGAAGAGTATACAGTTATGGAGAAATATAACTGGACAAAGAGTGCATGATCTAATGGTAATAAACTGGGGAAATTTAGCAAGGCCTGTCTATTCTGATTCTTCTCTTTATGCTATGTCTTCAGAGATAAAGATGTTCCTTTCCACTGGGAATAGAGAGGGCGCCTCTCGTATGAGGGTTTCATGAGGGTTTTACAGTCTGCTTTAGGGAAAAGTCAAAACCCTTCCTAGGTTTTATGACCTGCTCCAGAGGAGATGAGTGGTGTTTGGGGAGAGGGGAGGTGAGAGTGGCCTTTCTACTTCTGCAGTTTTCTTAAATTCTTTCAGCTTAAAATATTTTGGGGGTAGTGTGTCCTAAACCCCATCAGCCAATCAATTCCAATTATGGGCTTCAGGGTGAGGGGCCGTCAGCATTTGCAGATCCACAGATAATGGTTTAAAGGACAAGCAGGTGGGGAAAGGTGGCAGATAGATACCTCCTATAGGCCAGCACCTCCCTCTGCTCCTTGGACTGGTCTTCAGTGTTATGACTGGTGTTTGAGTCATCATGGCACCTCACAACTTTGCTTAGTTTCCTAAACATTCAATTGATATGAACACCCCTGACCCCCCATTCTCATTACCCACATCTTCTCTTTCCATTTTCCTTCCATATAACTTACTAATTTATTTTGTTTGTTGTTTAAGCCTTTGCCTCTTCTCTCTAGAATGTAATTTCCCTTAGGGCATTAATCTTTGTCTGGTCACTCCTTTCATTTTGGCCAAAAACTGGTCAGGAAATATTTGTTGAATTAAGTTTAACTAACTCTGGCAAGATGAACATAAAATGGTTATTTTATTTGGAACAAATATTACTCCTGAAAAGCAAATGGAAAGGAAGTGTATATCAATTTTTTTAAGTAATCTAAAATAAAATGTTTAAAAAAATTTTTTTAAGACTAGTCAAATTCAGTGGTGAGAAGCGGGGAAAGGGTAGAACAAGGAGTTTAATCTGTGAACAGTCAATTGAGATAATTCATTACCTTTGGGCCAGCCAAAACATGTCTGATATAAAAAAATTATTATAGAAGTGTGATGTGACAAGTCAGTTTATTAATATGTAGATGTTTCCAATGATAAGTATGTGAGGTGAGGAATCTGTTAATTAGCTTGATTTAATTATTTCACAACATACACATACATCAAAACATCACATTGTACACTGTAAATAAATAGTTTTGTTAATTATATCCTAATAAAGCTGGGGGATAAATTATTTTTAAAAATCTCTTTGCCTGAGCTAACTCAATGAAGATAAGAGTTTGCCTGCTTTGGGTCGGTTTCTGAAGGTTTTTGGAGTGAACCAGAGAATGAGTTGATACGATTTGGATGTTTGCCTCCTCCAAATCTCATGTTGACATATAATCCACAATGTTGGAGGTGGGGCCTAATGAGAGGTGTCTGGATCATGGAGGTGGAATCCTCATGGCCTGGTACTTTTCTTGTGATAGTGAGTGAATTCTCACGAGATCCAGTTGTTTAACAGTGTGTGGCACCTCCCTGCACCCCTCTCTTGCACCTACTCTTGTCATTTGAGACACCTGCTCCCCCTTTGCCTTCTGCCGTGATTGGAGGCTTCCTGAGGCCTCACCAGAAGCCAGGCAGATGCTGGTGCCATGTTTCTTGTACAACCTGCAGAACCACGTGCCAATTAAACCTATTTTCTTTATACATTACCTAGCCTCAGGTATTTCTTTATAACAATGCAAGAACAGCCTAACATGTGGCTAGAGGAAAATGAGGCCTAAGGGTTTGAATCATGGGGGAGACTGCTTATAATAGGCCACATCTATCTTTTAGTTCATAAAAGGCCACAGGTCAGGAAGAAGCATGTCCAACTAGAGAGGATGGAGGGTAATATGATGTTTCTGGGTGATAGGACTTAAATCTGATTTCATGTCTGCAATATGGATAATTAGACATTTTAGAAATTAGATTAGAAATGAGACACTTAAAACGATAAGTATTCTGTTTGTTTGGGCCTTGTGGGTACAGAATTCATAGGAGTTATAGTGAATAAAATAAAGGTAAAATTTCCCAAGTTCCTCCTCCTCCTCATTTTTTCTCCCCAAGTATTATCTTCTGTTAGCAGATTGATTTTTTATACTTTATTTTTTAAATTTTTACAAAGTTTGTATTTTTCAAACCATTTTATGTGTACAAACTAAAAATTTGTACATAATATTTAAAAAATAAAATATCATTGTCAGGGCTAAGGGGAAAGTTCCCATTTGCCAGCAGAAGCTTTGCTGAAAAATCAACTCACAAAAATCAGAATAGGAGAAAAGGCATACAAATTTATTTAACGTGTATACATGGGAGCCCATAGGTACAGGGAGAATTTTCTATTTTTATGCTTAGGTTCAGTAAAATATGGACAGTTGTACAGAAATAGGATTGGACAAAAAGGGCTAATCTAATACTATAGGGGCCCTCTCTGAAACGGGGGTCTTAGGACCTACAGTCAAACAAGGTAGGTCAGATAATTTCTTCATGGCCAGTTTCTACACAGGAACGTTGGGGGAGGAAGTTAGAGTAATATATTTAGGTGTTATGGCTGGCTTTTGGAAAAGAGGTTCTGGTTTCTATGACCCGCCTTGGGGAAGATGGATTCTAGTTTCTACGACACCTTGGAGAGAATGGGAGTGAGAGACAGGAGGGCAGGAGAAGGTCAAAGAGAAACTTTTGCTTTTCAGAGTGCTTTTGAGGCTTTCATTTTTGGGGTATTGTTTTCTGAGTCCCGACATCATCAAACTGTACTGTAACTGTTACAACTATTTCATTTAATAAAATATAGATGTGTCCACATCAGTACATGCTGGCAAACTTGTTCTTTGTAATGGCTATATAACATTTCATGATACGAACATACTAAAATTTATTTACCAGTTCCTGTATTGATAGGTATATGGGGTGTTTCTATGTTTTATTATAGCAAATAATGCTGTAATGTTTATTTGTTAGGAATTATGTCTATTCAAATGACTTACAAAATATAGTCTGCTTTAAAATAGAAGCTTCTTTGAGAATAAATTATGTTTTCTTTTTTGCCACTAAGTCCAATTTCTGGTGCTTATTTAAAAATCTTAGTATTATAAAATGCTTTGAAACAAGGAATAAAAACACTATACAGTAATTGTATGATGAATTTAATGTTTACATAATAAAGATAGGCATTTATTTTAATTACCCAAATTTTGGCAGATGTCCCTTCTGCTTTCCTCTATCAATTAGTTACATTACTGATGATGGTGTTTTTGAACAGAGCCTAATTTCGTCTCATCAGCATCACTGAAAAGAATTGAAATCACAATTACTATTTTTAGTTATTTCTCTTGTGTCATTTCTTACTTTTAGCATAAATGGAAGCTATTTAAATATTTAGATCATGAATTTGGATTTGTGTCTGCTGTTCTGTGTGTTATAAATTTGGAATTATGTTATATATTAATGATATATGTTAAGAAATGGTGAAAAACAAAAAATTGCCCCCCTTTCACCAAGTCTTGTTGGGGCCTGAGATATTCTAAGAGAATGTATTTTCAGATACAATAAATTGAAGTATACTTTCTGAAAATATTTTAACCATTTTAATGGAAGTGATCCTAAATCAGTATTAGTCACCTCTTAGAGTGTTTGTTTTCTATTCCTAGTAACCACAAACAGTGGCTTAAAACAGCACATTTATTCTCTGAATTTCCATGGGTCAGGAAGTTGAGCACAGGTTAAGTGGGTCCTCTGCTCAGGATCTCATCAGGTTGCCACCAAGAGGGTGACGAGCCTGGGGATCACCTTAGAATTCTGTCTTTCCGTGATTATCTTCTCAGACTGTATTATACTTCATTTAATAAATTTTGAAAATGCAGAGCAACATTATGAATATCCATTCCCATACTTTGCTATTATATAGAACACAATTCTCTATCAGCTCTTGAGTTACAGAAACAATCACTTCTGCCTTTGCCTTTTAATCTTTGCTTGAGGGTTGGTTTCCAGAGGCCTGAGTTTACTAGACAGTTTAGATAAAAAATTAATGGGAAGTGCTTATATAAGCATCTGCATGTTATGCACACTAATTTACTTGTTTCAGAGGGGAAGGGAGATGAGGGAAATGTGGCAATTTGGGGGTTGTAGTAAATAATTTTTAGGGGAAAATTAATGGTCTTGCAGAACATGTAGTGGCCCGGGACAAAGTCTCTTAGGCCCACAGACCAGACAATGATTTGTGACTAAAGTCTGTCCATGTGTCTTGACAAACTTCAGTCTCTTTTCCCACTTAACCTGTGCTCAGTATCTTTTCCTGAAATATGAGTTAAGTTAACAAAAACTCCAGGAAGGAACCAGAGGCAATTGTTTTCTTCTTTGGCAAGTCCGGACATGAGGCAGATAGGGGAAGTTTAGAGAACACCTTCAGCCTTTATTTTGGGAGACACAAAAGATTGAGAGATGGGGGAATGAGGGGATGTTAGAGAGACTTTGAATCGACTTCTTCAGGCCAGCATGTCAAAGTGCCATATTTTGGATATCGGTTTCTGGGCCCCAACAAGAGTCAATCATAAAATAAAATGGCTTTAAGCTCATTGCAAGGTAAGTAGGAAAATAAATGCCAATAAATAAGAATTTTATACCATGATGTGGTGTACAAGTATACACACAAGTGTGCAAGTGTTTCTTATTTACGATGAAACAAAAGGTGATGAAACTAAAATATCTAATTAAATATAATTATTAAAATTATTATATGTGATTATATTTAAAAATGATTAAAAGATGCATTTAGCGACTATTTCATTTCACTAAGTGAGTGATTTTTCATCCAGGGGTCATTTTGCAACCCCCCTCCCTGCCCAGAGATATTTGGCAATGTCTGGAGACATTTTTCCTTGTCATAACTGGGGGACGGGTTGCTTCTGGCAGCTAATGAGTAGAGGCCAGGGATGCTGCTAAATATCCTGCAATCCACGCAACAGCCCCCGTATCAAAGAATTATCTAGGCCAATAGTCAATAGTGTTGGGGTTTAGAAACTGTACTAAGTGAAAAAAGCAGTCTCTAAACCTATTTTATTCTATGTCATTTTTTTACACTTTTAATAAGCTATCTTTATTGTTCATTTTAAACAATTGTATTATTCAAATATTTAACATTTATTGAGACATTTCACCTGACTTAGTGTACAGACACCTTTTATAAATGCCCCACATGTGCTTAAGAAGAACGTACATTCTCTGTTCAGGATTCTAAATATACTAAATAAAAAATGTATCTAATGTTAGATCTAAATCCTTACTAACTTGTGTACGCTTGATCTAATAATGGTGTGTTGAAATCTCTCACTTTTATTGTTTTGTTCAATTTTTATTTGCAGTTGTATCATTAAAAAGTTTGGAACTATTTTGTTAGGTACATACAAATTCATGATTGTCCTATCTTGTTAAAGTGTTGTTCCCTTCATCATAATTTGGTGTGCTTTTTTATCCGTACTCATAATATTTCATCTAATGTCTTTTTGTCTGATAGTACTAGTGTCACAATTTTTTTTCAACTTTTATTTTAGATTCAGGTGGTACATGTGTAGGTTTGTTAACTGGTTATATTGCGTGATGATGAGGTTTGGGGTACGAATGATCCTGTCACCCAGGTACTGAGCATAGTACCCAACAGTTTTTCAATCCTTGTCCCCCTTCCTCCTGCCCCCCATAGTAGTCCCCAGTGTCGATTGTTGCCACATTTATGTCCATGCATACCCAATGTTTAACTCCCACTTAGAATATGCAACTTTTGGTTTTCTGTTCCTGCATTAAATCATGGAGGATAACGGCCTCCAGCTGCATCCATGTTGCTGCAAAGAACATGATTTTGTTCTTTTTTATAGTGGGGTGGTATTGCATAGTGTATATGTACCATATTTTTAAAAATCCAATCCACC
The DNA here is from genome assembly GCF_000001405.40 of Homo sapiens. Lineage (NCBI taxonomy): Eukaryota > Metazoa > Chordata > Mammalia > Primates > Hominidae > Homo > Homo sapiens. Next base: position 12,059,858 of record NC_000023.11, read on the forward strand.
ATTGATGGGCACTTAAGTTGATTCCATGTCTGCTATTGTGAATAGCGTACAATAAACATGTGAGTGTATGTGTGTTTTTGGTAGAATAACACTACTGGGTATCTATCCTCTGGCTGGCTTTTGGAAAAGGGGTTCTGGTTTCTATGACCTGCCTTGTGGAAGATGGATTCTAGTTTCTATGACACCTTGGAGAGAATGGGAGTGAGAGACAGTACCATTTCTTAACATATATCATTAATATGTATTCTTTGGGTAGATACCCAGTAGTGGGATTGCTGGGTCAAATGGTAGTTCTGTTTTAAGTTCTTTAAGGAATCTCCTGACTGCTTTCCACAGTGGCTGAACTAATTTATATTCTCACCAACAGTGTATAAACGTTCCCTTTTCTCCACAGCCTCACTAGGAACTGGTTTTTTTTTTTTTTTTGATATTTTAATAATAGCTATTCAGACTGGCAGGAGATGGTATCTCATTGTGGTTTTTATTTGCATTTCTGTGATGATTAATATTGTTGAGCATTTTTTCATATGTTGCTGGCTGTTTATGTGTCTTTTTTTTTTTTGAGGTGTGTGTTCACATCTTTTGCCCGTTTTTTAATGGACAAAGCTATTTTAAATAATGATTCCAATACTGTGAAAGAAGCCCCAACTATATATTTTCCTAGCTATTTATATAATGTATCTATAAAGAATCAGACTTCCCCCCACTATCTATAAGATAAGAACATTATTTTATGTAAAAGTTAGTGCTGAATGGATCATTGGCCTGGAATGAAAGAGTCAATCTATGAAGTCGCCTCACTTCTTACTCACTTGTCTTTACCTGTTGTGTGTATCTGGTTGTCCTGTCTCCCCGTTCATCTAACATCTCTTTTAAAATTGTATGCCTTGTAGTCACTACTCTCCTACATAGTTATTATATGTATTCTTTGTGTTTACATGTAATGAGTCAAGATTATATATGTAATTTAATGTGCTGTGTATCTGAGTCTGCTGCTGCACATTTCTCTCTGATCCCATGCTATTTAGGAATAGTAACAATTTATTTTCCTGCATAATATCTACTATGTGCTTCACTAAATCTTCCTGTGTGGTAGATAAGATTAGGCTACTACAGGGGAGGAAAAAGTAATTTTCCCTCTAGCCTTCCAAGTTCTTGGTTGGGGCCTCTATGCCAAAAGACAGATTAACAAGAGAAAGACAAGTTTATTAATGTGTTTATCTCATGTGTATGTGGGAGATGCCCAGGAAAATGAGTAAATGTCAAAGAAGTGGCTTAGAGCTTGGGTTATATATCATCTTCAGCTAAAACAAAGAAAGAAGGGTGTGGGGGAGGCAAGTTATGGGAAGGTGACCAGGAAAAACACAAGAATAAGGTCTGTTGTGCAGACTTGGGTGAGTGAGTCTCTAGTGATTTAGTTGTCCTTCTGTTTCTGGTATAGAGAGGAAGTTACCCTTACAAATGGGAGATTTCCTTTATCAGTGTAAATTTCCCTTACAACAGGGTAACTTCTACTCTGTTTTCAGGGCTTCTCTGTATCTGCAGTTTCTCAAAATAATCAGCTCAAAATAATTCTTATGCAAAAGAGGCATATTTTGGGGTGGCATAATCTGGTCTCCTGCAATACCCATTGGGGAGATGAGGTAAGTGGTAAAAAGAGAGATGAAGTTAACCAGTTAGGAAGATACAGAAATGAGTGGCCAAATGGAGTCCTACAATTTGGAGAAAAACACAAAGAAGCAAACAAATACAAAAGAAAGAAACTAAGTCATGTTTAATTTATGATTGCCACATGCTAAAGGCAGGTGATATTTATTTGGAAACTCAAAAATGAAATCTTACATTTTATAGTAAGAATAAATATGATTATAGGGGTATTTGCTTTTTAAAATCCATTTTAAAATAATTCACTTATTTTCATGCATTTTTCTGTTCCATTATATTGAAGAACATTTTTGTTACCCCAAAAACTCAAGGTCAAACATATATTTATTATAAATTAAGGTGTGTTGAGCTGATATTAGGGAGATTTCACTAAAATATATTTTGACCTAATTTGAGGAGACTAATGTTCTTATGCTTAGCAAGATGTGAAACACAATTTGTATCTGAATGCATTTAGAAGACACAAATAAATAAGTCTCTATTCAGTCTTAGTAGCCTTAAAATTTTTAATTAATAAACTAAAACTTGATGTAAAATACCAGAGTACAGTCATAGGAATAAAATATAATTACACTTTCCTGGCCTCCTCCTGCCCTGAGCTCCACTGTGATTCTACTGTTTCCATATAACCTCTGTGTCTATGCATAAATGCTCATGGACTAAACTTTTTTTCATTACTGGAAACATTCTGGGAAACATTTCACTAGACAATGTATTGCGGTTATCTTTTTCAGTACATACAAATCCATTTCGCTGTTTTGTAGCTTTATGGTATTCCAAAATATGTATGTAATAAATTTAACCATTAATATAGATTATTTGGGTGAAAATGCCCAATTTTCTCAATATTGAGTCTTCCCTTCCAGTTTCTCTTTTAATTCAATCTTTTAAAATACACTTTAATATTTTATAATTTTATTCATATAGGGCCACCACATTTCTTATTAAGCTTATTCCTAGTAGTTTATTTTTATTTTTGTTTTTTGAGACAGGGTCTCACTCTGTCACCCAGGCTGGAGTACAGTGGCGCAATCTCGGCTCACTGCAACCTCTGCCTCCAAGACTCAAGTCATTCTCTCTCCTCAGCAGTGTTTTAGTATTTGTTTCTTTTCTTCATGTTTGGTGGGTGGGTGGATAGATAAATGTGTGGAGCAGAGGTTGTTTGTGCTGTTGTCAAAAACTCTTTTATTTTTTTCTAATTATATTTTCTAACTGGTTATTGGTGGTTATAGGGCAACTTTGGTTTTATAAGATTTTCTATCTCACATGTTACTGAGTTTTGTTAGTTTTACTGATTTTTCTATTGAGCTGCTAGAATTTTCTAGATAGAAAATTTGTGTCAGAATATTATGACAAAAACAGTTATAGCCATTTCCCAATGTTTATGCTTATATTATTTATATATTGAATCATATAGGACTTCCAGTCCAATGTTGATTAGTCGAGATGAGAATGGGTATGTTTGCCTTATTAATGGCTTTATGGCAATGCTTCTAATATTCTATCACCAAGAGTGATGTTTACCATAGATTTCTGGTAGACCTCTTTATTCAAATTAAGAATGCTACTAGGCATAGTGGCTCATGCCTATAATTCCAGCACTTTGAGAGGCCAAGGTGGGAAGATAGCTGGAGCCCAGGAGTTTGAGACCAGCCTGGACAACATAGGCAGACCCCAGTCTCTACAAAAATACAAAAATTAGCTGGTGTGGTGGTGTATGCCTGTGGTCCCAGCTACTTGGAAGGCTGAGGTGGGAAGATCACTTGGACCTGGGAGGTCGAGTCTGCAATGAGCCATGATTGCACCACTGCACTCCAGCCTTGGCAACAGAGTGAGACCACATTTCAAAAGAAACAAACAAACAAACAAACAAAAAAATGTTTTTCACCATTCCTATATTAGTTTTTCTTAAAGAACAAATATTGAAATTTATCAAATGCTTTTTATTATCTACTGAAAAGATAATAAGCTTTTCTGCTTTAACAGAGTAATGCAATTAAATCCATATATACATTTTAAAATAATGATTGCATTGTTATTTAACATAGACCCCATCTGTACAAAAATAAAAAGAAAAATAATTATCCAGGTGCAGTGGCACATGCCTGTAGTCCTAGCCACTCATGTGGCTAAGGTGGCAGGATCACTTGAGCCTAGGAGTTTGGGGCTAAAGTGAGCCAAGCTTGCAGCACTGCACTCCAACCTGGGTGACAGAGCAAGACCCTAACAACAAAACCCATCTATGCCTTTGTGGGGGTTAATTTTGACTACCCTTTCCAATTCTTCTTTGGTTATTTGGCATTTCATGTTATCTGTATCTCCTTATTTTGCAAATTTATATTTTCATAGAAAACTGTTTATTTCATCTAGGTTTTCAAATTAGTGTCATGTATAGAGAAAAACAAATGGATTCACTTTTGTTTTGATAAAGACATCTAAATTCCACTCAGAGTATAATGTTGCACCTCATTCTACTTAAAATACTTGAAGTTTGTGGGCTGAGTTTCCAGTGAACCTTCCATATGTCTATATGTGCCTATCAGTTCAAAAGCAATTGACACATTGGCATTCTTAGCTGTTCTGTACTTAGCTGTAAGCCAGGAAGTTGCATCTTTGAAAGTCAACTGTATTTGTGCATCACGGAATTGTTTGTGGCAAACCATATTATTTTTTGACCACTACTTATTCCAGGCATTGTTCTAGGTACTTTACATATGTAATCACTGACATTGCACAAATGATATAATACGTACTTAAGGCAATATTGTATTTCTTCAACGTTCCAGGACAAGTTTGTGTCAGAGTTGGGATTTGAACCAAATTTTGTGGCAGCAGGGGAAAATTCATGAGAGAGTACCATATCCCTGGCACAGATTTGAATTGTTATAGAACTAGAGCTTTTTAGGGATCTAGATATATCTGTATACTCCAAGAATATGCCTCCTGTGCCTATTTTAAGCCTGGCAGACATTTGGCCAGGAAATGTGTCTGATGTGTGACTTACTAGTCAGGTGCCTTTTTCTAGAGGTGAATGAAGGCATGTTTTAAATCTATTACTGAAAATACTTGAATGTAGAGCTTTAGAATTGTTGATAATCAAAGTGAGGTGCAGATGAGTAAAAAGTGAGGTACACTGAGGGTAATCTGTGCAGGAGTAAGAAATCATCATCCAGATTATTATGTGATTCTTCCAGTGCTCAAAAAGGAAACAGGTTATAGGAATCCCTGACAATATATCCTGGGATAAAATTTATTCTGGAGCTTTATACAGTAATTAGTTGAGCTCCAAAACAATTGAAAATGTTCATTTCAGTGGATTAATATAACAGTTTTTAATAAGGATTACTAAAAATTTTCTGTCTCGTTTAACAATAATGGGCTTATTTGTGAAGGAAGAAATATGGTTTGAACCCTTCAGGTTAGTAATAAGTACACAGAATCCATATGATTTTTATATGTCAGTGTGCATATTAATAATATCCATTTACTAAAGGAAGAGAAGGCAATTAACATAAAAATAGAGTAATTAAGCTTGTGTAGTTTGTTAAAGGATGTAAAGATTCCTACTTGCAAATCCTATTGAATACTATTGAAATCATTCTCAGTTGGCAAATTGAGTGGGTCTTATAACTTTTAAGAAGCCAGTGAATACTAGAAGGAAATAAATCACTAAACCTTTAAACAGATTTCTGTATGAGCTCCAGGTATTCTGGTTTATCCCTTTCAAACAGAGCTGTTCCTGGCCAGGCTTAGGTGCTGAGCCACTGCGAGAAGCAGGTGGCTGGAAATGCACAGTGACTCATGGTAGAAGAAGGGAAGAAAGGGAGAGTGTTTCCAGCCAACGCCAAACAGTGACTGTTGACAATTTCATATTGTCATCAGGGGAACCAAGGCTTATTCAGATGCCTATTTCAGAACCTAGGACAGTTCCATTGAAAAGGCGCAGGCGTTCGGGCTGGCTGACTAGATGGATCAGGCCTGGCTGCCTGATGGCTATATTCCTCCTTCCTCCCTCTCCACTTCCATCTCAACCCTTGAGGCTGCATATTGAATGTGAGTAGCTCTTCTGGCTTTGTGTGTTGCTGCAGCAGTCTGCCTACTGTGGCTGTTCTTGTTTCTGCTTTTGGTTTGGTGGTTCAAGGCTGCCTTTGATGATTATTTCGAACAAAGTATTCCCTAAATACTAATATTCCAGAAGTAGATGGGGACATAGACACACCTTATGATTTGTCCTTGGTTTTTATACCTTGAAGGAAGGCTCTCTTTTGATCGAAGTAATTTTAATGTTTATATGTTTAGAAATCCAAATTTGTACTTTGGAATTATGTGAGAAATTACTCATTTTTTCAGTCTATATAAGTCTCATTTATGTTGTAGTTCTAGTCTTACTCATTATTAAGTTTCACAAATCAGCCACTATTGTTTAAACATTTAAATCTAACTCTATTCCTCCTCTGGGAACTATATCATGTCACAGCTATTGGGTTAAATATGAGAAATTTCATGTGTTTCAGAAAATGAAATCATTTGGTTGGGGTCCAAGATTAACTTGTTAGATAAAAATATCCTGCAGTGAATTAAGTTTCAGCAAGTTTCCAATTTTGTTTCCTTCTCCTGCTATTTTTATTAACTCAAATAAATTAAATTTTCTTCCAAAAAATAATACCCACCCGAGATCCTTCTTTTAGGATGTCTATTCAAGTCATCTTCTGTTCCCAAAATATACACTATGTAGTTTTAGGATCTTTATCCATGTGTAGGAGCAAAATGATGTGGCACTAATATCAGATTTGAAGGGGTGTTACCTAGGAAACAAATCAAATTCTAAGACTGTCTTTTCTGTAATCTTTCATGATTGGAGATAAACCCTTGAAATTTAACTTCCCAAGAATATGCCTTTTTGTGAGCATGATGCGCACAGGAACAATGAAAGGGATCAATTAAACAAATATATTTGTTGGGATGTTCATTATTTCTTTTCTGCTTTTTGCCCTTTAAACAACTTGAGTTCTGTTTGCACTTTAACAAATATAACTACTTTGGGCATGTTCATGGGGGTAGGAAGAATTTAATTATGGAATATTTAGGTTTTTAAAAGTTTTGGATATTTGGAAGTCAATAAAATGTAGGGAATTCATATATTGTAGACCACCTAAGTTCCCCAAATAATGTTTTATTATAGGTTTTCTAAAAAAAAATCTGGATGGTTTTTTTTTATAGGAACACTATATTTTAGGCATCATTTGGTGGGAAACCCTATTGTAAAACTCAAACTATATTTTCTCTAGTTTATATTCCAAATACCTAAAAAAAAAAACAGAGCAGCAGTCCCCAAGTTTTTTGTTTTTGTTTTTGTTTTTTTTTTGAGACATAGCCTCACTCCATCACCCAGGCTGGAGTGCAGTGGTGTGATCTCGCCTCACTGAAACCTCCGCCTCCTGGGTTCAAGCTATTCTCCTGCCTCAGCCTCCCAAGTAGCTGGGACTACAAGCGTGCACCACCATGCCCAGCTAGTTTTTTTTGTATTTTTAGTGAGACGGGGTTTCACCATGTTGGCCAGGATGGTCTCAAACTCTTGACCTCATGATCTGCCCACCTCGGCCTCCCAAAGTGCTGGGATTACAGGCGTGAGCCACCAAGCCTGGCTAGCAGTCCCCAAGTTTTAAGGAAGCACTGAACTCCATGACAGGTTTAGTGCACAGTGAACATCTTTCACACGAGAAGATCAGAAGATAGCCACCGCACCTTTGATCCCCGGTTCTCCACTGGCTTGCAGACATTATCCAGTTCCCAGAAATTCCTATGGCCAGCAGGGATGCCAATGCTCACCCATCTGTTTTTGGTCACTGAAAGCCAAAAACAAAGTGTTTGTTTGTTTGTTTGTTTGTTTTTGTTTTTGTTTTTGTTTTTTTTTGAGAGGAGTCTCACTGTATTTCCCAGGCTGGAATGCAATGGTGCAATCTCGGCTCACTGCAACCTCTGCCTCCCAGGTTCATGTGATTCTCCTGCCTCAGCCTCCCGAGTAGCTGAGATTACAGGCGTGCATCACCATGCCTGGCTAATTTTTGTATTTTTAGTAGAGACGGGGTTTCATCATGTTGGCCAGGTTGGTCTCAAACTCCTGATCTTGTGATCTGCCTGCCTCAGCCTCCCAAAGTGCTGCGATTACAGGCGTGAGCCACTGTGCCTGGCCAGTGGAGATACTTTTAATGTAAAACAAAATTGTGTGTTCTCAAGTTCTGTCACAGTTTTGGCATGCCCAAGTTACTGATCTGATTACTCAGTATAGTACATCTTTTCCCCTATTTTCACAGTACTTAACTGTTGTATAGGCAGAGTAATGGCCCTGCAGAGGTGTTCATGTCCTAATCCCAGAACCAGTAAATATGTTACCTCATATGCCAAAGGGAATCTGCAGACATGATTAAGCTAAGGATCTTCAGATGGGGAGATAGATTTTCCTGGATCATCTGGATGGACTCCATGTCATCCTGAGGGTCCTTATAAGAGGGAGTCAGTAGGGTCAGTGTCTGAGAAAGATGGAAGCAGAGGTGAGAGAGGGAGAGGGAAATGATTTGAAGATGCTATGCTGCTGGCTTTGCTAATGAAGGAAGGCACCATGACCTGAGGAATGTGGGTGGCCTCTAGAAGCTGAAAAAGGCAATGGAATAGGTTCTCTCCTACAGACTCTAGACGAAACACAGTGCCACTGACACCTTGACCTTGGCCCAGTGAAACCCATTTTGGACTTCTGGCCTTCAGAAGTGTAAGAAAATAAATTAACACTGCTTTAAGCGCCTAAATTTGTGATAATCTGCTATAGCAGCAAGAAGAAACTAACGCAATAAAAATTTTGTTTTTTTTCAAATGAAAGCTACTTTTCTCTGATTATAATAATAAGCTCAGATTTTTAAAAATATTTACTCTTCAGAAAAACTATAAAGGGAGGAAGGAAACCATCATTTGGGGAACACAGCAGATCTATTGACAACTAATCTGTGTTGTTACCTTTTGACCCTCAAGCTCCTCCCCTCCTCTGCTTTCCCACTGCTGAAGTCTATGTATGCAGTATGACAGAGTATGTTTAAATGAAACTATGGAACTAGGCTGTTTATTTTTCTAACTTTCCTCCTTAACTGTGAACTCTTAGAGCTCGGTTTTCTTTGGTTTCATTCCTGACTTTTATCAAAATTCCTAACACACAGTAGATCAATAATTGGTTAACTTGTCGATTAGTTGATTAATGGATTGAATGCTATTAAAACAGAGCACTCTATATAAATACCCATTAAGTAACAAATGTAATGTTTAGTGAATATTTGTTGAGTGTCTACCATATGTCAGACTAAATTCTAGGAACTTTATAAGAAAAAATAAACTTTCTGCTCCTGAAGTGCTTACATCTGGAGGGTATACACTGACAATAAACAAATAGACAAATACTAATAAATTTATAGTCTCTCCAGCAGTAATCTGTGTTTTGAAGAAAAATCAAGAGCATGCAGAATGAAGAGTGTTAGGTTGAGGTTTTTTATATAGGGAGGCTGGGAAGGCCTCTCCAATAGCGTAACATTTGAGTGGAACTGGAAGAAAATGAGGTACTGAGCAATACCATTTTCTCAGCCAAGAGCAAGATCCTTGAGCCAGGAGGATGCTTTGCAGGTTCAATGACATATAAAGAGATGCTTGTGGAGATAAGCCTTGCAAACGAGGGGAAGACTGCTGGTAGCAAGGTCAGAGAAGTACATTGGGCTGGTCATTAGGGCCATGCATAGGGATTTGTCTTTTACCCTGAGTATGAAGGGAAGCTTCGGGAGGCAGTGTATCTGATAGTTTAAAAGTATCACCCGGTTTGCTACATGGAAATTAGACTATAGGCAGCAAGGGTGGAAGCAGAGAGAATGGGAGTCCAGGCAACTTGTGATGGCATCTTAAATGTCAGTTGCCACAGCAGAGGTGCCGAGAAGTCACCAAACAGTGGATATACATCTTTAGAAGTGCCAATAGGATTTTCTCATGGGTTGGATGTGAGATATAGGGTATGAATCTGGTGTTCTGACAAGGGGTCCAGGCTGAAGATAGAAATTTTAGAAAGGTCAGTGGGTGGAAGGTAACTCAATCCAGGAAGCTTGATGAGCTCACCTAAGGAAGAGGGCTGGGCCCAGGGCACCCCAGTGTTTTGAGGTAGAGAAAATGAGACTGAGAGAGATTCACCCATGAGGGGGAAGAGAAGCAGGAGAGGAGTTCCCCAAGTTTATGAAGAAAGTGTTTTGAGGAGCAGGGAGAGATTAGCATATCAAATATGCAAATGAGATGACAAAGATGGGCTGGATCATGGGAATTGACTTCATGGGAGTCACTGGTGACCTTGTATGAGTAGTCTGGTGGAATGATGGAGAAAAAACGACCTGATGGCAGTAGGTCCAAAGAGAAATAGTAGACAGGAAGAGGAGTCAGTGAATGTGGGTAAACCTTTCTAAAGACAAACAAAGAAATGAGCAGGAGCTAGTGGGGAATGTGGGACCAAAGAAAGGCTTTTGAATTTTTTATATCTGTGATATTACAGAGTATTGAATGCAGCTAGCAATGATCACATAGAGAGGGGGAAATTGAGGATGCATAGATGAGAGACAGTTGCTAAAGTCGTGAGCTTGAGTGGCCAAGAGGAGGGGTGGGTCCAGCAGGCAGGTGGAAAGCTGGATCTTGTAAGTAGTGAATGGACAGCTCACATGCATTCACAACAATTTACAGGGATATATATGTTTTAATAGAGAATTTTTTTCCCACTTCTTGATGTGAGAGGTGTTTCAAGAAATGTGATTTTGATCCAAAAATTTAAAAAAATAGAAATTTCTGGGTAATTTCATGGTTTAGCAGGAACAAGACGACAGAATATTTTTTAAAGTCTGGGCTTTCATAGAAAACCCACATATATAGGCAACTATCCAATTGAGTGGTAGTTATTATATCTGGTTTGTTTAACTCATTTGTTAGAATGTTATGCTGAGGCCATTGTTCAAATCTCTAGCCTAATGTCATTCTGTCGCCTCTAAACAGATAAATAGTTGCTCTACAACTGTGGACCACACCACTAAAGTGAACCATATAAATAAAGGCCAGGGTGCATGAGCCGCATGGTGCTAATTTATTGCAGAGCCCTCGTCACTACTGGGGAAAAAAAATAGTTCCAATGACTGTGTGTCAGCATCATCTCATATAAAAGATGGCCCTTTGGGACAAAAGTCTATATGTATTATGGAACTGATATTGTCCATGTGATGAACCAGTCTTTTCAAAGATGAGCTCCAATTGAACTAAATCATTTAAAGCGCAAGCCTTCAAGCTTCCTGGACATTTGCATTGCAAACCACTGGTTTCATCACAGCGATTTGGTGGCTGGTTTTGTCATTAAGATCTTTCAGGGGAGTGTGCCCTTTGAACTTATCTTGAAGAGTCAACTTTTTGTCTTAGAAAATTATTTCACAGGATTTATGAGAGACTGGCTAAATAATCCACACGTTGCAGATGACAATAATAAGATGGTTGAGTTACTTGCCCAGAGCCCATAAATAGCGCCAATAGAATGGGTCTCTGAGTATTGATCAGACTTGGTCAAGATGTTCCTTTGGGGTGGTAAACAGGCTTCCCTTTCCCCTTCCTCCTCCTGGCTTCGTCATTCCTAGCTTGCCACCCTCCCCATACAGCTCTTTCTCCTCCTTCCTTCTTCCTCCTATATGTCCCTCTTGCACCTTTCCTACCTCCCTCCCTCCTTGCCTATAACCCCTTTTTAAATGACAGGAACCATGACATATAACACACATATCAGCGGAAATGGTCTCAATAAGTTGCATGTTACACAAACCAAAGCATCTGATAGAACACCTAATATCTTTGCAGAACTTAACTCTTTATAAGGCATTTTATTTTGCAGAAATTCTTCTTTAAAATGTTCAACAATCCTATGAGATAGATGTTTACTCTTATTAGATTACAATTTCATTAATTCAGCCTCAGAGAGGACAAGGAAACAAGGAGCTTACTCAGAGTTGCAAGCACAGAAAGCAAGTTGTAATGCTGATAATGAAATCCAGGTTGCATGATTCCAAGACTCTTACACTAATGCTGCATAATCTCTGCTCCCGCTTGTCTCCTTGTTATTGAAGGCAAACAGGCACAATTGTGAGGCTGATATAGCCTGACAAGCCACCCGTGTCTGCTACTTGCCCTTTCTCTGCTTTTACAGGGTGGTGAAAACTTTCCCTGTGCTCCACTTCCACCCTTACCAGCCAAAGGAAGGACCAGAACTGGCCAGGCAGGCATGTGACCCAGTAATGAGTGATTATACAAGGAAATGCACTTCCATGAACACTTTCTGGCCCCAGGAAACCTCAAACTTCCCTACGTTTAGATAAATGGTCTAAAGTTTACCACGTCTGACATCATTCTCATTGGTATCTATTTTTATTGTATTTTATTAATTTATTTAGAGCCAGGGTCTTGCTCTGTTCCTCAGGCTGGCATACAGTGGTGCAATCATAGCTCGTTGCAGCCTTGAACTCCTGGGTTCAAGGGATCCTCTCATCTCAGCCCCCTCAGTAGCTGGGACTACAGGCATGTGCCACCACACCTGGCCCTTCATTGGTGTTTAATCATGACTCATAGCAATATCACTGTCGACTTATAGCTGGGAACAGCACATTTCTATTTCTTTTTCAGATGCTGCTGTTGAAAATGAAGCTGTTTTTAATTCATCGTGTCTGGGAAATTCACACTGTTTATTAAGAGAGGAATGATGGGGAGATACCTTACTCCTCATGCAATATATTGCTACTGAATTTGTTCCCATTTCCATCTCCATTCCAAAATTCATAAAGCATTTGTATCGGGTTACAGCAATTATTTTGTCACCCGTACTGTATGTTGCTCACTGTAATTAGGTGTATAGTCAAATAACATGGCTTTGTGCACTATGTAATTAATCATGCCCGGTTGTGTGCATTTCCTAGCATCCAACATTTCAGAGTTGACACTAGCCAAACCTCCTGTCTGATTTCTTTCCCTAAGTATTACATAATTCAAAGGGCATTTGCAGAAAAGGTGGCAGTCAGCTGAAAATGTGGACAATAGACTTAATAGCTTATTGGAGTGGTTTTGCAATTCTGAAATAATATTTTATTATGAAAATATTTCATACATTTCAAAGATACAGAGCATGTCACAATAAACATATATATGCCCCGGTTAAACACACTGAGCTTTTTATTTGTTACAAGTATTGCTTTTTAAAGCAATATAATTTATAGATGCAGATGAAGGTCCCCATCCCGTTCCACTCTTCTGCAAAAATAACTGGCAACCTGAGGGTGTGTATTTTTTAATTACCTACCTTCTATTATTTATATATATATGTATATATATATTCATGCAACATGTACTGTATCACTTAGGGTATTTATCAGAATGTGTATAAGTAGTTTCTTACTGTATCCTTTTGCAACATGCTTTTTCTTCCTCATTCAACATTGGGTGTTAAAGGTTTATCTAAGTTGATACATGTAGGTCTATTTTTTTAACTATTCTAGTTCATTGTATAAATATACGGCAGTTTATTCAGTCATTTCTTAATTAACATTGCTTCCAGTTTCTTTTAATATAAACAAAATTCCAGTGAACACTCTTGCACATCCTCCTTGTACGCATATATGAGAGCTTCCCTAGGGCCAGAGTTCCCAAACATTTTCTGTAAAGGGCCAAATAGTAAATACATTCAGCTTTTCAGGCTGGAATGGCCTCTGTCACAACTATTGAACCCTGCTGTTATAACATGAAAATTACCATAGAAAATACATAAACTAGTGGCCATGGCTGTGTGTCCATGAAACTAGTTGCTGACATTTGAATTTCACATCATTTTCCCATCATTATTATTCTTTTGATTATTTTTCTCAGCTGTTTAAAATGTTTGTGTAAAAAAATTCCTACCTCATAAGCCATACAAAACCCGTCAATGGTCTTGATTTGTCCTATGGCCCATAATTTGCTGACCCTTGTTTTATGGCATATGCCTAGCAGTGGCATTACCATACCAAATGGAATGTGAAACTCCATCTTAAACTAGATAGAGCCAGATTACTCTCCAAAATGAATGTAATAATGTATCTTTCTCTTCCTGCCCAATCTGATGTGTGTGAAAACATGTCACATTTTTTGTTTTGCATTTTGTTTTATTTTAGAAAGGGGATCTTGCTAGTTGTCCAGGCTAGCTTTGAACTCCTGGGCTCAAACGATCCTCATGTCTCGATCTTCCTGTGTCCAGGATTACAGGTGTGTACCTCCATGTCCAACTCTCATTTTTGTTTTAATCGGTATTTTTCTACAAACTAGCACTTTCATCTTTCCATTCATTCAGACTTAGTGGAGAATATTCCATATGTTCATTAGCCACTTGCTTTCACTCTTCTATTGATTTACCTATCTGTTTTTTCAAGTTTTCTGCTGGATTGTTTGCTAAATTTTCTTACTAATTTGTAGGGTTCTTTATAAAATCTGGATACTAATCTTTTTACAAATACAAATATTACATTGTATATGTTTTAGGTTTGTGACGTGTTTGTTATACAGGAATAATTTATGTCAAAATTCATAATAGGTTGTGCTTTTTGTAAAAGAAATTTACAGATTAGATTACTTGCTATAAAAACATTGATACCTATTTAAAAGATCACCACTACTGCTATAACTCCAACTCCAAAATTGAGAAGGAGCTGACACTCATCTCAGGCAAGCCCGTCTTCTGATTTTTCCCAGGTGTTTTCCCTCCAGCCCTCATCTCCTTGTGTTGCTCCTTCCGTTCATTCTTCCACCTCTTTCTCTTGTGTGTCTTATTAAATCCTGCTCCTAGGTCCCCACTTAGATGCAAATGCCTGATACCTGCTTAGAGATTTTTCCAGACAAAGAGATCAGTGTCTTAATCTAAAGAGATAATTGACTGATATAAAATTTGAGGCATCAGTCAGCAAGATAAGGTAACTTTCTTGGTTCCCTGAAATCAAGCCAGATAGACCTGCTTTACCATTTCAATATAAATGAGATTATTCCTTCAACACAACATATTATTGATTCAACATATGGTTTTTATATTCTATTAGGGAAATTTGAGATAATAAGAAAATGTAAGTGTTCCAAAAATGTATTACATGTTTTGCTAGCTTTTCTCCAGTGACAAGAGATGGAAAATACATTTGCTCTGTGTGGATCTTGCACCATGTCGAGTGACATAAATAAGATAATCTCTTTCATCCTATAATTCTTAAAACAATGTTCAGAGATATTCTTTCCCAAATGCTTTAAATTATGGTCTTTCAAAAGACAAGTACAGTATTTGTAAAGGGAAGAAGGATTTTGTAGCTTGTGTGGGAAGAGGGTTGTAATCAATGATAAAAAAGCTGAAGAACCACAATCTTGCAGGCAGCAAAGGGCAATTTACTTGGCTAGATCATGTCTCCAATAGTTGAGCTCTTATCTAATTGTACTAAAATGCTATAATGCCTGTTATGTTTATTTGGAGTATTACAAATAATTTTAGGAGGAGGGAGAAGTGAAAAGGTGGAGCACAGAGGATTTTTAGGGCAGTGAAACTACTCTATATATTATAATGGTGGATACTTGTCATTATACATTTGTCTAAACCAATCTAATGTACATGGGGTGAACCCTTATGTAAACTATGGGCTCTGTGTGATAATGTTGTATCGATATAGGTTTATCAGTTGTAACAAATGTACCACTCTGGTGAAGGCTGTTAGTAGTGGGGGAGGTTATGTGTGTGTGGGGGGTGGTATATAGAAAACCTCTGTACCTTCTGCTCAATTTTTGCTGTAAACCTAAAATGGCTCTTATGAAAAAAGATGATGAGAAGAAAAGACTGCATTAAAAATAATAAAAGTATATTCATTTAACACATGCATTTGAGCAAAGATAAAATAAATGAATAAACAATTCTGCATGCCTTATGACCAGGTGTAAATTTTGGTTGGGTCCTCAGAACCTTGTCTGCGGTACTGCAGTCAGCATGACAGCTGCAGCAGGTGCCCTATGTCTCCTCATTGCCAGCCAACTAGCATTGTGGGAAAGTTAGCTTTCTTGGCCAGAACTAAATGATAATCACGGAGCAGCAAGTCACTTTCCAGACTTTATTTATAACAGCAAATTAGCAGCAAGACAGCCAATGACCACAGTGGTTGCTGAATTAGTTTGCCTGGACTGAACTGGGCTTCCCATGGGTCTTGATAGCAAAGAGCACTGGGAAGTTGAATGTGGAATTACAAAACAAGACATTTCTCACTTCACAAGTCCTCTCCTCTCCCTACCCTTTCCTTAGGAATGTTTTAACCCCCACTTCTGGCCTTTGCTTCATAATAAATATCTCAGAAAATTATTCTATGAATTCTTTTTGAAACTGTTTCTGCCTTTGTTTTGTTGTTGTTGTTTTTGTTGTTTGTTTGCTTGTTTGTTTTGAAACATAGCCATAAGGAATGTTTTTCATTGCTCTCTTTCCTGCCCTGAATGAGGAATAGACACTTGGGGTAGAGAACGAAGAACATTTCTCAGTTCTACTGGAAGTTGGCTGCAGCATATCAAATGCATGAATAAAGCATTTGGTTCTTAAGATAGAGTTATATCTTCACTGACTCCTTTACTCTCTATAGAGTAGCGCCAACTGGTGTTTCCAAATGGCAAGTTAGTAGTCCTTAGATAGGATAATGCTGGTGAAAGCATCAACTGCAGCTTAAACCCTAGCAAAACGTGTGTGTGTGTGTGTGTGTGTGTGTGTGTATGTGTGTGTGTGTGTGGAGAGAGAGAGAGAGCGAGCGAGCATATCCTGACCTGTTGCCAGGGTTTACAGGACAGCCTAGTGTCTTGAGACAGAAATCTTACCTAAAGATTCTAAAAGTTAGCTTTAAATCAAAGTCTATTTGTCAGAAGCAAGAGTGGATGGGAAAGAATACCGCCTGGCAGCTTAAGAGTCCTAGTTGAAAACTACAGATGATCAAATAAATACCTGCTATTCCCACTTTGATCTGGAAAGTTCTGATTTCCCCCTGGTAGCCCATAGAGATCAAGGACCCTCAAAAATCCACAATTGAAGGCACTCTGATTTCCCTTCCTCCACAGAGAGCAGATTTTCTACCACTTTATCTATGCATTGATGACCTTTCCTTAGCCCTTGATGGTAACTGCTTTTGCTTCTAGGAATTCCTTGCTCAAATTCCACAAAACAACTCTATTTTTATTCTCTCCCTCCTCCAAACAGACCTTTTTCTGCATTCTCTTCTCTCTTTCCTAAATCTGCACTCAACCTTGTTCATCATGAATGCCTCCAGACTGGATAATACACCTCAAGTTTGTATTATTTTAATACCATTTCCAAACACTATCCCTGCCTCCAGTTCTTTCATAGTGGCACAGCGTTGCATTTTTCTTCTCAAATTATTTCCTCAGCTCTGCCAGCACCCTTTTCCTCTCATTCTGTTTTTTTTATTAATTCATTTTTCTCATGATTTTACAGGGCTTATGTTTCTTTATATTTCCATCAGAGTTTGAGTCAAATGTTCTTTTGTGTACTTGAATAAATCTTCCACTGGTTATTTACATCATCTGCCTCCTCCATCGCAAATTTACTGTTTCCAGTTATAAGCATTTTTGTTTAGACCCCACATTTGTGTTCTGTTTTGTGTACTTTGAATTGGGACTGTTCTGCTTGTCTTCCCAGTAGGTAGCAATGACAGAATCTTTTTATTTCATCTGACCTCTCTTTGAATCTTGCTCTTGGAACCCTAGATGGAGGGCTGGGCATTACTGCTATTAGACTATATTCAGTCCCTCGGTTCCTAATGGCACAAGGAAGGGAGTGTGGGGCTTTGAGCTGGAAACAGAGAAATCCACCTTCTTGACATTTCCTTCCCGAACTGATGAAACTCGTGCACCAGGGGTATTATGTGTCAGGCCAAGGCATGCCATTTCTAATGGAAAAGCATCTCTCATATTTTCACCCACTTAGGGCTGACCTGTCCACTTTGCAGAGAAAGTGGGTAAGGGTGAAATCTAGAGGCTTTCCAGACTTCTGTTTGTTGACACCGTGTGGAATTTTCTATACATAGTTCTCTTTGATGCACTGCTGCCAGTTGGTCTCTAGATACCATTTTATGCTGTTCCTCGCCCCAAGCATCACCTGCAGACTTCTCTCTCTCTCTCTCTCTCAGGAAGTCCAGCCAATAAAGAAGAGTATTACATGGCTCCACACTTTTCCTTTAGTGCCATAATCACTGCTCCTCCATGGGGTGTTCATTCACTGTTGCTGTATAACAAATTACTGCAATTTTAGTGGCTTAAAGCAACACACATTATTTTACAGTTTCTGTGGCTCATGTTTGAGCACAGCTTAGCTAGGTCCTCTGCTCAAGACCTCACATGCCTGCAATGCTGGTGTCAGCCAGGGCTACAGTCACCTGTAGCCAGACTGGAGAAAGATCTTCCTCCAAGTTCCCTCAGGCCGTTGGGAGAAGTCATCTCCTTGAGGTCGTAGAACCAAAGTCCTTGGTTTCTCACTAGCTGTCAGATGGAGACTGTCTTCAGGTCCTAGATGATTCCCACGGTTTCAAGAAATGTGGCTTATTCCATAGGCAGTTCACAACATGATAGCTCACTTCTTGAAGGCCAGCAGGATAATTTCTCATTCTAGTGTTTTAAGGCGAAGTCTTATATTATGTAATATAATAATGCGAATAGCATCCCAGCAACTTTTCCATTGTCTATTGGTTAGAAGCATCCACACTCAAGGGGAAGGGATTCTACAAGAATGGATTCATTGCAGGTCACCTTGGGGTATGAAGAATGAAACTGGCCATTTCTTCTTAGCAGAGCCTCTCAGAATTTATTGCCTCTCTTCTTGTACCACAAACACCTTCTAAAGACTCTGCAACCCTCTGAATAGGGAACATCAAGTTCTAGATGCAGTACATTTCCACAATCAAGAAAATAATTGTAAAGGTATCTGATTTTACAGTCCATAAGCATTAACGTCAATTTGGTTGGTTTAATTATCAAGTGTCAGATTCCATCCTAAGAAATCACTTAGAAACACAGTACTAATGTCTAGGACAGTATTTCTCAACCTCAACATTATTGACATTTGAATCTGTATAATTCTTTGTGGTGGAGCACTACCCTGCGCATTGTAGGATGTTTAGTAACACCCCTGGCCTCTGCACACCACATACCAGTAGCACTCCTCACCTTTCTGGTTGTATCAACTAAAAATGTCTCCAGACACTGGAAAGTGTCGCTTGGTAAGTGGGGGTGCATAATCAACCTCAATTGAGATCCACTAAGCCAGGGTCTTTCCCCAGGTTTCCATTAAGGAGACAGTGGGCGTCTCTTGATTGCAGTAAAATCCATGCAGTGTAATTTCATGGAAACATAATTAGGGTGAAATTGGTATGAACACAGCTGTGAGTCTCCCACTGCATTACAACTGATGATCTAAGGCAATTGGAAATTTAGAACTGGTTTCAGGCAGCCTACTAGGGTTTAAAGGGTTCCAGTCCTAATTTGGACCATAATTTCTGTATGCTCAGGTCACCTCATCTGTAAAATATGTATATTTTACACATTTCTATAAAATAATGGTAGAATAATGGTATTGTAGCACCAGAAGCCATACTTTTATTTGATTTGAAAAGTTCTCTATGTTTATTGAAATTCTCCACCGCCGCCCCCTCCCCCCACACCAACAATGTACCTAGTAGTTGAAATATCTATTTACCATTGACAGTCTCAGGACATTTAACTAAAAAAGAATGAAGTTTTGCAACTTATATAATTAAACATTAATAAAAACTCAGATGAAAGATACAGTTATTTTAATGAATCTGTACACAAGATCCATTTCCAAAGGTTTATGTCCCCATTTTTACACTTTAAGACTTTATTTTTTAGCCCTTCCAATAATAAAATGTACACAACTGGAAATGAAAGTCCTCAGACACATGTTTGGCAATCTATTAGAAATTGCAATTTGTATAGATGACCCCATAAATCTAAAGTACTGGCACTCATGAAAGATTATTTCCATTTATTTTGTTTCATTATGTAATATTTTTCTCTAAGCCAAGGTAGTATTAGGTCCTGCCAGTGCTATACTCATAACCTGATGATTTCATTTATTTTGTAAACATCTGCAGTCTTAGACCTACCTATTTAAGTCATTCTGCTATTGGCAGCGTTAACTGAAATATATTCTGCAACCAAGGTCTTAAAATAGAGACCTATTAATAATCTATTGCTACAATATAAACTGGCTAAAAACATGAATGTCTCTTTACATTCTAGGCTTTAAATAAAAAGTAAAATTAAGGATACATCTTAATGTGCCATTTGGATCATTAACACATTTGTGTAGAAATTAAGTTTTTACATTTTGAAAATTGTTGCTGAGCCAGTTACTTTTGGAAACTCTTAGAGATCAGATCCTTCTAATCAGTAACACGCTTCTTTCTCTGAGTGCAGATAGAATGAAGAGAGGAGAGGATGATAGCATTATTTGCCAACTCTGTGGCTCTCCACTTTTCCCTCCATAATAAGTTAGCAAATTCTTTTTCTTGCTTTACTTTGATTACCCAGGGATAGATTCACTATTTCTAAGTTTCATACCTAAAATGGTTTTACATTGCAGTCTTGGTTTACACTTGTTTTCCTGGTGTCATTATTTTCAAAATCTTCATTCACTCTCAAAAGCTTTCTGGTTTGGACGATAACATATGTGGTCCTCCTTCTAATCACCTCTTCTTGACAGCCTGGTGAAAAAGTGGTCCATGTTTCTATTTAGGTGGTATCACCACATATGTCCACCAGGGAGTGCTCTTGTTTTTGGCTTACATCCCTCAGCTAGAGGTGGTTTTTCTCCTGGCAAATTTTAAGTGAGGAGAAAAAGCCTGTGGATTTCTGTGAGAAGACATTTAACTAGACACAAAGCTCTCAGTAGAACTTCTAAAACTTGGAAGCAAAAAAATAAAAACACAGTCTACCTTGAAACCATAAGAAAATATCAGCACCTGTAGAAGGAACAGAAGACAGTTATTCCTAGGAGAAAAATAAGAGGAAGCATCTAGGGTTCTAGAAATTATGTATTATGTGATTATCTGGGAATTATAATTCAGAGAGAATTTATGAGCATGTCTCTTTCAGTAGTGATTACAGCTGCTTTTTTAGGTAACTGAAGAAGGTCAATGCAATACTGTCATATGTTTCTTCAGCAACTCTGCTAAACCATGTAAAAGCTGAATTATTTCTTTATAAAGGCATCAATATTGTATTTTATTACCTTCCCCCAAAATGTGCCAGACTTAACTAGTGTGAATTATTTACCTATTTGTTTGCCTTTCCTCCCATTTAAATGGCTGCTTATTTAAAGCTACCTACAGGAAACTTTATCACAGCAAATCTTTCCTTGCTTTTGCAAATTGGTTCTTTTCATGAGCTAAATCACCTAGTACAGAGCACATGACCCAAAGACTAGACTATGGTTTACTACAACCTGCTGCCCAGCAGGAAACCCTGGCCCCTCATATGCTAAGACCACAGAGAATGATAATAAGCGTTCCTTTGTTGCATTTATTTTTATCTTGGTTGTAGATATAACCTGTGTGTTATAATTGGGTTGAGGTTAATGCTGACAACATTTTCCTTCCCTCTAGGCTAATAGTATCTTTCTTTTTTCAACTCACATTTTCCCATAAGCTACACTGTGGGAGGGCTGCCAATATATTTACTTACTTACAGTTTAATATGAGCAAAGCAGTCTTCATCAGGTGATTTTCAGGTCATGGTTTTATCAGTGGTGAACTTGTCATGACTCGATGTTTCTCTTTTTTATGACTTCTTTCTCAGCCATGACTTTGACCATAGAGTCTTACATACTCTATGTACTTAACAGAGAGAAAGGAAGTTTGTAGATCTAGTAACAGGCTGATAAGGAACAACAAGGCTGACTGAAACCTTTCCCACCCTGAATGACACTTAGATCACTGCTTTTAGAATACTAGTTTCTTCTATTTAATTCTTTTGGTATGATTTTAGATTCCAATGGGGAGGGAGAAATATATGGCCATCCACCCTTTCAGGAGTTGTGCTTTTCATGTTTTTATTACCTTTGAAATTCCCTAATGGCACCAAAATTGACAGCTCCTACCTTAGAAAATTTCATCAGTATTCTCTGCTCTGTATGAAATGAATTTCCTCATTCCTATGAAATTTATGATGTGAGGAGTGAGCCACCATAAATATTTTTCCCCTCACTGTGACATTATTCAGACAGTCAGTGAGTTATACTTTTGAAATTATCTGATGTAGCCCGATTGACAATATTTTTAGTTTTCTTTCCTTTCAAGTGTCAAACACAAGTCATTTTCTATAGGAGACTGATAAACTGTTAAAGCAAAATGAGATATTTACCCAAATAAAATTATAATATGAGATGCAATTAATTCCTTGTTTATTGTGTCTTTGAAAATGTCGAATTGTGTTTCTCTGTGGTTGTGTGTATATGTGCATTCTGAAGCACCTTTCTTTTTGCAAAAGGCTTATTGATATGGTTTGGCTGTGTCATGACCCAAATCTCAACTTGAATTGTATCTCCCAGAATTTCCACATGTTGTGGGAAAGACCAGGGGGATGTAATTGAATCATGGGGGCTGGTCTTTCCTGTGCTATTCTCATGATAGTGAATAAGTCTGATGAGATCTGATGGGTTTATCAGGGGTTTCCACTTTTGCTTCTTCCTCATTTTTCTCTTGCTACTACCATGTAAGAAGTGCCTTTTGCCTCTTGCCATGATTCTGAGGCCTCCCCAGCCATGTGGAACTGTAAGTCCAATTAAACCTGTTTTTGTTCCCAGTTTTGGGGATGTCTTTATCAGGAGAATGAAAATGAGCTAATACAGTAAATTGGTACTAGAAGTGGGGTATTGCTGAAAAGATACCCAAAAATGTGGAAGTGACTTTGGAACTGGGTAACAGGCAGAGGTTGGAACAATTTGGAGGGCTCAGAAGAAGACAGGAAAATGTGGAAAAGTTTGGAACCTCCTAGACACTTATTGAATGGCTTTGACAAAAATATTGATAGTGATATGAACAATAAGGTCCAGGATGAGGTGGTCTCAGATGAAGATGAGGAACTTGGGAACTAGAGCAAAGATGACTCTTGCTATGTTTTAGCAAAGAGACTAGCGGCATTTTCCCCCTGCCCTAGAGATTGGTGGAACTTTGAAATTGAGAGAGATGATTTAGGGTATCTGGCAGAAGAAATTTATAAGCAGCAAAGCATTCAAAAGGTAACTTGGGTGCTGTTAAAAGCAATCCATTTTAAAAGGGAAATTGAGCATAAAAATTCAGAAAATTTGCAGCCTGATGATGCAGTAGAAATGAAAAACCCATTTTTTGAGGAGACATTCAAGCTGGCTACAGAAATTTGCATAAGTACCAAGGAGCCTAATGTTAATTCTCAAGACCATGGGGAAAATGTCTCCAGGCCATGTGAGAGACCTTCATGGCATCCCCTCCCATCACAGGCCTGGAGGCCCAGGAGGAAAAAGTGGTTTCATGGGCCAGGCCCAGGGTTCCCATGCTGCGTGCAGCCTAGGGACTTGGTGCCCTGCGTCCCAGCCACTCCAGCCATGGCTGAAAGGGGCTAATGTAGAGCTTGGGATGTGGCTTCAGAGGGTGCAAGCCCCAAGCCTTGGCAGCTTCCATGTGGTGTTGAGCTTGCAGGTACACAGAAGTCAAGAATTGAGGTTTGGGAACCTCCGCCTAGATTTCAGAAGATGTATGGAAATGCCTGGATGCCCAGGCAAAAGTTTGCTGCAGAGGTGGGGGCCCTCATGGAGAACATCTGCTAGGGCAGTGTGGAAGGGAAATGTGGGGTCAGAGCCCCCAAACAGAGTCCCTACTGGGGTACTGCCTAGTGGAGCTATGAGAAGAAGGCCATCATCCTCCAGACCCCAGAATGGTAGATCCACTGGCAGTTTGTACTGTGTGCCTGGAAAAGCCATAGACACTCAATGCCAGCCTGTGAAAGCAGCCAGGAGAGAGGCTGTACCCTGCAAAGCCACAGGGGCGGCTGCCCAAGACCATGGGAACCCACCTCTTGCATCTGAATGACCTGGATGTGAGACCTGGAGTCAAAGGAGATCATTTTGGAGCTTTAAAATTTGACTGTCCCACTGGATTTCAGACTTGCATGAGCCCTGTAACCCCTTTGTTTTGGCGAATTTCTCCCATTTGGAACAGCTGTATGTATCAAATGCCTGTACCCCCATTGTATCTAGGAAGTAACTAGCTTGCTTTTGATTTTACAGGCTCATAGGTGGAAGGGACTTGCCTTGTCTCAGATGAGACTTTGGACTGTCAACTTTTAGTTAATGCTGAAATGAGTTAAGACTTTGGGGGACTGTTGGGAAGGCGTGATTGCTTTTGAAATGTAAGGACATGAGATTTGGAGGGGCCAGGGGGCAGAATGATATGGTTTGGCTGTGTCCCCACCCAAATCTCAACTTGAATTGTATCTCCCAAAATTCTCATGTGTTATGGGAGGGACCCAGTGGGGGGGGGGGTAATTGAATCATGGGGGCTGGTCTTTCCTGTGCTATTCTCATGATAATGAATAACTCTCACAAGATCTGATGGGTTTATCAGGGGTTTCCGCTTTTGCTTCTTCCTAATTTTTCTCTTGCTGCCACCATGTAAGAAGTGCCTTTTGCCTCCTGCCATGATTCTGAGGCCTCCCCAGCCATGTGGAACTGTAAGTCCGATTAAACCTCTTTTTATTCCCAGTTTTGGGTATGTCTTTGTCAGCAATGTGAAAAAAAAACTAATACACTTATATTTCAGAATGAGTAAACAGATGGAATATTCAAATAATTTGGGTGCTCTGTAGGAGTGATGGAGAATTTCTGATGTTAGTATTAAGAATCTTATTTCTGATTATCAAAATAAAGCCAAAATCTTTGGTGGGTCATTATTTAAAATAATGAACATTTTCCAACATAGTAGGACAACAAATAAGCATGGATTTTGAAATTTCTTGCCTCTTCTCTGTGAATAAAAGCAGAATGGTATAATTGATAATTAAAAGCATCTTCTTACATAGGAAAATTCCAGAAGAAAGAAGCCACATTGGTTGGAAGCTTTGGAAAGACCAATTACTTAAGAGCGAGATCCCCTTGTGTATGGAAGATTTGATGGCACATGGATTTGGACAGGAGAATATGCACATTGACGACATAAAAGCCTTCAGACAAACTCTAATGTGACATTTTAAATTTTGGTAGAGCGAGAAAAGTGTTGGGGAAAAGACAGTTGTTTGGATATCATCAGGGGATCAGAAATAATGGAAGAATAGAAAATAAAAAACAGCATGGATAAAATGCCTATAGTCTCAACCCAGTATATTTAAAACTCAGTGCTGGGAATAAAAGAAATCACAAGATAGATACTAATCTCAATTAAACAATTAACTCTCATAATGGTGTTTACTAATGCCCCATAATAGCAGATATACCACCAGATGGCAATTTTATTCAGTAAATGTGACTTCAAAGAGTTGAATTAAAGTCTTCATGTGGATCTACCATACGGCAATTACTGCACTAAACATGTGTATTTCTATTTTGTAAAATTAAAATATAATTTAAATGTCTGAGAGGGCTTATGTTTTATAGAAACCTGTGAGTATCTTTTGAATACTGAAAAACATTAATTGATCTGATTGTATTATGAATAATACCCCTTAATGAATTTTTTTAAAAAAATAGCTAGATGCAGTGTCTCATACCTATAGTCCCAGCTACTCTGGAGGCTGAGGTGGGTGGGAGGATCTCTTGAGCTCAGAAGTTTGAGGCTGCAATGAACTATGATTGTACCACTGCACTCCAGCCTGGTCAACAGAGCAAGACCCTGTCTCTTAAAGAAATTAGTGAATTAAAATTAAAATTAAAAAATTCTGGATGCTGGACATGTGGGCATGATTTCTCGTGCCTGTAATCCCAGCACTTTGGGAGACTGAGGCAGGAGGCTTATTTGAGCCCAGGAGCTCAAGACCAGCCTGGGCAACATAGTGAGATCCCATCTCTACAAAAAATATAAAAATTAGCCAGGGGTGGTGTGCACCTGTAGTCCCAGCTATTTGGGAGGCTGAGGTGGGAGGATCACTGAAGCCCAAGAGGTTGAGGCTGTGGTGAACTGTGATTGCACCACTGTACTCCAGCATGGGCAACAGAGCAAAATTCTGTCTCAAAAAAAAATTCTGAGATTGGACAGATACATGCTGGCTGTTCTGCCTATTTTTTATCTTTTAAAAATTATTTTCAAACAATAAAAGTTATAGAAGAAAAACACTCTTAAACCTATTATATAATAATGATTGATATAACTACTACCATTTATAGACAGCATTATATTTGAGTATTTTCTAGTCATTTGCATATCTGCCTGTGTCTGTGTGCGTGTGTGTGTATGTGTGTGTGTGTGTGTGTGTGTGAATGCTTTTGGGGATATATCCTGTGAGATTTTACATGCACACAAAAGCACACACACTAAAATGTAGGCAGAGGGAGGAAATGGTTCTGTAGTTAAATGTTATAGAAATGCTGTGTACTTACCTTCTTCTTGTGGGTATACAAATTTCTTTAGAGTGTTGAAGGCTCTAAAACATCTGTAATAAAGGAACTTGCTTAATTTTGCATTACTCACCATTTCCCAAACATATTTGACTCTGAAACTGTTTTGTTGTTGTTGTTGTTTTCTCTATAGCAACTAATAACTCAAAGAACACATCTGAAAAAATATCGAGGCTTTCTATTTAAAAGTTTATAATTCCAAAAAAAGTTTATATTCCTGGAATGGATATGTGACTGGGTCATTAATGTTTAATCTATCAGAGAGTAATAGGCAATTCTCTTTAAGACTCTGGAGAAATGAGAGAATTTGGGTGCTTAAGGAATAGGGTGACAAGAGTGCCTCTCTTTCAAAGATGGGGCAAGGTGAGGAAGTCCGGGTGGGATGTGACGTGGAGGGCCCTGCAAAGCTAGGCTGGTCCTGAGAACACTCTATTCATTTTCTGTTGCTGCCTCACAAGTTACCAAAACCATAGTTGCTTAAAACAACACACATTTATGATCCTCCAGTTTCCATGGGTCAGAAGTCCAGGCAGGGCTGAGCTGGATCTTCTGCTCAGCACCTCACATGGCTGCAGCGAAGGTGGTGTCTGGGCTGTGTTCCTTTCCTGGGGCCATCACCCAAGTTCACCTGGTTGTAGGCAGAACTGTTTCTTGGTACTATAAGACTGAGGTCCCCACTCTCTTGCTGGCTGTCAGCTTGAGCTACTCACAGAGACCACTTGCATTCCTTGCCATGTTCCCCTTTCACAGGCCTCTCTGACAGAGGCCCTCTCACAAGAGGGCAGCTCACTTCCAGGCCCCAAGGGAGAGTCTCTCACTCCAACCTGCTGAGATAGAGTCTAACACGACACCCCAGCACCTTCACCATCTTCTGTGGATTAGAAACAAGTCCCAGGTCTCACTTATACTCAAGGGGAGGGGATTATAGAAGGCTGTAACTCACTGGGGTGACCTTAGGGTGTGTCCACCAAGAATACCAAAGGCCTAAGGTTGGGGGTGGGAGAGGAATGGGGGCTAAGAGTTCTAGGGGAAAGTCAAAGAGAGAAGTTTAAAATGTGGTGGCAACAGACTTTCCAAGCCTATTTCCTCCATTCCTAATCAGGCTCAATTCCTTCCTGCTCGCCAGCCTGTACTTGACATACAGGTTTATGCACTCAGTGCCCTCCTCTTAGAATTCCTTGCTCTTTGTTGATATCACCCAGGGTCAGCATCAAGATTCAGGAAGCCTCCCAGGTAGACAGGTCTGTTTACCCAAGCTGGGTTATGTAATACTTTGGCCTCTTTTTTAGCTTCCCCTCTTTCTGGCACCAGTATGCACTAAGCAGAAAGAGGTACAAAAGTCTTGTTCAAGGAGAAACAAAAAATACTCATATCATTAAACATGTTTTCCTTGAATACAAATATAGTTATATTATTTGCCTTCAAATGACAAGGCAAAGGATTGATACGTTTAGGGTTTTTTTCTTTCTTCCCCCCAAAGCATGTAACAACTGTATAATACAATGTTCTGTATAATTACTAACCAAGTACTAGGTTATGATTCTGCTGTTCAGCTGCAGAAATTACCACATACATATAGTTTGAAGGGAACAATTGGCCCCAAAGAAAATTAATAAGCATGTCTTCTCCTATTAGATTCCTGTTAAGATTTCATAGACAAGTGTGTTGGTGGAGAATTCTTGGTGCCTTTGCTGCAGGCGTATACATTTTTTGTGCTGCAAGGATGATTAGCAGCCCCTGAAGGGTGTAAACTCTGGACCTGTCCCAGGGAGCTTTGTTAATTCCTTGCAGACAGAGGAGGCAGAAGTGCAGGTGAGAGTCATGGGTCCTGGGCTCACGTTCCCATCTTGTCTTATTGTGTTTAGGCTACTATCACAAAATACCATGCAAAATAAACTGGCAGCTTCTGAACAGCAACCTTATTTCTCAAAGTTCTGGAGGCTGGGAAGTCCAAGATCAGGTCACCAGGAGATTCTGTGGCTGGTGAGGGCTCACTTCCTGGTTCATAAATGGAAACTTCTCCCCATGTCTTCACACCGTGAAAGAGGTGAACAAGATCTCTGAGACCTCTTTTATAAGAACACTAATCCCATTCATGAGGGCTCTGCCCTCATGACCTAATCACCTCTCAATTCTTAGGAGTTGGGATTTCAACATATGAACAGCAGGAGCATAAACATTCAGTCCATTGCACACCTCAACTCGGAATTGGTGGTGTGGTCTCAGACCAGCAACTTGACTTCTAGGGTCTATTTTCTTGCCTGTAAAATGAAGTCCTTTGCAGTTTTCAAGTGCTCCAAGCTCTGTGTAAAGAATGGCATGTTCCAGTGTGTTTACCAAAAGACTAGAGGTGGTGAACTGGTGCTGGAGAATTGAAGGGTTTTCGTGACAGTCTGAGTAGAACAGCTGTTCTTTCATTATGGATTTCTGTCCCCAGGGAATAGTAACTTTTGTTACTTACATACTATGTATAAAACAGAAAGCACTACCTGGAAATAAGGGAGAATGTTGCTAATTTGCTCCTTTTTCCTGTCAGTTAAATCAACCAAAATAGTTTTAACTTTATATTGAAGAATAGTCTACATATAGAAAAGGACACATATTTTGATTGCACAACTCAATGAATTTTCACAGATTGAACACACCCATATAACCAACATTCAGATGAAAAATGTAGAACATTAGCAGTCTTTCCTGAGAAGGCTGTCATACTCCTCTCCATAAGAATAACCACTGTCTTAATGTCTCACAGCATAGGTTTGTTTCACCAGGTTTTGTACTATATATGCTATATATAAATGCTATGTGCCCTTTTCTGTCTGGCTTCCTTGACTCAATATTATGTTTGTGAAATTCATCCATATTGATCAGATAATTGTAATCATTCATTTTCATTTTGGTGTCACATTTCATTAAAAGAATATAGATGTTTCTTTATTTCTTGTACTGTCAATCAGCATTTAGGTGGTTTCCAGATTTGGGCTACTATGAATGGTGTTGCCAGGAAGGTTCTAGTGTCTTCCTTTTAATGGACATATATATGCATTTCTATGGAGAGTAAACCAAGGAGTGGAATTGCTGAGTCACAGAATGTGCTTATGTTGGGAATTTGTAGATATTGCTAATCACTTTTCAAATCAGTTGCCCAAAATGATTCTATTGATCTGTAGTCCCATCAATTGTGTGTCAGAATTCCAGTTGCTCTACTCTTTGCTCTACATCTTTTTCAATTTAACCATGCTGGTGGGTGTGTACTGATATCAGCACCAGGTTTTAATTTATATTGCCCTGATAACTAATGTAGTTGAGTATCTTTTCATATGTTCGTTGGCCATTTGGATAAACATTTGTGGAGTGTCTGTTCAAGTCTTTCATCCATTTAACTATGTGGTTGTTTGCTTTTTCATTGATTTGTACAATTATCTATCTCTATATATCTATGTCTATATATATACATATTACCTATAGATATAATGAGTCTTTTATTAAATAGATGGATAGTGTCAACCAATGAAGTTTTTCATTAATGAATGTGTTTGGTGTCTACTAAGAGCTTCCTCTCTGGGCATAGTGCAACAAGAGATACATGTGAGAAGCCTAAGTTAAGGTCCTTATGATAAGTCATTTACAGTTTGGTTGGGAAACCAGGCAACCACCTGAGTGGCAGTTGAGTAACAGCTGCAAGTGAGTGTGGGATGAAGTGCCTGTTGAGAGGTGAAGTCCTTTGAGTACTACAGGAATTTGAAGAAGTAGTCTGGAGAACATAACAAGGGCCACAGGAAAAGAAGTATCTAAGCTGATACCTGGAGAATAGATAAGAATTGGAGAAACAGTGATATGGTTTGGACCTGTGTCTCTGAACAAATCTCATGTTGAATTGTAATCGCCAAAATTGGAGGTGAGGCCTGGTGGGAGGTGATTGAATCTTGGGGGTGGATTTCTCATGAATGGTTTAGTATCATCCCCTTGATATAGTTCTCATAATACTCAGTTCTTATGATATCTGGTCTTTTAAAAGTGTGTGGCATCTCCCCACCTCTCTCTCTTGCTCCTGCTCTGGCCACGTAAAGTGCCTGCTCCCCTTTTGCCTTCTGCCAGGATTGTAAGTTTCCTGAGGCCTCCCCAGAAGCCAAACAGATGCCAGCATCATGCTTCCTGCACAGTCTGCAGAACTGTGAGCCAATTAAGCCTATTTTATTTTTAAATTGCCCAATCTCAGGTATTTCTTTATAGCAATGTGGAAACAAACTAATACAAGCAGAAACAGCCTGAGCAAATGCTGAGGGACAGGTAAGACTCCACTTTTTTCCGATACAGTGAGGCTCCTGGGCTAGTCAGAATGGGGGATTTGTGAAGGGGATGTATACACAGCCAAGCACACATAAATGTTCATTATTACCTGGAAGCCCTTCCTTTATAAGAGTTTAAAAACGAGATAAGGAAAGAGACAATGAAAAAAGAAAGCTTGATCTGAAATGGCCAGAAAGTACATAAAGCCCATATCAGTTTTACTGCAAATTTCTTTTTCTCCTCTTGGATTTTTGATCGGATACTTTAAACTCATATTTTTCAAAGGCATTTTATTCTCATCTTCTTTCTTTGAAACTAACACATCAAATATTAGTAAGGGATGATTGGAGGAGAGAGACTAATTAGTTTATTAAGCATGAAAGAGTTTTTTCTTCTTTGGGAAGCTTTTTTTATATATAGCTCAGTCTTCTAAGAAGTAAGTTCACAATTTTTCCTTTGTTTCCCCTTGGAGAGTATTAGAATGGCAAACACTTTTATTTTGCTGAACAAGTACCTACAAATGTGCCTACAACAACATTCCAGGGACTGTTCTGAGCACATCACATCACATGTCTTTATTCGTTTAATCCTCATAATGACTATGAATTGGCACTATTATTATCAGCCTTACTGGCAGATCGAGAAGCTGAGGCACCAGGAGCTTCAAGGACATTGCTGCAAATTGTATCAGTGATAAGCAGCTGAACTAGGATTTTAAAAAAAAGCAGTCTGCCTCCAGATTCTATGCCATAAACCAAGGAGCAACAAACTTTGTCTGAGAAGGGCCAGATAACAAATATTTCAGGCTTGGTGGACTATACAATCTCTGTAACAACTTCTCAACTCTGCCACTGTAATAGGAAATAAGAAAGCAGCCATAAACAATATGTGAATAAATGAGCATGTCTATGTTTTGATAAAATCTTATTTTACATAAACAATGGGCTAGATTTGACCTATTGGCCATGGTTTTCCTATCCCTGATCTAAAACAGAATGATATATTTCCCCTTATGCATGCAGAGGATTTAAGTAAGGTCTTCTTTTTTACTATATTCTATTTCCTGTTTCCTGGTCAGACATCAGTGGTTCTCATTCTGGGGTGATTGTATCTCCCAGGGGCCTTTGGTAGTGTCTAGAGACATTTTTTATTTACCACAATTGGGAAGGTTGCTTCAGCATCTGATGTGTAAAGGCCATGGATGATGTTAAACATCCTACAATATGCAGGGTATCCCCACAGTAAAGGATTATATGGTCCCAATGTTAATTATGCCAAGAGTGAGAAACCTTGGACCAGTTGAATTAGATTCATTTTCCAACCTGTAGAGTGCCCCCTCTTCTCTATTTCTCTCAGAATGATGGTACTCCTCTTACTGCCTCCTAGGTAGCTCAACACTTCCAAATAACAACAACGATGATTATGGTGGTGGTGGTGGCAGCTGGCATCTACTGAGCACCCATTATGGGCTGGGTAATTGTACATATAATATCTTAAAATATCCCATTTTATTCAAAAATAAATTCATAAAGTAGATATTATGATTTTGCCTGTTCATATGAAGGAATATAAGTGCCTACATCCAAAACCTGGATCTTTCCATTCTACCCTGCTGCCTCTTTCTTCTTATAATGAATTCTATCATTGGACATAAACATAGACATAGGACTTCACATTCTGGACAGCCTCCATGAACACCAGTTATGCTAGGAGAGATTGATAGACATATATTTAAGTTTTATTTGTAAAATTGCTTCTCTAACCATAATTAGCTCAAAAAATAGTTTTTGTGAGGATCTTGGACTGAAACTTTGATGTTTTCCTCGTTTTCCACATCAGGAAATAAGGTCAATGGTCAACCCCATGCCTTCCCTGTTGATAATAGCTTTTGCATGCAGATATTTTCCCTTTCCATTGCGTTACCTCCTGCCTAGTCTGCCTTGAGATGGAGCTCCCATTGTCCTGAAAGGAAGTAACCAGTGGACAGAGGTTGAAAAGAGAAAGAGAACTGGCAGAGCACAACAAATGTGGTGCTGGAGGAGGCTATGAATATGAGATTAGAGTAGTAGCCAAAAGGCCCATCAGGAAAAGCAATGGAGCTTGAGGCTCATGTGCCAAACCTCATTCCCATTCTCATCATGATGCCTTAGTTGTGTTCATTCATCCAACGAACATTACTGAGCCCCATGCTGCATGCCTGTCAATCACCTAAGTATTGGGACACAGTAGTGATCAGGTCAGACAAAAGCCTCAACTCCAAGACCCTATAAAGTAAAAGTGACTTCTACAGTATGATGGAAAGTAACATGCACTCTGGAGAAAAATAAATCAGCAAAGGGAATGGGAAGTGCTGGAAGGGAGACTCCAGATTGTCAATGAGGTGGTTAGAATAGGTCTGCCTGTGAAGGTTACTGGCAGATTTGAAAGAGGTGAGAGAGCAAGTAATCAAGATATCTAGGGGGAAAAGTTCTAGAAAGAGGGAACCACAAGGGCATAGACCTTGAGGTTGGAAGATACATGCTTAATTGTAGGAGTGGTAAGGAGACTTGTGTGGCTGGACTGGAGTCAGGTAAGGATGGAAATTAAAGAGGTAAGTGGGGAACTGCCCAGACAGTACAGTGTCCATAGAATGTGGGGAAGATTGTGGCTTTTCCTTTGGGCAAGATAGGGAATCATTTAGAGGGTTATGAGCAAGGGAATTAGAAGAGCTGCATTGTTTGAAAATGGAATCCTCTGGATGCAGAGTTGAGAAGAGAGTGTCCATTCTACAGGAAGAAGGGTCTAGTCATATAAATTTCTTTCTCCCTTGAGATTCCCTTCCCTCCTTTTCCCCCAAGCCAGAGAATAACCACATGTATGAGAGTCTACTTGGGGGTTAGAAGAGTTGTCTTTATCCAAATCTCAAGGCAAGAAGAGGCATTAATGACCATCTCATCCTGTTCTCTCATTTTACTGATGAGAAAACCAAGAA
Organism: Homo sapiens; assembly: GCF_000001405.40. Classification (NCBI taxonomy): domain Eukaryota; kingdom Metazoa; phylum Chordata; class Mammalia; order Primates; family Hominidae; genus Homo; species Homo sapiens. The sequence goes on from NC_000023.11 coordinate 12,093,514, forward strand.
CAGTTTACTGTTTATTATTATTTGATGTTAAGGATGCTAGGAGTCCAAAGTCTGCCTAGCTTTCTAGTAGTTGCAGACAAAACCAAGACAAAAAAAAAAAAAAAAGTCTTGCTGAGGACATCACCAGTCTGCCAGATGAGCAAATCAGCAATTTCAAAAAGGCATATGTAGTATGACAGAAGTATGCTTTGTACTATTGAAGTACAGAGGAGAGATATCCAACTCAGTCTGGAGATCAGGGAAGGCCTCCTGGATGAGGCAACCAAAAATCACTGTCCTACTTGAATTCTGTGCTGGGGCTTCAGTCTGACCAGCTCTCCTGCCTCATCTGTCTAGTTCTCTTCTTTCTACAACATGGCACCTCCTAGGACCTAGAAGACTACTTGCATGAAAAAAAAAAAGAACCCTCCAATTATTTAGAAAGAAAAAAGGCAACACAGCAGCTAAAACTGGTTTCATAATTTCTGTGACAGAATTATAGGTAGACAAAAATAGAAAAGATATATCAAAGACTAATTCTTTGGCTTTCCAAATCTTCTCATTTGCAGTGGCCATTGTCTTCTGGGATTTAGGCTTGGTTTTCTCTAGGTGATAGCAATAGTTCTGAGAATAATTAATATACTGCTGCTTATTCATAAAGCCTCTCAAAGACCAGGAGGGTGACAATTTAATAAACATAACAATAAATACAAATCAGCTGCCCTGTTATACTTGTTCTTGACTTTTTTGTTCCCATATTAAGACCTCAAGCAGTTTATTGACATTAATTAATTAACTCAACACCCTTGGGTGAGACTGGTGGATATTAATATTACCCTTCATCTTACAGAAGAGAAATTGAAGCAAGGCTCTCTCCTTGACCAAATTCTGGAACAGGCAGAGTTGACTTTTCCTGCTTTTCTAGATCCCTTTTCATTCTGTCTTCTTGCATTTCCTCATTTATCCTGTATCAGTAGTTCCAGAGGCTCCATGCTGTGCCCACACCATTTCCCAGACTTGCAGTCCATGGGCTGCCAACTTTTTACCTTCAACTATGGCCGTGTCCAGCTCATCTGTTACACCAACTTCACAGCAGGCAGTAGGGTGTGGTTAAATGTATGGTTTCTAGGTCAGACTGCCTGCGTTTGAACTTTGATCCCAGCACTTATACTCTTGTGAGTGTGGGTAAGTTACTTAACAATTCTGTGTCTGAGTTTTCTCATTGATAACACAGACATGACCGACATGCTCACCTACTAGCATTGTTGCATACATTAACTGAAAGTATATATGGAAAAGTGATTCTGAGTTCAAATCCCAGTTTACCACTTTGTTACTGTGAAGCATTCTCTATGCCTCAGTCTCAATTCATGTTACCTGTACGTATAATTATTGGTAAGGGAGTGATGAGTTTTAAAGGACAAGTCATATATGTATTTTACCCAAACTCAGGTTTTACTCACTCAGTCACAGAATTGGAAGCAAACTCCATCATCTAGTCCAGGGATTGGCATCATGGGCTCATGACCTAAATTCAGCTCACTGTCTATATTTTCATAGTCCATGCCCTAAGAATTGTTGAGAAAAGGAAATAAAAATAAAGGCTGGTCACAGTGGCTCACCCCTGTAGTCCTAACACTTTGAGAGGCCAAGGCAGGAAGATTGCTTGAGACCAGGAATTTGAAACCACCCTGGGTAATGTAGTGAGACCCTGTCTCTATAAAAACATTTAAAAATTAGCTGGACATGGTGGTACATGCTTGCGGTCCCAGCTACTCGAGAGGCTGTGGTGGGAGGATCACTGGAGCAGGGGTGGTTGAGGCTGTGGTGAGCCATGATTATGCCACTGCACTCCAGCCTGGGTGAGAGTAAGACTCTCTGTCTCAAAAAAAAAAAAAAAATACTATTTCATGACATGTGAAAATTAAATGAAACTCAAATCTCAGCATCCATTAAATAAATTTCAATTGAAACACAACCATGTTCATTTATTTACATATGTCTGTGGCTGTTTTATTGATACAATGACAGTTGAGTAGTTGTGACAGAGACTATGTTGCCCACAAAGCCTAAAATGTTTACTCCCTGGCCCTTCACAGACAAAGTTTGCTGACCTCTGCTCTAGTCCAGCAAAAAGGTCATCAGTTTGGATACTTTTTGCATTGGTGAGCTCACTACTTTATTAAGCCACCTCCCCTGTTGTCCAAGGAAGTTCTAAGTAGCCACACAGAAAGTCTGCCTCCTGGTAATGTCCCCCTATGGGTCCTGATTTCTTCCTCTAGAACAGCAAAGAGAAGGCTAATTCTTCATGCACATGACAACACTTCAACCACATTCCATCAATTCTCTCTTGTCTGGATTATCCATTCTCAGACCTCTCTGTTGTGCCTTAGTGTTTCCAGACCCCTCTCCATCCTGCTTCCTGTGAAAGCATGTCTGGGCTTGGTCCACCCTAATCTGATCTCAGGATCTCTGCCTTTCCCTCTGTAAGATTCATACCATGACTGAAGACCTGCCTTCTCTGGGTAGCTAATAAGCTTCACAAGGGCAAGGGCCTTATTTTCTTGTGTTTCTCTATATTCCCAGCATGGTTTTGTTCCTGATGGCTCAATTATTTATTGAAGGTTACCGAATGACTGATCTGTAATATACTTCTTAAAACATTATATCGGAAACAGGTATAATATTCCAAATATCATCTGAACCCTATATTTTGTTACTGCTGCCCGTGACCATAATATTCTTTTAAAAAATAAATTATATATGCAATTCATATGGAAATTATTTGAAAGTAAAAGTCACAGACTTCTTTTAAATCAGTGATTGTGGAATTGGGTTGCCTCCATTGCATTCATGTAGAATGTATTTATTGAACATTTATATCTATTCCTAATTAATTTTGTTTGTTTCAGTACTTAGTTTCAGCTTATTGAAATATTTTTTAGTTTTAACTTTATTACCCAATATATTTTCTACTCCCCCCTTATCCTTGAGTAACAAAGAAATTGCATGAGGAGTCTGTGTCTTCAGGGATGTTGATAACAGCATAGTCCTGTAGGAAGTGGCTGGAATTTTCCCTCCAGCTTGATCAAAATCCGTTAATCAAAACACTTTTGTGCAGTGGCTCATGCCTATAATCTCAGAGCTTTTAGGAGGCTGGGGCAGTAGGGTTACTTGAGCCCAGGAGTTTGATGCCAGCCTGGGCAACATAGCAAGACCCGATTTCTCAAAAAATTTTTTAACAATTAGCTGGACATGGTTGTGTGCACCTATAGTCCTAGCTGCTCAGGAGGCTGAGGCAGGAGTATTGCTCGAGCCCAGGAATTCAAGGCTGCAGTGAACTATGATCATGCCACTGCACTCCAGCCTGGGTGACAGAGCAAGACCCCATCTCTAAAACAAACAAACAAAAACACATTTTTGTTTACTATACATGTATACATTAGCCAGGGACTATTAGACTCAATGCCTAAACCAAAAAAAAAGTGAAAGGAATTGGGGACAAAATAGAAATGGAAACTCTTTGGAGTGTGAACACATTAAATGCACCTGAATATTCCAGAAAGTAGCTACCACTCACTCTACTGAAATGGAGGATTATCCTGTAATTGATATACCCATATACAAATAACTAAATTGATTTGTGATTCTATTACATATCATAGCAGCAATAGAATCAGAACCTGTAAACTTGATATCACATCTCAGTCTTAGTAATTTGGAGAATGCAGAGAATGTTAGAACTGGAAGGATCTAACAGCAGATCTCTCATTGTTCAGCTCTGCATTCAGGCCTGCTGAATGGAAGGCCAGTGAAAGTTCACAGATTAAGTTTAAAGCCTGGTAGGTGAACCTTAATTTTCATTCAGGAAAGATTGCATCTAAACCTGTGCAAATATTTTCAATAGCTTTAATGGGGTATAAATTATATATCAACAAATTCACTCATTTAAAATGAACAATTCAATAGTTTTCCGTTTATTTACAAACTTGTTCAGCCATCACAATGATCTAATTTTAGAATATTTTCTGACCCCCAAAAGAAACCAAATACATGTTAGCAGTTATTCTCCATCCTCATCCCCTGCTTACACATCCAGGTCTAGCTAATCTACTTTCTGTCTCTATAGATTTGCGATTCTGAACATTTTATGTAAATAGAACAATGCAACTGGAATAATGCAATGGTCTTTTGTGTCTGGCTTCTTTCACTGAGCATAACATTTTCAAGGTTTATCCATGCTGTAGCATGTTTCAGTATTTTGTTCCTTTTGTATTGCTGAATGATATTGCATTGTATGAATATACAACTTTTTAAATCTATTCACTAGTTAATGGACATGTGGGTTGTGTCCACTTTTGGGCTATTATGAGTAATGCTGTTATGAACATTTGGCCAGTCTTTGTGTGGATATATGTTTCCATTTCTCTTGGTTAGATACCTAAGGGTAGAATTGCTGGGTCTTATGATCAATTGTGTTTAACTTTTTAAGAAACTGCCAACCTATTTTCCAAAGTGGCTGCACCATTTTACTATCCCACCAGCAATTTACAACAGTTCCAATATCTGCACATTTTAGCCAACACTTGTTGTTGTCCAGACCTAGGTAATATTTTAATTGACACTAGAATGGCATTTGTTTGAGGACTGGTTACCTTTCATTATATATTTCAGGTAATTGAATTTTAGTTAGGGAAGCCAAAAGGTGATATAAGTTTTGAAAGATTGTTATTGCAAATTCTAGGATCATTTAAAATGTGTAAAAAACAGAAAGAAAAAGAAAAAAAAAAAACATGGAAAAAATGTTGATCTGTAGAGCATTAATGTTGACATAAAACCTATTACAGTGAATGTCAAAAGATATTTAGTAAGATAAAAAAACATGTCAAGAAAGCATGTTAGTGCTTAAGATTTGCAATGAGTTCAAAGCTACAAAATAATGGCTACACATTAACCAAAAGGTGAGGCTATGAGTGGCCTCGTGGTCAAATAAAGCAGAAGAAGTATGTTCTAACTAAGTCTCATGTGGACTTACCGTCTCTATTTTGTTTTGTTTGGGGACTGAATAATCCAAAACTAGCAGGATAAAGCCAGGATCAGATGGTTTATGTTTGCCACTGATTCTCAACCAGGGCAATTTTGCCCCCAAAGAAATAGTTAGCTATGGCTGGAGACATTTTTAATTGCTATGATTTGGGGTGGGATGCTACTGGCATCTGGGAGTAGAGGCAAAGGATGCTGCATCCTACAAAGCATAGGGTAGCACCCACAACAAAGATTTACCCAATCTAAGTCTGACTGGTGACAAAGTGGAGAAACCCTACTTTAACTGATGCATCTGAAGGTGGAATAATTAGAATCACTTGAAATGTTTGTTTCCCCTTATTTTGCTTCCTAATTACATATGCTGAGTCATTCTCCTCACTTGGGGTTTTGCATCTTGGGGTTGTAGAGGTGAAAGCTGGGCTGTATATTTGTGATAAAAAAATTTCCACTCACTCATAGGTGGGAATTGAACAATGAGAACACATGGACACAGGAAGGGGAACATCACACTCTGGGGACTGTTGTGGGGTGGGGGGAGGGGGGAGGGGGGAGGGATAGCACTGGGAGATATACCTAATGCTAGATGACGAGTTAGTGGGTGCAGCGCACCAGCATGGCACATGTATACATATGTAACTAACCTGCACATTGTGCACATGTACCCTAAAACTTAAAGTATAATAAAAAAATATATATATATATTTCCAGTTGACTGTTACTCTTTCTCCATTTTCTCTTTCCAACCCAATCAAAAACTATTGCTCTAAATATTTCATAATACCTGTGCTCCATCTTAAAGGAAATTAACACTTAGCATAAATAAATTGGAAGAATGGATATTTTCCTATTCTCATTTGTTATTCTGTAAAGAATCATTCAGTTCTTTCCTCTTTGACAATACATTGGATGTTTGGGGCAAATCTCTAGGTTATCAAAGCCCAAATTAGAAAATGTCTACTACTGTTTTCCAGGAAATACAAGATAATTTTTTTATATTCATGTAATAATTCTCCACTTGATCTTAGCAAGACCAGCTTCTCACTGAAATACCAGCCAACCCTTTTGAGACTATAAATTTTATAATGAGCATGGGCCCTGGAATCTTGCTATGTTCTACTTGAGTTATTTGGACACTGTATTACGGAACAACTGTGTGTTTAGTTGAGCAGAATTTCTCTTCTGAACCATAAATCCTGTTTTTAAATTATTGAAAAAGTTATTATGCCAATTAACACATCTCAACATAGGGGAAAGAACATGAGCTCTGAAACAGATGGTTCAAATCCCAGGCCTACCGCTTATAAGCTGTGTGGCCTAAGGCAAGTTGCTTAAGGACTCTGAGCAGTAGTTTCTTCATTTATAATTTGGGAATACAATCTAACTCAGAGGTCCAACAAACTACTGCCCATAGCCAAATCTGGCCTGTGGCTTGTTTTTGTAAATAAAGTTTTACTGGGACACAGCCATGCCCACTCATTTTCATATTGCCTAGAATTGCTTTTGTGCTACTGCACTGGAGTTGAGTAGTTGTGACAAGAGACTGTGTGTCTTCAAAGCCTAAAATATTTACTGTCTGGCCCTTGACTGAAAAAATTTGTCAATGGCAGCTGTAGCTCAACTATTTGGTGGAACTTAGAGTTAGTATACTTAAACCTAATCTTAGATAGAATCTCTGAAAATATTAGTGCCTACTCCTTTCTAGACCCAACAAATTGTTCTTAACAGCAATAATACTAAAGCTAGGATTCATTCAACATTTAATGAGTAAGTACCTACATATAAGAAGATTTTAAATCTCACAACAGCCTAGGTAGGCATAATTTTCATTTCATATATGAAAAAGTGGAGTTTAAGAGAGATTAACTTCCTCAGTGTCACACAGCTAATTAGGAGAGTTGATGATAACAATATAAATACCACAGCTGTTTTGGTTTTTCTCTTTCCTCCTATCTAACAATCCTGACCTTTTACAGGACAGTTTTTGAAACATCTAAATAAAAAAAAAAAGTAGCTGACTGTTGAAACAGGTGAATAAACCTCAAAGGCCAGAGCACAGATTGATTTAAAATATTTGCTACTTATTGTTTTCTAAAAGCTTTTATGTTTATATTAATTTGTTGCTGTCTTCTTGTTCTCTAGACTTTATCATACTTCAATGCTATTTTCGCTCTTTGTGCTTCCCTCTTTCCACTCTCAAGCTCTCCCCTTTCTTAATGGAGAGCATTTGTAAGGGAGGATAACGAGTATCCTCTGCATCTGTGAAGCTAAAAAGCAAGGCATTGAAAGAAACAAGCTGCACATTCCTGTGCAACTCTTCTGAAGCTGTCACCAGTGCTGTTGATTCCAAGGAACTTTTCATGTTCACAAAACTCTGTGGTCCCTAAAGACAGGCTACTGTCTTTGTGGCTTATTATTTCAGGACATATCTCACAGCTCTTACAAACGTATTTAAGAACAAAAAGCAAACTTTATAGTCACTTCATGTGATGGGTTGTAGGAAGCAAAGACATCCAGCATCGAGATGTGTGACTCTTTGTATGGTCGTTGGCATGTGAATGTGTACTTCCACGTATGAGTGTCTGGCATCTAGGGGGTGTGTTTCTGTAGATGCTCATCTGGCATCTGGGGTGTGTTTCCATAGGTTGCCATTCAGTTCTTGGGTATATATATATCCATTGATGGTCATCTAGCATTGAGATGTGTGTTTCCATAGATGGACTTCCAGTATCTGGGAGTGTTTCTGTCGAGGGGCATCTGGCTCTGTGCCTCCACAGAGAGGAAGCCTTATCCTGGTCTTTAGCACATCTTCATCTTGGGAAAGTATTTTCCCCTCTATTGAGGGTAAGTGAAGCTCTCTTTACTTTTCTATCAATTGATCCTAGTCCTACTCTCTGAAGCTACCTGGAATAATGTTTAATCCCTCTTCTACATGGTTGCTCTTCAGAGCATATGATGAGTCTTAGCTCATTCTCCAAAGCCTTTATTTCTCTAAAATAAAAGCTGTACAATCTTTCAAATTTTTTATAAGATTCTGACCCTTTATTATCCTGGGGATGCTTATATTGATCCATTCTAGTATGTCAGTGTCTTTATTTTCCAGGTTTAACTTCTTTTCTGATTCCAGAAGTAATGAATGTTTATTACATAAAATAAAAAATTCGGACCGTATATAACTTCAAAAGAATGAAAGGAAAGGAAGAAAGAAAGGAATGAAGGAAGGGAGGAATGAAGAAAGGAAAAAATCACTCATTATTCCATTACCCAGATAACATTTTTAAAATTTTGGTCCTTATTTTCTAGTCTTTGTGTGTGTGAGTGAATAAATGTATGTTTACACATCTACTTATCTATATCTCCATCTATAGCTGTATTTTTATATACTGGTGTAGAGATCCAACTACATTAAGCTTCATATCTTGATTTTGTATTTTCATAGCATGCACACTTTCTCTCACAGCAAATAGTGTTCACAAATATTCTTAATAACTACATTTCACTCTATCATGCCGTTACATGAGAATTGCTCTGTGCCCTTTTGAAAGTGTGACTGACAGAAGCCACCACAATGCTCCAAAATGAACTGAGTATGGCAGAGTGCAGTGGGGTTCATCTCTACTTCTCTTCTTCATGTAAATGTGGGCCTTGAAATTAACTTAATTTTCTTAGTTTGCAAATCAACTTTTTCCTTAGCATGTGAACACCTTTAACGTATCAATCTACAGGGAAAGGGCCCTTTTGTAAATGCATAAGCTTATGTATGTCATTATAAGACATACCAGAATACAATCATACAAAAGGAAAGCCGTCACCGTGTTTGGCTAAGTTGTCTTGTGATTTGTGTGCATGTGTATGCACACATGTATCTTTGTACAAACAGTAAGAAGTCATTCAAATAGATCTTACCGTCTCATTTGCAATCATTTTCTGCTCTGTTCCTCCTCAGCATCCCTTTTAAGGTGATAAACTGTACATTTAAATGTTGACTTTTTCTGTTTTGTGTATATAAATGTGAACTTTTTGGAAATTTTCATAGCAAGTTTTGTCTGCTGCAGTGCAACATGTTTTAGATTCCCAGTCATACTGTGTGCTCCATGTAAGTAGGAAATACCATTTGCACATGTGTTTTAGTTATCTAAAACAAGAATTGTCAGTCTAGGTTCATGCATGTCTCAGAATCAATGGATATTTTAGGGGAAGGTGGTTATGAATTCCTGGAAATTAAATTCAAATTTTTTGAGCATTTTCTTTTTCCTGGCGATACTAGATTTTCTAATGGCCTGTGATGATTGCTCTAAAGGGTAACTTCATAAAACATTCTTGAAAATTCTTAGTGGGCTTGCTCCGAGAGATGCTATCATCATGGTGAAAAAAATAGCTAACAGAAGGCAATAATTTGAGAATGCATTAAACTTTCCAGATGGATGGCTTTTTTCTTATATGACTTGTCTTTTGTCATATCAGGTATTGATTTATACGTGAGAATGGGCTTACAGCATCCAGCAAAGTATTTTTCCCCAGTTATTTCTGAGATTCCCCCAGGAAGTGTCTTGAGATATCCTCTCCCCAGATTTTCTGGGTTCTACTCCTGGCTCCAACGGTAAGAGTCACACTGCCTCAGTTTCCTCATGGAAATATTGCAACAATAATAGAATCTGTTTCAAGGCTATTATGAGGACTAAATTAGTTAATCTATGTAAAGCACATAGAAAAGTGCCTGGTGTACCATAAACACTCCATAAAGATGGTTATTGTTATTATGATCTATTTATTTTTACAAATAAGATAGTTTAATAGTGAAATGACTTGTTCCAGCCATCACAGTTAGAAAGTAACCGACATATGATAAATATTTCATAATGGGCAGGCCATATTTGAGAATTTTCTTTGGACTGACTAACTCGGGTCAACAAACTTTGTAAAAAGCCAAATAGTAAATATTACCAACTTAGTGAGCATAGGTTCTCTGTTGCTACTACTCAACTCTGCCATTGTGATACCAAAACAGCCATAGATGATATGTAAACAAAGGGGTGTGGCTGTATTCCAATAAAACTTTATTTACAAAAACAGGGGCAGTCAAACTCTAGTTTGTAGGCTCCTGCTTCTCCCTTTCCTTCAGATACTACTTAATTTCTTATTTCTTAATGCAAAAGTAAATATATATATAATGGAAAATTTAGAAATTATAGATAAACAAACTCAACAAAGTTGAAAAATAAAAATTGCTTGTATTCTACCACCAGAGATAATTAGAGTTTACATATTGGTGAATAGTCAATAAGTATTCTTCCAGTAGAAAGATGTTGCTAATATATTCCCTTTGTAGGTCTCTGGGAACTTGGTTTGTAATTGCCTCTGTCTTAGTCTATTTTGTGCTGCTATAACAGACTACCACAGACTGGGTAATTTAAAAAGAAAAGACATTTATTTCTCATGGTTCTGGAACTGGGAAGTCCAAGAGCATAGTACTAGCCTCTGGTGAGGGCCTTTGTGCTGCATCATCCCATGGCAGAAGTCATTAGGGCAAGCAAGACAGAGAAAAAATGCGGGCCAAACTTCATCCTTTAATCAGGAGCCCACTGCCGTCATAACTAACATGCTCCTGTGATAATATTATTAATTCATTTGTGAGGGCAGAGCCCTCGTGACCTAATCACACCTCTTAAAGGTGCCACTTCTCAATACTGTTATAATGGTAATTAAATTTCAACATGAGTTTTGGAAGAGACATTCAAACCATAGCAGCTTCTTAACATTAAGGTTTAATTATGGTAATTAGTAAGCAGGGTTACTAGCTGGGTCTAGTACCTATGGCACTAAAGGCCAGGGGAGAGGTGATGAGATAATACCTTGTAGATTTACTCATTTCAGAATTGTCTTCCCTCTTCATTGAATAGGAAACTTCCTTATGTGATTGTCATGCTAGCTGTTTCAAAACTATTTAATATCTGTGGGGCCTGGATTTCTATCATTATATAATGTATGTGCTAAAACCTTTTAATCCATGTCCCATAAGTTTTATTCCATAAATTTTATATATGCACACATAAAAATAGTTAAAATGCTTAATTTTAAAAGTTAATGTGGGGGCACACACATACCCTTCTCTTTGTTTTTGTCATATTTATCTCTGAGAATCATTAACTATTTATGAGCACTTGCTATATGCTAGACACCATGGTAAATACTTTACATGTGTAATTTCACTGAGTCCTTCTCAAAACCTTATGAAATAGATGTAACTGTTCTCATTTTATAGAGAAGTAAACAGGGCTTCTAAAGGTTAAATTATTTGTTGAAGACAACACCGAGTAAGTGGCAGACCTTGGGACTTTAACTCAAGTCTGTGGATGTTTCTTGAGTCGGCATACATGCAATAGCTTTGTCAAGTGCTAATTATCTCCCTTTATTTTTGTTTCAAACGGTGGCCTTCTCTAGTGCAGGAGAAGTTAAAATCCTAGCTGCACATTACCTTCCATCACTTGACAAGCAGAGATGCACTGAAGACCGAGTTCAGTTATTTGCATAGTTATCAGTATGCTGAAGAAGTCCTTTCCTCACACTTACGACTCCTTCCATCCCATTTGCCATTCAATTTTGCCCATGAGCAAAGCTGTCTCTGTCTTCTGGAAGATGCTGAGTTTTTGTCTCCACTTTCGTTGATTGAGACATCCCAGCCCTGCTTTTCTTGGCACTTACTCCTCAGGTTATGGCATTGGCACAAACCATACCTGCAGCATCATGTTACTCTCTTGTGCTAAAAATAACAGATCCTGGGTGAGACTTCATATATAATTCATGGTTTTGATTTATTAATCTTTCCATTAAGCCAGAGAATGACATTTTTGCTGGCTGCATTCCAATCTGCATTATCTCAGACACTTAGCATTAACTTGAATATTCTATCCTCTGTGTGTGTACACACACATGTGTGCACTCATGTCTGTGTTTATTTTCGGTTGTAGTAACATCAGAATTATTGCTGCTTGTAACTCCCTTAATCTTTCACTTAACCCTCATTTCAAACCCTTAACGTGAATGTAATATCTGAAAGCAGTAAACATCAAATGCATGTTGATGATGATAACAATACAGGCTCAAATGAAAAAGAATAGTTTGTCTGTTTTGTATAGCCTTAAAGTTAAATTTATATTCAATGAATGGGGAAGGGCAACAGTGTAAAGCCAGTTCATTCATTTAGTATTTATTTATTGAGCTCCCTCTAAGTGCTAGGATTTGTGGTAGGATGAGCAAGGTGATGACGGTACTATAGAAGATAGATCAACTTTCATGATACCCAGTAAGTCTTATAAGTAAATTAAAATCCCTTCCTACTCCATTATTTGCATCATAGTTGGTCTGGTTCACCTGAACTGTTAGAAGATACCTTGAAGAGAGTGAACATATTTTAATTATTTTGTAAGACACTTCTCTGAGAGCTACACCCTGAAGGTCACTTCAGCTTCTTGGGCTCCACTACCTTCAATGAAACCTTCACCACCACTACTACTTTTCCTTGGGCATGTCCAGGCTCTTCAAAGCAGAAAGGGAGGACCTGCGATAACAGATCAATAAATGAAGGAGGAGATCCACTCTATAAGCAGAGTCCTGATGCTTGCCATTATATTCTACCAATATCAGCTCTTTGGAATTTTGGTACCATAGCATCTCAAGCCCCTTTTGAACAGTGAGAATGTCCTTGGAGAGGCAGCTTTGGATTGAAAACAATGCCACTTGGACATTGCATTTTGTAATTGTTTTGCCTGTTATTACATAATTGTCCTTCTAACTGCTCAACTGCCAGATTCATGAGTTAATATACAATAGGCCAATTTTTAGGAGCCATATCCATAACTGGGGGAGGGGGAATTAAGGGTATTAATGGGTTCCAAGACGGCCAAATAGGAACAGCTCCAGTCTACAGCTCCCAGCATGAGCAACGCAGAAGACAGGTGATTTCTGCATTTCCAACGGACGTACCGGGTTCATCTCACTGGGGCTTGTCGGACAGTAGGGGCAGGACAGTGGGTGCAGCCCACCGAGCATGAGCTTAAGCAGGATGAGGCATCGCCTCACCCGGGAAGCACAAGGGGTCAGGGAATTCCCTTTCCTAGCCAAGGGAAGCAGTGACAGAAGGCACTGGAAAATCGGGTCACTCCCACCCTAATACTGCACTTTTCCAACGGTCTTAGCAAATGGCACACCAGATTATATCCCGCGCCTGGCTCAGAGGGTCCCACACCCACGGAGCCTCACTCATTGCTAGTACAGCAGTCTGAGATTGAACTGCAAGGTGGCAGCGAGGCTGGGGGAGGGGCGTCCTGCCATTGCTGAGGCTTGAGTGGGTAAACAAAGTCACCAGGAAGCTCGAAGTGGGTGGACCCCACCGCAGCTCAAGGAGGTCTGCCTGCCTCTGTAGACTCCACCTCTGGGGGCAGGGCATAGTCGAACAAAAGGCAGCAGAAACCTCTGCAGACTTAAATGTCCCTGTCTGACAGCTTTGAATAGAGTAGTGGTTCTCCCAGCACGGAGTCTGAGATCTGAGAAGGGACAGATTGCCTCCTCAAGTGGGTCCCTGACCCCCAAGTAGCCTAACTGTGAGGCACCCTCCAGTAGGGGCAGACTGACACCTCACATGGCCGGGTACCCCTCTAAGTTGAAGCTTCCAGAGGAACGATCAGGCAGCAACATTTGCTGTTCAGCAATATTCACTGTTCTGCAGCCTCCGCTGCTGATACCCAGGCAAACAGGGTGTGGAGTGGACCTCCAGCAAACTCCAACAGACCTGCAGCTGAGGGTCATGACTGTTAGAAGGAAAACTAACAAACAGAAAGGGCATCCACACCAAAAACCCACCTGTACGTCACCATCATCAAAGACCAAAGGTAGATGAAACCACAAAGATGGGGAAAAAACAGAGCAGGAAAGCTGAAGATTGTAAAAATCAGAGCGCCTCTCCCCCTCCAAAGGAATGCAGCTCCTTGCCAGCAACGGAACAAAGTTGGATGGAGAATGACTTTGATGAGTTGAGAGAAGAAGGCTTCAGATGATTGAGAGAAGAAGGCTTCAGATGATCAAACTTCTCTGAGCTGAAGGAGGAAGTTTGAACCCATCACAAAGAAGATGAAACCTTGAAAAAAGAGTAGATGAATGGCTAACTAGAATAACCAGTGTAGATAAGTCCTTAAATGACCTGATGGAGCTGAAAACCATGGCACATGAACTATGTGACGAATGCACAAGCTTCAGTAGCCAATTTGATCAACTGGAAGAAAGGGTTTCAGTGATTAAAGATCAAATGAATGAAATGAAGCAAGAAGAGAAGTTTAGAGAAAAAAAAAGTGAAAAGAAATGAACAAAGCCTCCAAGAAATATGGGACTATGTGAAAAGACCAAATCTATGTCTGATTGGTGTACCTGAAAGTGACGGGGAAAATGGAACCAAGTTGGAAAACACTCTGCAGGATATTATCCAGGAGAACTTCCCCAACCTAGCAAGGCAGGCCAACATTCAAATTCAGGAAACACAGAGAACGCCACAAAGATACTCCTCGAGAAGAGCAACTCCAAGACACATAATTGTCAGATCCACCAAAGTTGAAATGAAGGAAAAAATGTTAAGGGCAACCAGAGAGAAAGGTCGGGTTACCCACAAAGGGAAGCCCATCAGACTAACAGCTGATCTCTCGGCAGAAACTCTACAAGCCAGAAGAGAGTGGGGGCCAATATTCAACATTCTTAAAGAAAAGAATTTTCAACCCAGAATTTCATATCCAGCCAAACTAAGCTTCATAAGTGAAGGAGAAATAAAATCCTTTACAGACAAGCAAATGTTGAGAGATTTTGTCACCACCAGGCCTGCTCTACAAGAGCTCCTGAAGGAAGTACTAAACATGGAAAGGAACAACCAGTACCAGCCACTGCAAAAACATGCCAAATTGTAAAGACCATCAATGCTAGGAAGAAACTGCATCAACTAATGAGCAAAATAACCAGCTAACATTGTAATGACAGGATCAAATTCACACATAACAATATTAACCTTAAATGTAAATGGGCTAAATGCTCCAATTAAAAGACACAGACTGGCAAATTGGATAAAGAGTCAAGACCCATCAGTGTGCTGTATTCAGGAGACCCATCTCATGTGCAGAGACACACATAGGCTCAAAATAAAGGGATGGAGGATGATCTACCAAGCATATGGAAAACAAAAAAAGACAGGGGTTGCAATGCTAGTCTCTGATAAAACAGACTTTAAACCAACAAAATCAAAAGAGACAAAGAAGGCCATTATGTAATGATAAAGGGATCAATTCAACAAGAAGACCTAAGTATCCTAAACATATATGCACCCAATACAGGAGCAGCCAGATTCATAAAGCAAGTCCTTAGAGATCTACAAAGAGACTTAGACTCCCACACAACAATAGTGGGAGACCTTAACACCCCACTGTCAACATTAGACAGATCAATGAGACAGAAAGTTAACAAGGATATCCAGGAATTGAACTCAGCTCTGCACCAAGCGGACCTAATAGACATCTACAGAACTCTCCACCCCAAATCAACAGAATATATATTCCTCTCAGCACCACATCACACTTATTCCAAAATTGACCACATAGTTGGAAGTAAAGCACTCCTCAGCAAATGTAAAAGAACAGAAATTATAACAAACTGCCTCTCAGACAACAGTGCAATCAAACTAGAACTCAGGATTAAGAAACTCACTCAAAACTGCTCAACTACATGGAAACTGAACAACCTGCTCCTGAATGACTACTGGGTACATAACAAAATGAAGGCAGAAATAAAGATGTTCTTTGAAACCAATGAGAACAAAGGTACAACATACCAGAATCTCTGGGACACATTTAAAGCAGTGTGTAGAGGGAAATTTATAGCACTAAATGCCCACAAGAGAAAGCAGGAAAGATCTAAAATCAAGACCCTAACATCACAATTAAAAGAACTAGAGAAGCAAGAGCAAACACATTGAAAAGCTAGCAGAAGGTGAGAAATAACTAAGATCAGAGCAGAACTGAAGGAAATAGAGACACAAAAATCCCTTCAAAAAATCAATGAATCCAGGAGCTGGTTTTTTGAAAAGATCAACAAAATTGATAGACCGCTAGCAAGACTAATAAGAAAAGAGGGGAGAATCAAATAGACGCAATAAAAAATGATAAAGGGGATATCACCACTGATCCCAGAGAAATACAAACTACCATCAGAGAATACTATAAACACCTCTATGCAAATAAACTAGAAAATCTAGAAGAAATTGATAAATTCCTGGACACGTACATCCTCCCAAGACTAAACCAGGAAGAAGTTGAATCCCGGAATTGACCAATAACAGGCTCTGAAATTGAGGCAATAATTAATAGCCTACCAACCAAAAAAAGTCCAGGACCAGACAGATTCACAGCTGAATTCTACCAGAGATACAAGGAGGAGCTGGTACCATTCCTTCTGAAACTATTCCAATCAATAGAAAAAGAGGGAATCCTCCCTAACTCATTTTATGAGGCCAGGATCATCCTGATACCAAAGCCTGATACAGACCAATAAAAAAAGAGAATTTTAGACTGATATCCCTGATGAACTTTAATGCAAAAATCCTCAATAAAATACTGGCAAACTGAATCCAGCAACACATCAAAAAGCTTATCCACCATGATCAAGTGGGCTTCATCCCTGGGATGCAAGGCTGGTTCAACATAGGCAAATCAATAAACTTAATCCAGCATATAAACAGAACCAAAGACAAAAACCACATGATTATCTCAATAGATGCAGAAAACGTCTTTGACAAAATTCAACAGCTCTTCAGGCTAAAAACTCACAATAAATTAGGTATTTCTGGGACGTATCTCAAAATAATAAGAGCTATTTATGACAAACTCACAGTCAATATCATACTGAATGGGCAAAAACTGGAAGCATTCCCTTTGAAAACTGGCACAAGACAGGGATGCCCTCTCTCACCACTCCTACTCAACATAGTGTTGGAAGTTCTGGCCAGGGCAATCAGGCAGGAGAAAGAAATAAAGGATATTCAATTAGGAAAAGAGGAAGCCAAATTGTCCCTGTTTGCAGATGACATGATTGTATATTTAGAAAACCCCATTGTCTCAGCCCAAAATCTCCTTAAGCTGATAAGCAACCTCAGCAAAGTCTCAGGATACAAAATCATTGTGCAAAAATCACAAGCATTCTTACACACCAATAACAGACAAACAGAGAGCCAAATCCTGAGTGAACTCCCATTCACAATTGCTTCAAAGAGAATAAAATACCTAGGAATCCAACTTACAAGGGATGTGAAGGACCTCTTCAAGGAGAACTACAAACCACTGCTCAATGAAATAAAAGAGGACACAAACAAATGGAAGAACATTCCATGCTCATGGATAGGAAAAATCAATATATGAAAATGGCCATACTGCCCAAGGTAATTTATAGATTCAATGCCATCCCCATCAAGCTACCAATGACTTTCTTCACAAAATTGGAAAAAACTACTTTAAAGTTCATATGGAACCAAAAAAGGGCCCGCATTCCCAAGACAATCCTAAGCCAAAAGAACAAAGCTGGAGGCATCACGCTACCTGACTTCAAACTATACTACAAGGCTACAGTAACCAAAACAGCATGGTACTGGTGTCAAAACAGAGTTATAGACCAATGGAAGAGAACAGAGCCCTCAGAAATAATACCACACATCTACAACCATCTGATCTTTGACAAACCTGACAAAAACAGGAAATGGGGAAAGGATTCCCTATTTAATAAATGGTGCTGGGAAAACTGGCTAGCCACATGTAGAAAGCTGAAACTGGATCCCTTCCTTACACGTTATACAAAAATTAATTCAAGATGGATTAAAGACTTAAACGTTAGACCTAAAACCATAAAAACCCTAGAAGAAAACCTAGGCATTACCATTCAGGACATAGGCATGGGCAAGGACTTCATGTCTAAAACACCAAAAGCAATGGCAACAAAAGCCAAAATTGACAAATGAGATCTAATTAAACTAAAGAGCTTCTGCACAGCAAAAGAAACTACCATCAGAGTGAACAGGCAACCTACAGAATGGGAGAAAATTTTTGCAAACTACTCATCTGACAAAGGGCTGCTATCCAGAATCTACAAAGAACTCAAACAAATTTACAAGAAAAAAACAACCCCATCAACAAGTGGGCGAAGGATATGAACAGACATTTCTCAAAAGAAGACATTTATGCAGCCAACAGACACATGAAAAAATGCTCATCATCACTGGCCATCAGAGAAATGCAAATCAAAACCACAATAAGATACCATCTCACACCAGTTAGAATGGTGATCATTAAAAAGTCAGGAAACAACAGGTGCTGGAGAGGATGTGGAGAAATAGGAACACTTTTACACTGTTGGTGGGACTGTAAACTAGTTCAACCATTGTGGAAGACAGTGTGGCGATTCCTCAAGGATCTAGAACTAGAAATACCATTTGACCCAGCCATCCCATTACTGGGTATATACCCAAAGGACTATAAATCATACCGCTATAAAGACACATGCACACGTATGTTTATTGCGGCACTATTCACAATAGCAAACACTTGGAACCAACCCAAATGTCCATCAAAGATAGACTGGATTAAGAAAATGTGGCACATATACACCATGGAATACTATGCAGCCATAAAAAATGATGAGTTCATGTCCTTTGTAGGGACATGGATGAAGCTGGAAACCATCATTCTCAGCAAACTATCGCAAGGACAGAAAACCAAACACCGCATGTTCTCACTCATAGGTGGGAATTGAACAATGAGAACACTTGGACACAGGGCGGGGAACATCACACACTGGGGCTTGTCATGAGGTGGGAGGTAGGGGGAGGGATAACAGTAGGAGATATACCTAATGTAAATGATGAGCTAATGGGTGCAGCACACCAACATGGCGCATGTATACATATGTAACAAACCTGCACGTTGTACACATGTACCCTAGAACTTAAAATATAATAATAATTTCAAAAAGGATATTAATGAGACCTAAAAACATAACCAAGATCTGGAGTATTATTTTCATTTTATAATAATGTTTTTAAAATTATATGATCAATAGTCAAAGGAAATTGTGACTTTAATTTTGAATTTTTTGATTAAATATAAAATATATACTTTTTAAATAGTATGTTTCGATCCAGTGGTAGCTATGATTATTATTTATTCAATATCCTTTCCTTCCTCTCTTCTAGTAGTAACACCCATCTTTCTTGTGGGAACCTAAGTCTGTGTGGTTTATATGGGTTGACTCTCTTCTACCCAACTCCAACCACAAGGGTGGGGTGACCAAGACCTGGCCAATTAAAGTACTGCATTCCTCCTAGCTAAATGGTTGGTTCAAGGAAAGGGTGTGATTATTGCCACGCCAACCAGATTCACCCTTAAGTTTTTCTGGAGTTTTGGGGGAAATATACTCTTGCTTTTCTTCTGGGGTTATTATTATTAAGCAAGGCCACCACACAAGGAAATCTCCACCCATTAAGGACAAGGAAAGCCTTGAACTACTATGGTCAGGTCATCTTTTTATGGTGTGGGGAGGACCTCCCTGAAAATTAGACCAGCACAGCAGAACACATTGCTTAGCTTATTATTGTAACAGACAGATTTGCATCATCTGAACTCTTCGATTAAACTAACTGGAAGTTATCTATAGCCCCTTGCACTTCTTGGTTACATGAATGTATTCATTTCCTGCTGCTGCTATAACAAATTACCACAAACTTAGTGGCCTAAAAAATATATATGCATTATCTTGTAGTTTGGAGGTCAGATGGCTAAACTGATCTGCAGGGCTGCATTCCTTCTGGAGGCTCTCAGGAAGGTCCATTTACTTGCCTTTTTCAGCTTCTAGGGGCTACCCACATTCCTTGGCTCTTGGTTCATGGCTCTGCATCACTCCAACCTCTGCTTCTGTAATCATATCTCTTCCTCTGACTCTGACTCTGATTCACCTGCCTGCCTGCCTTCCTGCCTGCCTTTCTCTTTTCCCTTATAAAGCCCCTGTGATTAAATTGAGTCCCTCTCCGTAATCCAAGATAAACAACCCATCTCAAAATCTTTGACTTAGTCACATCAGTGAAAGTCCTTTCGCCATGTAAGGAAGCATATTCTCAGGTTCTGGGGATTAGGACAGGGACATCTTTGCAGAAGGGGGCATTATTCTGCCTACCACAATGCATTCCTCTTTGGTATAAGCTAGTCTTGGTTGGAATACTAGCATTTGCAACCAAGAGTCTTAGAAAACACTGTATTAAATACAATGAGATATTGGGGCAATTTAAACATTACGATGAAAAGAGGACCTTTTGCATAGATATTTGGAGTTATGAAGCATTTTTTGGAAAGATGAAAGAATTGTACAGAGAACATTAAATTATGAACATAACTTTAAGTGACTCCAATATTTTCCTGTCCTTTAATCTCTTTGTATCTTTTTAAACTATATTTTTCTCTTCTTTTATGCTACCAACTGGGAATTTTCTTTCACATATTCTTGTTCTCAGTCAAGTTCACCTTTAAAATACCTTGCTTCCTATAGCCTATTATATGCTACAGAGCCTTTCTGCAATATGTTTTCCTCCTGTTATCCATTTTTCTTCTTTTTTCTCAACTGTCACTCTTCTCATTTTCTAGAATATTCATCTGTTTCTTTCTTAAATTTGAACTGTTTTCTTTTTTCACTGTTTCTATGAATATTTTTTTCTATCTGTCTTTAGGATTTCTGTCGTTTTAGCGTATGTTTTGTAATAAGTCTCATGACTGGCATCAAATACGCATAAATTCCTATTTCACAATAAATGAGTAAATTAATCTCTCTCTTCCAGAGTTGTTCCCTATACTTTGCTGTTTACATGTAAATAATATAGCCCTATATTACTTAACCAAAAAGCTTATAAAATCATATTTTTAGTCATTTTAAGTACTCATTCATATTTCAATCTCATATTTTTAAATTGAAATATGATTTTATCAGGCCATTTTGACTTTTTGCTCATAAGAATATATGGCATAAGCCCCTTATTTACTCAGTGGCATTTAACGGTAAAGTTTTATCTATGGCAATTTAACCTAACAAATGAGAAATCTTTTCTCATTGTTCTAGCATGCCAGAAATAACTCTCATATTTAATTTTTATTTCCTTTTTAACCGTCTTTAAAATAAACATATAAATAACTGTGTAACAGACAAAAATACAAAATGACTTTTTAAATGTAATCTTAATTAGCTAATTACTTCTTTTTCCTGAATTCATATAAATGTTTCCGTGTATCTATTTGATCTACAGTGTAGAATATTGCTATAGCACAGTACATGTAACCTATCCTAGCTTTGCTCACTTGCCAGATATCTTTTCTGTTTTTGTTCTACTGCATTTGTTTATACTATCAGCAATACAGCTAAAGCCAGTCTTGAATACATTTTTAAGTAATTCTTTGGGATAGGTAGATTCCTAACAGGGGTAGACCAGGCCAAGCAATATGGTCATAACTACTAATCTCTATTATATTTTGGTGGTATCAGAATAAAATATCTTGAGAGTAAATAAGATTTTGATGGAAGGAAGCAAGGATATGAAGTTATTCTATTTCATTTGAACAAGATTTGAAGGAGAACTTTTCATTTTTGTTTTTTAATGAGACTAGAAATCAAGGCTGATTGCAGCCTTGAGCAATCCTCATGCCTCAGCCTCCAAAGTACCTGGGACTACAGGCACACACCAACATGCTTGGCTAAGTTTTTTAATTTTTGTAGAGACAGGGTTTCTTCATGTTGCCTAGGCTGGTCTCTAACTCGTGAGCTGAAGTGATCCTCCTGCCTTGGCCTCCCAAAGTGTTGGGATTACAGGTGTGAGCCACCACTCCTGGCCTTACCTATTCTTTCTTAACTCTACCATTCCTTCAGTATTGCCTGTCTCTCATGGTGTTGTTCCCTTGACATTCTCTCCTTGCTCCCCTGCCCCCTCTGTTGGCTCTTGTCCACACTGCATGTCCTAACTCTGAGTATCCCCCAATGCTGGCCTCTTTTTTTTTTTTCTTCCTCACTTACTTCAGACTGTGGCTTCGTGTCACACAAATCTGGAGAATTTTGTAGGTGTGAGATTAACTCATGTCCCTTCATTTAGCCTAATTTTCATTCCTGCAGTGTCTTCTCCTCCCCATGGTTACTCTCACTCCCTTTTTTGCAAGACCTTATAATTTATCACCTGGACGACTTAAATTCATCTCTCGATGGCTTCCTTGCTTCCCAGTGGTTTGAATCCTCACTCTTCCCTTGCAAGCTGTGCCTCTCCATGTAGTCGCGGAAACATTTTTGAGTCTTGATTTATGTACTGAGGCTCATGGATGAATGGCCTGTTGCCACTAACATCCCGATTATACAGTACTTCCCTTACTCTTCTAGTCTTTCCTTTTTATAATTTGTTCCCCATCAGTCTTACTATTGTGACAGATAGATCTGGTTACTCTCAAACTTTAGCCTCAGTGACTTTCCCGGGCCTAGACAGAATTATCTAATCTATTTATCAGAACATTCCAGACGCTTCCCAGCCTGTTCCCATTTCCAACTTCATCCTCTGCCATCAACCCCCAGTCTCACTATTCCCAGCTCTATCACACTTTATACCACATCCCAAACATGCCAAGCCCTTTCAACCTTCTCTCTCTCTCTCTTTCTCTCTTTTTGCTGGGCTTGCCAGCCCTCACTGATATTTTTCAAGATCCGTTTTAAAACATTTTCTTTTAAAGATTTTCCAGATACTTGAACTCTCCCCATGCTCCTGAGACTTTTAATCTTGAGCAGGTGAAGAAATAATATGAGAACAAAGGCATTGAGTAGTGTGTGGCCGAGACCACATGGTGCTTTTACCTTTCCCCCCAGATAGCCTTTCTAAGTTGGGGAACCTCATTTGAACTACGGGAACTGAAAATGATTTGAGTGACAATTTTTTCAACTCTGCCTGAGATGGCACAAAACTAGTGCCATTTTAGATGCACAGGAGAAGAGTTAAGTCATTATGTGGAATGCATGCTATAGGGTGATGGAGCGTAATTTTCTCATGGGACTCAAGTTAGAAAGATTGCTACAGGGCATTTTTGGATCTGTCAGCTTTCTGTGCCTGACCCTCCAAGCCCTCACTGATGCCATGAGCACCTGATATTCTTAAGACCCTTCTCTGACATAATAGCATTAGATAACATATATATTTGTTGCTATATGTGCTTGTTAAATAATTAATGGGATGAATAACCTTTGAAAATCCTCCATTTTCTTTTTTCCCTATGCCAAGTTAGTTACTAGGCCCATTAATCTTTTTTAAAAATTTATCTTCATTTATTTATTTACTCATTAAGTAGCATCAAACATTCAAGAATCATCTTTTCTTCCTGTGCCAGAGAACTGGTTAATCTTAGTTTAAGTTTTCCCATTACTCAATATCTTTGCTTTTTACTTAATGCTACGTTACCATCGTCAAAGCTTTCCTGAGGTATCTTCTCAAATCTGAAGTTGCAGAATTAGAAGTTGCCAAAGTCAACTATGGCACAAACTTAGAAGGTAAGAGCATGTATATCGTATGATCTTGGGCAAACACTTTTGTCCTGCTCCATGTCAACTTCCTCATCTGCAAAATGGGAAGAGGAAAATGCAGGTAATATATTCCTTTTTTTTTCATTATTTTAAAAAATCTTTAAAATTTCAATAGTTTTGGGGATACGGGTGGTTTTTGGTTCCATGGATATGTTCTTTAGGAATGATTTCTGAAAATTTAGTTGTGCCCATTAATCTTTATTTATAATGTTGCCCGTAGAGTCTATCCTTCCTTTTCTTCTCTGCCGCCACCATTGTGTATATGTCTGTCATCTCAGCCCATATTCCTACACTCATGTCCTAATGTTGCCATTTAGCTCTTTCACTCTCTCCCCTTCAAGGATATTGAACTCACACCAATTATTCCCCCAAATAAAAGGACACATTGCCATTTCAATTCCAAATATGATACCAACTGGCTTTTAGATTAAGTTACAACTCACAAGACTGGCACGCAAGGCTCCCATGCTTTGGCCCCATTTTCATGGTCCAGCGTGTTCCCTCACTCCACTCAGACAAGGACTGTCACTCTTCTGTGTCTGCTCTTTGGTTTGCGCTGGACAGACCACCCTCCCTCCATGCAACTTGTACTACTGACTTCTCTTTTACATTTATTTGCCAGACTTATTTATCACATTTTATCAAATCAGATAAACATCAGATTAATCAACATTTATCAATTGTTCTTCCCAATATCCAAGTTCCAATCATTTTGCTTCCCGAGCATATTAAACAGTATCTGTTGCTCCTTTTTTTGCTTGATACACTCTTTCCCTGTTTCCCACCTTATATTTCATCTGGGCAAATTCTTTTTTATATTTAAAATACCTTTAATGTAACATACATACAATGGTTAGGAAAAAGAAGCAAAGGGTGAGTTATGTAATGTTCAAAAAAGTTTTTAAAAATTATTACTGACTTCTAAAACCCCTTAGTACTACATCAAAATCTACCTTTTCCCCAAAGCCTACTTGACTCCTTTTGACCTAAATATTCTGTCCTAATTTTAATTCTTATGCTCCATTATTGCCTTGTCTACTTACTAGTAAGTAGAATTATCCACTAAAACTCTCTTCTTCAAGAGCCATTGATTAATCTGTTAAGTATGCACTTAAGTGGATGACAAAGAAGCCAGACATTTTTAAAAGTGCCTAGAAGTATTCTTACCTCACTTTCTTGTCTTTTTTTATACCAAATTGCTAAATACTTTTGCTTAAAAAAATGAAAGTCCGCAGCAGGCGACTGCTGGCTGTTAACAAACCTAGAAATAAGCAAAACCATTTCCAAGTCACCGTTGGGGCACTGTCATTGTCAATGGAAGCAGAAAGGCCTCCTGTGTGTGTGGCTGTGGGAACTCAATGAGAACACCTTCTGCCACAGAGGAGTGGGGGCAGGGACAGGCTTGTCTCCAATGTCCAGGGCTGTCAGACTTGGCTCATCCTGCCTCCCACACCTGTGCCATCCGGTGGTGAAGATGGCCTTTGGCTGGGAAGCATTTGGTTGCAAGAGTTAGAAATCTGCTCAAACTAGCTGATGTAAAGAAGAGAGATGTAGTACATTTATATTATGCAGTCACTCAGACACAGGAATCAAAATGCAGCCAAGCTTCATGAGAATGGGAGAAGGGAGGACACTGGGGCTGAAAGCTGTTTTCTTTTTCTCTTCGTCTCTTTGTCTGTTCATAACCACAGGATATATCCCATTTCTGTGTCTCCTGGTCTCTTTTCTAACAATTTTGATCACTTGTAAAGGGATCTCAAGGACTCCCAGATACATGACCTTAGAGTTCCCTTCCCCACCACAGACTGACTGCATTTTCTGTGACTCTAAGTTCAAATTCTCAACTGAGAGAATTTGGCTAATTTTTGGTTTGAGAGTGGCGCTTTACCTTAGGCCAAGTGTTCATTCTTGGTCCACAGCACTATGTCCAGGATTGGGGTCACATATTATAAAAATAAACACTTGGTCCTGTTCTTTCAAGGGGTTTTACAGTAGAGCCATACATAGATCCAAAAGCTTCTACCATGAAAAGTTCAGCATGCTGTATGTATTTGGGATGCATCATTGAGTAATATGAAAGAAGAATAATTTAAGTTTAACACCCTAGGGCTGTTTCTTTGCTTTCTTCCAATTTCAGTGGCCCAGTTCACCATGATTTAGAATAGAAATTGTTAACTTAATCTCAAAATGAACATGTGACTGATATGTCATCAATATGAAATGAAGAAAAATTATGAATTATTTGTTACAATTACATATATCATATGTTACATGATTTAAAATCTACCTTATTAGAGGCTAGGTGTAACTTGGGACTGCAAATTTTAAAAAGCATATGGAAGGATTGGAGGGAGTCTATGGAAAGCTAAGCAAATGATAAGAGGGAAAGAAAATAAAGTATGAGTTTCAATTTAAGGAAGATGGTAAGTTTATTTAGCCTGGAGAAGAGAAGACAGTAATGATGTGAGAATTTCCTCAAACATGTGAAGGCGAAGCAGGGATATATTCAATTCATCTTTATTGTCTTGAAATAATATGCAGCAGAACATGGGTTTGAATGATAACATAAACTCAACCTTTCATTCGCACCGCAAAGCTATGTGCGGAGATATTCTTGAATTTGCTTAAGTAGAAGTTGTATAAATGTATCTGTAGAAGCAGAATGTGTGATACTATAGTCACAGGAGTATAAACTAGAGAACTTCATTGAGATGGCCTCGAGTTCTATGGGACTGAAGTCAGTTCCACGACACTTAGTAGAAATGAAAGACAAGTAAAGAAATTGTGTAATATTTTTTCTTAATGAACTATTCTAGGTATGGCTGAATGAATTGTGCTCTCCAAGGGATAGTCAAAGAAGCAGCAGTAGTCACCAATCACTGAGTTTTGTTTTGCAAGATGGAAATTATGAATTAAGTGTAAAAGCTAAGTTTTCCTCCACAGTAAAGTGAGATTCTGAGTTACTGTATAAGAAAAGAGAACTATGTAAGAGAAGAGAGGAAGAAGAGATGAGATTACGGGAATGAGGAAAGAATGTTGGAATTTTCAGTTAGAGAAATTAACGGATTTGCTTGTAAGTAGTGTGTGGTATGAATCATCTTTCTCTTCTTCTCTCCCAAAAGATTTCTCCATAAGATCATCACAAAATATCCATTTCTAGTTATTGCGTCACAAAATTGAATCTCTGCTAGGATGCATAGAAAATACTAACTATAAGCTGGGCAGGGTGGCTCACACCTGTAATCCCAGCTTTTTGGGAGGCTGAGAAGGGAGGATTGCTTGAGGCCAGGAGTCCCAAAATACTCAATATAGCCTCAGAATGGGATTGGATAAGAGCTGAGGTCACCTGTAGAAGGTGTGCTATGCTCAGGTGACCTGTATCTGACTAAGTATATTAACAGTGGACTAAGTAGACATTTCAATGAGTTATCAGAACTAAGTAAAAATGTTGATTGGGTAGAAGAAAATCCAAGACTAGGATTCCAGAGTGACTAGGATTGTCACCTTGGGTGAAGCAAAAAATCTTTTATGCCTTTCATTTTCAAATATGGATAATGTGTATATTCATCTATGCTGGGGTACAATAATGTGTGATCACTTAAAAGAAAACACAGACATTTGCTATCAAAAGTCCTACCACCAAATAGTGAGAACTACTGAGAACTGAGCAAGTACTTGGCACTGTGTCATGATTGACCACTTTCAGTGATTCTTCAAGTGTAGGCTGTGAATCCTGGGAGTCCTTTAAACTCATTCAGGGAGACTGTAAGGTAAAAATTATATATAATTTATAATAATAATACTAATTTTTATAATAATAATACTAAGACTTAATAATACTAAGACTTTATAATAATACTAAGACTTTATTTGCTATTTATAATAATACTAATAATTTATTTTATAATACTACTACTAATAATAATTTATAATAATACTAAGACTTTATTTGCTATTTTCAATCTCATTATCTCATTAATGCTTGGTGGAGTTTTTGGAGGCTACGTGATGTGTGATACTTCAACAAATTGAATGCAGAAGCAGATATAAGAATCCAGCTTTTTAAGGCCAGATCTTAGATTTGCAAAAAATGTAAAACAGTGCCACTTTTCTCACAATTTTTTTTTGAAATATATTTTATTAAAAATGTTATATGTGTGTAATAGATTTATTGTTCTTATTTTAAAAGAATTGATAAATATTTAAACATTTTTCAGTTTTAATTTCTAACATAGTAAATATTGATAGATATAATTCACACAAACAAAAGATTTTGGAGAGTCTTCCATTTTTAAGAGTATAATGGGGATTTGGAAGTGAGGACCACTGGTCCATTACTTCACCTTGGCAAGGTAACTTTGCATAAGGCGATCTGAGCATATTGTAACTTTCCCTGATCCTTCCATGGTCTTATGGTGGGTGGTGGTATCCTCAGTGAGAATCTCTCTGAGAGTGCAAAACTTTGGGATCACTCTCAAACTGACACAAGATAAAGCTGAACTGTGTACTTGGTTCCCCAGGCAATGCCATCACATCCAAGCCTCACAACATGTCTCATTCCTGTGCTGCAGGGAATCTCCAAGGTTACTCATCTCTGGGTCATGAGATCCATGGCATCTTAGGCTGCAGGAAGGGTCCTAGGGACGATCTGGATCTGGTGAAAAGGCCTGGTCCCGCATCATTAGCAGTCTTCCTCTGTAAGTCTCTCAGCATATGCATAGTAAGAGTGCTCAAGTGTCAACCTCACAATAGTGAACTGTTACTGAAGCTCATGATGTGTGAGACATTGGTGGGGGCAATTTTCGTGTATTGAATCTCACCACACATTTATGAGTTTGATATAATTATTACTCCAATTTTATATATAAGGAAGCTAATAAAGACATTTAAGTAAATTTGCCCAAGTTCTCACAGCTAGAAAGTGGCAGGAGTAGGACACAAACATATGTACTCTGGCTCCAGGTTCTGTGGCATTACCAACTATATTGTATCACCCTCCTTATAGACTTGATGACTGTAATATCCCCCTTAGCAATGTACTAGGAAGGGCAGGGAACCACTGTACCAAACAGCCTAAAATTTACGAAAGATGAATATAAATGTTGTTCCTTTGTGTTCCACTGCTAAGTGGGTCGGTGAGGGCTCCACATGGTCACTTGAAAACCCAGAGTTCTCCCATCTTATGGCTTCATCCTTCTGTAGGTCCTTGGAGTGGTCTCTGTATAGATGGGGAAAGAGAGAGTGGAAAACTGTACAACAGGAGTGTTTTGTGGGCCAAGCCAGCACTTCTGTCTATATTTCATAGTCAAACCACTCATGTAGCCACATCCAACTGTGAGGGATGCTGGGAAATGTAGTTCACCTGCCCAAAAGGAGAAGAGTTGAACAATTAACTGTATCTTTTTTTTTTTTTCATGAACACTTTGAAGAGTTTTCTGTTAATAATGTGGAGATTCCAGGAATATTGCCAAGGGCTGAGCTCACAGATCAACTGATACTTTATAAGGTTTGCCAATAATTGTATATCTCTGACGTGGAACAAGGCCACCAGGGGCCAGGTGTTCAAATACAAGTATATATGGGCCTACAGTTAAGTATCAAAAATTTTAATATGATGTTAATGCTAAGCAGCTCATATAACATTTTAATAAAAATTAGAAAAAGATTTACTTCCTAAAGCACTTCATTGCTATGTTTGAGAAAATTTTCTGAGCAAATATACATATCTATAATTAACATTATGTGAATGGTGCCCTACAAAATTGTGCAGTGTACATTCTGCACAACTGTATAAGGAGGGCCTCCCTTTATGCTGGCTGAGGACCCAACCACCTAAGTTCTTACAGTTTAGCCCAGGTTTCCAACTCTTTCTGTAATGCACCCAAAGAGTATAATTGAGTCATAGAGTCATAGCTTGATTTTCTTTTCTTTTTTTTTTTTTTTTTTGTTTGTTTGTTTTTTAGATGGAATCTCACTTGCTCTATCACCCAGGCTGGATTACAGTGGGGTGATCTCAGCTTAAACCCCTGCCTTCCCGGTTCAAGTGATCTTCCTGCCTCAGCCTCCCAAATAGCTGGGATTACAGGCGTGTGCCAGTATGCCTGGCTAATTTTTATATTTTTAGTAGAGACAGGGTTTCACCATGTTGGCCAAGTTGGTCTCGAACTCCTGGGCTCAAGTGATCCACCCACCTTGGCCTCCCAAAATTCTGGGATTATAGTCGTGAGTCACTGCACCTGGCCTTGATTTTCTTCTGGGTTCCTTCCATTTGTTCCTTGCACTCTAGCATCTCTCTCCATTGCTTGACCTTAGTAGAAAAGGAAGAACTACATTTTCGACTTCTAGGTCTGATGAGGTTTCTCAACACAGATTGTTGTTGAGTCTATAGCATTGTCCTATAGCAAAGTTTCTCAACCTCAACACTATTGACAACTGAATGGATCATTCTTTGTTGTGGGGCTGTCTTGTATATTGTTGGGCATTTCATAGCATCCCTGGTCTCTACCAATTAGAGTCCAGTAGCAACCCTTCTTATTAGTTGTGACAACCTTCTAAACTTCTTGGGTAAAAGTTTAGATGGGGTGTTGTGCCTGTGCTACTTGGGTTAGAGCAGTGGAATCAATTCTTGGTTTGTGCTTTTCTTCATTCTCTGTGCTCCCACCTTGGTCTCCCACTCCTGGGAATCACAGGAGCAGACATGTCACTGCTATTCTAAAAGGAAACTCCAATGACTTCCCATTGCACTTAAGATATACAAGATATCCTTCCAGTGGCTTGTGGGCCCTCTAACCTCCTCTTTGACCTTATCAGCTACCACTCTCCCCTATATTCTTTGTAATCCAGTTCCTGGTACATCTCATGACCCTTCCTTTCCTAGGGACTTTACACATACTAATCTCCCTTTCTGGAATGATCTTCCTGACCCAATTCCTCTTCCCTTAATTTCCACTTATCTTTCAGTGCTCACAGTTTATCACTTACTTAGCAAAACTTCCCCTAACACCATGTTCCTTGTAAGAGAAGGTTTGGTCCTGAGTTAATTGCTAACAGAACATTCTGTACATAATTTACTAGCTCTTATAAAAGTTGAAAATATGTACACTATTAGATAATTAAATAAGTATTTTTTTCTCCCACACTAGAAGGTAGGTTCTACAATGGGAGGACCCATTGGGGTTTCTTTATTCCCTAACATGTGGCAGACCAAATATCAAGGGCCTTTGAGATTTTGAAGGGCCTATTTCATAATTTGAGACCTGAGGAAAACAGATATTGGCCTCCAAAATATGAAAATAAGCTATAAAATTAAAAGTAATTAATGTGTAATTAAATGTTTACAAAACTTAATGATATTACAATATGGCAACCAAGTGAATGAAACTCTATTCTTAAGTAGATGTATATGAATCAAATCACAAGAGCAAACTAAATATTTGATTCATAACAAAATTCAAAATTATAGATTTTATTAAAAATCTTTCAAATATTAATAGCAACAAAGTATATTTAATGTGTGATGAGTATGCATTTTAATATGCTTGATATAATGAGGGGAGGGTGGCAGAGCTCCAAAGTGGAGTGCCTCTGGAGTGTAAAATTGCTAGAAGCTACACCTGTGTGGCTCACCATGGTAGCCACAGCAACTTGTACAGTGCCTTCCATGTAACAAATGCTCAATATATATTTACTGAATGAAAGAATGAGTAAATCCAGGAATGTGCTCTACTGCCAAGCCCACTGCTCATTTAATGTCTTCTTTGCATAGTACGTTTCCCAACATGCAGATCAGCTGGGAACCTTTTCATCCTCGTTTCCGTTGAGATACAGTGACCTTTGAGAGCAGTCCCACTGACTGGGTTCTTAAGTCACTGTGCAAGTGATGCCATGGCAATCTTGAGAGAATGCTTGGAGCCCCAGAAGCTTTCTAAAAGCTGTCAGCTCTTCCAATAATTCCATACTGAGAGTCCAAAATTCTCCTCTGCTGTGTCAACACACTCTGATATAGCTCTGATGTAGCTTTCATTCATGAGCTAGTGTAGGTTGTGTTAATTTTCTGGAATAGTCTCCTGGAACCTGGACATCCTGAGATATCAGTCAACTGGAGTTAGAAGGATACCCCTTATGTTTTAAAAAACTGGAATGAAACCACATCTGGAAGGATTTCTGGAGGTGTTACCAGAAAGAAAGAATCTCATTATTGGCTGTTCTCAAATATACAAGAAACCCATAAAGTGATGCCCAACATTACTTTTCTCACCAAGTAATCTTTCCATCTTGACAGCCATCCTCTGATGGGCAATTGGGAGTTTTCCTCTCCTTGGCCTCTTTCCTCTGAATTTTTTTTTAATCCCCCCCGGTCCTTATCTGGAGCCTTCTTGGCAAGCACATTGGGGTCAGGTGGGTAGAGGCTGTCTTTCCCAGCTATGTTCTGGAAGGCATCCAATGCATCACTCCAGACAGGGTAAAGTCCTCCACAGGAATAGATTTACATCCTTTGGTTTCTTCAGAGTGGAACAATTATAAGACCAACTTTGGACTTGCTAACAGTGATAGTCCCTCATAACAAGAGTTCAAATGTTAGCTTTAGCAAACGCAAAAGCTCCCTTCTCCTACGTTGAAGAGGGCAAGGATTGAATTAGATTAGGGGGACAGAAAGCTCTGCCCTGCTCACTGAATGGCCCTGAAGAATCTAGTTTACTGACTGTTCTGTATTCCTCATGCTCCTGTTCCCTCAGTTTTCTCTCATCTTACCTTCTGTTTTATTCTAGCCCACTCAACAAGATCCACTCAGTTAACCCATCCTGAGAGTCCAAGGGTGTCCCCAAGACCAAGAATGCATGAGAGAATTTACATCACTCCATATATCTGTCCCATAACAATTGAGATAACATTTTGCTTGATTACTTCTAGGCTATGGCAGACAGAGCCTCAGTAATAATACCTTGCAAGTATAACATGTCTGTAATTAGACTGTCCTGTAATTAGGGAGCTGACAACTTAGCCACAGCTTGTCACTAGCCAGTGACACAGCAGGAAACAGGAAGAACCATAGAGAAGGACATCTGTCTGCCGATTGATGGCAAGAATCCCAAGGAAGGTCAGAATGAATAGATAATAATAACAGCAAAAAGCCATGGAGAGGAGAATACTACATTTCTTGGTCAGAGACAAAGCTGGTTCCGTGGGAAGAAACGGATCATGAATTTCCCTCCATCTTCCTGCTCTAAGAGAGAACTTATGAGAGGTAGATTTTAGTGTCTTACAAAGCCAGGCATACAGCTAAGGATGGATCTGAAGTTTTGGTAGTGACTGCAGGAAGGGTGAGAGAGAGGTCCCACATCACAGGCAGACTGGACTGATGCCTCATAAAAGAGCCCCCCTGAGTGGTTCTGAGTAGGGGAGGGAGTTTGATTTAATTAAATCAGCATTCTTCCTAGGGTGCTAAGGAACAAGTAGACCAGTCATCCTTGTCATTCCCCTAAACCTGCTGCTTTTACTGAATTCCTTGAAGTCTAATTCGGTTTCTCCCTTCCATTACTATCTCTCATACTCAATAGACAAGCCTAGCCAACCATCCTAATTCCATCACGGCTATTCTGTTTTAGATGCCCCAGCCCTAGTTTGCATCATCGACACACATTCTCTCACGTGGGCTGACCACTGAAAATATCCCCTTACTGGTTTCTGCCTCCAGGTTCTCTTCCTCTCCTTTATCCACCCATTGCTCTATTGATAAAGCTCAATTTCCTTTTGTAACTGCCCCTACAAGTCTTTGTTCTGGAGTTGCTAATGGAACCCCATTGCCTACTAAAATGGTAGGTCCATGGTGTGAAATTGAATACCTGATGTCAGAATTCATTTGTCCCTTATATCCTTAGTTTCTCTCCAACTCAGGGAATGCACTCCAATTGAAATACTTGTTCATTCCTGTTTTTATCTTCCTGTTTTCATCTTCGTGACATTCTCTTTGTCTGGAATGGTCTTTCTTTCTGAATTCCCACACATCCATTAGGGCTCCTATATTAGTTCGTTCTCATGCTGCTATGAAAAAATACCTGAGACTGGGTAATTTATATTAAAAAACAGGTTTAATTGACTCACAGTTCCACATGGCTGGGGAGGCCTCAGAAAACTTATAATCATGGCAGAAGGGGGAAGCAAACACATCCTTCTTCACAAGGCAGCAGGAGAGAGAAGTGCCAAGTAAAGGGGGAAAAACCCTTATAAGACCATCAGATCTCATGAGAACTCATTCACTATCACAAGAGCAGCATAGGGGTAACTGCTCCCATGATTCAATTACCTCCCACTGGGTCCCTCCCACCACAGGTGGGGATTATGAGAATTATAATTCAAGATGAGAGTTGGATGGGGACACAGCCAAACCATATCATTCTGCCCCTGGCCCCTCCCAAATCTCATGTCCTCACATTTCAAAACATAATTATGCCTTTCCAACAGTCCCCCAATGTCTTAGCCCATTCCAGCATTAACCCAAAAGTCCAAGTCCAAAATTTCATCTGAGACAAGGCAAGTCCCTTCCACCTATAAGCCTGTAAAATAAAAAACAAGTTAATTATTTCCTAGATACAATGTCGGTACAGGCATTGGATGTATACACTCATTCTAAATGGGAGAAATTGGCCAAAACAAAGGGGCTATAGGCACCATGCAAGTCTGAAATCCAATAGAGCAGTCATGAAACCTTAAAGTTCCAAAATGATCTCCTTTGATGCCATGTCTCATATCCAGGTCATGCCAATGCAAGATGTGGGCTCACAAGACCTTGGGCAGCTCCACCCCTGTGGCTTTGCAAGGCACAGCCACCTCCCAGCTGTTTCCACAGGCTGGCATTGAGTGTCTGAGGCATTTCCAGGTGCACAGTGCAAGCTGTCGGTGGAGCTACCATTCTGGGTTCTGGAGGATGGTGGCCTTCTTCTCACAGCTCCAACCCCACATTTCCCTTCCACACTGCCGTAGCAGTGGTTCTCCATGAGGGCTCCGCCCATGCAGCAAACTTCTGCCTGGACATCCTGGCATTTCCATATGTCCTCTGAAATCTAGGTAGAAGTTCCCAAACCTCAGTTTTTGACTTCTGTGTACCCACAGGCTCAACACCACATGTAAACTGCCAAGGCTTGGGGCTTGCACCCTCTGAAGTAATGGCCTGAGCTATACCTTGACCCCTTTTAGCTATGGCTGGAGCTGAAGCAGCTGGGATGCAGGGCACCATGTCCGGAGTCTGCACAGAGCAGAGGGGCCTGGGGTCCTACCCAAAAAACCATTTTTCCATCCTAGGCCTTTGGACCTATCATGGAAGAAGCTACCATGAAGGTCTCTGACATGCCCTGGAGACAATTTCCCCATTGTTTTGGTGATTAACATTCAGCTCCTCATTACTTATGTAAATTTCTGCAGTGGGCTTGAATTTCTCTGCAGAAAATAGGTTTTGCTTTTCTATCACATTGTCAGGGTGCAAATGCTCTGCTTCCCTTTTAAACATAAATCCCAATTCCAAATTATGTGTTTGTGAATGCATGAAACTGAAAGCTTTTGAGAGCACCCAAGTCACCTCTTGAATTCCTTGCTGCTTAGAAATTTCTTCTGCCAGATACCCTAAATCATCTCTTTCAATGTCAAAGTTCCACAGATCTCTAGGACAGGGGCAAAATGCTGCCAGTTTCTTTGCTATAGCATAGCAAGAGTCGCCTTTATTCCAGTTCCCAACAAGTTCCTCATCTCCATCTGAGACTACCTCAGCCTGGACTTCATTGTCCGTATCACTATCAGCATTTTGGTCAAAGCCATTCAACAAGTCTCTAGGAAGTTCCAAACTTTCCTACATCTTCCTGTCTTCTTCTGAGCCCTCCAAACTGTTCCAACCTCTGCCTGTTGCCCAGTTCCAAAGTCGCTTCCACATTTCCAGGTATCTTTATAGCAGCACCCTACTATCTGTGGTACCAGTTTACTGTATTAGTCCATTCTCATGTGGCTATGAAGAAATACCCAAGACTGGGTAATTTATAAAGAAAAGAGGTTTAATTGACTTACAATTCTGCATGGTTGGGGAGGCCTCAGGAAACTTACAATCATGGCAGAAGGGGAAGCAAACAATCCTTCTTCACAAGGCAGCAGGAGAGAGAAGTGCCAAGCAAAGGGGAAAAACCCCTTATAAGACCATCAGAGCTCATGAGAATTCACTATCACGAGAACAGCATGGGGGTAACTGCCCCCATGATTCAATCACCTCCCACCAGGTCCCTCCCATGACACAGGATTATGATAACTACAATTCAAGATTAGATTTGGGTGGGAACACAGCCAAACTATATCAGCTCTCCTTCTTCGGGAGATTTCTCCTGTTTCCCAGCCCCATATACCTCCCTCCTTTGAACAACATTCACGGCTACCCATCCTCTTATCTCCACCTCTCATAGTTTGCTCAGACCCATGGACATTGTGCTGAGTGAGGTAGCTCTGCTATCGTTGAAAACTCAGTAAATTGGAAATTAGGATACATGTGTTTGAGGACTTCTACTTCCAGTTTTCTGGCTGTGTGGTCTCTAATCATTTAACTTCCTAGGACCTCAGGATTATTATTTGTAAATTGGAGGCAATAATTCCTGCCCCATAGGATTGTTGTAAAGCCTGAGATGACATGTGCAGAAACCTTTCTAAACTTTAAAGCATTATACCAATGTGGGGCATCATAATGATTATCTATCTTATACTCTATTTATTTATATAGTTGCCTTATTAAATCTCTTTATAGGTCTTTAAGCAATAATTTTATGCCATCCTCCCACAACTAATTGTTAACCCTCTGCATCAATTAGGCATGCATTCAGCTGCAAGTAACAAAATACTTGGTTATCTTTGGCTTAAATGGAAAAAGGGAGCCAGCGGAAGAGAGAGAGAGAGAGAGAGAGAGAGAGAGAGAAGGTGGAGGCGTAAGGGGGTGGGGACAGAGATTTAATTGTCTCATAAAATGAAAATTTGAAGGCCAAAATTCTAAGTTGGTTCTATGACTTGACAATATCTTCCAGGGCCAAGCCTCTCTGGCCTCTACCCCACTGTTCTCAACATCTTGACTTTTGATTTTCATGCCTATTACCTCATGGTTGCAAGATGATAGATGTAGCTTAAGGCTTGATGACCTCATTTAGAGACAGGAAGCAGGGAGGAGGGAGGGAAGTACTGGATGCTGGATGGGAGGTGGGTCCTCAGGTGGTCTTGAGAAGGAACTTCATTTCCACATGAAAAGAGTAGGCACCAATGTCTGCTACAGCCCTTGAGGACAGGAGTCAAGTCTTTATCTTGATTCCCTCTCCACAATGCCTAGTATATAGTAGATGGTGTATGGTAGATGTTCAATAAATATTAATTGAATGAATTAATAAGTAAAATAATAAATTTATGAATGAGACTTCAAAAACTTGGAATAACTGGTCTCAAGTCTGCCATTTTTGTACATACATCTTCCTTAAAGTTCACCCTCATAATAGTCTTCAAGGCTAGAGCAATTTATCCATCAAGCAGAAGTGCTGTTATTCAACGTGATTTGATTAGTTTTTGTCTAGTCAGGGGGCCAAGGTGAAGGAACATTATGTCAGAAAGACAGCATAAAAGTGATTCGGGATCTGAGAGGTTTAAAATGAGTTTGAAATATTAAAATATGTCTCAGACAAATATGAGGCTTTGTCGGTTATTTGAATGTTGCATAAGAATTCAAAATATTGTTACAGGGTATGTCACATTAAGAATTCATAGTCTGAAAATTATACACTGGCAGAATCTTTTAAATGACCTCCTCCCCGTGCCTCTCCATACCTCATCAGACAAGAGGAGATTCAGTGGGAAAGCAGTAATTATAATCCTACATTGGCAGACTTTTGGTATGTGCCTGAGCAAAACGGGTGAGAGAGGGTGGGGTTAAAGAAAGAAAGGAAGTTAAGTGACCTAATAAGGCCCAGGGGAAGGCCCATATAGCAAACGTGGTTCTTAACCTTGAATAAAGGTCAGCTGCTAGGGGGCTGAGCTAATCATTGTGTATTTTATAGATATACAGTTATCTGGTAAAAGTTTCTGATATTGGATTTGTTCCTGTAGAACCTAGTCTTCTTGATTACAGAATTACCAATGTAGATGGAATCTCAAAATATTATACATCTCTTGGCCCTTAGGAAGATTCACTTGTGTATCTGCATTGCATCAGAAGGGGAAGGAAACGAGAACAGGACATGCACATTTATTTTAACCTATAAAGCTTACAAATGAGGAAGACAACACTAAGAAAAGTTGAATGATTTCTTAAGGGTCACTTATATTTACAGATTTGGGAATGGTACCAAGAAATCCTGGTGCCTTTCTGTTGTTCTTTCTTATGCCCCATATAGCATTTAAAATTTTTGAATATCCTTTAGGGCAATCAAATATGAGAGAAAAAAAAACTGAATTATATTGGTAGAATTTGAGACATTTTTATCCCACAAATCTATATTCAAAAGTTCCCCTTATGATGCTAGATGAATCCTCAGGAAACAATGCTTCCTATAATAATCCTCATATTTAGTAAGAATTATTGTCATCACTTAGCTTTTCTGGTCTCACCTTTTGTCATCCCTAAAATGGGATAATAATAACTTTTTTCTCTAACTTACAGGGTTATTTCCAGGTATAAAGGAACAAAAACGTTTAGAAAACTCAAAACTTACAAATGTACAATAATGATTCATCTTTTTGTTGAATACTGATGAAAACAATAATCTTTAAAACCAACTTCTCTGGCTTTCCAACCCCCAGTCCCTCTCCCAGACTATAGAATATTAACACATGCACACAAGGTGAAAAGTAACAAAGGAAGGGACAATGAGGGAAGCAAGGAGAGCAGCTAGTAGGCCATCGCAATTATCCAGGAGAGAGACAATGGAGGCTTGGATGTAAGTGGTTGTGGTGGAGTTGGGAGGATATATAAATAATGTGGATCTATTTTGGAGGTAGATCTGAATGATTTGATGATCGGTTTCAGGTGAGGTTTAGGAGGGAAAAAAAAAAAGTTAAAAGTGGCCCCTGGATTTTGGAGCTAAGCAACTAAAAGGATGAAATTGGCATTACCAGAGATGGAAAAGACTGTAGGCAGGAGTCTTCTCTATGGGAATTAGTTTTAGGCTATGTTAACTTCAAGGTGCCTGTTAGTCACTAGATGGAGATGTTGAGTGGGTGGTCTGGAGTTGAGGGATCTAGGCCAGGGATAGAAATGTGGGATTTGTCAGCATATAGATAACATTAAGCATCATAAAACTCAATGTTGTCACTTAGGAAGTAAGCATAGATACTCAAAGAGAAGAAATTCTAGCTCAACCCTGGGCCATCTCAACGATTCAAGGTTGGCAAGATGAGATACAGTGACAGATGAGTAATAAAAAAGACATTGAGAAGACGCAAACAGCAAGGAAAGAAGAAAACCAGGAGAGTGTGTTGTCACCTAAGACATGTGAAGAAAATGTTTCAAGGAAGAGGGAATGGTCAGCTGTGTCAATAAGGACTGAGCAATGGCTGTTGGATCCAGCTACGTGGAGTCCCTAGTTACAATGACAAGAACAGTTTTAATGTAGGGTGATTGTAAGGGTAAAAAGAAAACATGGATGGAATAGATTCAAGATACAGTAGGAGATAGCAAATGGAGAACTTTTGGGAGAAGATATGCTATAAAGGCAAGCAGAAAAATGGGATTTAGCTGACAGGAGATGTGGTGGGAATTAAGAAATATTTTAAAGGTTGGATAAAGAGCATCATGTTTGAATGCACATGGGAATGGTCCAACAGTTTGATTAAAAAAAATACTGATATAGGAAAAAGAGACAGTAAGTGCTAGATTAAGGGCCTTGAGCAGGCAAGAGAGAGGAGAATCACAGGAGGGCCAGCTTTCAGAGCAGTGGAGTTCATTAAAAGGAACAGGAGGAAAGGCAGAGTACTTTAGCCAGTGGGAGGTAAAACCCTTCTGGTTTCTAAAAATTTATTTTATTTTATTTTATTTTATTTTATTTTATTTTATTTTTTAGAGATGGGGTCTCACTATGTTACCCAGGCTGGTCTCGAACTCCTGGCCACAAGCAATTTTCCTACTTCAGCCTTCCAAAGTGTTGGGATTTCAGGCCTGAGCTACTGCACCCAGCGAAACCCTTCTGGTTTTTGTATGTTCTATATC
Source organism: Homo sapiens (assembly GCF_000001405.40). Classification (NCBI taxonomy): domain Eukaryota; kingdom Metazoa; phylum Chordata; class Mammalia; order Primates; family Hominidae; genus Homo; species Homo sapiens. The sequence continues at coordinate 12,133,403 of NC_000023.11, forward strand.
TAGATAAGGGAACCAGGGCATTTCTTTTCTTTATTTTTTTCATATACGGTCTCACTCTGTTCCCCAGGCTGGAGTGCAGTAGCATGATCAGAGCTCAATGCAGCCTCAACCTCCTGGGCTCAAGTGATCCTCCCACCTCAGCCTCCCAAACTGTTGGGATTACAGGCGTGAGCCACCACGCCTGACCGAACTAGGGTATTTCGTAAATAATACAAATAAATGAGTTTTCCCTTATTCCTCTCTTTCCCCACCTCCTACATCTAACCCATCAACTGTTCCTATTCAAAACATATCCTGAGCCTGGCTACTTTTCACCACCTCCTTGTCATGTCCTCTCTGAGCTGCTGCCAGCTCTTGCCTGGATTCTTGCAACAGGCTCCTAAATCAGTAGTTTCCCTGCCCTCACACTCACTTCCCTCAAGAGTGGTCATTCAAAACATAAGTCAGATTTGGCCACTTCCATGCTAAAAATCCTCACATGGCTTCCCGTCTCATACCAGCCAGACAGCTGACACTGGCCTACTGTGCCCCATGTGATCTCACCCTTCTTGCCCCTGCAAATTCGCTCACTCTCACTTCATTTAACGCGTTACTCTTCAGTCACAGTGGCTGCCTTCGGATTCTTCAAACATACAATCATCGTTCCTGCCTCAAGGACTCCATCCTTGTTTTATCCTTGCCGTTCCGTCTGCATGGAATGCTCTTCCATATGAATTTTGTGTGGCAGCCTCCTTCTTGTTCTTCATATCTCAGTTTAAATGTCACCTCCTTATAGAAGTCTTCCTGAACCACTGAATAACAAATAGCCACCTAGCCACTCCCTTTCCATCAGAAGAATTTTAATTCTCTGCACATTGCTATCTGCTATTTTCTTGTTCACTACAATTTCTGATTTTGTTGTTTATCATCTACCTCCTCTTCATAAGTTCTATGAGAACAGAAACTTGCCTTGTTGCCTAGTCTATTTCCCAGTGCCTACAGTGGTGCCTGGTACATGGGAGACACTCCATAAATATTTGCTGATTGAATGGATACCTTGCTGTTATTTATTTACTTCTGTTTTCAGGACTGAGACCAGATGGTCGAGATGCTTCAGTCCAGCTGAGAAATGCTTGGGGCTCTCTCTATTGTAACTTGCAGCGAAAGAACCCTCAGCTGCCAACCTATATGGAACATCTGGCCCAATAGCAGATTCCTAACACCAGCTTTAGATAAGGCCTTAAGAATGATGAAGCTCCTCACACTTCCCCCTGAGAATCCCCCGGGGCATAAAAAATGCTACAGCCTAGGGCTTTAGTAACTGCCCAGGCAACAAAGTGTTTGATTTTTAGGCAAAAGTGCCTACCTCTGATTAATCCAAGCGAATGTTGGGCCTCCTAAATAGTCATCTTACAGGCTGAAACTTTTCCTACCAGTACTGCCAAGGCTGCAGACAGCTGTGGAAATCCTTCTAGAGCTAATATTCATGTGCCTCAACTCATATGTAGCCAACTGTAAACTGGTGCCAACTTCAAGTGCTCATTTTGTGTAAGGTAAAGATGTATTATTTCCATTTTACAGCTGAGGAAACTGAGTCTCAGAGAAGTTATAGGACTTGCTCTGGATCTGGTGACCCTGAGTCTTTTATTCATGAGTACTTTCAACAGTGTTTGAAAGTGTGTCTGGTTTTCAGAAATGACCAAATGTCACTTGAACCTAAGTAAAGCAAATTAAGTAGATTCTCAAGGTTGGATAATACAGTTTCCAACTAGTAAATCCCTACAAGATCCAGAAGGGGCCTTAGAGATCATCCAGGTTAATAAGAAAACTTCAGAAAACCACATATGTACTCAGGATCCCACTTTTTTGGCTTTTATTTGTTTTAGGCAGATCTAGTTCATGCTAGACAAACCTATCCTAACCTCTGCAGCACACACCTGGCACAGAGAGGGGACAGAGCTGAGAGACCAACTACTCCAATCTCTGCCCTTCTGCCAAGATGGCTTAAAGATATAAACACTCTGTGTTAGCATGTTTCAAGGGAGCAGCTTTTTCCATTGTTGTATTAATGAGAAACAAAGGAGGAGGGGTGGAATCTCTTTGCTTTAGAAAACAATATCAATCCATTAGAAAACATACTAGATAATTACTATATGAGAGGTGTGTAAAGACCTGTAGAAGTCAGTCATTTCCCTTGGTAGCTATTATGCTGTGGAGAGATGGCATCTGCATCATTCATAACCGTAGCGCACAAATTGGCACAGGGAGAAGGCCAACAGCAAGCTGTTCCAGGTAGACCAGATGTCTCCAAGGGAGGCTGTCTCTCTAGAAGTAAACACAATGTCTATTTCCTGTCACTTTCACTGTTGAATAATTAGATATTTGGTATCTGGAATAATTATTGATAAATAGGGTAATCCTTTTAAAAAGAGCATCCCAACTGTTCTCTTCTCAGAAGGAAGCACTTTTTCAAAACACATTCTCCAAAGGCACTGTTTTATCCCCTTTTCCCAATCACGAGCTGGTCTTGTGCTGCCAGATGTTGACTCAGAGATGAGGGAACGTGTCGGTGGCCACTCTTTTGGGGGAAAGGTAGAAAAGGTGAAGGGGGAAAATAACTGGAGAATGTAAGAAGGCCTTTGTTGCCATCATTAACAGTCAGTCCAAAGGAGGTTGAAGGATGCTGGGGAAGTGGATGGGTGGGGAAAGAGACAGATGTAAGCCACGAAGTCATACACAGATCAGTACTCACTGGGGATGCTTGGCCAGCTTTGGTTTGGCTGTGAATCCAATGGGCATATGATTTGTTCGTTCAACAAATATTTCTTAAGTTCTTTCTACATCTGGGGAAGTGGTCTAGGCATTTGAGATCCATCAGTGAAAAACAAAAGCAAAACAAAACAAAGATCCCAGCCCTTGTGGAGCTCCAGTGGGAGATTCAGACCAAAAAAAAAAAAAAGAAATCCTAAAGATAAAAATAAATTATATAGTGTGCTAGTGGGTGATAAATGCTATGGAAACAAGAAAAAAGAATAAAACAGTTAATAGGGACTCGGAGTCCAGGGTGTGAGAACCTTTTGCAATTTTAAATTGGCTTTCTAGAGGGGGCATTTTGGAAGTGGTATTGGTGCATACATTTGACAGGGTGGAGAAGCCGGCCATGCAGATATCCCAGGAAAGAGCATTCCAGGCTGAGGGAACAACCATTGCAAAGAGCCTAAGGTGGGAAGATTACCTGTAGAGTTTGAAGGATAGCAAGAAGTCCAGAATTGCTGGAGCCCAGTGAGTGTATGTGTGTGAGAGAGGAGGGGCTCGGGGTAGGGGATGAGGAGGGACAGAGAAAAACGGGAGAGGGAAGTGGGCAGTAATAGTTGAGGTAAGAAAGATCAAAGGATACGGGATCTAGGGTCCTGTTGGCCCTTGCAGGAGCGCAACTTTAGCTTGACGGACAATGGGGAGCTTTTACATATTTTAGATCAGACAAGTAGCCTTATGTGATCTACGTTAAAACACACACACACACACACACACACACACACACACATACACACACACAAAACATCTTTTTGTCTGGTATGTTGAGAATAGATTATGGCATAAAAATAAAAGATTTCTAAATATATTGCCTTATATGAAAAGGTTGCGATGAGACTCCAATGCAAAAAAAAGCTTTAAAAATTATAAAGCACAGTGCAGACCCAAACTATAATTATTTTACAAACAATAGAGTTCAAAAGCCAAGGTCCCTCTCGCCCCTTCCGATCCTTGAGTAGTAACTGCGTTCATGCAATTAAACTAGCCTGTTTAATAGAAGCTGCAGGAAAACTGATAACTATGTATTCAAAAACATGTAATTTTATGCCTGAGTTTTAAGTCATTTAGATTTTGCAGATTGCTATTTATTTTATGTTCAGTTTTTGAAATAAATGCTTAAAAAAAACGCTTTAGTACTAGGCTTGAATACTGAAGACTTTAAATATAACAACAGACCAGGAGAGGAGCAGAAGTGTGGGAACTTTAAACCTATTTCTTTCTTAATCCCCTCGGAGAGCTAGACTGGAACACTGGCTGGATCTTCCAACATTTCTGGGGGTGCTCTCTGTTCTT